>NC_000008.11:75302265-75927265 GCF_000001405.40 Homo sapiens
CTTGCTCTAGGGAGAGTCTTCAAGCAATTGCTGTCAACAGACACAGATGCTTCCCTTTCTTCATATGATGAAGATCAGGGATCCAAACTTATTAGCAGAGCTAAAGACGCACCATTCATCCCCATCGGAATGGCAGGTTTTGCAGCAATTGTTGCACAGGGATTGTACAAATTGAAGAGCAGAGGAAATACTAAAATGTCCCTTCATCTGATCCACATGCATGTGGCAGCCCAAGGTTTTCTTGTAGGAGCAATGACCGTTGATATGGGCTAGTCCATGTTTCAGGAATTCTGGGCAAAACCTAAGCCTAAGAGGAAAAGAAGTGTCTTGGTCTCATTGGAGGAGCTTGCTTTAGTTAGACATCTCATTACCGAAGTTACATACTAACGTTGAAAATGAACTGTTTGAGTGGGTTCAGATGGTAACAAGGCATTTTGAATATTGGCTTCCTTTGTTGCAGGCTTTATTTTCCTGGTGACTAAATCACCTGTGACTAGTTTACTAACTAAGTCATTGAGGGGAGTCAAGCTAACACACAAAAAAACATGTCACCTAAATGCGCTTGATAGTGTTGAAATGTCCACCTTCTTAAACTGCGAAGATGAAATTATTTCCAAAGAAGACAGCAAGCTAACCCTGAAGTACTCCCAGTTTGCTGCAGAATCTCGCGTGTTTGGGATGTTATATAAGAGTCCTATTTGCCCAGTTAATTTAACTTTTTTTCTACCTGTCTTGTGGACTGGCTGGCTCTTTTAGAACTCTGTCAAAAAAGTGCATGGAATAGAACCTGTAAAGCCTCCCACAGCTGAAAGTATATATGTGTGTGTGTTTAAATTAAATCTAAAAAGCTTATAATAGAGCTGCATAGTAGTAGTATTTATTAAAGAATCATAATTGTAAACACAAGAATAACTTACAGATTCTAGTTTAGTTTGTTTGTAATTGCAGAATTATATTTTTGGTGCTGTTATATTAGAATAATTTTTAAATGTCATCTTGAAATAGAAATATGTATTTTAAGGTCTCATACAAAGGTAAATGAACACTTTTTAAAGTATGCATTGCTTATTTTCTCCACAAGAATTGTAAACATTAAACTAAACAAATTACCTACAGTGGAATTGATTAATGATTTGTGAGAATGCTGGTTTGGTCAGACAGTGTATACAAACTTTTATATACTACAGAATGCTATTACACTTGTGAAATTCTCTTGTCTAACCTGAATTTACATTCCATGGTGATAACGTGGTATATGTATTGTTATTAACGTAAGTGACCATGTCAAAAAAAAAAAAAAAAAAAAACCCAAGGTTGATTAAATCATACAATGTCTGTGACCATTAGTAACCTCACTTGTAAAATATAAATAAATAATACAAACTTCAGAGTCACAAGGGAAAGTCAAACCATGCATATAGAATATTTAAAAAACACTGAATAAACAAAAATTCCTTTTATTAATAACAACTTTCATATATGGAGCCCATGTGATGTATACAGCATTTTATTTTGTATGTATATAAATTATTTTAATATATAATTAAATCCTATATATATATCATTAAATCCTCCATAACAAACTTTAGACACAGGCATTATAGTATCTTGATTTTACAGATGTGGAAAATTAGGCTTAAATGCCAAACATTAAATCATGGAGGAAGGATTCAAACGCAGTCTGTCTGACTTCAATATACTATTCCAACTGATGAAGGATACTTTGGGTAAACACCAACTACTCTATAACAGTAAGCAGAATTATTACAGTCCATTTGTATAGCAGGTCTCAAAATGTTAATGCCCTTAGCTATCAGTTTAATGCAAAAAAAAAAAAAAAAAGAAAATACAGTAAGACCTAGGAAAACATTATTCATAATATTTCTTTTAGGCATATTTACCCCATGCTAAAATAACTAAGCCACCATGCAGCAGATATATATGGAGTCACATATTGAGTGACTATAGGTCTCAGGTTCCCCAAGACAGTTTTGATTTGTGATATTGCTTTTGCAAACTCGAATATCTTTTACTTTCAAAAGTGTCATGATTTGGAACCAGCATGGTAGCGCGTGCGTGTAATCCCAGCTACTCAGGAGACTGAGGTGGTCAGATCACTTGGTCCTAGGAGTTTGAGACCCCCAACCCCCAACAAAAGGTGTCTTGATTTGGACAATGAATTATATGAACACTCTACTTTAATGTTTCTTGCTAAACCTAGAGGGATTACACCTTACCATTGCTTCTCTGAGTGTACCGTCTCAAAATCAGTAGAATATCCCCTGAATATGATAAAATGTTTATAGAGTGCTTTCTGTATTCTACAACTCCTTTAGTGGATACTTAGGTTAATTTTAACTTAAAGACGTAGAAATCACACATTACAAGGAGCAGTAATTCATATCCCTATATTGTTATAGAAACTTAATTTAAATGTAATATTTTTATTGGGCATATCAAATGTCATTCCAGTTAATTTTGACTACATAGTTAAAACAGGGCAACCTATGATAACCATCCCTACTGAGACATTTCCTGAAATAAAACCTTGTCTTTAAAAATTTTTCACGTCAAAAAAAAATTCTTTATTTGACTTTAATCTTTACACTGAATTTCAAACTTTCCCTTGGTACTGTTCTTTGCACAGTGAATATTGTAATTTCTCTCACCCAAGGCTGTGCAATTCATATCTTACAACACTTGCAGGTTCATTACGTCATATTTAAAAAATGATTACCTTTTCTTCTTATACTTTTTAATATATTTTTATGTATGATATTGATATGAGGTTTTTAAAAGTGTGACAGAATAACTAATAACAACAAGACAGCTTGAATTGTGCTTGCTTTTGAGGCCTTCCCAGTCACAAAAAAAAAAAAAAAAAACTACTTACTCCGTTCTTAAAATTAAAAAGACTAAGTTAGAATAATGGTTTATATCAACTTGGAGTTTAGATCAAGTATTTTTAAGAACACTGTTTTAACTGAAAAGAAAAAAAAAGTAAACAATTTAAGAGAAACCACTTTGATAAAGTAACTTCAAACTGTTGAAATAAACATAAGTTCAAAAGAAAGAGTTAAACAATATTCACCAATACGAAAGTTGAAACTTGGTGGATCTTTGAAAACAAAACTTTTTTCCTGAGTTTGATACACAGAGCTTCCCAGTAGAGGGCTCCACAATACTGAAGGATGTTCACTGAGGAGGTCCCTTTAGTGAAGCCATTTTATGGTTATACACAACATAGTAAATAGTATTTGAAAACTCAACCCATACCATTTGCCACAACCCCATATATACTATATTGGGACTTAAAAAAAAAAAAAAAAAGAAGAAGAAAGAAAGAAAAAAGTAATCCAATGCAGATTACAGTGGGATCATTAGTTTGATTTTAACAATCTCAAAGTATATGTAAGCTAGCTGGTTTCTCTGGACATGTGTCTGATGATACAAAGCCATCTACTGTGTGAGCTGCAGGACGGGTGTGGACAATAGAAGCTGTTTCCTTGGAAATGAGTATGTGAAAGCTCTTGGAATATCTCTCCTCCCCAGGAGTTAATTTGTTTCAGATGGGGAAAAGTGATTACTTATGAGAGAAAGAGAGAGAGAGAGAGAAAGGAGAGAGGTTCTTAGGGTTTTTTCCCCCCATCATCTCTGTTAATTTTTTTCAAAAATGTAGAGTAGATGGCAACAGCAAGATTAAATATTAATGACATTGTCACCATCTAAGATTATAGCTCTGCAACAGTTCTGGCCTATTATAGAAGAAACAGAATAGGGATGGAATAGGAAAATCTCCTAATTGAACCAAAGTAGTCCAAAGTGTGTTGCCTACCCATCCCAATTCTCTGGACAATTTCCAGTGCTCTGCTTCTCTTAATGCTGATGATTGCAAAGTACAGATGTTTACCACATGGTGATCATTACCTATAAAATATAATGAGCTGTCATACAATAGAGAGGGCATTTCTGATCCATTGACTTTAACTTTTTTCTGGTTGTAGTGAAGTATTAGTCCTACAAAATCCTCTCTTGCTTGCCCTTTCACCCTATTTGTTCCCTGTAGCATGGATTGATTAAGAAGTGTGTTATGTTTACACCTATGGAAGCTTCCTCAATTCTAGACATGTAGTAGTAGGTCTTGAGTAAGGCTCTATTAGTTGGTTGGTTAGTTGTTGGCATTGCTGATTATGGTTGAGTTGTGGTTTGGAGCTATAGAACTGCATAAAGCAAATCAGTCCATATGTGGAAAACTTAGGTCCTATTCTTTTGTATCACTTTTCTAATGAACAAAGTTAACCAACAGCAGAGATCTCAACACAAATTAAGAAGACTCAACCAAAACAAAGCACACTAAATCATCTCAGTACAGAAGTTTGTCAAGAGCAATGACTGTGTTAATTAAATTTTATAAAGCTTCTTAGCTCAATATGGTCTAATGTAATGAAGTGTAAATTAACCTAAAATATTTGAAATTAAAATCAAAACCAGGTGTCTTCACTCTAAATTCATGGGAAAATGATCCTGCACTTGAATAGAGGGTACTGATATTATCTCTTACCTTTTTCTATAGATTTTTAGAAATATGAATTCACATTTTCCGCAACCCTTCAAACTCACAGAGAAAAATAAATGACTGGTTTAATAAAACCCCTTTCTTGCTATTTAACTGTAGTGTCATAAAAGATTCTTAAATAATTTCTGTAGGAAAGAAGAAAATATTAAATTTTGGAGATATTTATTGTCAGTCAGAAATTCTCAATCTCATGTTAAATTAAGTTCTTGTGAGATATTCTAAAACAATAAACACAAAAATTAGTATAGACAAATTATTATTAGGTACACTAAATATTGATATTTTGTTTACTTAAGTAGCTATAACATATAGTATAATTATTAAGGGGTTATTATACTTTATGATAGTTATGAAATTATTAAATATCACCAAGTTTATAGAAAAGCAATTAAATCACAAGTACACAGACACACTGATATTCATAAAAGGAAGACAAATGTTCCAAAAAACATAATTTCTTTTGGCCCCTTTAGCCACGTATATAATCTAGAATAACATGAACATGTAGTTATTCACAACTTAGGCAATAATAATGTTTGGTCATATTTAAGTAAATGGAATATCTATACTATTTAATACCTTATGCCTTCCTTTCAAAATAAAAAACTGTAAAATCTCTGTGTTCAGGGATTATGAAACAGTAAAGCAGGGGTAAAATTCATAATTCTGGGCAGGTCACTTTCTGAAAAAGGACGGTATCATAAGCCTAGAAAGACATTTTACTTTTTTCCAAAGCCATTTCTTAAAAGAGAGATGATTTTTTACATAAAATTTGGTTACGAAGAAATAGCGCTATGCTGCATAATAATACATACATGGAATCCATCATTAAATGAAATGTTTTTCTAAAATATAAAACATGAAAATGTTTCTCTTCCTTCTCGTAGGTTTATACTGTGCTTTCTCTGAAAATTAAAGTTTGTGGGGTTTTGTGCATGAGTATGCATGATAAAAAGATAACTAACAGGGATGAACATAGACTTTTACAAAAATTACACATAGCTATAATGCACATATTCATTCATCCAACAATAGTTACTGAGTTTTTACTTGTTCTACGTATTGTTGTAAATACTTGGGAAACATCACTCAACGGATAAATATCTTAGACTTTATATTGCATTTGTACAAATGGGAAGACCTCATGGTATTAGACTTGGAGTGCTACCATTATACTTCAATTGTTTGCATGTGCTGGGAGTGTCAATAACAAACGTCGACAGCTATTGAATTTGGAGTGCTAATTCTTACCCTGGTTTGGTGGGCTCAGATCAGTCCTCCTTCTCTGATTAACCCCTATGTCATTACCACCATCACTATCATGGTACTATTCTTGACTTAGTAAGTCGTATGTATAGAAATGTACCACTGAATATTCCTGTGTCCTATGTACTGCCTAGAGAGAAAAGAGAGTTGGACTGAAGTCTAGACCAAATCCTGTGAGTGGGGACTGGTATCAAAATGTACCAAGGGTAATAAGAATTTCAAACCAAAGCCACCAAAGAGGGAAGTAAAATGTTGAATAGGAGGTGGAGATATCAAAACAACTCAGCGGCACAAATGAGTAATGCCGTGGTGGACTTCAAACAATATCTGGTCTTCCCCCAAAAATACACTATGTTAATGTGGCTCTTATGCAGTGGTAAGGCCTGACATTGTATTTGCTACAGCTAGTTGCATGTCCTTCTTCATATGTTAATATATAGTTAAGGGATACCTTTCTATGAAAGTGTCATATTGTATAAGAAACATGACCTGTTAGAATGTAAGCTCCAAATGAGTGAGGTTTATGTCTATCTTACTTACAGCTATGCCCCCAAGACCTAAAATAATGCTTTGCACATAGAAGGTGCAAATGTGCAAATAAATTTGTTTGTTAAATAAATGAATAAATCCATAGCTGACATTTTTATCTAGATACCAGAAAGACAGACTCTAAAATTAACACAATTATCTTTTACACAAACTATCTTTTAAAAATATTATGTAACAAGTAACTTAGTTCAATTGCTTAAGTACATTTACAACTGGTTGTTTTGGAGGGCACAATTAAAAAATTAACTATAACCCACATGCAATTTCTGCCTCCAAATATAGCAGTTTTTTCTGAAATTTGTTTTTGAATGGCTGAGGAGTAAGTTTGACTACACTGGTTTTGGTCTAAAGCACTGGGTTTTGATCTATTTGCATAAGAATTTGTCTGCATCTACATTCTTACCAACTACTTTTCCTGTTAATTTCCCGGTTTTCTCTGGCTCTTTTTAATATTTTTTCATTCAGGTCCTAAATGTGAGCCTTTTCCAAGATTCTCTCCAGACTTTGAATTTGATCATTTTGCACATCTTTAAATATAACCCACATGCAAATTATAGCCTAAAATGCTCACAGTAGCTTTGCTTTGTCATCACAGTGTGGTATTGCTATCCCGCCTTCAGGTCAAAAAACTAGATATATCTTCTCCATTCCCAGTCATTCTTCTTCCCTTGAATTTAATATTTCTCATATTGTGTCAGTATTTTCCCCATAATCCAAAATTAAATCCTTATAGATGTATTATATATCTCCTTAAAAATCTCAGATAAATTCATGATTGAAACAAAAAAACCTATCATTTCTTCCTCTACCTCAGTCTCTCACATCTTTATTCTATTACTTTCATTTGTTACTTTTTCCATGTATAATTGTATAGTTTTTCAAAGTACATTTCGTAATTCTTTCCTTCTCTCATTATTTACACATTACTCTTGGTAAAAGTACCTAAAGTACACCTTTGCTTAGCTCATGTACCTAATTCAACTAAATATATATACGTGTGTGTGTGTGTATATATATATGTGTGTGTGTGTGTATATATACACACACACACACATATATGTGTATATGTACGTGTGTGTGTGTATGTGTGTGTGTGTGTGTGTATATATATATATATATATATCCTAAGCTTGACTTTTCAGACCTTCTGTACTGAGGCTTCAATGTAGTGTTTTAAATTTTGACCTCTACAAAATCTTTGTGTGCATTATACTTCATAAAATTCAAATATTTGCTTTCCCTCAAGCGCCCCATGAGATTTCCTAGCTCTGTGCATTTTTTCTATTATGCCTTTAACAAGGGATACTCTTTAATCTCCCTTCTTCTGCCTAAATGTATTTACCTGAAATTTTTTGCTTTTTCTTCACACTTCTTGCTTTAGATAATTATGGTTGTGACAAACACCCCCAAACTTAGCTGCTTAAAACAACTAACATTTATTGTCACATAATTTCTTTTCATCGGGAATCTGGGCACATTTTAGTTGGTTGCCTCTGTCTCAGAGACTGCCACTAGGCTGAAATCAAGGCATCAACAGGGGCTGCATTGCTCTCAAGGCTCAGCTGGAGACAGAATCTACATCAGAGTAGTATGTTTGGTCGTTGGCAGCACTCAGTCCATGGTGAACTGTTGGACTGAGGGTCTGAGGTCCTCACTGGCTGTTGACTGGAGGCCACCTTCAGTACCTAGCCACTACAGAGTGGAGTTCGCAACATGCGCTTGCTTTATCAGAGCAAGCGAGTTAGCAAGAGAGGCCAAAAAGATAGAAGACAGCGTCATTTTGTAATGTAATCTCAAAAGTGATATCCAGTCACCTTTGCAGTGTTCTATCCCGTAGTAGAGTCACTTAGAAGGATTGCATAGCATGTGAATATTTGGAGACACAGATCTTTGGGAACCATCTTAGATGCTGTCTACTAACCACACTCCTCAAATATCATTTCTTTCTTGTTTTGCTCAGGAAAAGTAAACTTTTTTGGTCTTTGAATTCCTATACTAGTTGATTCGCTTCCTTTTCATGCCGCTAATCATTTTATCTTTTTATTTGAGTACTTTTAACATACTGGTTTTGACTACGGTGTATCTAATTCTCAATATATTTCTATCACAATATTTTACACATAGTATTTTTGACTAAATATTGCTGAATGGTTTCTATCTCTGTCATGATCCCTCCTAACAGGACAGCCAAACAGAGTACCTTGGTACCTTTCTATTAAAACCCTCACCTCAAATATCATGAACACTGTAACTAGTAAAATCAACATAACTTTCAAAATACACAGTGGAAGAAAATGTATTAAACTATCTCATTCTTATTTCACTTAGTGGACTCAAGACATGCCATTGAAGTTCTTAACAATGTAATCTTTTATAACAAGCTCTACTATAATAAGATATTCTTGAAATTGAGAAACAGAACTAATGCCTCTGGGTTAGCTCTGTGTTTACATTACTCTCTACAAAAAGCACTTTGAAATTGAAAATTGACACATGACATCTTGAAGCAAGTACACTACAGGGTTTATGTCTTCTGCCATTCAGATGCAAATTTTTCTTAAAAAAATCTAAAATGTATACTAAAGAAATTGGTATACAAGCTGACACCTATTTCTTCATAATAAAACCTAGGCCCATGCAATAATTTCATAAAAAATAGTGAAGCAATTTCATAAAATGTACTATAACAATGGACTGATATTACTACCCCCCACCTCGTAAAATGTGGGGAAGAGGAGTAATAATTGCTTCTCACACATTTCATTAGTCAAACAACATTCTATATTATTTATTTTTATAAACTCTGCAGTAAAATTCCCTTTGTCTTTTAAAATAGTTTACAAATACATTGTCTATAGTAGAGTATATACTCTTGGCAGATATACTTTACTTGGTTTAAGAGAATCTAATGCCAGCCAATCACAAATGAATGTCTATGATAAACAAATTTCAAATGACAGTGTGATTATTTTCTTCTTTGAACAAAGCAGGACTTTTTTTCTTTATTCATCCCTTTAAAATGATAAAAATAACTGACTTTGCAAATTATAAATATATCATATTATTTCTATAATCTTTACTATTAGCATCAAAGAATAGTACCATTGTGCTTGATTTGAATCATTAATGATTTTTTGCAACAGCATTGTTAATTGGCAGGCCCACGGAATTGCTGGTGATGCTATAGAAACATTCGAAGAACAACACTGTCCCACAGGATCCACGGAACAGTCATAAACGAAATGCACCATCTGCTGCTGTTTAAATGAAATAGTGGTTTAAAAGCTTCACATAACATATACAAACTTCAGAAAACATATTTTTTACTACAAATATAATAGCTATAAAATTTGATTCCAGGAAAAAAAGGGGGGGCAGGGAGGAAACCACAAAGTCTTTAAATTCCCTTTGAGACTAAGTTAGAATCCAGATCTTCCTGAATTCAATTCCTTTTAACATTTGCATCAGATCTTTAGTTGATCCGGTTTCCCAAAAGATATAAGTCTTGCTTTCATAATTCATTCCCAGTTTGGCGTGGAATAAGATAGCTTACCTCCACATTCCTGGCAAGAAACATTTCTTTGCTGGAAGAAAAGTTCACCTTTTAACTGAATGTTTGGCTACAGATCAGGAAAAAATAAGATCTGATTTCTTTTACACTTGACTTCCTTTTTCATGTGAGCCTTACACAGAATTGTCTTTATTCTTCACTCTGTCAGCTAGAATATAATAAATTATGCCAGTTCCTGTTGATCTATCACCCTTAGGAATTCTTGAACATATCCCACAAATAATGTATCTTCCAGTTCATTGAAATCTAGCAGTTTGAGAATTCATTCATCTCAAACAAAGGATGTGAAATATGCCTTTTTCACTTCCTAAGAGGTCCAATGTACCAACCTTTAAACTGGTATTTGATTTTCCAGGCTTCTCATTAGTGCCAATGTTCTTTCTTTACAATGGTGCTGACTCCTCAGTTTTAGCTTCCTCTCTTTTGCCTTCTGGGCCTGCAAAATTCTGCCTTCCAATTTTTAAACAGCTATTACTTTGTTTACACAAGTTAACAATCTCCTACCAATTCTCCTTTCCTCCTATGCTCTTTCCCTCAATAGCCTAGCCAGAAAGAGAAGGAATGGAAGGAAGGAGGTAGAGAATGCTGTGAATTCTAAAGCACATTTGCATAAAGAGAATGGTTCTATTTGAGCCAATTTAATATTGAGGTTTTACTATGTTAGTGTATAAATGAGGTGATTGGCCTATCCCTGTAAAAATAAATAATACTAATATAAAATAGGTTAAAAGATTATATTATTTTAGCTTATGATGAAGACAAACATACTAAGAAGAATGTTGTTTAATAAAATTTACCTATTGTTGAAATTATATAAGTGATTGTTTTAGTTGACAGCGTAGAATACAAAAGCTTACACTATATGAGAAGTCTCTGGTTATTGCTCTGCCAGGAGAGAGAGAGAGACTTCTCTAGTACTACATGCCCTCTATGGTATCTAGTGCAATGTCTTGAACATTGCAGTCTCCTAGATACTTGTTTAATTTTTTTGAAGTGCAATTTTATTTGACAAAAAAAAAAATAAGACAGAAGATATCCTTGAAGATTCAGTAGTAACAAAGGTCTATGTAGTGTTTTCAGCAGAATGTTTGGAGAAAGAAGAAAAAAAAAGAGATGTGTCAGTCAGGGTCCAGTCAGGAAAAGCGTAATTACACCAGATATTTTAATAGAGAAAATTTAACATAGAAAATTGGTTAAACAAGTACTGGAGGAGTACAAAGGCAAACAAAAAAAAAATACACTGAGATAACACAGAGCAGTGATTTCAACAGGCAGCCTTCACCTGTAGGACTAATGGAACAAAGGGAAAAGATTGCTCATGAGGCTGTAGAAGCTTGGAGGCAGGTCTCCATGTGCTGGGACCCACAGTCTCTAAGGAGAGATGCTGTCCAGCGGGTGCTGGTACCTCTGAAACTCTGGGGAGGGGCCCCTTGAAGCAGAACCTACATCTCAGAGGAGCTGGACATCAGGTGGCTGGTACTAATATCTCAGACATGGCTGTTTAGGGCCTGTAAGTGAAATGAAGAAATAAAAAAAAAAGTGAAAATCATAACCAATGACCACTGGAAGCAGCTGCTGCTGCCTGAGGGGGATGAAGAATTGTTGCTGAAAGAACAGCAAATGAAAAGAAATGAGCATTTCCCTTCTTTCTCCTCCAAACTTCCAATCTCTATGCAGTGGTAGAAACTAACAGGAGACAGCTGACAGAGTAGAAGTGTAGTTTGCAGAGTCCAAACTGCAGAATCACAAAACAGAATATAGAAGGCTGTGAAAGACAAGAGCTTAATAACCAACACGAGAGAGCAGAGGCAACCGACAGAACAAGCAAAGCGTGCAATCTGATGCAAACAGACTGTCTGGGTATGTGTGGTGACCTGGGAATGTGGGAGGGAGGCTGGAGAAAGTTCCTTAGGAAGTCCGAGAGGTCAGAAGGTTCTTTGCCCTTAGTAGAACCTTGCCATCTGGTTCAGACTTCTTCTTCCATATATTTGAAGTCACTCTCCTTACCTAATCCCTTTGATAAGGTATAGATGGCTCTTTGTTGGCTATAGACTGAAATTCCACTCTCTTACCCTGATGTTCATATCCCTTCATGGTCTGGCTCCTGCCTTCCTTTCCCATCTTAGCTTCTCTTCCTTACAAGGAAGGTCCATCTGCCTAAAACTGAACATGACATGTGCATGTGGACACACTTGCACACGCTATTCTCTCTTTCCAGTACACTTCAAGTACCATTCAGAAGAGAATCGAACTACCCACTTGAGATGAGCCCTATCTGTGTGGTCCAGCACTTGGCTTTCATGTCTGGTAAATGATCAGCATTCCTCTTTTCCCTTTTCTGACCTCATGTCATGCCTCTCTCTGCATCAGCCACAGTTGCCTCTATTTTCTTGTCTCAATATTTGGCACTGGCTTGACCTCTCCTTGAAAGGCTCTTCCCCCAAATTCTCTATGACTCACTCCTCATTTTCATTAAATTTTTGCTCAAATGGCATCTTCTCAGAGAGGCTTTTCTTAATCATTGGCAAGAATGTTGTAAACCACAAACCCATTTACTTCCTCCTCTCTATCCCTATCCCTGCTGTATTGTTTTACATTGTCCTTATCATGTTCTAATGTATTATATAGCTGACCTGTAACATCTGCTCCATGAAGGCAGGTTTTTACCTGTTCTGTGTACTGTGTGTGCAGTGCACCGGGAAATAGGGTTAGCCACATTTCTCAGCCACTGAGGTGCTGAGAAATGTTAGCTGCTAGAGAAAGGTAGCCAAGAGTGAAAGCAAAAAGAGGATGGTGGATTCAAATTCTCTTTTAAAAGATATGATTCCTTGAATGGATAGAAAGATATGGGGGGAAAAGTAATGTATTTTTGAAGAAAAAAAGGATTTGGGAATATTTTTAGGTTAAGGAGTAATAAATAATAAGAATTGGATAGTTTTTAGAATACATTCTTAAAGGAAGAGGGGGGCCATTGATTATGAGCATAGGTAAAATGATAAAGCCTAAAAAAAGAATTTATCACTGTCCTCTGAGATTGGAGGAAAAGCAGAGAAGTGAAAGTAAAGAATTGTGTTCCAGGGGAAAGAGGAGAGTTATGGAATGCCTTGAATAAAGTAGAAAGTTATGCTGTCTAGTTACAGCACCTTGTCAGAATGAGAAGGGACAAGTATTCTGCAGCAGCTGTGTGGGGACCCTGGGGAGAGGGAACAGAGGTGCAGGGAGTACCTGTGTGCTCTGCAAGGCCCAGGTGCAGAACACCCAGAAGCTTCCTCAACTTTCTGCAGCAGCATTTCACAGGACAAGTGCACCATTAGAAAAGCAAGATTTGCATTTGTCAGGGCTGCTTCTGAATTGAAGAAATGGCAAGGATGTGAGAGCAACTGATAGAAACAAGGCCAGCATTGATTTGAGCTTTTCTCTAGATCTTGGCAAGTTGCAAGTGGAGAGGAAGGAAAGAGAATAGGTGTCATTTGCTTAGGATTTCTGAGAAAGATGAGCTGTGTGGTGGGGGAAATCCAGCTTTCATTTAACATAATTGGTAGAAAGAACAGTTGCAGCAAAGTTAATGTCAGAGATTGCACTTCAACTTAAGCCAATTCATGGCACCAAAGTCCACAGTCACTGGAAGAGGAAAATAGGCCAGCAAAGAGAATTGGACACAAGAATGGGAAAAGGGCATAAAAGCTGAACAAAGGGGAAGTGAAGTCGCACTTAATAAGGTCACAATAATGAAGAAAGCAAGTCTATTGTGAATAGTCTTGAAAGGAATTTAAAAATAATGTCGACCTCAGAGTAACACATGCAAAGAATGGATTTGCTTAATGTAGTGATTCTCATGTTTGACTTTAGTATTCCTTACACTCATTCCTCAATTCACCTTTTGAGGCAAACAAGTGATTCTGTAAAACTCAAGGAACAATGTGAAAACACCAACTATCAATCTGTTAAAATCACATTTTTGAGATTAATCAATTCATTAATTAAAGCTTATAAATCAATCATATGCTGACTGGTTGCATTCAAACAAATATTTTAAATTATTTACTTTTTCTTTCTTTTTTTGGTGGGGGGGGGGTACAGAGTCTTGCTCTGTCACCCAGGCTGGAGTGAGGTAGCACCATCTTGGCTCACCGCAACCTCCATCTCCCAGGTTAAAGCCATTCTCATGCCTCAGCCTCCTGAGTAGCTGGGATTACAGGTGCCTGCCACCACGCCAGGCTAATTTCTTTGCATTTTTAGTAGAGCTGGGGTTTCACTATGTTGGCCAGGCTGGTCTCGAATTCCTGGTCTCAAGTGATCTGCCCTCCTTGGCCTCCCAAAGTGCTGGGATTATAGGTGTGAGCCACCACACCCGGTTGTTATTTAACAACATATTGAAATATTAGAACTCCTGAGATCTGTGGTAGGTGCATAATATGTAAGTAGACTAATACAATATTTCATGCTGAAAAAGAATTAGATCAGTTTGCATCTGTATAAAGCCCCAGGTTCTTTACTAGCAGTCCTTTCACTTTTTCTTTTTATACTAAATTTTGAGTATTGAGGCTCACTTAATTCTGAGATTTTTTAAATGTACTACTAATATATTTAATTTTCTTATATCATTTTATCTTCATCACAATGAAGTTTAAGAAATAAAATCTAATTTCTTATCTTGTATATAGTGTTTAAAATGGATACAATTAAGAACTATTTATAATATGAAGGATTAAATAAATCTAGAAATTTAAATAATCATTATAAAAACTCTAAATATTTGAAATCACTATACTTCTATAGAGTAATTATTTATTTTCTGCAGTTCTGCACAGCCATAATGTGGTCAATGCTCACATTGTTAATATTGTGATTATGATATTTATTGTGGCTAATAACGTTATGCCATGCCTAGCTATTCCTCTTTATTTTCTCTATTTCTATTTTTCTGTTTCTCTTGATCTATTTAAATTCACCTAGGAAAGTTTGACAAATACAACCTTCAGGGCATCATACCCAAAACCTTTTAACCAACCTATATTCAGGATGGTAAGTCATCTACGAACAACTCATAAATGATCCCAAAACTCATACACAAAACCTTTTAACCAACATGTATTTGGGATGGTAACTCATCTATGAACAACTCATAAATGATCCTAAAATTCAGAAAGGCTCATAGTCTTTAAGATGTGTTTATGAACAGTTAATAATGTAAGCCATACTTCCTTATTATGGTAGTTCAAAATTTAATAATGTGTAAAAAAGAGAATCTACTTTTTTTTAAATTTTCAGTTTTGCAAACTTTTACTATAAATCATTTTGAAATTCAATGAAAAATGTCAAAAAGATCTTTAAAAACTTTGTGAACATTACTAGCATATAAAATGGAGTCCATATTCTCTATTTCACATCGGAAACATTTGTATTGGCTAAACCTATTGGACATAAGGAAAAATATATATATGAACCATCTTTTAGCTCAGTAATTCCCTCCTACACACTATTCTGGGTTCATCCGTCTGCAAAATAATATATTTATACTATTAATTCATCAGCCATATTTTTCCATTAACATAATTTTACACACTAAAAAACGTGCTCTTCAAAAATGTACTCAACTTGTAATCCAGCCCCACAAGGCTATTAGAACTACTCTCTTTATCAATGAAGAAATTTAAATAGCATTGCCAACATGTACACAGTCAGCATTGATATGTGAGATTTGGCTTCATTTGGTTATGACTGTTGACCCAGTCTAATTATCTACTTATCTGCTGTATGACTTATAACAAGTCACCTAATATTTCCTCTTCCGTGTTTTGAAGTTTGAAAAGACAAGCTGCCAGGATATAATACTTGGGTATTCAGTAAATATTGACTGATTTGTATAGTAGTTAATGAAGTAAGACTATAAAGAAGACAGTTTTTGGAGGTCATTGTCACAAGAGAAGTTTTTGCAAATATTGAAAGCATTGATGGCTACCAATAAAAGATTAAAATATATATAAGAATACTGAATTCATAATGCTTTTTTAGTGAAACCTGTATTGTACTGGAAATGACCATAATTTCTTGTGTTTAAATCAAGAAGGACAACTGTACCCTATTAAAGTTATTTGAGGCACCTCTGGAGCACATGGGTGCTGTATGTGTCTCTCTGTTTAAGCAAAAACTCTCTCCTATCAGAAAATGTTCTCCATGAGGGCAGATACCCTGTCTTTTTCTTTCCTTGTAGCGATTTATCATTGTATTTCCAAGGCTTAGTACAGTGGCTGGCACTTATTATTAATAGCAGCTCAGTATATATTTAAATGAATGAATACAATAAATCTTAGATCTCACCAAACATTTTAATACCCAGATAGCATATTTTCTGTTATATTCCAAAAGATTCTTTTGGAATCAAAATTGGTTGAATATCAGAAGAAGTTTGAAAAAAAAAAGTCTGTGGAAGATTTACTTATTTTTTTATTTTTAAATGTTCTATTTCACTAGACATCCATCCCCAGGGAAATATTTTCCTAGGCTCTGGCTACATGACCACAGGTGAATTGGATCAGTGTTAAAAAACTAATTGAACAATTTGGGCAATCTGTTTTGCTAAGGGCTGTTTAATACATCACAAGTGTCAAGACTGGTACTTCTAGTTCCTCACAGCTTAATTCAGGCATACAGATGAGTCATGATTAACTTTGGTAAGGCAGATTTCAGACTTTTCTGATTTCTAGTTTTAGTATTCACACCATGATGTTTGATACTTATGAATTTTACATGATTTGCCAAAAATCTGAGAGTAACAGAAGTTATGCTGGTACTTAGAAATAGATTCAAGACCCTTCAACTAGAGGTTAAAAGAAAGCCCAATGGCTTCAGAAGTAGATGAAATTGGTTGTCCTGGCATATTTTCTGACTTTAGATTGTTTATGTTCAATCATTTTAGATGATCATCCTAACATCTTGAAACAAATTTATTTTCTTCTAGGAAAAAAAATATAACACCTGGCAATAAAACATGAGAACCACAAAGAGGATTCAATCATCATATCCTAGTATAATCTACATAAAACCAGACTAATTGGCTCATGCCAGGAAGTCAGCCTCAGGAAAGTGTTTTATTAAAAGAACTAAGCCCAGCAATAGCAAAAGGTTAATTTAAAACAAACTGTCTAGTAGTCCCAGATAAAATCTTAGAGCAGAAAAAGGACATTAGGAAGAAACTAATAAAATCTAAATAAAGTTTGGAGTTTAGTTAATAATAATGTATCAATATTGATTAATTAGGTATAACAAACGTACCATAGCAATGTAAGATGTAAACTGGATGTGGGATATTTGGGTACACTGTACTATCTTTGTAACTAATTTGTAAACCCAAAAATTATCTAAAATAAAATTTTATTTTTAAAAGCAAATTGTCTGCATTAGAATTACTCTCAAGTACACCAAAGATTCTATTTATTTGCCATGCCAAAATGATTGAAATTCAGCATTTTTCATTTCTCTTTTCCTTAGTTTCTCACACCATAACTGCCTCGAGGACTCTCTATTATGCAACATGAAGATTCCTAAGTTGTTATCCCATAACATAGACTGCTGAAAATTTTTTATTTTACTCTCCCGTTGGTCTGTTACCATTCTCCTGTTTTTTCTTCTTGCCATCAGTATCTCAGCTTCTCTATTACCCACCTCATTCATTAGCCATATGTTCTTACAATATCATCCTGCAGTCATTGAGCAACACAGGATTCTTGGTTTTAGTATCAACCATGTTGTTACACGTGACAGTGGTTTATTCTCTTTGGTTGCTATATAAAATTTGACTGTATGATTGCTTAATAGCTTATTTACTTTTTAGCTGTTAATGTCTATTTGGCTTATTTACAGTTTGCAGCTATAAATATTTTTATACATATATTTTGTGTACAGATACAGTTCTACAAACATAGATAACTAGGATCAAATGGTTGCATCAGATCATGAGTATGTTTAATTTGAAAGGTACCTCCAAATAGTTTTCTCAAGTGGTTTCATGAAGTTAGATTTCTTCCAGAAGCATATGAGAGTTCTCGTTGCTCCACATCCTCATCAACACTTGGTATAAAGTTTAGTAGATTTTTAAATGTTACCCTTTCTGTTGTATGCAGAGTAGAATGTGTTATAGTGTTAATATTTATCCCCCTGATATTTCATCAGTAGTATGCTGGTAAATGTTTAATAACCTGCTCCCCCAAAACTTTATGTGCATAATACATACATATATATGCACATACTAATTATAAATTGTATTTGTCTAAAGGATGTGTTGCACATAATTTACAAACAAAAATTTTAAAATTTAACATTTATTATTTTGAATCCTCTATAGCCAATTAATTCTCACAGAATGTTGTTCATGATTTCTATGGATCTCTGGTTTCTGTAACCAATCTACTGTCACATTTCAATCATGGTTTCAAAGATGGAGTTACAGCCTGGTTGTGGTGGCTCATGGCTGTAATCCCAGCAATTTGGGATGCTGAGGCGCGAAGATTGCTTGAGCCTGGGAGCTTGAGATCAGCCAGGGTAACATAGTGAGATTTCATTTCTACATAAAATACAAAAATTAGCCAGGCATGGTTGTGCATGCCTGTGTCCCAGCTACTCGGGAGGCTGAGGTTGGAAGACAGATTGAGCCTGGGGAGTTCAATGCTTCAGTGAGCCATGTTTGGCCCACTGCAGGTGAGCCTGGGCAACAGAGTGAGAACGTGTCTCAAAAAAATAAAAAATATTAAAAAAAAACCAAAGATGGAGTTACACCCCAATCCACTAAATGTTTACCCAATAAATGTATTGTCATTAAATCTGACATGTTAATATTAAAATATTTATCTCACAGAAATTATATTCACTAATGTAAAATCTCTTACAGCTTAAATACTAGCTTTGTGTGTGTGTCACAGGAAGCTAATATGTATGTGTACACACACACACACACACACACACACACACATATATACTACTGACTTAGTAGAAGGCAACTGGTTTCTCACAGCTGCCTCTGCATTCAACCTGTTAAGACATCACATGTCATGCTTGTAGTTTCTGGAAAAATTCACTAACCATGCATAAAAGAATGAAAGTGAGAGATAAATAGCATTGTAGTATTATTATGAAAATAGTTTTTATCTTGTGGGTCTATGAAAAGATCACATGGACTTCCAGAGGCCCTCAGATCATACTCAAGGACTGCCAGAATGGTGCATTCCAGACACATGTTTAAGTGACAGTTTAGAGTATTGTACAAGTGGTATTTCAAATCAGTAAGAAAAATTGTTTTACATATTTTGTTGATATTTTTATTATCTTACTGTAGAGAAAGCCTTCCTAAAACACACACGAAGGCTTCATAAAGGAATATATTGATAGACTTTATTATTCCTATATTCATAAAGGAATATATTGATAGACTTTACTCCATAAGAAATGAAAACATTGGTATGGCACAAACTACCAAAAAAGAAAAGGAAGTCAATTGACAATATGAGAGAAAATATTTGCAACATGTATAGGAAACAGCAGGGTCAATATCTATTATATTTTTTAAAACTCTAAAAAACATCAACAAGAAAAGTATAAAATGTGCCTGGGATTGGAGGCAAAAAAAATGAACAAGCAATTCACACTAACAAGCAGAAATGGCCAATAATATCCACTCCAACATTAGTCAAATAAAAAAAAATTAAAATAACAGGTGACAAATTTTTTCAGTAATAAGATTAGCAAAAATTTTAAAAAATTACAGTATTCAGTGTTGACGTGTATAAGCAACAAAGTCTCAGAAGCTTTTGGTTGGGTTGTATGTTAGTGTTGGTATTTGTAATAAATTGGTGATGTATATCAAAACGTACAATGTACATGCATTTGACCTAGAATTTCCATTTCTAGGAATCTACCTATAGAAATACTTATAAATTCACACATAGTCATTAGAACAAAGATGATTTTGGCAAGATTATTTGTGGAGTCAAAAATAGTAGAATCATAAAATCAACTAGCATGTAGGGAAAACCCAAATGGGATATGAGCAATAAAAAAAGAACCTAAGTGAATTACAGATGAGTAACATAACCACACTGAAGCGAGTGAGGAAGAAAAGAGCTAATCTAAGTAAACTTGGAAAACGGTGTTTTGATTACATATGGCAAGACTACAAACAAATAAACAAAAACTATACACAAATATTGTTTTATAGTTTGTAAATTTGTTTTCATGGAATACATCTTAGCAATTCTAAAAATACTTCATGTATACTCTAGGATTAAACAATTACATAAGTATATTGTAGATAACAACAGCCAGGCTTCTCACTGTTGAAGAAAGAAGTTTCAAATAAGGTAGGAGAGAAGGCGAGAAGGAACACTATAATGCCAGATGGAATTGAAAATATTAGTAGAAACTCATGGTTTTTTATATACATGGACGTCTGTGTGTGACCCATATACATACATACATGGATAATATAGAAATTAATATACATATGTGTAGATATATGGTTAAATATGCATATATATATGTATAATCAGCTCTGTCCACTGAGTGCCTATAAGCAATGATTTCCCAGTAGTAATAAGTACATCCAGCCTTCAGATCTTGACTTTTAAATTTTACTCTCCAATATAAGGAACTGGGGTTCCTTGGTAAAATGGCTGATTCTAGGTCTGGGTCACGGAAAGTTTCAGAAAGTAAGAAATTGCTCAGAAAAAAAAATAATAATTGTTGCAGACCAGAATCATCAATGGATGCTAAAATTAGTGGGCAAAGTTGAATAAGAAATAGGATTTTTCATATTTTCAAGGTCATCTTCAACTGATACTTAATAATTACAAAGGGAATATAGCAATGTTAAAGTGGTAAAACCTAGAATCCTCCAATTTATGCAAGCAATCAATTTAAAATTACCAGCAATGTGATATATTGTTATCATGTCTTCGAATATGACATACTGAGGAGCTCACATCACTTCTGTAAGATTCTTGCCCAAATGCATAAGGTAAATTATGTTAAGAAGAAATACATAAACACACACTGAGGAAAATTCTACAAAATAAGTAGCCAATAATCTTCAAAAGTGTTAAAGACATGAAAGACAAAGTAAATTTCAGAACTGTCCCAGAATGAAGGAGACCAAAGAGACATGCCAACTAAATACAATGTGTGATTCTGGATTAGATATGAATCAGTACAAAGGGCATTAGTGGGACACTTGGGAACATGCGTATAAAGTTCCTTGATTGGTTGACAGTGTTACATTGATGTTAATTTCCTAGTTATGATTATTGTACTATGGTTAAGTAAGGTGTAAAAATTTAAGGAAGCTTTACGAATATAGTTAGGTCTGAAATGATGTCAAAATGAAAAATTAAAAACCATATAAAATAGTGAAATCAGATTAAATGTGCATCAAAAAATTATGGCGCATATATCCTGTGGATATTTCACTGCATTTAAAAAGAAAACAAAAGATCCATATGTACAGACATGAAAACGTGTTGTTGAAATGCCAATTAATTAAAAAATACAGTTGCAATGTAATGTCTATCATCCCACTTTTTTTCAGGCAAACTATATACGAGTTCATAGGAAAAAATTCTGGAATAATTCTAACCAAACTATTCACTACTTTGTCTTGATTAGAGGAAGATGTGAGAAAAATGAAGGTTTAAGGAACACTTGTTTTTTATTACCTATACTTGTATATTCGTTTAATTTCATAACAAGAATAAATTTCTTTAAAAAAACAGAAAACAATGAAGAGAGAAAAAAATCTTCACCTGATCCCCAGTGGTTTATAGAATTAAGGTAAATTTTAAAATATTATGTGCTCCACCTAACTTATTCAAATTCGAACCTCATATTCCACCAATCAGATAATTTTTACTTTTGCTACTTATCTTTGTGAATAATCTATTCACTTGTTCTAAATCAATTTACTTTAATTCTTTTTAATATTATATTTTTAAAGTATAAAACTTTACCGGAGGAGCCAAGATGGCCGAATAGGAACAGCTCCGGTCTACAGCTCCCAGCGTGAGCGACGCAGAAGACGGGTGATTTCTGCATTTCCATCTGAGGTACCGGGTTCATCTCACTAGGGAGTGCCAGACAGTGGGCGCGGGTCAGTGGGTGCGTGCACTGTGCGCCAGCCGAAGCAGGGCGAGGCATTGCCTCACTTGGGAAGCGCAAAGGGTCAGGGAGTTCCCTTTCCCAGTCAAAGAAAGGGGTGACAGACGGCACCTGGAAAATCGGGTCACTCCCACCCGAATATTGCGCTTTTCGGACTGGCTTAAAAAACCACCCACCACGAGATTATATCCTGCACCTGGTTCAGAGGGTCCTACGCCCACGGAGTCTCGCTGATTGCTAGCACAGCAGTCTGAGATCAAACTGCAAGGCGGCAGCGAGGCTGGGGGAGGGGCGCCCGCCATTGCCCAGGCTTGCTTAGGTAAACAAAGCAGCAGGGAAGCTCGAACTGGGTGGAGCCCACCACAGCTCAAGGAGGCCTGCCTGCCTCTGTAGGCTCCACCTCTGGGGGCAGGGCACAGACAAACAAAAAGACAGCAGTAACCTTTGCAGACTTAAATGTCCCTGTCTGACAGCTTTGAAGAGAGCAGTGGTTCTCCCAGCCCACAGCTGGAGATCTGAGAATGAGCAGACTGCCTCCTCAAGTGGGTCCCTGACCCCTGACCCGCGAGCAGCCTAACTGGGAGGCACCCCCCAGCAGGGGCACACTGACACCTCACACGGCAGGGTATTCCAACAGACCTGCAGCTGAGGGTCCTGTCTGTTAGAAGGAAAACTAACAAACAGAAAGGACATCCACACCAAAAACCCATCTGTACATCACCATCATCAAAGACCAAAAGTAGATAAAACCACAAAGATGGGGAAAAAACAGAACAGAAAAACTGGAAACTCTAAAAAGCAGAGCGCCTCTCCTCCTCCAAAGGAACGCAGTTCCTCACCAGCAACGGAACAAAGCTGGATGGAGAATGACTTTGATGAGCTGAGAGAAGAAGGCTTCAGACGATCAAATTACTCTGAGCTATGGGAGGACATTCAAACCAAAGGCAAAGAAGTTGAAAACTTTGAAAAAAATTTAGAAGAATGTATAACTAGAATAACCAATACAGAGAAGTGCTTAAAGGAGCTGATGGAGCTGAAAACCAAGACTCGAGAACTACATGAAGAATGCAGAAGCCTCAGGAGCTGATGCGATCAACTGGAAGAAAGGGTATCAGCAATGGAAGATGAAATGAATGAAATGAAGTGAGAAGGGAAGTTTAGAGAAAAAAGAATAAAAAGAAATGAGCAAAGCCTCCAAGAAATATGGGACTATGTGAAAAGACCAAATCTACATCTGATTGGTGTACCTGAAAGTGATGGGGAGAATGGAACCAAGTTGGAAAACACTCTGCAGGATATTATCCAGGAGAACTTCCCCAATCTAGCAAGGCAGGCCAACGTTCAGATTCAGGAAATACAGAGAACGCCACAGAGATACTCCTCGAGAAGAGCAACTCCAAGACACGTAATTGTCAGATTCACCAAAGTTGAAATGAAGGAAAAAATGTTAAGGGCAGCCAGAGAGAAAGGTCGGGTTACCCACAAAGGGAAGCCCATCAGACTAACAGCGGATCTCTCGGCAGAAACCCTACAAGCCAGAAGAGAGTGGGGGCCAATATTCAACATTCTTAAAGAAAAGAATTTTCAACCCAGAATTTCATATCCAGCCAAACTAAGCTTCATAAATGAAGGAGAAATAAAATCCTTTACAGACAAGCAAATGCTGAGAGATTTTGTCACCACCAGGCCTGCCCTAAAAGAGCTCCTGAAGGAAGCGCTAAACATGGAAAGGAACAACCGGTACCAGCCGCTGCAAAATCATGCCAAAATGTAAAGACCATAGAGACTAGGAAGAAACTGCATCAACTAATGAGCAAAATCACGAGCTGACATCATAATGACAGGATCAAATTCACACATAACAATATTAACTTTAAATGTAAATGGTCTAAATGCTCCAATTAAAAGACACAGACTGGCAAATTGGATAAAGAGTCAAGACCCATCAGTGTGCTGTATTCAGGAAACCCATCTCACGTGCAGAGACACACATAGGCTCAAAATAAAGGGATGGAGGAAGATCTACCAAGCAAATGGAAAACAAAAAAAGGCAGGGGTTGCAATCCTAGTCTCTGATAAAACAGACTTTAAACCAACAAAGATCAAAAGAGACAAAGAAGGCCATTACATAATGGTAAAGGGATCAATTCAACAAGAAGAGCTAACTATCCTAAATATATATGCACCCAATACAGGAGCACCCAGATTCATAAAGCAAGTCCTGGGTGACCTACAAAGAGACTTAGACTCCCACACATTAATAATGGGAGACTTTAACACCCCACTGTCAACATTAGACAGATCAACGAGACACAAAGTCAACAAGGAAACCCAGGAATTGAACTCAGCTCTGCACCAAGCGGACCTAATAGACATCTACAGAACTCTCCACCCCAAATCAACAGAATATACATTTTTTTCAGCACCACACCACACCTATTCCAAAATTGACCACATACTTGGAAGTAAAGCTCTCCTCAGCAAATGTAAAAGAACAGAAATTATAACAAACTATCTCTCAGACCACAGTGCAATCAAACTAGAACTCAGGATTAAGAATCTCACTCAAAACCACTCAACCACATGGAAACTGAACAACCTGCTCCTGAATGACTAACTGGATACATAACGAAATGAAGATGTTCTTTGAAACCAATGAGAACAAAGACACACATACCAGAATCTCTGGGACGCATTCAAAGCAGTGTGTAGAGGGAAATTTATAGCACTAAATGCCCACAAGAGAAAGTAGGAAAGATCCAAAATTGACACCCTAACGTCACAATTAAAAGAACTAGAAAAGCAAGAGCAAACACATTCAAAAGCTAGCAGAAGGCAAGAAATAACTAAAATCAGAGCAGAACTGAAGGAAATAGAGACACAAAAAACCCTGCAAAAAATTAATGAATCCAGGAGCTGGTTTTTTGAAAGGATCAACAAAATTGATAGACCGCTAGCAAGACTAATAAAGAAAAAAAGAGAGAAGAATCAAATAGACGCAATAAAAAATGATAAAGGGGATACCACCAACGATCCCACAGAAATACAAACTACCATCAGAGAATACTACAAACACCTCTATGCAAATAAACTAGAAAATCTAGAAGAAATGGATAAATTCCTCGACACATACACTCTCCCAAGACTAAACCAGGAAGAAGTTGAATCTCTGAATAGATCAATAACAGGATCTGAAATTGTGGCAATAATCAATAGCTTACCAACCAAAAAGAGTCCAGGACCAGATGGATTCACAGCCGAATTCTACCAGAGGTACAAGGAGGAACTGGTACCATTCCTTCTGAAACTATTCCAATCAATAGAAAAAGAGGGAATCCTCCCTAACTCATTTTATGAGGCCAGCATCATTCTGATACCAAAGCCTGGCAGAGACACAACCAAAAAAGAGAATTTTAGACCAATATCCTTGATGAACACTGATGCAAAAATCCTCAATAAAATTCTGGCAAAACGAATCCAGCAGCACATCAAAAAGCTTATCCACCATGATCAAGTGGGCTTCATCCCTGGGATGCAAGGCTGGTTCAATATACGCAAATCAATAAATGTAATCCAGCATATAAACAGAGCCAAAGACAAAAACCACATGATTATCTCAATAGATGAAGAAAAAGCCTTTGACAAAATTCAACAACCCTTCATGCTAAAAACTCTCAATAAATTAGGTATTGATGGGATGTAATTCAAAATAATAAGAGCTATCTATGACAAACCCACAGCCAATATCTCACTGAATGGGCAAAAACTGGAAGCATTCCCTTTGAAAACTGGCACAAGACAGGGATGCCCTCTCTCACCACTCCTATTCAACATAGTGTTGGAAGTTCTGGCCAGGGCAATTAGGCAGGAGAAGGAAATAAAGGGTATTCAATTAGGAAAAGAGGAAGTCAAATTGTCCCTGTTTGCAGACGACATGATTGTATATCTAGAAAACCCCATTGTCTCAGCCCAAAATCTCCTTAAGCTGATAAGCAACTTCAGCAAAGTCTCAGGATACAAAATCAATGTACAAAAATCACAAGCATTCTTATACACCAACAACAAACAGAGAGCCAAATCATGAGTGAACTCCCATTCACAATTGCTTCAAAGAGAATAAAATACCTAGGAATCCAACTTACAAGGGATGTGAAGGACCTCTTCAAGGAGAACTACAAACCACTGCTCAATGAAATAAAAGAGGATACAAACAAATGGAAGAACATTCCATGCTCATGGGTAGGAAGAATCAATATCGTGAAAATGGCCATACTGCCCAAGGTAATTTACAGATTCAATGCCATCCCCATCAAGCTACCAATGACTTTCTTCACAGAACTGGAAAAAACTACTTTAAAGTTCATATGGAACCAAAAAAGAGCCCGCATCACCAAGGCAATCCTAAGCCAAAAGAACAAAGCTGGAGGCATCATACTACCTGACTTCAAACTATACTACAAGGCTACAGTAACCAAAACAGCATGGTACTGGTACCAAAACAGAGATATAGATCAATGGAACATAACAGAGCCCTCAGAAATAACGCCGCATATCTACAACTATCTGATCTTTGACAAACTTGAGAAAAACAAACAATGGGGAAAGGATTCCCTATTTAATAAATGATGCTGGGAAAACTGGCTAGCCATATGTAGAAAGCTGAAACTGGGTCCCTTCCTTGCACCTTATACAAAAATCAATTCAAGATGGATTAAAGACTTAAATGTTAGACCTAAAACCATAAAAGCCCTAGAAGAAAACCTAGGCATTACCATTCAGGACATAGTCATGGGCAAGGACTTCATGTCCGAAACACCAAAAGCAATGGCAACAAAAGCCAAAATTGACAAATGGGATCTAACTAAACTAAAGAGCCTCTGCACAGCAAAAGAAACTACCATCAGAGTGAACAGGCAACCTACAAAATGGGAGAAAATTTTCGCAACCTACTCATCTGACAAAGGGCTAATATCCAGAATCTACAATGAACTCAAACAAATTTACAAGAAAAAAACAAACAACCCCATCAAAAAGTGGGTGAAGGACATGAACAGACACTTCTCAAAAGAAGACATTTATGCAGCCAAAAAACACATGAAAAAATGCTCATCATCACTGGCCATCAGAGAAATGCAAATCAAAACCACAATTAGATACCATCTCACACCAGTTAGAATGGCAATCATTAAAAAGTCAGGAAACAGCAGGTGCTGGAGAGGATGTGGAGAAATAGGAACACTTTTGCACTGTTGGTGGGACTGTAAACTAGTTCAACCATTGTGGAAGTCAATGTGGCGATTCCTCAGGGATCTAGAACTAGAAATACCATTTGACCCAGCCATCCCATTACTGGGTATATACTCAAAGGACTATAAATCATGCTGCTATAAAGACACATGCACATGTATGTTTACTGTGGCACTATTCACAATAGCAAAGACCTGGAACCAACCCAAATGTCCAACAATGATAGACTGGATTAAGAAAATGTGGCACATACACACCATGGAATACTACACAGCCATAAAAAAGATGAGTTCATGTCCTTTATAGGGACATGGATGAAGCTGGAAACCATCATCCTCAGCAAACTATTGCAAGGACAAAAAACCAAACACTGCATGTTCTCACTCATAGGTGGGAATTGAACAATGAGAACACTTGGACACAGGAAGCGGAACATCACACACCGGGGCCTGTTGTGGGGTGGGGAGAAGGGGGAGGGATAGCATTAGGAGATATACCTAATGTAAAGGATGAGTTAATGGGTGCGGCACACCAACACGGCACATGTTTACATATGTAACAAACCTGCATGTTGTGCACATGTACCCTAGAACTTAAAGTATAATAAAAATATATATATATAAATAAAAAAGAAAAGATAAAAAAGAAAGTGATTACCTTTGTACACTTAAAATAATTGCAGTTCAGAAGCCGTATTTTATCTGCATTAATTCTGTGATTAATGTTAATTTCCCCATAAATGACATGAGTTCTGTTTTCACAACACCAATCACACACAAACTCTTCAGGCTAAAGAGTTAGAACGCTGTTACTACCTGCCCGTCCCTTTCCTTTACCCCAATACCCAAGAGGTTTTTCTAACCATATGATGTCAGGAATACCAGAAATTTCTTCAAGCATATCTAAACTTTGATCCTCTGAGTAAATTTCACAATGATGCCTCTAAAAAATTGCCAAAGAAAACAAGAGCAAGCCTGACACCCAGCAGAAAGCAAATACAGTTTCTATGACTAAGAACTTCCATGTGTGAAATAAAAAATAGAGAGGGCAAAATGATTCCATTTATTTAAAAGATAATTGATAGGCTGGATATTGTTTATTTTAAAATGTCTTTCTGAAGCTAAATAAAACTGTTTTGTTTCTCTTTCCAGGTCTACATAACGTGACTGGTATGTATGAAGATGATCACCTTTTCATTTTGCCCAACTGAAACTAAAATTCTCAATATCTGAGCATATGTCATATTGAGGATATTTCTAACATCGATGGGAAAGAGAAGGGACATAATATTAATAATGATAAGTGAAAATATTTTACCTGTATATTTTATCTCTTACTTGGACAGGATGAATTTTTTAAACAGCTTTATTGAGGTGTGATTTACATACATTAATGCTTACCTGTTTTAAGCATAGAGTTTGATGACTTTGGGAAATGTATAGTCTTATTGCTTCATCATTAGCAAAATACTGACCATTTCCATCAACCCCAAAAGTTCCCTGATGCCCCTTTAGGCAACTCACTTTCCCCATCCTGGTCCCAAGCAACTGCTGAATGGCTATTTGTCACAATAGATCAGATTAATCATTTCTAAAATTTTGTAAGATGGAATCACATAGAATGTAGTCTTCCATATCTAGAATTTTATACTTAATGATCTGGAGATCTACCCAGGTTGTTACATGTCAGTAATTCAGTTTATTGGTGAATAATGTTCCATTCTACAAATATAACTCAATGTGTTTATTCATTCACTAGTGGACATTTGAATTAATTACAGCTACAGGCTATTATAAATAAAGCTGCTATGAGCATTCATATATAGGTCTTTGTGCGAACACAAATTCCTTTATCTTGGATAAGTACCTAGAAGTATACATGCTGAATTATATGATATTTATATTCAATTTTATAAAAAACTGCCAGTTTTCTGAGGTGGGCTGTACCATTTATTTACATTCTCATCAGCAATATATTAAAGTTCCAGCTGTGATGCAGCCTTGCCAATACTTAGTATTGCTAGGTTTCTTTATTTGTTTGCTTGTTTGTTTGTTTTTGTGGTTTTATTTTTTAATTTGCTTTGTTTTTTGTCATTCTAGTTTAGTGATACTTTAGTGTGGTTAAATTAATATTTCTCACCGAACTAATGTTGTTAAGAACTAAGATTGTTTCCTATATGTATTGGTCATTCATGTAGTATATATGTGAAGGATCTACAAATCTTCTGTCCATTATTTTAATTGGGCTGCTTTTAATTATTGAGTTATAAGTTGTTCTTCATATATTCCGGATACGAGCCCTTTTCACATATATATGTTTTGAAATATTTTCTCCTAGACTGTGGCTTGTCTTTTTTCATTATAATGGTGTCTTTTGAAAAACAAAAGGTTTTAATTTTTATGAGATTCAATTTATTAATCTTTTTCTTTTGTGTTCTGTGTTTTTTATGTGCCATATAAGGAATATTTGCCTAACCCAGAGCCACAGAGATTTTCGCTTATGATTTATTTCAAAGAGTTATGGTTTAGCTCTATTGAATAGGCCTATGATGCACTTTGAATTAATTTTTTTGTATGAGGATTGGTAAAGGTTAACATTCACTTTTATTTTTGCATATGGATATCCAATTACTTCAGCAATACTTCATAAAAACTATTATTTCTTCAAATATATATATATTTGAAATTGTTTTGGCTGTTCTAAATTTTTTACATTTCCATATAAATGTTACAACCCATTTGTTAATTTCTTTTTTGTTTGCTTTGTGTTGCTTTTCATGGGAATCTCAGTCTGTCACTCAGGCTGGAGTGCAGTGGCACAATCATGGCTAACTGCAACCTCCAATTACCAGACTCAAGTGGTCCTGCCATGCCAGCCTCCCAAGTAGTTGGGACTACAGGCATAAGCCACTATGTTTAGCTAATTTTTTTTCTTTTGTAGAGATGGGGTCTCCCTATGTTGCCCAGGCTGGTCTTGAACTGCTAGACTTAAGCAATCCTGCCACCCCACCCTCCCAAAGTGCTGGGATTATAGGCAAGAGCCACTGTACCTGGCCAAGTTTGTTAACTTCTATCAATGAAAAAAAGACCCAACTGAGAATGTGCTTAAAATTTTTTTAAACTTTGGAAAAATTTGTGGGAAATTACAATCTTAAAATTATCAAGTCTTCTAATTCATGAACATGGTATAATATATATACATATATACACATATATATACATAGATGAATTTATATACATGTATATATATACACATATATACATATATACACATATATATACATATATATACACACATATATATACATATATATACACACATATATATACATATATATATACACACACATATATATATACACACACATATATATATATATATGGCTCTGGGCTAGGCAAATATTCCTTATATGGCACATAAAAAACACAGAACACAAAAGAAAAAAGATTAATAAATTGAATCTCATAAAAATTAAAACCTTTTGTTTTTCAAAAGACAGCATTATAATGAAAAAAGACAAGCCACAGTCTAGGAGAAAATATTTCTCCTAGAGAATATATATATATATCAACTTCTTTAGAGCTTTTAAAATTTCAGCAATTTTTGGAATTTATAGTGTACACATTTTACAAGTTTTTTTATTAAATGTAGTGCTTAGTGTTTATGCAACTTTAAATAATGTCTTTTTAAATTTCAATTTCCACTTCTTCGATGCTAGTATATAAGAACGCAGTTGATTTTGTATATTGGTCTTATTTTAGCATTATTTTTAAATTTACTAAATAAGTTCTAGTGGCTTTTAAAAAGACTCTTTTTGACATTTTAATGCACACAATTATGTCATATATGAATAAAGAAACTTTTAGTTCTTCATTTCCCAATCTTTATCCTGTTTTTTTTTTCTTACCATAATGTATTGGCTAAGACCTCTAGTAAAATGTGTGCTAGAAGTGATGAGTGCAGAAATATTTGCCTTTTATCTTTTCTCTTTGGTAAAAAGTAGCTATTTGTTAGTAAGTACAATATAACTTGTAGCTTTTTCATAAATATCCTATATCAAAGTGGGAAGGTTTCTTTTCTTCTGTTTTGATGCTAAATTTTGTCCTATTCTTTTTGAGCATTTATTAAAATGATATGAATGTCTGTTTTCTCTTCATTTTGTTAATATGATGAATTACACTAAATGATTTTCAGATGCTAAACCAACCTTGCATTTCTGGGATAAATCCCTTTTGTTGTGATGCACTATACTTTTTAAATTTTGTTGGGATTTGATAATATGTTGGTAAGAATTTTTGCATCTATGTTTATGACAAATATTAGTCCATGGTTTTGTTTCCTTTTGATCTTTTGGTTGTTATGGTAATACTGGTCTTATAAAATGAGTTGGTTAATGCTTCATTTTCCCTTATTTTCTGAGAGAAGTACTATAAGGTTAATGTTATTTCTTTTTTACATGTTGGTAGAATTCACCGCTGAAGCCATTTAGTCTGGAGACTTCTTTGTGAGAAAGTTCCCTAATACGAAAATGATAACTTTCACTGTTTATTAGTGAAAGATGTTTTAATTTAGGCATATTATTTTTTAATTTAGTTTCGGCAACTTGTGTCTTTCAAGGAATTCATCCACTTCATATAATCTGTTGAATTTATTGGTGTGCACTTGTTCATAATATTATATTATATATCAATTATTTATTGCTGCATAACAAATGACCACAAACTTAACAGCTTAAAATAGCACACTGTGTTTTCTCACAGTTTCTGTGGGTCAGAATCAGATTATGTCTTAGGTGGGTCTGTTGCTTCAGAGTCTGTCATAAGGCTTCAATCAAGGTGTCAATCTGGGTCTCATCTGAAAGCCTGACAAAGGAAAGAGCTACTTCCAAGCTCACCTACGTGTTAGCAGAGTGCAGTTTATTTTGAACTACTGAACTGAGGGCTGTAATTCCTAGCAGGTTATTGGCCAGAAGCTGCCTTCAGTGACACATGGGCCTATTTAGCAGGGCAATTTATTTCATTAAAGCCAGCAACAAATGAAATTGTTTGCTAAGAAAATGAGAGTTACAATTTCCTATTATATACCAATGAAATAATATGCCCTAATATTGAGATAGTCTATTAGAAGCACATTGTTCAAGGAGAGAGTATGTATTACACAAGGCTCTGAATACTAGAAGGTAGGCATCTTTAGAGACAGTCTTAGATGCTACTTATAACATCTAATTATACTTTAAGTATGTAAGAAACCTGTAAGGATGTTTCTTCTGTTACTGCTGAGGTTAATCATTTTGGTTTTTTTCTTTTGTTGATTGGTCTAGCTAGAATTTTATTGATCTTTTCAATAAATCGATTATACTTATTTCATTGATTTTTCTCTATTGTTTATGTTTTAGTCCCTCTCACTTATTCATGTTCTCTTAATCATTTCCTTTTTTCCCCAATGCTCAGGATTTAATTTACTCTTATTTTCTAGCTAATTTCTAGCTTCAGAAACTAATATAATTAATTTCAATCTTTATTCTTTACTAATATGAGCTATGAATTTCCCTCTGACAACTGCATTAGCTGTATAACACAATGGTGATGGGTTGCATTTTAATCTTCATTTACTTCAAAATGCTTTATAATTTCCCTTGTGATTTATTGTTTTATCCATGAGTTATTTGGAATCAAAATTTCAAAATAGTTTTGTATTTTCCACATTTCTTTCTGTTATTGATTTCTAAGTATAAGTCCGTTGTAGTCAGAAACCATATATTCTGTACTAGTTCAGTCCTTTTAAATATATTAAGACTTGATGTAAGGCCTGGAATATATCCTATCTTCACTGAGAAGAATGCACTTTCTGCTGTTGACTGGAATGCTCCATAAACATAATTTGGTTCAAGTCTTCTAAATTAAAATTGATTTTCTCTTTACTTATTATATCAACTACTGGAGAGAAGTATTAGAATCTTTATCTGTGATTTTTATTTTAATTTGTCCATTTTGCCATTCAGTTCCTGGAGTTTTTGTTTCATATATTCTGTTGTTCTAAGTGTTTATTCAATATTACCATTATATCTTTACAAAATGTATATTGACCGTTTTGTTATTTTGAAATATCTTTCTTTGTTTCCAGTAATATTTTTTAATTTAAAGACTATTTTGCTTTTATTAATAATGTCATTGTAGCATTCTTCAGGTTGACTTTTTAACTTTAATGTTTTGACTTTCACAAATAAAAATATGGTGGAAGACTTATGATATTAACATATGTAGTTATGTGTACACTATATAATGTAAACAAATTCAGATGCTACAGTTAGGTTCAACTTTGTTAAATTACAAAGAAAAAGTCTTTTGGGTTTTTTGTTTGTTTTTGTTGTGTTTTTTTGTTTGTTTTTTGTTTTTTAGCTCTGTTAAATTATTAGGTTGGTGCAAAAGTAATTGCAGCTTTCCCCTTACTTTCAATGGCAAAAACTGCAATTTCTTTTGCACCAACCTAACAAGTATGAACACAGTGTGAAAAGAAGATTAGGGTTACCCCAGAGAATGAGCAATCAAAACTCAGGAAAATAATTATATACTTCAAGTTATTATCTTAGTCCTTGAGTTGGAATCAACAATCTTCCAAGAAGAGGTAGGGAGAGATTCAAGATATGTTAGGATAATTTGTTTTTAAATTTCTTCTTTAAAAATCTAAAATTTATATGAAAGTTTAAACCTTCTCTCAAATAATCATATTGTTTCCTTTGTATATTATGAGGTGGGAGACAAAAAAAAAGTAAAAATAATATCAGATACTCTTAAACCACATGAGTTTGAGGGCAGACAGTCTTGATTGGATTGCTAAAAAAAAACATGATTTGAAATGTCTGGGTAATAAAATATCATACACTAGTCTCTTAAGTCACGTGTTCCAAGCTGTGGCGCTCATAGTACTTGAAAATATTTAAGAAGATACACAGCTGGTGAAAATAACATGGGTTTATATGTAAGTAGATTAATGTACATCAATTACTTTTAGCTCTTTTTACTCAGTCATGAATAACTTCATTTTAATCACTGTATGCCTCTATCCCTTTTTCCCAAAGTTGCCAGTATGCCTTTATAGCAAGAAGAGAGCCAGTATCATTACAGATACCTTATGTTATATTATATCGTTATATTATTGTAGCACATATTATGTTTACTCTCGGTGTTATACATTCTATGGGTTTACACATTTGTGAAAATAATACATATAATATATAATAATATAATAGTGTAATTTAATTTTATTATATAATGGTCTAAATTATATAACATGTGTTCTATATAATTATATGTATATAGCACCTTTATAGTATCATACATAATAGTTTTACTGCACTAACATTTCTCTGTTCCTCACCTATTCATTCCTCTCTCTCTCTGATAACCCCTACTTACCACAGATCCTTTCCTGTTTCTACAGTTTTGTCTTTTCTAGAAATTAATATATGTGGAATTATACAGGATGTAGCTTTTCACAGATTGGCTTCCTTCACTTAGTAATATGCATTTAAGATTCCTCCATGTCTTTTCATTGCCTGATGGGTCTTTTATTTTTAGCACTGAATAATATTTCATTGTCTGGATGTACCACAGTTTATCCATTCATCTACAGAAGGACATCTTTGTTGAGTCCACATTTTAGCAATGATGAATAAAGTTTCTATAAGCATATAAGTGCAGATTTTTGTGTGGACATGTTTTCACCTCATTTGAGTAAATTCTAAGGAGTACAATTGCTGGATCACATGGTAGTAGTGTGTTTAGATTCATTAAAAGCTGCCAAGCTCTATTACAGAGTGGCTATACCATTTTGCATTCTCACCAGCAATAAGTGTGAGATCCTGTTGCTCTCCTCATTAGCATTTGTTGTTTGTTCTTACTTTTGTCTTCCACTCTTTTTCTGCCTCTTTTGGTTTTATTTGAACATTTTATATGATTCTATTTTTTCTCCTTTTTTTGGCATATCAGTTGTACTTTTTTTTAAACGTATTTTAGTGGTTGCCTTAGAATTTGCAATATGTATTTACAACTAATTCAAGTTTACTTTCAAATAACACTACACTGCTTCACAGGTAGTGCAAGTATCTTATAATAACAAACTATTCCCAATTACTCTCTTCTGTATCTTGTATTATTGCTGTCATTCCTTTCACTTATACATAAGCATATATTAATATATATATAAGCATATACAATCAAATACATTGTTGCTATTATTATTTTGAATAAACTATTATCAGATCAATTAAGAATAAGAAAAAGTTTTTATCTTCACTTATGCCTTTTCTGGTGCTATTCCTTTCTTTATGCAGGTCTGAGTTTCTGACTATACAATTTTCCTTCTCTCTGAAGAACTTCTTTTGACATTTCTTACAAGGCAAGTCTATTGGCAACAAATCCTCAAAATTTTTGTTTGTCTCAGAAACTGTGTTTTTTATTCACTTTTCAAGGATAATTTTGCATGTTACAGATATCTAGATTGGTAAATTTGTGTGTGTGTGTGTGTGTGTGTGTGTGTGTGTGTGTTTTTGGTCAAAACTTTCACTCTATTCTCTTCTTAGTTGTGTGGTTTTTGAGAAGTTGGATATAATTCTTGTCTTTGCTCCTATATAAGTAAGGTATTTTTTTTCCTCTGGCTTTTATCTGGGTTTTCTCTTTACATTAGCAGTTTGAATATGACATGCCTAGGTGTGATGGTTTTGTTTTGTTTTTGTTTCTGTTTTTTTTTTTAGCATTTATCCTGCTTGGTGTTCTGTGAGCTTCCTGAATCTAAAGTTTCATGCCTGACATTAATTTGGGAAAATTCTCAGTCATTATTCCTTCAAATATTTCTTCTATTCTTTTCTCCTTTCCTTTGTCTGTTAGTATTCCCATTATGCTTATGTTTTACCTTTTGTGGTTTTTCCATAGTTCTGGGATAACCTGTTCCCTTTTGTTACATCTTTTTTCTGTTTGCTTTTTTCCAGGACCAGAAACTGGAGGACATGCTGTTTCTACTGACACGTCCTCAAACTCAGAGAGTTTTTTCCTTAGCCTTGTGAGTTTGCTAATGAGTCCATCAAAGGCATTCTTCATTCCTGTTACAGTGTTTTTTATCTTTAGCATTAAAAAATTTTTTTCTTAGAATTTCAATCTCTCTGCTTTCATGTCATTGACTTTCCCATTAAAGCCCCCAGCTTACTAAGCATAGTTGTTTTAAATTCCCAATTTAATAATTTTAACATCTCTACCATAGTTAAGTCTGGTTCTGATGCTTGCTCTGTCACTTCATGCTGTGTTTTTGCCTTTTAGTACGCCTTGTTTTCTCCTTCTTGATAGCCAGACATGTATTGGGTAAATGGAATTGCTTTAAATAGGCCTTTAGTAATGTGGTGGTGAGATGTGAGGGGAGGGGAAGCATTCTGCTGTCCCGTAATTAAGTCTCAATCTGTTAGTGACCTTGTTCCTCTGGAGCATAAAATTCACACACAGTCTCCCTACCTACACCATTTAGGTAGGAGAGGATGGCTAGAGTGGGCTGAAATTGGATATTTCCTTTCCCCAGGTAGGTTAGCCTTCATAAAACCGCAATAATTTAGACTCTGATTAAATAGTTTATCCTGAGGACAGGCCTTTGGAGAAGAGCAGCATGCTCTGGTGAATTTCAAAATGGTTCCTTTTCCTTTCTCTCTTCTGGAAGGACAAGGGGATTTTTCTCTGTTGTTTACTTTGAGAACCAGCTTGCACTTCTGAGGGTTGGCTCACAAAAGTGGGGGTGTCCCTCTATGACTAAGTCCCCCTTGGAGTTTTTAACTCTCAGACTTGTCTGCTCTAAGCCTCCAGCAAGTCACTGATGACAGTTCAGGTTTTCCTATCCCAGCACGGGTTCCCTCAGAGGTTTTTGCTGGATTGTTAGTGCTCTGGTATATTATGTATTTGCCTGTTTGTCTCTCCGATGTTGAGGGCAGCAGTTTGACCTGTAACCTCATTTCTTTGATGGATCTAAGAGGAGTTGGTTTTTCAATTCATTCAGCTCTTTACCTGATCTTAGGAATAAAATGATGACTTCCAAGCTCCCTACCTGAAGGACCAGAAACTGGAAATACCTCTGATTATGCCTGCAACTTCACTGAATCTGTCTGTCCTTCTACTCCAGGCACATGAAATAAGTTGCAGTTTTTCCAATGTTTTTGCTGTCATATGTGGTTATATCAGGAGTGAGAAAACGCCAAGAAAACTAGCTATGAAAAGAAAAAGAAAGAGTAGGGTCTAGCAGGGGAATGACGGTGAAATTAGGGTCAGAGTTTGATGAATTAACAAAATGGGATGTGGTAAGAGAGACTTTGAAGTTATTGGACACAAAGAGTGTCACTGACAGATCAAAGCCCAGGCAAAAAATTAATTTAACACAGCTTTCTCTCAGGGATGGCAAAAGCTTAAATATCTCATTATTCTTAGGCAGAGATTACTGTTTATGATTAGAGAGAAAAGGAACCAGAGGTTCAGAGAGATTAAGTGATTTACTCAAAGTTATAATGGCCAATTAGTGTAAGAAGACTCTGATGTACCAGATATACCAGTAACTGTTAGAATTCCATTTTTAATGTTTCACCACCCCACAGGGACATTATAAGGAGCTTCCTTCAACAGAAGATCTGTACCTTACAGCCACTATTACCTTTTCTTTTTTCTTTTTTTTTAGAAGTGTAGTTAGTTTGGCAGGGTTGTTTCTAACAAAATTAACTCTGTCAGAAATATATTTTTAAGAAAGCCATTAGGCCATCACATGCATAGTGCTTCAGTTTAGACCTTCATTCTACCAAACCATTTATTTTGAACAGCAAAGGACTTTTGAACTGAGCACTATTTTATCTTGATTATATTAGACATGAGATGAATATACATTTACATAAGGAAAGTAAGAAATGGCATTTTACTTCAAAATTATCATGGTATAAAATGAACTATATATAAATAATGGAGAAAACTACATTCTAATACTAAAGAAGTAGCTGAAACCATAGCACTTATTCAGTAAACTTGCTTTTGCACTACAATGATGAAATTGTGCAGGCACATGATGCCATAAATTAAATAATGCATCAACTAAGTACTATTAAATCACATTTAAATATACTATCCTTGATTGCTAGAGTGAAGTTCAGAGTATACACCAGGGAAATCAAGTTGTTTTGAACTTAGTTATATTGTCCTTAAATAAATTATACTTTGCTAATGCATTAGCTTTTGAACAAAATTTTTCTCTAGACAAAAAAAAATTCTAATATAAACCTCCAATATAAAATAAGATTACTAAAATTTGCTCCTATCACAATGAAAAATGTAATCATTCTTTAGGTCAGAAATAGGATCTTGGTATGCTCAATTAATAAAGGTGGCATTGTTCTGGAGTAAAAAGGGTATTAGATATTATTAAGAGAAGTGGACTACAGAACAATCTCAGCAGTAAATAATTGTATGATTTTGTGCTAGTCATTTAACTTTGCCAGATATCAATTTCCCACTGGAAAATGAGAGAGTTACATATACTAACTCTAATATTTCTGATTCTTTTATAAAATATTGTGGGGAGACAGCTTACTGTGTGCTAAACAATTTATAAAAGTTTTAATTTGTATTCACAATAATCTGTAAGGGAGGTATTATTTTCTCCTAGAAATGAAGAGCCAGGTAGTTCTGAGAGGTTAAATAGTGTCAGATAGCTAGTTAGAGGTAGAATTAGGATTTGAATCTGCCTCTACATCTCAAAACCCCATATTGCTCCCTTACTGTATGAGACCTGTAAGCATTGACTAATACTTCCTACTGCCCATCTTTGAGCTGACATTTAATAGACATTTTTAAAAGAAGAAGAAACAGATACAAAAATGTCTCTTATCTTTTCTAAAGAAACAACAACAAACTCCCACAACACACAGCCAAAAGGAATCATTACCAACGGGCTACCAAATGTATCTACAGACAAAGGCATCCTAAAAGAACACAATGATGCTACTTTCGAAGATGCCAACACTGCAGGTCAGAATATGACTACTTATGCCATTGGCACACTTAGCTAAGTCTGTGTGTAATGGGCCATGCCCAGTTATTTTCAGAGTCTGTGTGACGTCTGCAGATATTTGTTTTGTCCTGGTAGCAATGATGAAGGAAAAAGGGGACTGAATTGGAGCAAAACAGTGACTTGGCCAAGGCCACAGCTTTTATAGAAGAGTAAAGGGGTTCAGAAATAGATATATTTGACCCCAAATTGTAGACTCTTTCCAATTAATAAATGGAAGAACTGAGGGAAAACATAGTTTTGTATGCAGACAACCTAATTAACATTTTAGCACAATTAACACATAAACAACTATATTAGGAGTTTTTTCTGAGTAACAACAGGAACAAAAATAGAATAAAATAAAATTCAGGATTATATCCATCCTGTCACTGAGCTCCTTCTAAGTAGTATCAAATAAAATAATTTTACTTAGGAAACATCTTAAAGAGAATACAAGTTGTTAAAAAAATAACTAGTGTATGACCTTAAAAATTCATTTTGATAAAAAAGAAAAAAAAAATCTAAAAGCCCATTGTACTGTCAGTATATTGTTGGCAGATATTTTTAAATCTAAACCCTAGAACTGAATGTTCGAGCTACTTGAGGAAAATGCCCAGGAGCAATTGGTCTGGGCCTGGACCACTGCGCAGGCCTCTACACTGGCAAAGCAGTCAGTGGTGAAATTCTTAGCACAGTTGAAGGCATTTATGGGAAAGCCAAGATTGGAGGTGAAGGGAAATGAACGGGAGGAAATGAAATGGCCGTATTATTCAAATGTGCTATGGACAAATCTTTAGCTCTGGAAAAATGCGCTCTGTATTCCAGGTAAATGTATTAGGCTAACTGATTCCAGGTGTTCTCAAGGATAATTGATTCATTCAGCAAACTTTTTTTTTTTTTTAAGTAACTACTATGTGAAAAACAACACTATGAAATATATTGTATGAGCAGCCTTCATTTATTTCTGGAATTGTTCCCAATTACAAAATCATCAGTCTTTATTTTATTTTCATACATTTACTGAATCAGCATTTTCTCTAGTACAATTATTGGTTAAGAAACTGGAAGATTGGCTAGGCACAGTGACTCACTCCTGTAATCCCAGCACTTTGGGAGGCCGAGGCAGGTGGATCACCTGAGGTCAGGAGTTCGAGGCCAACCTGACCAACATGGCGAAACACCATCTCCACTAAAAATACAAAAATTAGCCGGGAGTGATGGTGGGTGCCTGTAGTCCCAGCTACTCAGGAGGCTGAGACACGAGAATAGCTTGAACCTGGGAGGCGGAGGTTGCAGTGAACCTAGATGGCGCCATTGCACTCCAGCCTGGGCGAGAGAGCTAGACTCTGTTTTGAAAAAAAAATAAAGAAAAACCAAAACAAAACAAAAAAAGAAACTGGAAGGTTAATATGCACTTTATCTGGTAGGTTTCTATTCCCCCTTTCCTCAATAACTTGAAATAAATTTACTCAGGTATTAGTTGTGGAAAATTTCTTAAGTCTAAAATGCTTTTCAACTGTTTTCTACAGACAATTTTCCAGACTTTGCTTAGAGACTTGTAAGGCAAAGCTTATTACAAGTACTAGCAGAGAATTTTATTTCAATACATTGTTTCCTGATGTAGAAAATCTCACAATCAAAAAAAAATTAAACCACAGAACACAGTATTACATTTTGTCCTCGGTTATTTGTGACGATAGGAAAATAATTGAAACAACCAAATGGAATGAATTTAAAATTAAAACAACTAAAGATATTTCATTGTTATTACTTGCTTGTTGCTTAAGCATATTGTACTAAAAGAAAATTATTCCAGCATAGGGCATTTATGTTTTAAAACTTCAGTTTCATTTCAGTGTCTTGGAAGTAGAACATAGTGTAGTAACTTCATAATTGTGATATACTATAAATGAATATCAGTTCCTCAACTTCATATTTTAGATTATGGATATAAAAGTAGATTGAGTAAATTTAACTCACATCAATATTCAAATAGGCAGAACATTAACGTCATATCTTGTGTTTAGTCTCTAAGCAATTGGACTTTCTTTCTATGACCCTACTTACTTATTAGCAGAAAAAAAAAGTCAACTTATCTTAAATTTTACCCTGACCTGATCATTACAATAGTCCTAGGAAGAGCTCATCATCCTGGATGAAATGATCAACCACTCAGCCTATAGACATGCACTGGAAGAAGGCTGAAATATGGCCCCTCTATGGACCCAAACTAGAAGCTGGGCCAGGATTTATTCTCTCCTCTTCCCACGTCCCTCACCTTATCTAACACATACAACTTCAGGAAAAAGCAAGGGAAATACCCTCATTTGACCTCATTTGTCTTTCTTGCCATTCCTAATGTCAGGAATGCAGGTGGAATTTTCTTTTATTTTGTGATATCCTCTTAGCTACCTTGGAATTGGCCCACCTGTCATAGACAAAAGATGCATCTTCTCTATCCTGTGGGATGACTCTTAGAGTTATGTTCTTCTGGATTCCCTGCTGGTATGCTAAATTGAGGAAGGGAGAAAATGGAGCCATGAGAAATCCCTCTCTAGGCTCTAGTCTTGCTGGAGAATTCTACTTTACATATCAAAAGTTGAACATAACTTCATTCCTTCTGTGGCACACTCTATAACTCTCCTCCAGCTCTACCCACCCCTACCAGGTAGATGGAAAAATGCCTGTAGCTTGCTAGGGTAAAATATTCCTCAAAAAAAAAAAAAAAAAAAGAGAGAGAGAGAGAGAGAGACAGAGAGAGAGAGAGAAATAGCCATCAGTGTTTTTCAAAATATTACATTACAATTAAATGCATGGGAATCTAATGCATTCCATTAGTGTTAAAGAGTTTGTATATGGGACCTTTGAACTATTTCACTCTTCACATGATATTTGTACCTTTATGGCCAAATTGTTTTTCTATTTTTGTTCTTTTTTGTTCTCTCTTTACTCTACCATTCCTTTTTTTATTCAGTGTGATGTCATTATTTTTAGCAACATTTTCCATAGGTTTATTGATCCTGCCTTGGAAATATTAATTTATCTTTACCACTCAGCTATGTGTAGCAAATGTGAGCTTGAGTACTCTGTTCCTCATTGTTACAGTCTGCTTGACTTGTGCAAACTAGAATTAAAGTCAAGATAGAAAGGTGTGTGATAGAAATATGGATCCTGTTTGACTTACCCAAACTTCCTTGGCATGATATAAGAGCTCTTCACTCTGTGTGGGTGCCTCATCCATTCTGGTAACTACCCCTTGCTTTCATTAATAGAGGCTTCAGCTTTTGAAAATACTTTAGTAATTCCTGTCACACCATTTTCTACTTCTAAAAATATATTCGCAGTTTTTAGGAACACTTGGATCTCTTCTCTGCCAATCCAAAATCAAATCTCAAGGCCTAGCCCAAATGCAGCATCTTCATATACTATGTAAGCCAGGCTTACATTCCCCTTCAGCCTACCTGCAGCATTTTAAAACTGCAATAAGGACAAACACATACATAGTACTACATTGAACCAGGCATTGAACTTGGCTCCTGACATATATTAACTCCTCTAATCCCTACAACAATCATAAGAGATAAGCAGTCAAATTTTTCAGAATATACAAATGAGGATATTGAGGCACAGTTAATTTACATAAACTACCCACAGTTATATGACTAGTCCAACATTATTTTTGCAAGATTTTATAAACAGGACATATCTTAAATTTGAAGAAAACGGTGAATCTCATGTAATTTCATGCAAAATTTAGTTTAGATGTGCAAATGTAGATTTTTCTAGGGAGAAGATCTCCCTCTTTACATCAGATTTTTAAAATATTCTGTGTTCCAAAAAAAGATTACAAGCTATACTAGAAAATATTAAGTACTATTCTCTAGTTATCTAAAAGTGTACTTTTTTTGAATTCTTTACACTGTACATTAGGAATCCAGTGAATATTTTTGATTTGACATGATATCTATCTTAACTGAGGAGAAGCACTGCAGTTGGTAAAAAGAGACAGCAAATAAATTAACCAAGTAGAAATAAATGAAATCATAGTTCATTCATTAATCATTCCTGCTAAATTGTAATAATAAATGTAGAAATGTATAAGCATATGACGGTATTTATCTCAATGTAATAATAACTTGTATTTCTCAAAGGACACACCACACAAAATATGTATTATTACATCAAAGTCAATATTTTAAGCGGTAAATCATAAAAATAGATTTATTGTAACCTCAATCATCCTTTACCTTGTCATAATTAACAGTTTTTTCTATAATTCCCATAGAATACATATGATAAAGAATATGTATTTGTTTTGAATTATAAAATGCATTTAAGTCTCTCCTGTAGGACTACTTGAGCTTTTCTTCTGACACTTATTTGTCCCTCTGTTGGTATGCTTGCAATATAATTTAGGCATGTGAGATCACAAGAGCTCTAATTATGCCACGTGCACACACACATGCACACGTTCACACATACATCTCTAATGTCCAATTTATTTTAAAAGGCACATTTTATAACATCTCTGGAATTCACTTGTTTATATACACATCAAAATGTGAACTCAAAAACCATACTTTTAACAAAATCATTTTAATTCTTTTCAAGTTGCTTCCATGGTTCATAAATATTCAAACCTAGCATTCTATGTTGACACGATTTTCTTCAATAAAGTGGAAGAGAATAATATCATTTATTTTAAAAACTGTTGAACCTGATAACTTGACTGATCAAGCATACCTAGAAATACGAAATGAATCATTTAAAGCAACTGAGGCCCAGGTGTGACATCTTTGGAAGACAAGATTACCGTCCTGAGATGGCAATGAGAATGGTTTATGTTTACAATTCTGCATGATATTGCAGGCTTGTAGTGAAAATAAATTGCTTGTAGTCCTCTGCCATTTTCTATTCCTGTCTCATCATGGTAATAAGGCATCAGGTTTTTAACAGTCAATATATTCTGCAATGCAATTTCATATAAAGATGTGTAGAGTTCCAAAACATTCGCTACCTATGTTTACTTGTAGATTCTACTTACATTCATATTTCTGTAGGTACTGCTTTCTATGTCTAGTAATAAACAAAAATTAAACTATGGTTCTGAAATGTGGATGGCTCTTTGGAAATCAGATAGTAAGTTTCAATCTCACTTTCATCTCTAAGAGGTGAGAATTTTTTTCTAAATTTAGGAGTGCCCAAAAGTTCATCCTATAACCACAAGAAATTCATATAGTAGGATGGGAAAAGGCAGTGTATTATCATATCATATTTTCAAAGGAACATGAATGTTTCTGCTTGGTTAGGTCACTTTCTGTCTTGTTACCATTCCCTAAAGTATTCCCATGCACAAAGCCCTAGGGTTACTAGGTCCTGGTCCTAATATGTAAAATAATTTTCCAGTCAGCCTGAGTGAGGCTGTATCTCATAAGTGCTGAAATTACCATTTTATTAAGAGAACCCAGTTTGAATAGAGCACACTAGTATTTCTTAAGCAAGAATAAGAAGCTGTGGTTAAAAATTTTAAAACTATTATAAAAATCAAAAAGATGAATTTACCTTTCAGTATATTCTGGGACTACAGAACTGTCAAAAAATGAGTAAAAATCCAAAAAATTATAAACATTTTAAAAGCTCTTTGGAATCACAGGAATAAATAAATGTCATAGAAGTTTGGAAAGAGCTAAGTATTCCGTACATTCTCTGTTATAAAACTTTTAATCTAATCATTTAGTTAATTCTGTTCTGTATTATATCATTAACTTTATGAGAATAGAAATCCTACCAGTACTGCTTGGCTACAGCTCCAGCCCCTGACACTATGTTCAACACGTGGTGAGTACCGAAAAGTGTTTACTAAATTAATGAATATGTATTCTTAAAGTCCAGCATATAAAACTGAGTGAGACTACAAAAATATTAATAGGCTGTAAAAGTAAAAATGATGTCAGTATTATGGTTTCAAATGTTGAGGCAACCAGAGAAGAAAATAGGATAGTATACTGACAATTTGAAAATATGAATATAACATAATATTAAAAAGTAGAAAAATTAGCCGGGCTTGGTGGCAGGCACCTATAGTCCCAGCTACTCGGGAGGCTGAGGCAGGAAAACGGCATGAACCCAGGAGGAGGGGCTTGCAGTGAGCAGAGACGGTGCCATTGCACTCCAACCTAGGCAACAGAGCGAGACTCCGTCTCAAAAAAAAAAAAAAAAAAAAAATAGAAAAATTTTAATGTGCCATTTGAGATCCCTGCATTATAGCCCCAATATCTTCCCATCCTTAACTGTTATAAAAACTCTTTAAACCATGCTGCTCTATTATTACTCCAAATTTCCTTTCTTGCCACTGAATCTTGGCTCATTATGTAAAAAAAAAAAAATGTTTTTTTATCTTACAGTAAACACTCAACATGACACAGAACACTTCCAGTCACTAATATGTCTGGGGAGATATCACCAGTGGACATTCAGTTCGTATAATTCAATTCACTTCTGAAGCTCTCTACCAGATGTTAGCGTTAGATCCCACGGGTTAAGAACTCAGTCCCACAAGACTGCCTCCCACTTCAGATGTCAGTCTCAAGTAATGAGTTGTTACCTATACTTCTGACAACTGGCTATAAATTGGGGTTCCCACAATTCCCTCTTCAGGTTTAACTTGCTAGGACTCAGGGAAATACTTACATTAACTAGTTTATGACAATAATAAGCCACATAATAAAGGATGCAGATGAACAGCAGATAAAGAGATACATAGATTGAAATCTGGGAGGGTCCTGAACACAGAAGATTCTGTTTCCATAGAGTTGAGGTGCCCTACCCTCTTGACACCTCGATATGTTCATCAGTCTGAAAGCACTCCAAAATCCATAGTTTAGAGATTTTTATGGAGGCTTCATCACATATGCATGATCAATTATTAACTCGATCTCCAGCCCTTCTTCTCTTCTTTGAGGATGGGCAATAAGGTTGAAAGTTCCAAGTTTCTATACATGGCTTGTTCTTTCCGATGATCAGCCACCATCTTGAAGCTATCTGGAAGCCCACCAAGAGTAGCCTCATTAGAGCAAAACACACTGCAATCACCCAGCACATTTTAAGGTATTAGGAAATCTGTGTGAGGAACCAGGAATAGAGTCCAAATATATATTTTTCATTATATCACAATATCTCACCCATATTCTCTCAACAGTGGCAAGTTGACTTCACCTTCTATGCCAACTGTAATTAATTGATATTGGCTTTATATAGAAGGATTATAAGAACTATTCCAAGTTTAGAGGACTCTGTTATCAATGTCTACAATGAATAAAGGTATTAGTTGGGATGGCCATATTATATGGATTTACTGATGTCTTGCAATCATTTTTGTCTGCAATTGTTTCTCTCTTGTAAATTGATACCTACCCAAATTCCACCAAATCTTCAAGGTCTAGGTTACATGCTATCTTTTCTATAGCAGCTTTCATAACCATTAATCTTAAATGATCACATTCTTTTATAATGTTCTATGATATATGTTTGCCTTATTTTGTTGTTGATGTTATCAGTTATTACAACTGATACCACAGAATTACCAAAGATTATTTAAAGCTACTATGAACACCTTTAAATGCACAAACTAGATAATCTAGATGAAATGGATAAATTCCTGGAAATATACAACCCTCCTGGATTAAATCAGGAAGAAATAGAAACTCTGAATAGACCAATAACAAATAGCAAGATTGAAGCAATAATAAAAATATTGCCAACAACAACAAAAAAATCTAAGACCAGATAGATGCACAGCTGAGTTCTATAAGACATTTAAAGAATTGGTACCAATCCTACTAAAACTATTCCAAAAGATAGAGAAAGAGATAATCCTTCCTAAATCATTCTATGAAGCCAGTATCACCCTAATACCAAAACCAGGAAAGGATATAATAAAAAAAAATTACAGACCAGTATCCCTGATGAACATAGACGCAAAAATCCTCAACAAAATACTAGCTAACTGAATCTAAAAGCATATCAAAAAAGAATATATCATGATCAAGTGGGTTTCATACCAGGGATGCAGGGATGGTTTAACACACGCAAGTCAATAAATGTGATACACCACATAAACAGAATTAAAAACAAAAATCATATGATAATCTCTATAGATGCAGAAAAAGCATTTGACAAAATCCAGCATCACTTTATGATAAAAAAAAAACTCTCAGCAAAATTGGCATAGAAGGGATATACCTCAAGATAATAAAAGCCATCTATGACAAACCCACAGCCAACATTGTACTGAATGGAAAAACGTTGAAAGCATTCTCCCCTGAGAACAAGACAAGGATGATTACTTTCACCACTTCTATTTAGAATAGTACTGGAAGTCTTAGCCAGAGAAATCAGACAAGAAAAGAAATAAAGGGCATCCAGATTGGAAAAGAGGAAGTCAAAATATTGCTGTTCCCCAACGATATGATCATATGCCTAGAAAACCCTAAAGACTCATTCAAAAAGCTCTTAGATCTGATAAATGAATTCAGTAAAGTTTCAGGACACAAAATCAATGTGTACAAATCAGTAGCACTGCTATACACCAATAGCAACCAAGCTGAGAAACAAATCAACAACTCAATCCCTTTTACAAACAAAAAAAACTTATACTTAACCAAGGAGGTGAAAGAGCTCTAAAAGGAAAACTATAAACACTGCTGAAGGAAATCATAGATGACACAAAAAAATGGAAACACATCCAATGCTCATGGATTGGTAGAATCAATATTGTGAAAATGATCATACTGCCAAAAGCAATCTACAGCTTCAAAGCAATCCCCATCAAGATACCATCATCATTCTTCATGTACTAGAAAAAACAATTTGAAAATTCATATGGAGCAGAAAAAGAGCCTGCATAGTCAAAGAAGTACTAAGTGAAGAGAAAAATTCTGAAGCCATTACATTACCCAACTTCAAACCATACTACAAGGCTATAGTTACCAAAACAACATGGTACTGGTATAAAAATAGGCACATAGGCCAATGTAACAGAATGGAGAATCCAGAAATAAAGCTAAATATTACAACCAACTGATCTTTGACAAAGCATACAAAAACATAAAATGGGGAAAGAACACCCTTTTTAACAAATAATTGGCAAGCCACATATAGAAGAATAAAACTGTGTCTTCATCTCACCTTATACTAAAATCAACTCAAGATGAATCAAGGACTTTAAGACCTGAACCCATAAAAATTCTAGAAGATAGCATCAGAAAAACTCTTCTAGAGATTGGCTTAGGCAAAAAATTCATTACCAAAAACCTAAAAGCAAATGCAATAAAAGCAAAAATAAATAAATAGGACCTGATTAAGCTAAAAACTTCTTCACAGCAAAAGAAATAATCAGCAGAGCAAACAGACAAGCCACAGAGTGGGAGAAAATATTGCAAACTATGCATCTGACAAGAGTCTACAATGAACACAAAGAAATCAGCAAAAAAAAAAAAATCCTATCAAAAAGTAGGCAAAGGAGATATGAATAGATAATCCTCAAAAGAAGATATATAAGTGGCCAACAAACATATGAAAAGATGTTCAAATCACTATCAGGGAAATGCAAATTTAAACCACAATGAGATACTACATTATTCCGGGAGAATGGCCATAATTTAAAAATAAAGATAAAAATAGATGTTGTCATGGATATGGTAAAAGAGAACACTTTTACACTGCTGGTGGAAATGTAAACTAGTACAGCCACTATGCAAAACAGTATGGAGATTTCCTAAAGAACTAAAAGTGGAAATACCATTCAATCTAGCAATCCCGCTACTGGGTATCTACCCAAAGTAAAAAATCATTATATGAGAAGGACACTTGCACATGCATGTTTATAGCAGCACAATTTGCAATTGCAAAAATATGGAACCAAAGATTGCAGCTCTGACTCAGATGGACAGAGCAGTATGTGGAGGCTTGCATCATGAATTTTTGCTCCAGAATGACTGCAGGAATAAGTCAGGAAACCTGAGAGGACCCACAGACCCCCTGAAGGAAGTGGATTGCTCCTGCAGAATGTGAGAGATACGGCAAATACTGTGAGTGCCCAAACTGTGAAAGTGGGAAAGGAAGATCATCCACCCCCAAACACACACCGTCACTGGTGAAACTGAAGGCCTAGATTATGGGAGAAGATTTTGACCTTACCTGGAGCTGAGTCAATTTAGAGAGCCAAGTGAAATACAGGGGTAAAGGATGCAGAGGGAAAAGCCCTGGGAACTCGCTGGGTCTCCTAGCAAGCCCTTTTTGCCTGGCCTCCCAGGGGTCCTTCTGGAGGGTTGCCAGAGGCACTGGGAAAAGCCTACAGGGAGAAGGAAATTTCCAGCTGAACTGTGTAACAATTTGAACTGATCAAGAGGCCTCCTGGCCAGAACTCAGGGCAGGGCGTGAATCTGGTTTGTAGACTCCATGGGCAGGAGAAGAAAGCAAGCCATATTTGCCTTCACAGCTGGGAGGCGGGTAGCCTGGTTCAAGTTCTCAGCCCTGCTTGCCCACTGCCTGGAAACAGACTTAGTGTTGTTGGGGGTGGGGGTGGTGGGAGTAAGACTGGCTCTTTGGATTGCATGGGAGCTGGGTGAGGCTTGTGACTGCTGGCTTTCCCCACTTCCCTGACAACCTGCATGACACAGTAAAGAGTCATAATCCTCCAAGATTCATAACTCCATTGACCTGGGACTCTCATCCCCATCCCCCACAGCAGCCACAGCAAGACTTGCCTAAGAAGAGTCAGCTCAGACACACCTAGCCTTTCCTGCACCCAATGGTCCTCCCCTACCCACCCTGGTAACTGAAGACAAATTTCATATACTCTTGGGAGTTCTAGGGCCCTGCCCACCACCTGTTCCTCCCCGTATTACCACAGCTGATGCTCTCTGGAAAGCACCATCTCCTGACAGGAGGCCAACCAGAACAAAAATAGTGCATTAAACCAGCAAAACTAAGAACCCTCAGAGTCCATTTCACCCCCTTGCCACCTCCACTGGAGCAGGTGCTGGTATCCATGACTGACAGACCCATAGATGGTTCACATCACAGGACTCTGTTCAGACAATGCCTAGTACCAGCCTGGAGCCTGGTAGACTTGCTAGGTGGCTAGATCCAGAAGAGAGATAATAATAACCACAGCTCAGCTCTCAGGAAGCCACATCCATAGGAAAAGACAGAGATTACTATATTAAGGGGACACCCCATGGAACAAAATAATCAGAATAGCAGCCTTCAGCCTTAGACCTTCCCTCCAACAGAGCCTACCCAAATGAGAAAGAACCAGAAAACCAACTCTGATAATATGACAAAGCAAGGTTCTTCAGTACCTCCAAAAGATCAGAGTAGCACACCAGAAAAGAACCCAAACCAAGAAGAAAACCCTGATTTACCTGAAAAAGAATTAAGAAGCTTTGTTATTAGCTTTAATCTGATTAGCTTTAATCAGGGAGGCACCAGAGAAAGGCAAAACCTAATGTAAGGAAATGCAAAAAAAAATACAAAAAGCAAAGGGAGGCCGGGCGCAGTGGCTTATGCCTGTAATCCCATCACTATGGGAGGCCGAAGCAGGCAGATCACCTGAGGTTGGGAGTTCGAGACCAGGCTGGCCAACATGGTGAAACTTTGTCTGTACTAAAAATACAAAAATTAGCCAGTTGTGGTAGCACACATCTAATCCCAGCTACTCAGGAAGCTGAGGCACGAGAATCACTTGAACCCAGGAATCAGAGGTTGCAGTGAGCCGAGATCACACCACTGCACTCCAGCCTGGGTAACAGAGTGAGACTCTGTCTCAAAAAAAAAAAAAAAAAAAAAAAAAAAAAAAAAAAAAAAAAAAAAAAAAAAGTGAAGGGAGAAATATTCAAGGAAATAGATAGCATAAATAAAAAAAAAATCAAAACTTCAGGAAACAATGGACACACTTATAGAAATGCAAAATGCTCTGGAAAGTCTCAGCAATAAAACTGAAAAAGTGGAAGAAAAAAATTCGGAGCTTGAAGACAAGGTCTTCAAATTAACCCAATCCAACAAAGATAAAGAAAAAAGAATAAGAAAATATGAACAAAGCCTCCAAGAAATCTGAAATTATGTTAAACAACCAAACCTAAGAATAATCGGTGTTCCTGAGGAAGAAGAGAAAGCTAAAAGTTTGGAAAACACTTGGGAAAATAATTGAGGAAAACTTCCCTGGCCTTGCTAGAGAACTAGACATCCAAATACAAGAAGCGGAAAGAACACCTGGGAAATTCATCATCAAAAGATCATTGCCTAGGCACACGGTCATCAGGTTATCTAAAGTTCAGACAAAGGAAAGAATCTTAACAGCTGTTAGACAAAAGCACCAAGTAATCTATAAAGGAAAACATATCAGATTAACAGCAGATTTTTCAACAGAAACTCTAAACCTAGAAGGGATTGAAGCCCTATCTTCAACCTCCCAAACAAAATAATTATCAGGCAAGAATTTTGTATTAGTGAAACTAAGGTTTATACATAAAAGAAAGAAGCAGTCTCTTTCAGGCAAAACAATGTTTAGAGAATTCAAAACTACCAAGCCACCACTACAAGAACTGCTAAAAGGAGCTCTAAATCTTGAAACAAAGCTTTTTTTTTTTAAATACTTTAAGTTATAGGGTACATGTGCACAAGGTGCAGGTTTGTTATATATGTATACATGTGCCATGGTGGTGTGCTGCACCCATTAACTCGTCATTCGCATTAGGTATATCTCCTAATGCTATCCCTCCAACCTTCCCCCACCCCACAACAGGCTCCGGTATGTGATGTTCCCCTTCCTGTGTCCAAGTGTTCTCATTGTTCAACTCCCACCTATGAGTGAGAATATGCGGTGTTTGGTTTTCTGTCCTTGCGATAGTTTGCTGAGAATGATGGTTTCCAGCTTCATCCATGTCCCTACAAAGGACATGAACTCATCCTTTTTTATGGCTGCATAGTATTCCATGGTGTATATGTGCCACATTTTCTTAATTCAGTCTATCATTGTTGGACTTTTGGGTTGGTTCCAAGTCTCTGCTATTGTGAATAATGCCACAATAAACATATGTGTGCATGTATCTTTATAGCAGCATGATTTATAATCCTTTGGGTATATACCCAGTAATGGGATGGCTGGGTCAAATGGTATTTCTAGTTCTAGATCCTTGATAAATCACCACGCTGTCTTCCACAATGGTTGAACATAGTTTACAGTCCCACCAACAGTGTAAAAGTGTTCCTATTTCTCCACATCCTCTCCAGCACCTGTTGTTTCCTGACTTTTTAATGATCACCATTCTAACTGGTGTGAGATGGTTTTGATTTGCATTTCTCTGATGGCCAGTGATGATGAGCATTTTCTCATGTGTCTTTTGGCTGCATAAATGTCTTCTTTTGAGAAGTGTCTGTTCATATCCTTTGCCCACTTTTTGATGTGGTTGTTTGATTTTTTCTTGTAAATTTGTTTAAGTTCTTTGTAGATTCTGGATATTAGCCCTTTGTCAGATGGGTAGATTGTAAAAATTTTCTCCCATTCTGTAGATTGCCTGTTCACTCTGATGGTAGTTTCTTCTGCTGTGCAGAAGTTCTTTAGTTTAATTAGATCCCATTTGTCAATTTTGGCTTTTGTTGCCATTGCTTTTGGTGTTTTAGTCATGAAGTCCTTGCCCATGCCTATGTCCTGAATGGTATTGCCTAGGTTTTCTTCTAGGGTTTTTATGATTTTAGGTCTAACATTTAAGTCTTTAATCCATCTTGAGTTAATTTTTGTATAAGGTGTAAGGAAGGGATCCAGTTTCAGCTTTCTCCATATGGCTAGCCAGTTTTCCCAGCACCATTTACTAAATAGGGAATTCTTTCCCTATTTCTTGTTTTTCTCAGGTTTGCCAAAGGTCAGATGGTTGTAGATGTGTGGTATTATTTCTGAGGGCTCTGTTCTGTTCCATTGTTCTGTATCTCTGTTTTGGTACTAGTACCATGCTGTTTTGGTTACTGTAGCCTTGTAGTATAGTTTGAAGTCAAGTAGCATGATGCCTCCAGCTTTGTTGTTTTTGCTTAGGATTTTCATGGCAATGCAGGCTCCTTTTTGGTTCCATATGAACTTTAAAGTAGTTTTTTCCAATTCTGTGAAGAAAGTCATTGGTAGCTTGATGGGGATGGCATTGAATCTATAAATTACCTTGGGCAGTATGGCCATTTTCACAATATTGATTCTTCCTATCTATGAGCATAGAATGTTCTTCCATTTATTTGTGTCCTCTTTTATTTCGTTGAGCAGTGGTTTGTAGTTCTCCTTGAAGAGGTCCTTCAGATCCCTGGTAAGTTGGATTCCTAGGTATTATATTCTCTTTGAAGCAATTGTGAATGGGAGTTCACTCATGATTTGGCTCTCTGTTTGTCTGTTATTTGTGTATAGGAATGTTTGTGATTTTTGCACATTGATTTTGTATCCTGAGACTTTGCTGAAGTTGCTTATCAGCTTAAGAAGATTTTGAGCTGAGACGATGGGGTTTTCTAAATATACAATCCTGTCATCTGCAAACAGGGAAAATTTGACTTCCTCTTTTCCTAATTGAATACCATTGATTTCTTTCTCCTGCCTGATTGCCCTGGCCAGAACTTCCTGGTATCAGGATGATGCTGGCCTCATAAAATGAGTTAGGGAGGATTCCCTCTTTTTATATTGATTGGAATAGTTTCTGAAGGAATGGTAGCAGCTCCTCCGTGTACCTCTGGTAGAATTCGGCTGTGAATCTATCTGGTCCTGGACTTTTTTTGGTTAGTTGGCTATTAATTATTGCCTGAATTTCAGAGCCTGTTATTGGTCTATTCAGGGATTCAGTTTCTTCCCGGTTTAGTCTTGGGAGGTTATATGTGTCCAGGAACTTATCCATTTCTACTAGATATTCTAGTTTATTTGCATAGAGGTGTTTATAGTATTCTCTGATGGTAGTTTGTATTTCTGTGGGATCGGTGGGGATATCCCCTTTATCATTTTTTATTGCATCTATTTGATTCTTCTCTCTTTTCTTATTTATTAATCTTGCTAGCAGTCTATCCATTTTCTAGATCTTTTCAAAAAATCAGCTCTTGGATTCACTGATTTTTTGAAGGGTTTTTTGTTCTCTGTCTCTTTCAGTTCTGCTCGATCTTAGTTATTTCCTGCCTTCTGCTAGTTTTTGAATGTGTTTGCTCTTGCTTCTCTAGTTCTTTTAATTGTAATATTAGAATGTCAATTTTAGATCTTTCCTGCTTTCTCTTGTGGGCATTTAGTGCTATAAATTTCCCTCTACACGCTGCTTAAAATGTGTCCCAGAGATTCTGGTACGTTGTGTCTTTGTTCTCATTAGTTTGAAAGAACATCTTTATTTCTGCCTTCATTTCTTTATGTACCCAGTAGTCATTCAGGAGCAGGTTGTTCAGTTTCCATGTAGTTGAGTGGTTTTGAGTAAGTTTCTTAATCCTGAGTTCTAATTTGATTGCACTGTGGTCTGAGAGACTGTTTGTTATAATTTTTATTCTTTTACATTTGCTGAGGAGTACTTTACTTCCAACTATGTGGTCAATTTTGGAATAGGTGTGATGTGGTGCTGAGAAGAACGTATATTCTGTTGATTTGGGATGGAGAGTTCTGTAGTGGTCTATTAGGTCCACTTGGTGCAGAGCTGAATTCAATTCCTGGATATCCTTGTTAACTTTCTGTCTCATTGATCTGTCTAATGTTGACAGTGGGGTGTTAAAGTCTCCCATTATTATTGTGTGGGAGTCTAAGTCTCTTTGTAGGTCTCTAAGGACTTGCTTTATGAATCTGAGTGCTCCTGTATTAGGTGCATATATATTTAGGACAGTTAGCTCTTCTTGTTGAATTGATCCCTTTACCATCATGTAATGGTCTTTTTTGTCTCTTTTGATCTTTGTTGGTTTAAAGTCTGTTTTATCAGAGACAAGGATTGCAATCCTTGCCTTTTTTTGTTTTCCATTTGCTTGATAGATCTTCCTCCATCCCCTTATTTTGAGCCTATGTGTGTCTCTGCACGTGAGATGGGTCTCATGAATATAGCACACTGATGGGTCTTGACTCTTTATCCAATTTGCCAGTCTTTGTCTTTTTATTGGAGCATTTAGCCCATTTACTTTTAAGGTTAATATTGCTATGTGTGAATTTGATCCTGTCATTATGATGTTAGCTGGTTATTTTACTCATTAGTTGATGCAGTTCCTTCCTAGCATTGATGGCCTTTACAATTTGGCATGTTTTTGCAGTGGCTGGTACCGGTTGTCCCTTTCCATGTTTGGTGCTTCCTTCAGGAGCTCTTGTAAGGCAGGCCTGTTGGTGACAAAATCTCTCGGCATTTGCTTGTCTGTAAAGGATTTTATTTCTCCTTCACTTATGAAGCTTAGTTTGGCTGGATATGAAATTCTGGGTTGAAAATTCTTTTCTTTAAGAATGTTGAATATTGGCCCCCACTCTCTTCTGGCTTGTTGAGTTCCTGCTGAGAGATCTGCTGTTAGTCTGATGGGCTTCCCTTTGTGGGTCACTCGACCTTTCTCTCTGGCTGCTCTTAACATTTTTTCCTTCATTTCAACTTTGGTGAATCTGACAATTATGTGTCTTGGAGTTGCTCTTCTCAAGGAGTATCTTTGTGGCGTTCTCTGTATTTCCTGAATTTGAATGTTGGCCTTCCTTGCTAGGTTGGGGAAGTTCTCCTGGATAAAATCCTGAACAGTGTTTTCTAACTTGGTTCCATTCTCTCCATCACTTTCAGGTACACCAATCAGAGATAGATTTGGTCTTTTCACATAGTCCTATATTTCTTGGAGGCTTTGTTCATTTCTTTTTACTCTTTTTTTCTCTAAACTTCTCTTCTCGCTTCATTTCATTCATTTGATCTTCAATCACTGATACCCTTTCTTCCACTTGACTGAATCGGCTACTGGAGCTTGTGCATGTGTCACGTAGTTCTCATGCCATGGTTTTCAGTTCCATCAGGTCATTTAAGGTCTTCTCTATGCTGTTTATTCTAGTTAGCCATTTGTCTAATCTTTTTTCAAGGTTTTTAGCTTCTTTGCAATGGGTTTGAACATCCTCCTTTAGCTCAGAGATGTTTGTTATTACCAACTTTCTGAAGCCTACTTCTGTCAACTCGTCAACTCTGGACAAGCCATTCTCTGTCCAGCTTTTCTCCATTGCTGGCGAGGAACTGCATTCCTTTGGAGGAGAAGAGGCTCTCTGATTTTCAGAATTTTCAGCTTTTCTGCTGTGGTTTCTCCCCATCTTTGTGGTTTTATCTACCTTTGGTCTTTGATGATGGTGACATACAGATGGGGTTTTGGTGTGGATGTCCTTTCTACTTGTTAGTTTTCCTTCTAACAGTCAGGACCCTCAGCTGCAGGTCTGTTGGAGTTTGCTGGAGGTCCACTCCAGACCCTGTTTGCCTGGGAGTCACCAGCGGGGGCTGCAGAACAGCAAATATTGCAGAACAGCAAATGTTGCTGCCTGATCCTTCCTCTGGAAGCTTCATCTCAGAGGGGCACCAACTGTATGAGGTGTCTGTCAGCCCCTACTGGAAGGTGTCTCCCAGTTAGGCTACTCAGGGGCCAGGGGCCCACTTGAGGTGGCAGTCTGTCCCTTCTCAGATCTCAAACTCCATGCTGGGAGAACCACCACTCTCTTCAAAGCTGTCAGACAGGGACGTTTAAGTCTGCAGAAGTTTCTGCTGCCTTTTGTTCAGTTATGCCCTGCCCCCAGAGGTGGAGTCTACCGAGGCAGGCAGGCCTCCTTGAGCTGCGGTGGGCTCCACCCAGTTAGAGCTTCCTGGTCACTTTGTTTACCTACTCAAGCCTCAGCAATGGCGGATGCCCCTCCCCCAGCCTCACTGCCGCCTTGCAGTTCGGTCTCAGACTGCTGTACTAGCAATGAGCAAGGCTCCGTGGGCTTAGGACTGTCCGAGCCAAGTGCAGGATACAATCTCCTGGTATGCAGTTTGCTAAGACCATTGGAAAAGCGAAGTATTAGGGTGGGAGTGTCCCAATTTTCCAGGTACTGTCTATCATGGCTTCCCTTGGCTAGGAAAGGGAATTCCCTGACCCCTTGCGCTTCCCTGGTGAGGCGAAGCCCCGCCCTGCTTCAGCTCACACTCCATGGGCTGCACCCACTGTCATCCCAGTGAGATGAACCCGGTACCTCAGTTGGAAATGCAGAAATCACCCGTCTTCTGCATCGCTCATGCTGGGATATGTAGACTAGAGCTGTTCCTATTCGGCCATCTTGGAACTGCCTCCAAAACAAATCTTGAAACACATCAAAACAGAACCTCTTTAAAGCATAAATCTCACAAGACCTATAAAACAAAAATACAATTTAGAAAACAAAAACAAAAAACGAAAACCAAGGTATACAGGCAACAAATAGCACAAATAAATGGAATGGTACCTCACATCACAGTACTAACATTGAAAGTAAATGGCCTAAATGCTCCACTTAAAAGATACAGAATTGAAGAATAGATAATAATTCACCAATTTGAAGGCACTAATTCACCTGCTGCCTTTAAAAGAATCACTTAACCCATAAGGACTCTCACCAACTTAAGGTAAAGGGGTGGAAAAAACCTTTCAGGCAAATGGAGAGCAAAAGTGAGCAAGAGTAGCTATTATATCAGAAAAACAAACTTTAAAGCAACCGAAGTTAAAAAAGAAAAAGAAGGATGTCATAAAATGGTAAAAGGCCTTGTCCAACAGGAAAATACCACAATCCTAAACACATATGCACCTAACACTGGAGCCCCAAAATTTATAAAACAATTACTAATAGACATAAGAAATGAGATAGACAGCAACACAACAATAGTGGGGGACTTCTTACTCCACTGACAGCACTAGTCAGGTCATCAAGGCAGAAAGTCAACAAAGAAACAATGGATTTAAACTATACCCTGGAACAAATGGACTTAACAGTTATATACAGAACATTCCATCCAACAACCACAGAATATACATTCTATTTAACAGCACATGGAACTTTCTCCAAGATAGATTGTATGATAGGTCACAAAATGAGCCTCAATTAATTTAAGAAAATTGAAATTATACCAAGCACTCTCTCAGACCACAGTGGAATAAACTGAAAATCCACTCCAGAAGGAACCTTCAAAACCATGCATATACATGGAAATTAAATAAACTGCTCCTGAATGATCATTGGGTCAAAAATGAAATCAAGATGAAAATTTAAAAATTCTTTGAACTGAACAAAATTAGTGACACAACTTAACGGAACCTCTGGTGTGAGAAAACATTTTAAATGATCCATTTTCAAGGCATGATCAATCTAAGTACTGGCAGCCAGCCTGCAGATGTAACAAACTGCATGGCTCATGCACCTAGAAGCTCACAATAAGCAAACAGAATGTAGAGGAGGGGTCAGTCCATAAAAGGGAAGAAAGTTTTGTTATTGGGGAATCGAACTTAAGTGGGGACGGGGACTGGAGTATAAATTTATAAGGGGAATAATGAAACTTAGGTAAACGTTTGGGAAAATTGTAACCCCATAATACTCAGCCAATGAGGAACTCGGAGAGGGACTTGTGTAGGTAGGAGGTGAATTACCTGCTGTAACTTCCCTGGGTGTGCCTGCCTACCAGACACTCGATCTTGGAAGACTGCCATTAAAAGTCTCACTTCCACTGTTCTTCACGTCTCTGAGTCTATTCTTCGGGTTTGGATGGGTAAATGTGTGTTTCTCACAAACCTGGGGGCCTTTCTGGGACCTCTGTGCCTGCATAGAGTGGGACTCCTGCCGAGAGGGGAGTAGGTGGCCCACTCTGTCTGGGTGTCCCAGCTCCTGACAGAGGCCATAGACAAACCGGAGACTGTTATTCAGGAGGCAACGGAGGCAATACAGGGAGAAAAGCAGGCACCACAGCAACCAGGCAACCTTGTGCACGAGCCAAGGTGGGAAAAGTAAACTATAAGTACTTCCTTGGTGGTTGGACATTTTCAGATGTCGAGTGTGTGTGACTGAGACGTATCCTAGATACGAAGCAAGTGCGGAGTCCCAGTCCGCGGTTTCATTCTCCCTTGAGGGAAATGGCCAGAAACAGACAAAGGGGTTCTTAGGGTGTGCTGGAAAACTCCAGTAGCGAGGGTGGAGTGTATGGGAAGAAGCTCAGACACAGAGACTGACCAAAAATGGGAAACAGAAATTCTAGGCCTAGGGGACAAAGGAAAGAGGGAAGCAAAGACACTCCCTCTGACATTCCCCCGATAGTCCTTCGGGGAGAATGCTGCAGGTTTGGAGAGACAACCCTTGAACCAGGGGACAAGACAAAGGAAAAGATAATAAACTATTGCTGTTTTATCTGGCCCAAAGACCCCATTCGTAAGCTTTCAGTCTTCTGGCCTAAGTTTGGCTCAGATGAGGATTGGGTGTGCCAAACTTTGATTCTCTATGTGAATGATAAAACCCCATCCTCACAAGAAGAGATAGGTTATGCTTTCTGCTGGATCAAGGAATTCGCCACCCCACCCCCATGTTCCCTCTCAAAGAGGAAGAAGAAAGAGAGCCTAGTAAAAAGCCCTTCCCCAGTGAAAAGCCGTGGGGTCCCTCCATACATGTCACCAAATAGGGGACAGGAAGACCAAGAATCAAGAGGCAGCAGGAGGGCTAGAGGAAGAAAGACCTGGAGACCATGGGGAGCCAAACCAACTGCGCCTTTAAATCCTTATCCAAATTTAAGAAAATAATTCGAACGGTGTAAGAGGGATACTAAGAGCTTCCCTATGAATAGCCATAATAAAAAAATAAAAAATAATAGATGTTGGCGGGCATGTAATAAAAACGGAACACTTCTACACTGCTGGTGGGAATGTAAACTTGTACAACCAGTATGGAAAACAGTGTGGAGATTCCTTAAAGAACTAAAAGTAGAACTACCTTTTGATCCAGCAATCCCACTACCGGATATCTACTTAGAGAAAAGAAATCATTATATGACAAAGATCCTGCACACAAATGTTTATAGCAGCACAATTTGCAATTGCAAAAACATGGAACCAGCCCAAATGCCCATCAATCAACGAGTGGATAAAAAATTGTGGTGTGTATATATATATATTATATATTATATATATTATATATTATATATATAATATATAATATATAAAAATTATATATAAATATTATATATAATATTATATATTATATACATATAAATAAATATATAATATATTATATATATATATATATTAGAATACTACTCAGCAATAAAAAGGAATAAATTGTCAGTCACAGCTACCTGGATGAGACTGGAAACTACTATTCTAAGTAAAGTAACCCAAGAATGGAAAACCAAACATGTGTTCTCACTCATAAGTGGAAGCTAAGCTGTGAGGATGCAAAGGCATAAGAAAGACACAATGGACTTTGGGGACTCAGGGGGAAAGGGTGAGAAGGGGGTGAGGGACAAAAGACTACAAATAGGGTGCAGTGTATATTGCTTGTGTGATGGTGCACCAAAATCTCACAAATCACCACTAAAGAACTTACTCATGTAACCAAAAACTACCTGTTCCCCAATAACCTATGGAATTTATATATATATATACACACACACACATATATATATATGGAACCATATAACTATGGAATTTATATACATATATGGAACCATATATATATATATATACACATACACACACATATATATACAGGAACCATATATATATAGGAGCCATATATAAATATATGGAACCAAATCTAAATGCCTAGCAACCAACAAGTGGATTAAAAGAATGTGATATATATAAACCATGGAATACTACTCAGCCATAAAGAAGAACAAAATAATGGCATTTGCAGCAACCTGGATGGAGCTGGAGGCCACTATTCTAAGTGAGTAACTCAGGAATGGAAAACCAAATATTGTATGTTCTCACTTATAGGTGACAGCTAAGCTATCAGGATGCAAAAACATAAGAATGAAATAATGGACCCTGGGGACTTAGAGGAAAGGGTGGGAGGAGAATAAGGAATAAAAGACTACACATTGGGTACAGTATACACTGCTCAGGTGAGGGATGGCCCAAAATCTCAGAAATCACCACTAAGGAACTTATCTGTGTAACCAAAAGCCACCTGTTCCCCAAAAACGATTGAAATAAAAAATAAATTTTAAAAATATATATGATACATGTGAATAAATTGCACAGTAATTCCATTACTTTGAAACTCTGATATGTTTAACTTAATCCTTCACATGGTGAAAAAATTTCCTTATCTGAAATTTTTGCTGTTGATAGAACTGGTTTCTTTCTATATTCACAAAAATAGTTCTTAGTGGAATATTACCATGAATATACTACATGCAAAATTAATTTTCAAGTAATCAGAATGCAATACACATGCTTAATGTTTTATTCTTAATTCTTCTTAATATGTCTAATTTTGAGGCTTGGGATTGATATATGCTTGCATATATGCATCATCTTTGGCCTGACAATCTCATATTTACCCTTAAGCTTAGCTTAAGCTTCACCTCTTCTGGGACATCTTCTATAATTGCTTCATTCCTTGGCCCCAGAGGAAGGTCAGAACCTTTCCTCTTCATATCTTCACAGCATCTTCTAATTCTTCTAGTTGCTTTTATTAGAGCTTTCATCACTTGCATTGTACTTGCTTGTTTACATGTGTATCTGCATGACAAGTTGGATCTCTTTTGGAAAATTATGCTTTCTTTTACTCATCTTTTTGTCTTCAGTATCTGGCACTAAATAAATAATGAATACAATACGTAAATGAACAGCACACTGATTCACTAAGTACCAGCAGAACTTGCAGTGTGTAATGATTGAGGACAACCTAAGGTTGAACAGACCCAGATTGAAAATTGCTGCTGACACTTGATAACTTTGATGTCTCTAAACCCCAAATACAACTTTGGGAAATGGAGATATTACATTTGTGAGACAGCTTTTACAAAAGGTTGTGAAAATTAGGAAATGAACAAAAATCTAAATGAGCACTATGTCAAGTACATATTATGCTATAGAGAGAGGATTTGCTGGGGTTTGTTGTTGTTGTTGTTTTGCTATTGTTATTCTATCCTTAGACATAATTGAAGTTAAGATAAGAAATCACTCAATCAATACTTATATTTCTACTATGTCTCATAAGTGAGAGTCATGTTTGAAAACTATGCAGAAAGTCAAAGCCTAGAACAAGTTGGCAATCAAAGGAGGTAAGTCACAGAAGCAAATTGCAATCTGAGAAAGCAGGTTAGCTGAAAAGTGAGAAGGACGAAAGTAGGAAAATGAAAATTGGACCTAGAGTAATACCAGCGACTCAGGTGACACGCTGGATAATGATTGTTCGCTTGCTTACTTGGGTATTTTTAACCATAGATGTTGGTTCAGATTTGTGAGAATATGTCTACATATTACACATTCATTGAAAAAGGTTGAAGCAGAACGGTATATATGGGTTTATTCTCTTAATCCAAATAAAACGTTTGAATATCTTCAATCCACCTTTCAAGTGCTCAGAACCCCTTATCAGTCCATTAGTAAAAAAATGGGCTGAGCACGGTGGCTCACACCTGCTTTGAGAGGTCAAGGCAGGAGAATAGCTTGCGCCCAGGAGTTGAAGCCCAGCCCAAGCAACATAGTGAGACTTCGTCTCTATAAAAAGTTTTTAAAAATTAGCCAGGCATAGTGGTGCATGCCTGTAGTCCCAGCTACTTGGGAGGCTGAGGTGGGAGGATCGCTTGAGCCTGAGAGTTTGAGGCTGTAGTGAGCCATGATCATGCCACTGCACTCCAGCCTGGGAAACAGCAAGATCATGTCTCAAAAAATAAAAAAGTAATTTAAAAATTTTAAAAAGTATTGATTGCCTAATATATCCCCAGCCTATGCTGGTGCTCTAGAAGTCTAATAGACACCACTGGGGCCTTTCATGTGATCGAGTGGATAAGACCACTTTACCCATAAAACAGATATCAAAAGTCTACATTTGACAGTAGAATTTCAATTTTTACTATTATTTTCTAAACAGCTTGAGTTAGGTAACTTTCTTAAATGCACTGAACAGTTTCCTGCCTTCATAAATGGAAGATATTTAATATAAGTAAAATGTTTCCTAATAATCAGATTATCGACATCATTGGCTGTTTCCTGATATAATTATGGTTCTCAGCTTTCTTGATGGTGGAAACAAAACTTACTCATTTTAATTTTTAAAGATATATAGACATTGAAAAAAAAAGCTGAACTAAAGAATAAATAATATCTTCCATTTATATTAAAGATTCCTAAGGTGCTAGGGAGCTTTCTGAGCTCTGGAATCTTTCTTTTTTTTTTTTTTTTTTAATCTTTCTAGAAGTCAGCTCTAGTTTTACAGTATGTATCACTTTATCTTTCATCCAAGCCCCTTTTCCAACTTTTGATTCTTATTTTTTGCATACTAGGAGACTAGACAGGTGAGTTTATTAAAATTCTGTCTAAATTACGAATGAATAGATTCATATATTTCTAGTAAGTAGCATATATAAACATTAGGTTACTGATGCTATTTTGAGTTTCAGAGTTTTTTTTTTTCTTTTGGTTTCTTATTATTTTGTTTCCAAATATTTGAGATTGTCAGATAAATTTCATGACTGAAAGTGACATGTATACAATTAAAGGTATGAGTAAGTGCAACACTATTTGGTATAAGCTCTGCAATTCACTAATTCCAAAAATAGAACAACCTTTAAAGTCTGCATAGTGAGGGAAAGTATTCAGAGTCAAGAGTTATTACTCTCTATTACATTTCCTTTCTTTTTCTAGGTACTAGGGAAAGCCTGAATATATACTTAATGAAAAGAAATGCATACAGCATAAAATTTTAGGCAGGCTGAACTGCATGTACAAAGGCACAGATCCAAGGAAGGGAAAATTTGGTGAACTTAAGCAATGGCAAGGAATGTGGCCTGATTGAAATTGAGGTTACATGTAGGGCAACAGAAGTTAGGGGCAGACATAAGATGATGGAGGTAGGATGGAATAAAATGGCCAAGGACATGGAATACCCTGCTTGATTATAGGTGCTATTCATCAGAGCAATTGCTTTTAACTATTGGTGTTCTTCAAAATCAACTGATGAGTTTGTTAGAAATAGTACCTGCTATTTTTGCTGTGAATCCTCCAATGTAAGAACCACTATTTTAGAGAATAAGAAGCCAGTTAAGGTTTAAGAGCAAAAGACTGATGTAATTAAAGTCTTGCTTGTTTGTTTGCCCTAGAAAAATAACTGGCAGGGCATGGTGGCTCACACCTGTAACCCCAGCACTTTGGGAGGCTGAGACAGGAGGATTGCTGGAGCCTAGGAGTTTGATACCAGCCTGGGCAACACAGTGAGACTCCATCTCTACAGAAAAGTTTAAAACTTAGCAGGGCGTGGTTTTGCATATCTGTAGTCCCAGCTATTTGGGAAGATGAGGTGAAAAGATCACTTGAGCCCAGGAAGCTGAGGCTGATAAGAGCCATGGTAGTAACACTGCACTCCAGGCTGGGTGATAGAGAAAGACCTTCACTCAACTCCCACCCCACCTACCCCACCCCCTAAAAAGAGAAAATAACTGAAAGTATAATGGAAAAGAGAAAGATTGAGGAAAAATAATTTAGTAGTAGGTATGCAAAAGCCATCATATCTACAGAAGGACAAACTACTAACTTTGGCCTGATTAAGCAGGCTGCAGTATACATAAGATAGAAGAAGGAAAAGTAACTGAAAATTTTAAGAAATAAATGCCTAAGGAATGACCTGATAATGAAATCTTAATTACCAATTGTGTATGAGTTTTACCACTAAAGTACAATGTTTTTTATTATCTATTATATAAACTACATGAATTTTGTTATTAATTGATATTTGAGATTAGTACAGGTGATGAAACAATAAAATAATATAGGATTTTTTATTATCAAAGTAATCCACTTAATTTTAAAATTATGAAGTATCAAAACCTAAACAAAATTTACTATGAACTTATTAAAAAGGCAGAAAAGTCACAGTTTTTTAAAAAAATTGCAGTTCTTTTGAGGGGGAAATGCAACCTCTCTTCCAATGTTCCACAATTCATTGTTAGAACTGAGAGCAGACATCAGAGAAAACAAGTACTATATTTCTTCCCATGTGAAGAAGTAACCTATTACTATTTTACTCATTCATGAATTCCTTCAGCTGCAATTTATTGAGGAGTTACTATATGCTAGATACTTCACTAGGTGCATAGATTCAGTGTGCACAAAACTAGATATATGTCCTATCCTCCAGAGTTTGCTCTCCCTAGCTAGAGATGTAATTAAAGGGAGAGAAACTGTGATTAAAGGCTAAGAAGAGATGCTTAACAACAACTAGCCTAGTCAAACTGGTATAATAGCTTGGTGTTCTAAATATCCAGTAAGAAGAAAGAAGACACATTTATAAATGAGTGGTATGTTCATATCAAATGGAAAATGAACTATTTGCAAATAATTTAGAATCAGAAATCCTTCACGTGAGTATATTGTGGTTCGTCCACTGTTTAGTTATATAGCATTAGTCAACATACTTAATTCTCATGATTTACTTATGTGTAAAGTGAGAATAAATATAAAATTTCAAAAAGGACTGCCAGCCTATAGCAGATACATAAAATGAAATAAGTACATGAAATAAAGTGGAACATGAATAAAGTGTGGAATAAAGTACGTGAAATCATTTTGTAAATTGTAAAGGAATCTGGGGATGTTATGTGACATATAAACAAAGTACCATATGAAGAACTTCTTACACTCTATTTGAACTTAGTCTATGAATACTCATTAGTAATGGCCTGTTTGAAATGTTTATTAGAACAAGAAGTGCAGGACCATAAATTGCTTATTATTTTGGGTCATTTAATTATAAGACTAAAATTATCAATTTTTAAAAGATTAAAGTCTGCAAAATGGCTGCACTTTTAGAGCTATTTTTTGGTGGTTGTTAAAATTTATCTGATCTGTTAACTTGTCACTGGACAATTTTAAAGAAGTATGCAGTTTAAAGTTCTTATCCAAATAAACCTATCTTTAATGTAGTTACATCCCCATACATTAAGTTATGGAGATAAACTAAGGTTTCCCAAAAATGTTTCTTTACTAAAACAAAAAATACTCAGGCTTTCCAACTTTCATAAAATGGGTCAAAATTAAATTTCAAGAGTGAGATGTTTCCTTAATGTTTCCTTAAATGAACTGTTGACAAGTCTTTGGAACATTGCAGTATTAAATTTGGCTTCCCTCACAATAAGGCTTCTTCTGTACAGATTGTTAAAATCTAGTCACCACACAACCATAGATCCAGAATTTTCATTTTTGTTCCAAAATGTCACTGGAAGGGATTTTGCCCTTGCAAACTGCATAAAATTTACAGTAGAATATTTGTAAAAGCAGAATGCTGAAATAGATCTGCTTTGATTCCTTGGTAAAGAGAAAAGAAGGGCAAGAAGCTTCAGCTTCTATTTACCCTGGCATTAACTCAAGATAAGCCTTAAAATTACTTTTTGGTGTACAAACAGTGTGGTTTCCCCATCAAAAGGTTATTTGTTATAAAAGAGCTTTATTCTGTAAGATATTGGGTACATTCACTTTTTAATTAGAGCTGCCAAACTCTGGGCCAGTGTGAGGTCAAAATCATGTCTTTTTATGATGCTCTTTTTCCTGATTATAAAAGTAATAATAAAGCAATAGGACCAATTTTTCCCCCCAGAGGATTCTCTCAAGTTAACTGCACCATGAAAAAATTAACCATAAACAGATGCCCTGATTTTGCCCTTTTAATAAAACAATGTCTCGAAAGCTTTTTCAAATACTACAATGCAGTACAGAGAGACTGTTTGGGGTGAAAATGGGATCGTGTTGTTATTATTGTTGTTATTTTTTATATTTATCTGGCACTGAATGAATGAATGAATAAGTAAATGAGCTTTCACATGAGCCAGACTGTTTTATTTTCTCTTGCCCTGACAAATGGGCAGGCAACAAAAAACAGGGGTGATCAAATACAAATTTTATCCTGTTTCAGTGTTTATTGCTGAGAGTTGTGAAGCAATATCAAGAACACAATGACTCTGCAGGAGAACTTTTACCACTTAAGTCTTAATAATGAAACCTTTATAGTCAACTCGAAATATAAAATCAATGTTTATTTTTCCACTACCAATTTTCGTTTTCCTAGTCTCCATACTTATTTAATTTGTTAATTTCTTACTTCATAGGCAAGGGTGAACAGGTCCTAAAATAAAGTAGTTATTGCTCAACTTTGAGTCTCAGATTTACCTTTTTAGATATATACTTTCATAAAAAAATGAAAGTTTTGGATACTAGTCGTTGTTGAAAGAAGAAATCATCTTGCAGTTCACAAATCTTCCCACTGCAAAGCCAGAGCAAAGGTTAAGGGTCTCAGCATAGGGTTTTCCTATAAAAGTCACAGTAAAGAGTAAAAAACATCAGTGCAATTCAAAGGAAAAAGACCAATCTTCGGCATTGGGGCGAGGTTGGAAAGATTTGGAGAAGAGGACAACCATGAGGCAGAAACAACTTCCCTTTTACTCAACTACTCAGGTCAACGCTGAAAGAGGAGATAGGATGTTCTGAGAAGAAATGATAGAACACAGGGAAGAAGTTTGGAAAGCTGAGAGGAGACTATATCACAGGAAACAGTGTAACATCATGGTTCCACTGAAACAGAGAATGAGTAAAGATTTCAAGTCATGAAGCAGTGTGGGCCAGTGTCTGTGACCGCTGTGGCACACACAGGGGCTTTTGATGGCTGACAGGAGGATATAGAAGTGATGAAAAGCTGATTTTCAGTGGCACTATTGCAGGACAACCAATGATACGAAGCCCCCAGGGACATCTCCATGGAGATAGCATGGACTCAGAAAATGGTGGGCCAAACAGAGGTCCTTTCCTCCCTGCCATGAGATTAGAGACTCTTTGTCCTGCGTCATTATCATACCTCCTGGGGAAAGAAATGGGGAAGAGAAAACTCTTCTTGATGAGAAGTTTGACATGACTATCTAAAAGACACAAACAACCGGAATAAGTGTTGGCTTACCAAGATTGAAGTTTTATTTTCCTTTTCTTTATCCTCTCCTTAGTCACTGAGAAAGGGTGCCTGAGATGAAGATGAGATCAATTCTAGAAAATAAATCATGCCACAGATTAACATATCTGAGTTGTAGTGGGTAAATTCTGAGTGCATAAAAGTGGTATTACCTGGACATTCCACAGCACTCCCCCAAACTCTGTTTCCATTCTTTGCTGTGGGACTGTAGCAAGGTGGTATTAACTTTCCCAGGCTTAAACTGAATTTTTGGAAGAAAAAGGAAACTTGTTTATTCTGAGTAAAATCTCATAGTTGTGAGCTTACACAACTATACTCTCCCACAAAAGAAAGAATAAGGGCCAATTATAATCATTTTAGTACCATTGGTTATGACTTTAAACACAATTTTATTAAAAAGCAAAGGTATACTCAAAGCCATGTATCCAAAACAAACTATAGTTCAGAAAAATTATAACATACTAAATTCTGTTTTTGGAAAATAACATTTTCTAAATTATGCGAAATTAATATACATTATACAAATATTTCTAAGTATTTATTACGTTGAATGGTAATACTTGATTGAGTTGCAATTCTCTTATTTTAGTGATTTTTTTTTCTTTTTTTTTGAGACAGACTCTCATTCTGTCACCCAGGCTGGAGTGCAGTGGCATGATTTTGGCTCACTGCAATTCGTCTCCCTGGTTCAAGCAATTCTAATGCCTCAGCCTCCTGAGTAGCTGGGACTACAGGCAAGTGCCACCATGCCCAGTTAATTTTTGTAATTTAGTAGAGATGGGGTTTCACCATGTTGGTCAGGCTGGTCTCGAACTCCTGACCTTAAGTGATCCACATGCTTCAGCCTCCCAAAGTGCTGGGATTATGGGTGTGAGCCACCGTGGCTGGACTTATTTTAGTGATTTTCTACAGTAGTATAAAGCTAATTTTATATATATATATATATATATATATATATATATATATATATATATTCCAGAGAAAAATATGTTGACAAAATGTAATCACGAGTACATATTTTAGATTTTCTTCTATTTTGCCTGCTTTCCCCTATGAATGTGCTGAAAGAACAAAAGCAGAATAAAAATGTCCATATTTGTGGACATACAGAGTGGAATAATAGACACTGGAGACTTGAAAATGTGGGAGGGTGAAAAGGGGTAAGGGATTTGAAATTACCTAATGGCTACAATATACACTATTCAGGTGATGGTTACACTAAAAGCCTGGACTTCACCACTACGCTATTGCTTAACAAATCCACATAACAGATTTGCACTTGTACCACCTAAAGCTATAAAAATAAAAAATATAAAATAAAAAACAAAAAAAGCAAAACTGTACATGTTTGGATAAATATAATTTCCTGAATAAGTCAAAGAAATTAACATCTTGGGTTTTATTTATAGAATAGCTTTACAGGGAGTTTTGATGTCCTTTCCCAATGCTGAATTGAATTATTTAGATAATGCACTTGGACTTGACTTTGCCAGTGAAAATAAGCCCAAAAAGATGGAGAAATGCACATCTTTTAAATCTCATTTTCCTAACCCATAAAATTAGGAGTTTGGACTAAATTATAGCTAAATATTTAATGTGCTAAAGTTCTCTTATTTAGGGATTCTTTAAAATTCATCCATACTAGTCTTCATTACTTACCCTAAGTCATAAGAAACAATTATACACACACATACGTCATAGCATTCATATCTATTATATTATTATACTTCAGTTATTTTGAAATTCCATCAAAACTAGCCTGGAGAAAAAAACTAAACAAAACTTCAATATCAAGAAAGGGCCCATGTAGCCATCTGGTGGCTACTAAGGGAAATACATTTGAATCTTTCCATCAATATTGAACATTGGTATACAGTATTTTAAAAAATAAGCCATTCTTATACTAATTTAATATTTGCATGATTCTAAGAATCACCTAAGACATTTTAATTTCTTATAGATGTATATTTACTTTTATATTTTTCTTTAAGGCATAGTACTTTTCTCATTCTATTATATATTAATTACTAAGAAATAGACATCATTGTGGCTATTCATTATAAATTATGCCATCATTACACTTTTGAGATGATAGCTCCTTTAAAATATAAGCTTCAAATAAACTAAACACATAAGGTTGAATAATTATGGATTATGGATAAGCTTTTTATAAATATCTATGTATTACTTATGTTTGCATATAGGACCTTTCGATCAATATGCATATATTAATACATATATACTGACAAGTGTCAGGCTCCATAATCATATAAAAAGTATAGATCATGTTTTGAAAAATAACATAAAGACATATACAAGTGGTAATATATAAACATATCCTGACATTGTTAAACTTCACTAAAGTACGAAAACATCAAAGATCATATGCTGTTTGAAGAAAGTTAATTGCAAGAAAAAAATCTACCTATGTAGATTTACCCACATATTGCTATGACCTATGTAATGCCTTGCCTGTGTAATGCTTTCAGAAATTATTGCTCATTTAGAAAATTTTACAAATATTCTGAATATGTCTTTTAGAAAAATAGACATTTTTCAATGCAGCTGTTTCTAAGCAATAAAATAAAAGCTAGTTTATAATTTAATATGACCATGATAAAATGAAACAATTATTATGGATATTATTAGTGAAGTTTTGCAAATAGAGGCAAAATAAACGTGTAAATTTACCAGAGGAATATTTTGCTATATATCTATGTTAAAAAGAAAAAGGAAATAAGTGAAAAACTATTTTAAAAATTCATGTGCTATAGTTTTCCCAAAAGGCAATGATATTCTTAATATACTGAAATATAACAGTTGCTAAAAAAATGCAAGTTTATGAGATTAGCAGTGCATTTGCATAACAATAATGTTATTACTATTTTGCTAGGCATTTGTGACATCATTGTATACTGTATTTAACTCAATGTTTATTTAAATGTGAAACCTCATGTACACATATTGTTCAGACAAAACCTTGCTCAAAATTGATTTTCAAATGTATAATATTTTTCTTCTGTGTAATTTTATTGCTAACTTTATGAATAGTGAGTTTTTCAGTCAATAAAGTGTATAGAAACAATACACAAAGTTTTAGTGAGGTTATGATGGAAATTTAAAAGTCAATGAATCTGATAACAAAGGAAATCAAGGAAAAAATTAAAATGCTCAACACCACTAAACTTTCAATTTTAACCTTTACACCTAGAGATGGCAATGTGAATAGTAAGTTCTCATTAAAACTGGTGATTTTTATAATCAATCTGTAGATATAACACAGAGATGATCAAGACTGCCTTCCTCAATTCCTGACTTCAAGCACAATTCTGTCCTGCTCAAGCCAAAAACAAAAGAAACTAAACAAACAAAAAAACGCAACTGAAAACATCACATTTTAAGGATACAAAAGAATAAGCAAATATGCTAAAATCGTATGTATGAAACAAACATTTATTACCTACACCTACCTAAGCTTTTTTCTAAGTCTAGAATATTGGTGTGAACGTTCTTTACCAAGGGTTTTGGCCCTTTAATACTATTCTCAGAACCATTTTTGTTGGCTTGTATTTTAATGAATGGATAAGAGTACTGATTCCAGAGACACACTTGTCTGGTCTAAATGTCAATTCTACTGGTTAATAAACATCCCTTCTTGAAAATAATAAGAAAACATTAGTATTACAATAATACTTTTTTATTGTAAAATTAGAGAACTGATTGCATATGTATTCATTATATATAAGTGAATAATTATAAAGTGAACAATCAAATAGCTACCACGTAGGTCAAGAGATAGAGTTTTCCCTATAACCAAAACTTCACCATTTGACCCTTTCATATTGTCTCGCTTTTTTTTTTTTTTGATAGTTTTACTACACCAGCATGAACACTTTACAATATATTTTAAATTTTTCCAGGTTTGATTTTCATGTAAATGAAATCATACCATATTCATTCATTTATATCTTGATGCTTTCTCTCAACATTACGTTTGTGAGATTTACTCATGTCGTGTGCAGCTGCAGTGAGTTCATTTTCATAGCTGTATAGAGTTTGAATGTGTATATAAACATATACTTTCATTCAAACTCTATACAGCTATGAAAACATATATATACAGCTATAAATACAGCTATGAATACACACACACACATATATATATTTTTCTATTCTAGTATCAATGGGCACTTGCATTATTTCCAGTTTAGAGCTGTTACAAACAAAATCACTACAAAGATTCTTGTACATGCAACCTGGAGAAAATGTGCAAGACTATCTCTAGGGTATGATTCTAGGAGTGTAATTGCTAGGTTTACTATATTTGTCTTGTATCTCTAATTCTACGGCTGAACTTTTTTCCCCAAAGTAGTTGCTCCAATATGTAGCCCCATCTTCCTTTTGGAGGACAGTTTCCTTTACTAAGCACACTTCCCAAAATATGTTATTGTCACACTTTTCAAGTTTTGTGTAATAGGTTATCTAATGGCATCACATTTTGGTTAAATTCCACAATTCCTCGACTACAAATAGGATTGATCATCTTTTTACTTCCTTGTTGGCCATTTATGTTTCCTCTTTTGTAGAGGTTAGGCGTGGTGGCTCATTCCTGTAATACCAGCACTTTGGAAGGCTAAGAGGGGAGGATCACTTGAGTCCAGTAGTTCAAGACCAGCCTGGGCAACATGGTAAGACCCTGTCTCTAGAAAAAAATAAAAATTAGCCGGGCATGGGTGTCCTATTGTAGTCCCAGTTACCTTGGAGGCTGAAGCTGGAGCATCGCTTGCTCATAAGAGGTTGAGGCTGCAGTGAACTATGATCCTGCTACTGCACTCCAGCCTCAGTGACAGAGCAAGACCCCGTCTCAAAATAAATCAAGAAAAAATAGATGTCGTTACTTCAACTTGACTTTTGAATACCTGCTGCATCAAATTTTAGATGACATGTTTCTCTCTTTTAAATTTTTAGATGACAGGTTTCTCTCTTTTCTCACTTTAGGCTGGGCACAGTGGCTCACGCCTGTAATCCCAACACTTTAGGAGGCCGAGGTGGGCAGATTGCCTGAGCTCAGGAGTTCACAACTAGCCTGGGCAACGCGGTGAAACCCCATCTCTACTAAAATACAAAAAATTAGCCGGGCATGGTGGCAGGGGCCTGTAATCCCAGCTACTTGGGAGGCTGAGGCAGGAAAATCGCTTGAACCTGGGAGGCGGAGCTTGCAGTGAGCCGAGATTGTGCCACTGAACTCCAGCCTGGGTGACAGAGCGAGACTGTGTCTCAAAAAAAAAAAAGAAAAGAAAAGAAAAAAAAAAACCCAACACTTTGAAGACTTGATGTCATTGTCTTCTAGCTTGCCTTGTTTTTGAGGAAAAATGGTTGTTGCTTATGTAATATGTCTTCTATGTCTTCTCACCTTTCTTGGAGCATTTTAAATATTTTCTAAAGATGTTTAAAAATCTCTTTCTTTATTCTTATTTTATTTTGCTTTATTTTACTTTTGTGAGAAGGAGTCTCACTCTATTGCCCAGGCTGGAGTGCAGTAGTGTAATCTTGGCTTACTGCAACCTCCACCTGCCAGGTTCAAACAATTAGAAAAAATTTTTATGTGTGTCTTTCTTTACTGTTTAGGAATATGACTATGATATGGAGAGGTGTGATTTTCTTTGTATTCATTCTGGTTGAGAGTCATTACGTTGAGATTTGTGAACCTGTATATTAATGCTTTTTATAAAAATTGTAAAATCGGCCGGGCACAGTTGCTCAAACCTGTAATCCCAGCACTTTGGGAGGAGACCAGCCTGGCCAACACAGTGAAACCCCGTCTCTATTAAAAATACAAAAATGACCGGGGCATGGTGGCGGGCACCTGTAATCCCAGCTATTCATCAAGTCTGGCAAGTCTGCTCACCAGGTGGCCAGATATCACCCACATGCCCCCATCATTGCTGTGACACGGAATCCCCAGACAGCTCGTTAGGCCCACCTGTACCGTGGCATCTTCCCTGTGCTGTGCAAGGACCCAGTCCAAGAGGCCTGGGCTGAGGACGTGGACCTCCGGGTGAACTTGGCCATGAATGTTGGCAAGGCCCAAGCCTTCTTCAAGAAGGGAGATGTGGTCATTGTGCTGACCGGGTGGCACCCTGGCTCCGGCTTCACCAACACCATGTGTGTTGTTCCTGTGCCGTGATGGACCCCAGAGCCCCTCCTCCAGCTCCTGTCCCACCCCCTTCCCCCAACCCATCCATTAGGCCAGCAACGCTTGTAGAGCTCACTGTGGGCTGTAATGTGGCACTGGTGGGCTGGGACACCAGGGAAGAAGATCAATGCCTCGCTGAAACATGGCTGTGTTTACAGCCTGCTCCAGTGGGACAGCCCAGAGCCTGGCTGCCCATCATGTGGCCCCACCCAATCAAGGGAAGAAGGAGGAATGCTGGACTGGAGGCCCCAGGAGCCAGATGGCAAGAGGGTGACAGCTTCCTTTCTTGTGTTTACTCTGTTCAGTTCCTTTAGAAAATGGATGCCCAGAGGACTCCCAACTCTGGCCTGGGGTCAGGAAACAGCCAGCGAGAGTTAGGGGCCTTAGGGCACAGGGCAGTTGCTCCACTGAAGCAGACTCTGGCCCTGGCCCTTACTTGCTTCCTCAACCCCCTGGGCCTCCCCAGTCCGCAGCTGTCCCCGCCCTCCACTCAGCTGTCCTGCAGAAAACACTCCACCCTCCACCTTCCATTTTCCCCTACTACTGCAGAGCCTCCAGGCCTGCTGCTATAGAGCCTACCTGTATGTCAATAAACAACAGTTGAAGCGCGTGCACACACACACACACACACACACACACAGTACAAACATGAGCCGGGCATGGTGGTGGACACCTGTAATCCCAGCTACTCGGGAGGCTGAGGCAGGAGAATTGCTTGACCCCGGGAGGTGGAGGTTGCAGTGAGCTGAGATTGCGCCATTGCACTCCAGCCTGGGCAACAGAACCAGACTCTGTCTCAAAAATAAATTAAATAAATAAATAAATAAATAAATTCCTCACCAATATTTTTTTCCATTCCTTTTTTTTCCTCTTCCTGGGATTTCAATTACATGTATATTAGACCACTTCATAAAATCTTACAGGTACTGATTTTTTGCTCATTTTTTTCACCCTTTTTTTCTTTTTCTGCTTCAATTTGGATAATTACTATGACTCTATTTTAATTTCATTTATCATTCTGTAGTATTCAATCTTTTATTAAACCCAATGAATAGATGTTTGATTTCAGACTATCTATAATGTATGCAAATTTTGCTCTCAGAATTTCCACTTCTATCTTGAAATGCCTCATCCTTTCACTCACTGTATCCACCTTTTTCTCTAAATTTATTCATATATCTATAATAGTCATTTTAAACAACCTAATCTGAACCTTGTGTGTTTTTCTTATTCATGAGTCACACATATTCCTTTTTCTTTGCTGTTTTGTTACTTTTAATTGTATACTAGACATTGTGTACAGAAGAACAATGGAGATTAAAATATGATTTTGTTTTACTTAGTTTTATTTGTCAGAAAGTGCAACCCTTTTCCTCGGCCTGACAATGAGTAGAGGAGTAATTATTTAGATAATTTCTGAAGTTGAATTGAACCAAAGCTGGGTTGTACCTTTAAATTCAGTTGAATTTGACTATGATCAGTGGCATTCTCAACCTCTCATTTTCCTGTCATGTTTATTATATCAGTATTTGAGATGAAAATTGGATTGGATTTCAATTTCAGGTATTTTTGAACCAAGAGTTGAGATTTACATGTGGCAATCCATGATTAAATGTAGTTCTATGTGATTTCTTCCCACTTTTCTCTCAAATCAACTTTTTTTTTTTTTTTTTTTTTTTTTTTTTTGTAGAGAGGATGCAAAATTCAGGCTTGTATTGATTGGAGCCAAAAGAGAATTGTCAGGTAGAACAACTTATTTTGGATTCAGGGCTCTAGTTACCAAACTGAACTGGATTTGTTTGCTCACACGCATTGGAAAGCCAAACACCAAAGCATCAGGTTTTCATAGAGAGAAAAGTTTATTGTGAGTCACCTGGCAAGGGGACAGGAGGCAATGCTCAAATCTGTCTCTCTGAGCTGAAGGCTGGGGCAGGTCTTATAGGCAGAGGGTAATAAGACACGAGCTGATTGGATCTTGCAATGAAGTGGTGTTGGGAGGTGTGATCTTATTGGATCGCATCATGGGGTGATGCCAGGGCTCAGTCTGATTAGATCATGGATCATGCCGTGTGGTGTCAGTTTCTTAGTTTGGTCCCGTTTCTTGGTCCAAGCACTTACCTTCCTCCTGTGGTTGCACACTTGGTTTATCTAAGCATGTTTAGGTGACATAACTTGCAACTTGGGGTCCATGGCAACTGAAAAACAACTCATTGTTTTATTACCCAAAGTTGAACAAGGTTGGGTTAGTTTTATAATTGCACTCTTTCTCATTCGATTTCATCTCTTCAGCCTATGCTATTGTCTAGGCTTAGCTGATTTCTTCTATTCTTGGAAGAGTTTCTCCTATGTCAGGCTTTTTCTCTGTCCAAACCTATCTAGACTAGATACCCAACCCTAGTAATGGAAGCTGACATCATGGTTGTCTGCTCACCTATGGAGAGCTCGTTTCTCTCTAGAATTCAATTTATTGAGCCTCTTTGTATCCACTGTTCTTTGCTAGTTGCAAACAAAATTGTGATTTTTTAGCAATATATATACATATATACATATATATGTATATATATACATAGAGACATATATATGTGTATATATATGTGTATATACATAGACACGTATATATGTATACATAGATAGACACGTATATATATACATATATACGTGTCTATGTATATATATATATACACATATATACACACATATATATATACACACACACATATACGTGTATATATATGTGTGTATATATATATTTTAGAGACAGGGCCTGGCTCTGTTACCCAGGTCAGAGTGCAGTGGCACAATCATAGCTCACTGCAGCCTCGAGCTCCTAAACTAAAGCAATTTTTCTGCCTCATTCTCTCGAGTAGCTAGGACTACAGGCATGCACTACCACACCTGGTCAATTTCTGTATTTTATTTTAGTTTTTGTAGAGAGAGGGTCTTTCTATGTTGCCCAAGCTGGTCTCAAACTCCAGGCCTCAAGTGATCCTCCCACCTCGGCTTCCCAAGTAACTAGGATTACAGGCCTAAGCCACCATGCCTGACTAAAAATTGTGATTTTTATTTTGTCTGTATTTTTCTTGTTGCCATGGGTATTTCTACATTTTTAGAAGAATGCCATTTATCTGTGACCATATTAGACACAACATGATGCTGATCCAAGAAAGTGAGGCACAATAGGTTTAAAGAATAAATATGCTTAACACAATGGATATTTCCAAGTGTGTGTGCCTATCTTTCTATCAATGCACAAATATTTCACTGAATTACTGCAGCTTTAGGGTAAGTATTGATCACTGTTAGGGCAAGTTCCCTCTCTCCTTTTTATTCTTGAAAAGCATAATGGATTTTCTTGGCTTTTTGGCACTTTATCAAAACATACATTCCTTCAACTTGGGAGAACTGATGACATTATAAAAGGAAGAGAGACAGGAGCAAGCACACTGAGTCCCCTCAGCATGTGATGCCCTGTGCTGCCTTGAGACTTTGAAGGCTCTCACCCGATACAGTCCCTCGTCCTTGAACTTCTCAGACTCCATAATTGTAAGAAATAAATTGATCTTCTTTATAAATTATCCAGTTTCAAGTATTCCGTTACAAGCGACAGAAAATGGACTAATGCCGCATGGGAACTTGTCTGAGTTTATATCGTATCAGTTTCTGATTCAAGAGGAAAGAGTAGAAATTTCTCCACTGTAGAAATTCAAGGAGGGACTCTGATTTTTCCAGTTTGGATCAATTATTCACCTTTTGGACACTATGATCCAAGGTATGGAAACTAATCATTAGCTCAGCCCAAATGTGTCCCTCTGTTTGTCTGGAGAATGGGATAAACTGGGGCAGAGTACTCTGACTAGCCACCCATTATAAACTAGTAAAAACCACAGGGTGAGGGGGAGTAGGTCTTAAAGATTATGTGGGGGGTGAGGTGAGTTGGAGGTGGGACTGTTCTGATGTCACCCAGAAAATGGGAGGAAGGCTGGGCAGAAGAAAACAACAACAAGCTCCTGGCAAGGAGAAACTATAGTTTTTCAATGTCTTTCTCTCCCCCCATCCCTCATATCTCCTCTGAACAGAGAGAGTGGTTTCTGAGGTAAACTGATCACAGGAAATATCTATGGGCTGAATTTATGAATCAAAGCTATGCAGTTTTAAAACATATTCAGAAGAAATTTTGCTTTGCAACTATGTATGGATCAAAAGAATGATTTTTTTAAACATTGGTGAGATAGGTACCAGTGTCAAAAAAATAAAGGAAGATAGAAGGTTTAGAGAGTAGGGTAAAGATATTGAATGTGGAATAAAGATTTATATCAAACACAAGAACAGACGAATACATTTGTTTTAGTGGAAGAGAATTGTAATGACTTTTCTTCTTTCGGTCTCTCCAAATCTTATCCATAATTCCAGGCATGACTTATGCACCTTCTTTTCAATCTTAACATCTGTGGAATTCCAACCTTCATCAACCTCTCTGTTCAGTAATCCCACTCTGTTTATAACTTTTTTGTAATGCCACAAAGTATAAATTTGACCATTTATTTGAAATTGCAGAATAATGAGATATTTATCTCCTTAATAATTTCTTATAAATATGTCTTGGATGTCTCAATTAGGTTCTAGATTTTTTAACAGAAAGTGACCAGTCTTCTGCTGCTCTTTAAACCTATTTAGTCCTGATAATAGCTCTGAACACACAGTACTTCAGCTAATGTTTGTGGATAGTAAAGTTTCAGAGTGGAATGTTAGGAACTTCCCGCAGGATATATCTTGTTACTGCTTTAAAGGTAGTTTAAGAAAAAACATGAGGTCTGCTAACTATGCATTTTTATATTTACTGTTAGAGATGCCAAGTCATCACCATCCTTCTTCTTCTAGAAAAAAAATATGGTTAAAATCAGAGCCCTATCTCCTCAGTAGACAGGTAAATTTATGCCACTAGAAGAGTATTAATAATCAAAAAAGAGGAAAGGATGAGAAGCTCAACTGGCTTCTGTAAGCACATCTCATTTGGACTGAAACAACAATTTAGATTCTCTTGGAGTTTGTTATACATTCTTTGGAGAAAATGGTAGAATATAGATAATTAAAAATAAAAGAATTCTTTCAAAATGTGATCCAAGTCTATTTTGTTTGTCTCACCTGAAATAGAATAAAGAATTTATATTTTTTCTTAAAAAGTATCTGTGTTAGGGTCCTTTTCTCAATTAAGTTATTCAGCGTCCATGAAAGTTATGGGGGCAGAAGAACTAGCTCAAATCACTGGGGTGAGCAGTACATAGTACAGGCGGGAAACTAAATATAAGCCCCATGTAAAAAGGTTTTAGCTAATCTGTCTTTTCTGAGATGAAGGTGGGGGCATAGGTTTTCTTCTTTGCAGAGCTCATCCTATTTCTGTATACTTGCAAATGCACCAAATAAATGTCTAAAATTGCATAACTACATTGAACAAGTCAATTTCTCATAAACTATCGTGTATCTTTGTCTTCTACACCCCACGATGCTTTCAAATTCATGTCACATAATTTTTTATTTATAAAACGCTTCTGTAAAAATCAAATAAGCTGAAATATGAAAATAATATTTTAGATTTCAAATATAGAGAACCAAGAACTTAAAAAAAATGACAGTCATGAGAGAGAAAACTTGGCTTTTACCTAAATTCCAGCATAGAAAATGCGTCCGAGTTTACTAAAATAAAGATGTAGCTATTTAGTAGCTCTTTTGTTGTAATACAGACTAGTCAGATGTAGTTTGATTTCTGACTTAGAAGTATGGTTTCTCTTGAAGCTCAAACATGGTATCTGGTAGTGGCTGATTTTCCTCTGCATCATTTTGGTCACATGTGCTTTGGATGAGATATAGTAATGTCCATGTCTGAATATTGTCAGAATAATGAGGTGAATCTAGCAAAGGCTGTAGTCAAGATCGAAAACCAATGCAGCCACAACTGGCTGGACCAAGAATCAAGAATATTCCAGCACATGTACAGCTCACAAGAAGCAAACTGGGACAGCTAGACACCAGGGACCCTTTGCTGGTCAGTGTTTGGCATGAAGAAGCCATAGAGAATTTTGGTGAAGTAAAGGCAGAAGAATAAGGAATGATCCTGAATTAACTAAAATTATCTGCAACTCACTAAAGTTAAATTTCTGTGACAGAGAACATTGGAGACTCAAAATGGACCTTAAATTCAGTATCAGAAAAGAAATGTGGGCAGGGCATGATGGCTCGTGCCTGTAATCCTAGCACTTTGAGAGGCCAAGGCAGGAGAATTGCTTGAACCCAGGAGTTTGAGACCAGCATGGGCAATACAGCAAAGCCCCTCTGTATAAAAAATAAACCAGACGTGGTGGTGTATGCCTGTGGTCCCAGCTACTTGGAAGGCTGAGGCAGAAGGATCTCTTGAGCCTGGAAGATAGAGACTGCAGTGAGCCATGTTTATATCACTGTACTCCAGCCTGGGTGACAGAGCAAGACCATATCTCAATCAATCAATAAATAAGCATTTCTGGTCCAATTGGTTTTGTGAACTGAGAGGCATGTTTGATTAACTTGAAAAGCAAAGTTGTTTCAAGAGAACAGCTAATCATGTCAGTTACTACAAGTTTCGAACTTTGTTAAATTTGGGGAGTTTCTATTATTCTGGGAAATGACAGGAATGCAGGGAATTGAGGAAAAGCAGATGGCAGATCTTCCAGAGCAAAGGCCTAAGCTCTTCAGATTGTGAAGGCAGATATGCCCGGTCCCGTGGACTGCTAGCATGATGGAGCAGCAAGAAGCCTGTTTGCATCAGGGTTGGGAATGCTTCACGGAAGAAAATAGATATTGATGAATTGGTATGCCTAGCTCATTTTTTTTTTTAAAAAACTACTAAGTTTTGAAGGAGGCAAAGGACCCTAAAAAATCCATCCTGTTTAAAATAGAGTCACACAGTCTGCATCAAAGAACACGTTGGGAGGCAGAGATCCAGATAAATTTTTAGCATAACATTTTGTGTGACACACAGATGGACACAAGTGGCTTGGGGCAGTTAACACCTGTGGCCTTAGTGATGACAGGAGAATGACATATGCTCTCTCTGATGACTACTTGGTGTCCCAGCTGTTCCAGAAGACACTAGTCACGGGGTCCAGTAGAAAACAAGGATATCTATAGGTTAAAACTACTTGAAGTTAGAAATAGAGAATGAACCATTATGTCATCAAACACGTCACAAAATATGCTGTTTTGTTTTGTAATGAATACCTTTGGCAACAACCCACCCCCCACCCCACCACCACCAAAATAAAAGAGAAAATGCACATTTAGGAAAAATTTAGTAGTACACTTTGTTTCTCAAGAGAGTTGATGATGAACGTGTTAACTTGTTCAAAATATTTGATGACCTCTACCATCCACCATGGGGGCTATAAGGACATCACTGACCACCTAAAAACCAGAGGAAGTATGTCTGATGAAGAAATACCAACAACTATTCCAAAAAGAAGCAGTTAATTTGAAAAAATTATGCTTGAAGACAAAGATTGAACAAGTGTAGCTGCAGAAGGTACATTTATTTATCACACTATGATGTATGACTTTTCATATACAGTCATGAGTCACTTAACAACCAGGATACTTTCTGAGAAATGCATCATTAGGCAATTCCGTCATTGTATGAACATCATAAAGTGTACTTACACAAACCTAGATGGTACCTACTACACACCTAGGCTATATGGCATGGTACTGGTCCGTGGCCTGTCAGGTACCAGGCCGCACAGCAGTAGGTGAGCGGCAGGCAAGTGAGAGAAGCTTCATCTGTATTTACAGCCACTCCCCATCACTGGCATTATCCCCTGAGCTCGGCCTCCTGGCAGATCAGCAGCAGCATTAGATTTTCACAGGAGAACAAACCCTATCGTGAACTGCACATGCAAGGGGTCTAGATTGCCTATGGTCTTTAGGAGAATCTAATGCCTAATGATCTGAGGGAGAGCTGAGGCAGTGATGCTAGCACTGGGGAGCAGTTGCGAATACAGATTAACATTAGCAGAGAGGTTTGACTGCACAGAGACCATAATAAATCAATTGCTTGCAGACTCATATCAAAACCTTATCAGTGAGTGGGCAAGTGACAATTAAGCTGCATCTGGCAGGCTTTTTAGTGGCAAGTGAGTTGATGTACTTCAATTTTAAAGCTGCATCTGGTGGCTTTAAAAGTATGTTTGAGACAGCTTCAAATCTCTATACATTCTGGATTAAAGTCAAGGTAGAGTATCCTGAGATTACCACAAAAACACTGAAAAGCCTGCTTCTATTTCCAATATCCTATCCTTGTGAAGCAGGGTTTTCTGCAGTCACAGCAACCAAAATGAGATTATGGAGTAGACTGGACATAAGCAACAACACACTTTGGGTGTCACTATCTCCCATCACCCCCAGATGAGACCATCTAGTTGCAGGAAAACAAGCTCAGGGTTCCCACTGATTCAACATTATGGTGAATTGTGTAATTATTTCATTATATGTTACAATGTAATAATAATATAAATAAAATGTATAATAAATGTAATGTGCTTGAATCATCCCCAAACCATCTTCCTGAACCCTCAGTTGTGGAAAAATTGTCTTCCACGAAACCAGTCCCTGGTGCCAAAAAGGTTGGGAACCACTACTGTACAGCATGTTACTGTATGTACTTAATACTGTAGGCAATTGTAACACAATGATAACTATTTGTGTATCCAAACATATCTAACCATAGAGAAGGTAGAGTAAAAGACTCATACATATTATAATCTTATGGGATTAGCATCATATTTGCAGTCTGTTGTTGACCAAAACATCATTAAGTGGCATGTAACTGTAATTGTTAATTTTACTCATTTTATGATTTCTTATAGAATTATGTAATGATTGGGGTTTTTTTTAGATTGGACACACTGGAATAATACAATCTTATGTCCCTATTTTAAGGTCCCTTTTTTTTTTTTTTTTGAGACAGTGTCTCACTTGGTGGCCCAGGCTGGAGTGCAGTGGTGCAATCTCGGCTCACTGCAACCTCCACCCCCTGAGCTCAAGAGATTTTCCCACCGCAGCCTCCTGAGTTGCTGGGACCACAGGTGCACACCACCATACCTGGCTGGGTTTTTTTTTTTTTTTTTTTGTATTTTTAGTAGAGGTGGGGTCTTGTCATATTGCCCAGGCTGGTCTCAAACTCCTGAGCTCAAGATATCCACCTGCCTTAGCCTCTGAAAGTACTGGGATTACTGGCATGAGCCACTGCACCCCACCTGTGAAATGGTTGTTGATAGAATGTTAGGTCCTTTAGCAAAAGAAGAACTTTATAGAGAGTTAGATAATGCCAGTTTTATATCAAAGCTATCAGGTGCTAAAAGTAATAATCACCTAAGCTAATTTTAATAATAATTTGATAATTTTTTCATCAATTTATAGAATCAATGTAGAGACTTAGAAGTTTATTTTTGTCTGATGTGGAACAATTGAGGTAATGAATGCTGCCGTGAATTCCATTAAGAAGGTCAAAGTTAAGGACACTTTTTGTACTGACAATTCAGAATACTATATTTTCATGAAACTCAGCAGCATGATAAAAGTATGAAAATTTTAGAATTAGGAAACCAGTGAGCCAGAAACATACTTTAAATTACTCATAGTGTAAACATAATTCAGAATTGCACCTATATTATATCTTATAGATATAATTGTTCTTATATCTTTTTATGTGCTCAGGTAATGTCATCACCTGCACTCAAATACCAGGTGACTCTGATTTTCAAGCCCATGCATGCATTTAATCACTAAGATACCCTCACTCTCCAGCTTAAGAGTTATCCTCTCCATTGTCCCATATTTGAGAAAGGCTACACCGTTGAATATACAATCTGTTTTCTATTTTCTTTTCAGGAAGAATGCGAACTTAAAGAACAAAACTTGACCAAGGTTGAATATAAGAATGAGTTTCTGTAAAAGTAATTTAATGTTTAATAGTTTTCTATTATTACTGTAACAAATGACCACAAACGTATTGTCTTAAAACATACATGTATCATCTTACAGTTCAATAGGTCAAGAGTCCAACACAGCTGTCCCTAAGCTAAAATTAAGGTGCAGCCTGGCTGCAATATTTTTTGGAGACTCTAAGAGAATTCCTTGCTTTGTCTATTAGCTTGGTGCAAAAGTAATTGCGGTTTTGCCATTACTTTTATCGCAAAAACCTGCAATTAGTTTTGCACCAACATAATAGCTTCTAGAGGCTGCCTACATTACTTTGCTTTGATCTTCTTTCTCCATCTTCAAACCAGCAAAGTAGTATCTTTTAGACCCTGCTTCTGTCATCACATCTGTTTCTCTGACAACATCTGGGAAAGATTGTTTGCCTTTATAAACTCATGAGATTAGGTTGAGCTCTCTCAGATAATGCAGCATAATCTCCCCACATCAAGGTTCTTAACATTTTTTTTCTTATTTTTTAATTTTATTTTATATAGAGGTGAGATCTTGCTATGTTGCTCAGGCTGGTCTTGAACTCCTCAGCTCAAGGGATCTGCCAGCCTCGGCCTTCCAAAGCGCTGGGATTACAGGCGTGAGCCACCATCCCGTGCCCAAGGTTCTTAACTTAATCACTTCTACCAACTTCCTTTGGATGTACATGAACATATTCGTAGGTTCAAAGTTAGGGGGTGGAAATCGTTGGCTGGCTATTGTTTTGCCTACCACAAGCATCCAAATAAACTGTCATGTTCTACCAACCAACCTGTATATTGAAATTTAACAGTCTCACAATGATACATTACAACGATAAATGTTATAAAAGAAAATTACAAGGGCCAAGAGAATATGTAACAGAAAAGCCTTCCTCAAGAAGTTTGATCTAACAACTGAAGAATGGGTAGAAGATAAATAAGCCAAGTTTGTTGAGCATGTGTACTGTAGGGTGTGGTGCTTTCAAGAAATGGAAAGGTCAGAGTAAAAGCTATATAATGAGGAACGAGAAGAGCGGCATACTCTGATACCAACCAAAAAACCAGAGACCAGATCATGCAGGCTTTTTAGATTCTATTAACTTTTTTAAAAATCTTAAGTGCAGTGAGAAGTCATTTAATGGTTTGAAGCAGGAGGAGAAGTGTTGTAATCAAATTTAGCATTTTGGAGGATGATTCTAGCTTCACTGTGGAAAATGGATTAAAAGGGACAAAAGTGGTTACAAGTTACTAAAAGAGCTGACATAAGATGCTGTGGTATCATCTACTCTCAGAGATCCTAAAGTCACTTCGATAAATCCCAGGTCTTCTCACAGAAACCTCTTTTTCTTTAGCGTCTCCCATGTGAGTAGATAACCATCTAGTTCAGTCAGCCAAAACCTGAGAGTCGTCTCTCATCTTCCCTCTCCTTGCCTTACAATATTCAAGTCCTATCATTTCTGCCCCTAAGTAGTGTTTGAATTTGTACCCATCTTTACATCCTCACTGCCACCACTCTAGTACAGACTACTCTCATTTCTTGCCCAAGATATTGAAGTAGGCTTTTAACTGATTCCCCACATAGATTTTTGCCCCCTGTTATCCACACTGCAACCAGAGTGATCTTTTTAAAGCACACATTTTATTAAACTCTCTCTACTATACTTTACATTCCATACCTCCTCCCTTCACTCACACACACACATAAACACACAGACACATGCAGACACACACACACACATTTATGACCCATAAGTGTCTTCCTACTGCCCAGACATACAGAATTGCAGCCTCACCCCTGCTCTGTGTCCTCCAGGAGCAGATGATGGTCTACCTCCCCAGCTGTCATACCCTGTAAAGATCCCTCCCTCTCAAGCTCCATTTCAGAGGTTTTATGTTTCTTTGGGTGTGCTGGGCTCTGTCTCATAATACCACTTTTGTGAATGCCAATTTCTTAGACTGTCTGTCTAGAATGTTTCTCCTGTGTCTAGCTAACTCTGATTCTCTTTTATGTCACAGATGAGAGAGTATTTCCTCAAGGAAGCATTTTCTAATACCTCAGTTCTTCTTTTGTGTTCTTATATCTTCTTAGGTGCTCAGGTAGTGTTGTCACCTGCACTCAAATCCAGGTGACTCTGATTTCCAAGCCCATGCATTTAATCACTAAGATACCCCTACCCTCCAGCTTAAGAGTTTTCCTCGCCAATGTGCCATAGTTTGAGAAAGGCTACACCATTGAATATATAATTTGTTTTCTATTTTATTTTCAGGAAGAATGTGAGCTTGAAGAACAAAACTTGACCGAGGTTGAATATAAGAATGAATTTTCTGTAAAAGTAATTTAATATTTAATAGTTTTTGGTTATACCCCAAGTGGACATGTGATAAGTGAGAATCCATGATAAGAATTTTCGAAGTTGTGCTTAAAGAACATATACCAAGTGTATTAGTTAGCATGAGCACTGCCTGGGAACAGAGAAATGAATGAGCCTGTGACACTGGGAGAGTTCTCACAGCCGTTAACCTCCCTGGAAAATTTGCAAACACAGTAGGTGACTTTGCAAGTCATCTTAACAAGTAGAAGAATTAAGTAAGAAATCTTCTATTCTTAGAGAAAAGGGATGAGATGTACCAAGGATGCTGCTTAGAGAGGTTTGCATTTTCACTATTTGTGCCACGGATAGATAAAAAGGGCTCCAGTCTCCAAGGCTGTCACTCCATCACCCTTCACAACACTAAATTCACTTAATTTTTTTTTCACTTTAACAGCTAAGGATGTTATCACTTATGCTGAGGTCACTGAGAGACTAATACTACTCTTGGAGACACTAATGAAAAGGTACAGTGGTGACATGAGTTAATTGCAGTTACCACACAATTACCAATTAATGTTCTACTGATGTTAACAGAGAATGGAAGAGAGCTAGCTTATGTATACTGAGCACTGCATGGTATAATAATATAATATAATATAATATAATATAATATAATATAATATAATATAATATAATATATAATATAATATTAGTATAATGTAAAACAGTGCTTAGTAGTATACAACATTTTCCTGTACAGGTTTGCTCACATAAATAAAGAGGATCAAGAAAATGTATGTTTTCCCATATTTACCATTCTAACACTGCTTAAAAATTAACCTAATAACAATGATCTTTCTTTCGACTCTTTCCCTCTTAATCATTCAGTTTCAAAAAACTGGCTGCTAGAATTTTTTTAAAAAATTTAATGTTCAGCTACAAAAATAGTTATTTTACTCCTGAACACAAGCTTCAATGTGACTTTATTTTACTATAAGTGGAACAGATTAGGTTGTGGACTCAGTTTCTGTAATAGAAAAAAAAATCTTTATGAAAATTGTATTAGATGAAAATAAATCTCACCAGGTGTGGTGGCTCAGGCCTGTAATTCCAGCACTTTGGGAGGCTGAGGCATGTGGATCACTTGACGTTAGGAGTTTGAGACCAGCCTGGTCAACATGGTGAAACCCCATCTCTACTAAAAATACAAAAATTACCTGGGCATGGTGGCAGGTGCCTGTCGTCCCAGCTACTTGGGAGTCTAAGGCAGAAGAATGCCTTGAGCCCAGGAGGCAGAGTCTGCAGTGAGCCGAGATCATACCTCTGCACTCCAGCCTGGGTGACAGAGCAAGACTCTGTCTCAAATAAATAAATACATAAATATTTTTAATTTTTAATATTTTGTTTTTCAGACAGAGTTTTGCTCTTTCGCCTGGCCTGGAGTGAAGTGGCGCAATCTCAGCTTATTGCAACCTCCACCTCCCGGGTTCAAGCAATTCTCCTGCCTCAGCCTCCCAAGTAGCTGGGATTACGGGCACCCACTACCATGCCTGGCTAACTTTTTTGTATTTTTAGCAGAAACGGGGTTTCACCATGTTGGTCAGGCTGGTCTCAAACTCCTGACCTCAGGTGATCCACCCGCCTCGGCCTCCCAAAGTGCTGAGGCGTGAGCCGCCTTGACAGGTCTATAAATCAATAAATCTCTTTATCTAGTGTTTGATTAGTTCTTTACTTGCACATAATTTTGAGGATCTTGAATGTATTTTATTTTAACATTTTTACCAATTCCTGGAAAAGCAAAAAGACCTTCTTTTTTTTTTCTTTTTTTTACTTTTCTAATCAATTTTCTTGAGGTATAATTGAAATATGAGAGAATGAATTTAAGTGTATAGTTCAATGAAAATACGCTCATTTTAAAACATGGTTTATTTCGTGAGTCTCTGAAGGATTATTTCAGTAAAAGTAGGAATTGATTGCTTCTAGAAAATTATCCATAACATCTCTAAACTCACCTCTTGAGAAATTTTGCCCTGAATACCAAGCACGCCCATAACTTACCTATTAGCCACACAGATGTAAATCTAAGAGCAAACTTTGTGTTAAAACATTTTAATGTTAAACAGTTTTCAGTTATAACCTCCACACATTTACTGATAATGAGCCACAATGGACAACAGTAAGAAACTAGAATAAAATTCATAAATTCTTTGCTATTATCCAGTCAAATATATACATTAAGTACAAGGCACTTGCAGATACTGGAGACACAGCAGTAAACAGAACAGACACAGCCACAGCCCCTATGATTTGTTTCTTTATCCTTCCTAACATTTTGGTAATCTATTTAATACTGCATATTACAACAATTCCTGGTTATATTAACTAGAGTAAATTCTGTTTTCTGAATGCGGAACAATGTGTTACAGCTACTAATGCTTTCTTTTCTAATTGCATGATCCCAAATTATTGTCCTTCCATGAATCTGCTATTGCTGCTGACTCAATGTAATGTCCACACTGTAGAGTACGTATGGGACTATAGCCCATTTCCATTGATGGTAAAAACAATTTTCCAATTGTTTAGGAGCTGAATAGAGTCCCGATTGTGCAGAAAAATGGCCTCATCATGTGTGTCCTTAACAGCTTAATGCTCATAGTTATACAGGTTACAAAAGAATGTTAAGGTTAATACTTGCAAACATCAAGATTGGTTAGTTCAGTTTCTCAGAGTGTGGTCATTAGACCAGCAGCAGCAACATCACCCGCAAACTTCTTGGAAATGCAGATTCTTGTGTCTCACCTCAGACCTACTTAATTAGAAACAAAAAGTGGGCTCCCAATCTGTATTTTAATGAATGCTCCAGGTAATTCTGACACACAATTAGTTTGAGAATCTCTGGGTTGAATTACGCTCAGATAACTAACATTTTAAGGCTTAAAACACAGAAGGTAGGCAGGGCGCAATAGCTCATCCCTGTAATCTCAGCATTTTGGAAGGCCTAGGTGGGCAGAACACTTGAGCCCAGGAATTCAAGACCAGCCTAGGAAACAGGGCAAAACCTTTCTCTACCAAAAACTAGCCAGGCATAGTGGTGCACGTCTGTGGTCCCCGCTGCTAGGAAGGCTGAGGTGGGAGGATTGCTGGAGCCCAGTAATCAGAGGTTGCAGTGAGTCAAGATAGAGCCACTGCACTCCAGCCTAGGCAACAGAGAGACTCACTCTCAAAAGAAAAACAAACAAAAACAAAAAAACAAAACAACAACACCAAAGGTTTGTTTTTCATTTATGCAGGATATTTTTTGGTGTGTTATCTGGCTGCTCTCCTTTGTGATGTCCCTACTTTAGAATCCATGCTGAAGAAACGTTGCTGCCATAATTTTAGGGGAAAAAAGACATCTTGCAATTAGATGTTCTTGCCCAGAAAGGCACATGTCCTTCCACTTAGAACTTATTATCCATATCTGGTTATCCAGTCCCACCTGGTAAGGTAGGATCAGGAAATGCTATCTAACATTTTCCTGGAAGGAAGAAATCAGAAATAGTAAATAGTTTTTATGACCACCATAATGACTAAATCTTGTACTCAAATATTTGGCTCATTCTTTCATCTGTAGACAAAATACACTCACCCACTAATGAAGGCACATAAAACAGGGCCGGGTGTGGTGGCTCATGCCTGTAATCCCAACACTTTGGGAGGCTGAGGTGGGCAGATCAGCTGAGGTCAGGAGTTCAAGACGAGCCTGACCAACATGTTGAAACCCCATCTCTACTAAAAATACAAAATTAGCCGGGCATGATGGCACGCACCTGTAATCTTAGCTACTCAGGAGGCTGAGGCAGGAGAATTGCTTGAACCTGGGAGGCAGAAGTTGCAGTGAGCTGAGAGCGCGCCACTGCACTCCAGCCTGGGCAGTAAAAGCGAAAATCCATCTCAAAAAAATAAATTAATTAATAAATGAAAATAAAACAGAAGTCCCAACCAACATGGCACTGAGCCCAAACTCCACATTTTTTGGGTGAAGCATTATATTATTTAAAGTTGGGATAATGTGTGATAGTCTTTATAACACCTTTGGATGTAGCACCTCCTAATTCAAATAACCATGGAAAAAGGGCAAGTTACTCTTCCCCTAATAATAAATGATGGAAAAGGACAGTTTATCCACTAAAGACATTCCCATGTAGAAAAGTGATGAATGGCCATCATGCAGCAGTCTCTGTTCTATAGCAAATCTAAAATCCTGCTGATCAGATTCTGCAAGGGTCTTCTACCCCCAGAACAGCATGTTCATTCAGTTCCTCCAAGATGCAGATGCCCAAGATGGGAGTACACATGCAATTATTTTGTTATGAGAAACACTTGTGAGAAAAAAAATAGGGAAGGAGCCAGGGGAAGCTGGGAGAGACATCAAGGCATGACGTAAACCTGACCCTAAGTGAAGGAGAGAGGACAGGACGGTGGGGTAGAAGAATCCTCAATGGCTACACAGTCAAAAGAAGGTCCAACAAGGCCACCAGGGGTTTCTGGAGCCAAAGTCAGACGTTAGAGTAATCCCTTATCCCAAATGAGCCTGCCTTAGTAGAAATGGGACTGCGTTTGTGTCCCTGGTGCACTCAGTCACCACCATTGCGAAACTTGTGGGAAATGTGCCACTGGGGCAGGCTTGATGAGGGAGATCAAAGTGCAGCAGATCGGTTAGTGAAGCTCCCGGTCTTTGGTGGTCTGCAAGACATGTACTTACGGCCACCACAATCCACCCATTGTGTCATTTAGACATATTCACACAGGTTCAGGGAGCAGCTCCTCCACACTTCCTGGGGGTCCCTCTTCCTGTTTGGAACCCAGAAGAGGGAGGTTAGTGAGATGAACAAAAGTCTCTGTTGTTGTGGTTGATCCTAGAGATAGCACTCATCCTCTTCTCCACCATTCATTCAAATTCCCCTCACTTTCAGCTACCATTTTGGCATTTACTTGTCTACAAGCACCCCTACCTTTTCCTGCTCATCAGAAATTGCTCAGTATGGTGATTCTTTTGTCTGCTGGCCCCTGGACACATGGAATCCAAAGTGCTCTGATAGCAGCTGGAATTTGTAGTTCAATGGCAACCTTGCTGTGTTCCCTTTAAGATCACATTCCTCTGAGGACTAGGGCTTTTAAAACTGCAGGGCCCAGAGTCTGTGGGAACCAGAAATACAGTGTTTCCAACTGTGTCATTGAGAGCGATGGTTATAGAGGCCACTTTTGCTTCCATCTCTTGATTCCTGGATCCAGGTGTCTTTTCTCTTGTGGACACAGGCCATGTAGAGGTGTTTGATTTAATAAATATACCCATCCTGAAAGATGGTGCCCTACCCTTTCAAGTGTTTTCTCCAATGTGGTACTTCAATTATACCTTTGTTTTTGTTTTTTCTTGTTTTTTTTGAGATGGAGTCTCGCTCTGTTGCACAGGCTGGAGTGCAGTAGCATGACCTTGGCTCACTGCAACCTCTGCTTCCCGGGTTCAAGTGATTCCTGTGCCTCACCCTGCCAAGTAGCTGGGATTACAGGCACTTGCCATCATGCCCAGTTAATTTTTGTATTTTTAGTAGAGATGGGATTTCACCATGTTGGCCAGCCTGGTCTCGAACTCCTGACCTCAAGTGATCTGCTTGCCTCAGTCTCCCAAAGTGCTGGGATTACAGGCATGAGCCACCGCACCCAGCCCCAGTTATACCCTTGGAAGGCTGATCTAGATTTCAGTGAAGTTGGTTGACTCTGAGTCATGCATAGACCCCATAGTCATGTAGATCCCATAGTAATGGTCCTGCTGTCTTACCGCTGGTTACTGGGTTATGCTGGGAGATAACCCTAGTTATCAACTTGGCATGCAGGCCAGAAGGTGAGCAGCTTCTAAGGGGAGAGGGAGCCTTCTGTTCCCTTGAATGAGACAGGTTTCTGCAGCATCTTCTGGCACAGAGGAAATGCTAGCTCTGACTAGGGAAGAATGAATCACTTCTGTACCCGCAGAAGACCCAGGGAAGTTACAGAGACAACATTCTTATGGTCAGTTCATCTGGTTGGCTGTATACCATGATTCAGGATTTGAAATGTTCCTTACCAGGGCCCTAACTTTCATATAGCAGACATGCTGTGGCTGAGCATTCAAATACCTCGGGAGTTCTGTTATTCTGACAACTAGGCCTTTGGTGTAACCTTAACTGTGTCTGCCCTTCCACTCCAAGTATAAGGGCATTTTTGTAAACTGAGACAGAAACTCTCTGGCTTTCACAATTAGGTATTTACTGCTGGTTAACAGCCCTTACTTCCTCATTATTCTTCGGCAAGTTTAATATAATTTAACAGTAATCAATGAACTCAGCATTGCTGCCCTCATATTTTTCCAAATACATATTCTTTTCAAATGACACCAAATGATATCATTATCATACCTTCCACAACATCCCCTGCCCTCACCCTCACTGGAACAATTTCTGAGGTCACCTCTGTTGAAATCTTTGGCAATTATTCTGCCACCTTGTGCCAGGGATGGCCTGTACTCCACTTATCAACCAGGATGATGTCCTCTCTACCTGCCATGTGCTGGGTGAGCTATGTTTACCTTTTACTTGTTAGAGTTAAGAAATATTTTAATCTTCCAAATACAATTTTCCTAAATTTCTTTACTCTTTTTCACTTATGTGTATAAATCAGCAAAATCATTTTTTCTCATAATATCTTGCCAAACGTAGCCAACAGCAACAAACATTGTTACCGACATCTATTTTCAGAGCATGTTTCCTGGAGCTCAAGTTAAATAGGTATATAACCTGACTTCCAGGTTAATACAATCAACAGTCTACCAGATGCTTCACTGACACGTTTTATGGATTTCAGTTTTTGAAACCAGTTTTCTCACCACCTATGTATGCTCAGCCCTTTAACTATTGCTACATACTTAATAAGGTTATTATTTCTCTGTAATTAGCACCCCACTTCTGGTATGAATTTCTGTTTCAGTTAAATTCGGTTAGCTTATATTACATTATCAAGCATATTCACAAATTTCAGTTTAAAAAACAAGGAATTTTTTTACTTACATAAATATCCCTAGTAGAGCAGCTGGAGACCTACTCCATTCTGTGCCCACTTTTGTAGTCCAGGCTGATGGAGCATCCACTATCTGGATCAAATCCTTGCCACCACCATGGTGCCTAACTCTGCTGGGGCTCCACCCAGTCACCACTGAGGCAACCAAGTATAAATCGGACTTATTCCAGTTGATACAGGAGCAGTTCTGTCTCCTGAGATAACTACTGAAATTCTAATTCTTCCCATCACTATTAGACCTGAGTAATATAGCTTATCCAAAGGCTCCATGAGCTAAACTCTGGGCATTGAGAACCTGGACAATAGGAAACAATGGTTAGAAGGGAACTCACAGATAAATCCCTCCTCTTTCCTTCTCACCACTCTCTCCTGCATCTATCAGGATCCACTCAGGAGACTGAAATCCCAGCTGCAACTTTAACACACACAAAAAAACTTAATGTAAAGACTTTTAATTAGATAAAAGGCAGTTGTATTAGTCTGTTTGATTTGCTATAACAAAATGCTGGGTGCCCTAAATAACAGAAATTTACATTCTCACAGTTCTGGAGCCTGAAAGTCCAAGATCAAGGTTCCAGCTGGGTTTCCGGTGGTGGTTCTCCTCCTGGCTTGCAAATGGCTGTTTTCTCACTATCCCGTCACTCACGTGGTCTTTCGTCAGTGTGTACACACAAAAGAAGAGATGGGGAGCTCTCTGGTGTCTCTTTCTTACAATGCCACTAATCTTATCAGATTAAAACCCACCCTTATGACCTCATTTACCCTTAATTATTTCCTTAGAGGCCACATCTCCAAATACAGTCATGCTAAGGGTTGAAGATTCATCATATGAATTTGGAGGTACATAGACATTCAGTCCATAATATACCATAACTTTGATCAGATTTTCCAAGTGACCTAAATCTAAGAAAATTTAACAATCACTGATTTGAAAATTAGAAAGTTACAGGGATGCCATGCCTAGAATGCACAGGTTTTCTTTAAGTTTTATTAATTAAGATATTAACAGGTTAAAAGATAGTAAAATATAAAAGATGAGACAGCCATTGGTTTTGCCTACATAATATCTATTCTCCTATACCTCCTTACTGTAGTAGACTTGGGAAAAAGTAACTATAAATTTCCCCCTTTCCTGTAAGTATTGTGAGTTTGCCATCCTCCCATCAGGAAGTAATATCTCTCTCTCTACTTGAACTTTGGATTAGCCATGTCATTGGCTGTAATCAATGGGACATTAACATACATAATATTAAATGATGCTTAAAAAGTACTAGTGTATTGGAGCTTGTCTTCTCTTCCTTTTTTTAGGAATGCTGGGACTACCATGAGAAGTCATATCTTCCTGGATCAGGAATGGTCATATAGAGAAAGAGGAAGGCCCAGCAATCCCAGCTGAAATCTTAGACAAGAGTTTAAGGCTATTGCAAATTATTCAGTCGAGCTGTCACAGAACCGCCCCACCAACCCAAATTGTGAGATATAATATTATCATTGTTTTAGGCAACTATATTCTGAGGTGGCTTGTTAAACTGCAAAATTCAATGTATTAATACATATCAACAAAATCCCAAATGTATTTGGTTTGGCAGTCTGGTTACTGAAGATAACCTTCCTGCAATCTATGGCTACAAATGGTATCCTCTTGATCCAGCTCTGGCCAATGACGCATACACATACGTTGCTAATTGGTGTCTGGTAGTGGAGCCATCTAAAGGGAGGCAATTCTTTTAGTTAGAATGATTCTTTGGCCCTTTGCTTTTCCTCCTCCTTCTTCCCTGGAATACAGATAAAATAAAGGAAGCATATTTCAACCATGAGATAAAAGTCCCACTCTAAGAATGGTGGGACAGGAAAATAGAAAGCAATTGAGCCCTGATGGCAGTTTAGCTGCCCTACCAGGTCAGGACTACACAATCTCCAGACTTTTTGTTGTATGAGAAAAAAAATCTTTAATCCACTGGAATAAATGAATGCAAATACTAACTCAACGTATTAAAGAAGGTGGAGTCACTGACGGTTCCTATTTTGCTGGCTTTGTCAACTGGATAATATTTCCATTAATCCAAAGAAAAGGCATATTTGGGGATAAGATAAATTTAGAAAATACTGAGTTTAAAGTGCCTATAAAAGGTATAGAAGACAGGGAAGATGAGAGGTAAGCCAAAGCTGTTATAATGCTGATACTTAGAGGGAAGATCTGGGTTTGAGTGTAATTTAGGGAATCATCAGCCAATGTTGTGGTAGGTAAAACTGTTAGAGTGCATGGGATTTCCCAGGAAGAGTCAGAAGAAAAAAGTGTAAAGGAAGAATCTTAGGAAACAGCAGTTGTTATAGGATGGTTGGAGCAAAGTGTTAAGAAATACAGATAAAAGAATGCTAAGAGGGTTAGACATAGACTCTGGTGAGCTTAATATAAGGATTGAGCATGTCCTTATTGGATTTACCAATCAGGAGGCCACTAAGGCCCTTTCTGAGAGCAGAGTCCCTGGAGTGGAACCAGCTAAAGCCGGATTATGGTGGGTGGAAGAGTGAATGAAAGGTGTTGATAAGGAGACCATAAGTCGACTTGGCTAGCGAATCTTGGCTGCAAAGGACAAAAAAATAGGGCAACACCAGAAGGAGACAGAGTAGAGAGGAAATTTTGCTTTTGCTTTTTAAAATATTTTGGTTTGTTGGTAAGACTTGAACCTGTTTATAGCCTGCAGGGAAGAAACCATTGCAGAGGGAGAGTGTGAAGATATAAGAAAAAGAAATACTGTAATTGATAGAACAAGGCCAGGCATAGGCAGCAAGGGATGGAATCAAGAACACAGGTGGATGGATTAACCTTAAACAGGAGTTGAATCTCTTCTTCCTGTGAGAGCGTCAATATTTCCTCCTGAAAAGGGGAAGGTGCACTTAGATCTACATGGATATACAAGAGAGATACAAAGGGCCTGACTGCTGTAGTTTCAGCTTTTGTCTGCTGTCTGATCTTGATTGGAGTCATGTAAGAGATCAGGAAGGCAGAGCTAGTGGCTTCTCTTGTTAAACCATGGCAGGAATCCCGCACCAGCTGCTGTCAGCTTTTGAAAGCATTCACTACTCATAAATTAATACCTACACGCTACAGTGCTACTTAATTAGTCATCGTTAATATTTCAAATATTGTGGATTACAACAAAACAAAAACATATAGTGTCATAGATTGATCATTCACCTACAGTTTCTAAAATGAGCAATATGCTTCCAGAAGAGAAGTCTTGTTCTCATGACACAATTATTGAGGAATTTGAATACGTTTAACCAGCTCAGGTTTATACAGTCACTGTCCTGAAAAGAGGATAATATTTTCTGTAATTAGATAATAGAAAAATATGTTCGGAACACACTTGCATTTTGTTTTGTAAATAAGATAAAATTGGAAATTAGAATGAGGCAAAGTGGAAAAATAATTGAGATGATGAAGCCTGCTAAGTTCAGGGACAAATTTTTGGAAGTATGTTGGAGGGCTTTTCAAGAACTGTTTGCAGTAGCATTGGTAACTTCATGACTTGAAATTAAAGTACAGAGGGGCATAGACTGTAGAATCAATCTACAATAAAGGTTTGAACGATAGTGGTCAAAAATTATACTAAATAGATGAGATAAGTGAATATATTTTTTGCTTTTTACATATATTTTTCTTAGTACTTGATTTTTATAATTAGTGTTAATTAACTGATTTTTTTTTTCCTTTCATTTGGATGTCTGATATATTACAGACCATGTGCCTTCAAGCAAATGCTCCTTTTGGATGTATCTTGTATCTCTTTTATTTTTTTAATATTTATCATTTTTTTGAGATGGAGTCTTGCTCTGTCCCTCAGACTCTTTTAGCCTCTAACTTGAATTGCAGTGATGTCTTTTTGCCTCTTTTGTTTATGGGAGGCAGTATGACATGGAAGATGCATGCCACCCTCGGCTCTGGAACCATATCAGCTCTGACTTACCAGCTTCATGACTTGCTGATTCCTCAGCTTCCGCGATCACCAGTAAAATGGTGTTTACGATACAGATCTTCTAGGGTTGTTGTAAGTACTCAATGTGTTAACTAATTAAAATCCCATAAAACAATCCTGGCATATTAAAAGCACCCTTAAATTTAAAAATGTCAGCTATCATTAAAATATAGTGATGATTTTTTAATGGTTATTTCATTCAGTAAATCTTCTACATATGCTAAATATTTAATAATGTGAACTTCAACAAAAAGTAGTTTTCGGTTGCCCTACCAAGTAGATTTTTACTTGTTTTTGATGAGGTTGTCCCTGGGTATCCATGGGTGATTGCTTCCAGGACTTCCTGAAGATGCCAAGATCCGAGAATGTTCATCTCTAATGTAAAATGGTGTAGGCCGGGTGCAGTGGATCAGGCCTGTAATCCCAGCACTTTGGGAGGCAGAGGCGGGTGGATCACAAGGTCACGAGATCGAGACTATCCTGGCCAACATGGTGAAACCGCGTCTCTACTAAAAATACAAAAATTAGCTGGGTGTGGTGGCCCATGCCTGTAATCCCAGCTACTCGGGAGGCTGAGGCAGAAGAATCACTTGAACCGGGGAGGCAGAGGTTGCCGTGAGCTGAGATCATGACACTGCATTCCAGCCTGGTGACAGAGCAAGACTCTGTCTCAAAAAAAAAAAAAAAGGTGTAGTATTTGTGTATCACCTAAGTATTAATACATCCTCCAGTATACTTTAAATCATCTCTAGATTACTTATAACACCTAATTTAATGTAAATATTATATAAATAGTTGTATTGTTTAGGGAATAGTGACAACAAAAAAAGTTTGTAAATGTTCGGTACAGATGCAACCATTCATTTTTTTTTTTCCCAAATGTTTTCCGCCAAGTGCGATGGCTCATGCCACCAGCAGTTTATGAGGCCGAGATGGGTGGATTGCTTGAGCTCAGGAATTCAAGACTAGCCTGCGCAATCATGGTGAAACCCAGCATCTACTAAAAACACAAAATTACCTGGGCATTGTGGTGCATGCCTGTAGTCCCAGCTGCTTGGGAGGCTGAGGTGGTAGGATTGTTTGAGCCTAGGAGACAGAGGTTTCAATGAGCCAAGATGCACCACTGCATTCCAGCCTGAGCGACAGAGGGAGACCCTGTCTTAAACAAATATATATTCGATCCTCGGTGTGTTGAATCCAGGGATGCAGAACCCATGGATAGAAAGGGCTGACTGTATTTGATGAGGTCTAATTTTGAAGGAGTATAAAACTTATAGCAAGGTACCAAAAGCAAGCATGTGAGTGTATAAGTATAATCAAGTCCATCTTTCTTTGCTGCTGCTGCTGCTGTTCCTTCTCCTTTTCATCCTCCTTTTCTCTTTCTTTTTGAGAAAATGAGAGATGGCTTTGTGTGCATATTTTCAGAGTCCAAACAGGAAGTAGGTACCTCTTAGCTGTTTTTTGAATTTTTGAAATTTGCTTGTCAACTGGATCCAAAGCTGATAGTGAATTTAATCCAAAAAAAGACAAATAGCATAAAATTTATATGAAGATATTTAGAAGAAAAACTAGTATTATAATAAATTGATGATCTGAGTGAAGATCAATAACCTTAATGATTAATACACACAAAAGGAATGAAATAAATTGAATGATTATGTTATAACGCTCCCTAGTGTAATAGTGTGTTTCTTTCCCTTTAGCTATAATTTTACATTTTTCTTTCATTTCTTATACTTGTTTTGGTTTGTAAGTAAGAAAACAACTAAACTCAGAGGAATGGAGGATGCCTAGAATCAGCATTTTCTTTTATGCCCACTAGATGGCAGGTATAGGACTCTGAATGCTTTTCAGGAGCTGTGTCACCTTTTTTTTTTTTTTTTTTTTTTTAAAAGCACATTATAATTGCACTCATGTAAAGTTCAAAAATAGTCAAAGCTAATTGGGTTAGAAGTCAGGATAGTGGCTACCTTCAGAAGAATGAAGCGACTGGAAGGGTTTATGGAGTACTGCAAATACCCTATTTATTTTTAAATTCATTAATTTTTTTAATTGACATATAACATTGTATGTATTTATTATATACAACATAATGTGTTGAAGTATATAAATATTGTGGAATTGTTAAGTCTAGCTAATTAACAAATGCATTACCTCACATAGTTATCATTTTTGTGAGGGGAATACTTAATATCCACCCTCTTGGCATTTTTTAAAAGTACAATACCTTGTCCTTAAGTATGGCCTTCATGTTGTACAATAGATCTCTTGAACTTATTTTGTTACCCATTCTTATTTGCAGCACTAGATGAGAAAACCAGTTTTGTTCAAAGCACAAAATTTTAGAAATGAATCATTTTATCTTCAGCCCCCTCCCCCAGTCTCCTACATAGATCCTAAAAAACAAACAAAAAAACGACTGGTAAAACTGGTAAAGGAAGGTAGGGTTTCTAATAAGGCTTTTAAGTATTTTCACACAATACACTCGTTTTCTGTCTTTTTCCTTTCTCCTTTGGACACATACAATCCAAAATGTGGTGTAGTCTCTGTGTAATCTCAGTTCTCTTATTTTTTCACAGTGGAAAGATCCCGGTTGCCCAATTGCAAGGGGCAGTGAGAGAGTACATTGTAAATTGTTTGTAGATTTACTTTGTTTTCTTTATGAAAAAAAGAGAGTAGGAAATTGGGGAATTTTAAATAGTTCTTTTTTCCTTGTTTCTCACCGTTTTGTTTAAAGTTTTTCTTTCTTTCTTTTTCTTTTTCTTTTTTTTCCTGGCTTGAAATACAGCTGAAATAACTGAATTTTCTACTTGAAACGTGTGTGCCTCTCCACTGAGGGGCCAAGGCCCTGGAAATGTAAAGGGCCAATCTTTGTTACAGAGGGGTTCATTGCAGTGAAGGGCGGGTTCTGCAAAGACAAACAGGTCTCACAGATAGTTGCCAAGGGCACCGAATACATCTTTGCATTACACCTTGAACTAGCATGCTCATATCACCTGTTTTTATTGCATGCACCATAAATGACTGTAAAAGTTTGCAAATCTTGTAGAGACCTTGGCAATCAATACTTCAGCAGGAAATCTACAAAGAGGGGAGTGGGAAGAGAAGGGATCCAGCCTAGTAGTTTGCCTATTTGTTACAAGAACCATACCTTGACATTGAGAATTATTAAGTATGTTCGATTTTCACGGTGTCTCAGCCAGATGCGTAACATACGCAGAGTAGTTTCAATTTAGACGCTCAATTTGAAATCTTGGCTTTGCATTTTTATTTACAGGTAACGGAGTCTGGGAACATTCCTGTGGCCTTCCTTAAACTGAACTTACTCTGGGTGCTTCTGATCTGTGACTTGAGCGCAAAATAAAGACTAATTTTTATCTGGGTCAATGTGGGGCCAACTAGGGTGGCCGGTCCTGAAGGCCACGCCTGCAGCTTTAGTGTTTTTAAATGTCTGACCACCAAACGGGTCATGCAAGTGTATGGACTTTTTTCTTTTCTTTTTAGAGTCTGCACAGTGATGGTAGGACTGGGAGTACTAATCAATCCCTGTGCCATGTTCAATCGGTCTGTTCTACTGATTTTTTTCTTGTTGTTCTTGTTTCACCGTGTTAAATTTAAGTCTTTAAGAAGTGGACGCCCCGTGGAAAGCCCGACAAATGAAACAGTAGAGGAGGGTACCAAAGTCCCGGGGTCCCAGTTGCAGTCCGCTATTGCTCCAGGCCCAGCGGGGGCGGACCTCGTTGGAGGCTACGGTGCAGGTCGGAGAAGATGAAATGGCCTAGCATCCCCCTTCCCAGGGGCTCGAGTCGGCAGCTTTAGAGCTCCGACAATCTGTGCCCTCGCTTTGGGCTGCGCCAGGGAGCAAAAAACCTCTGCTTTTTTGAAAGAGGCCGGGGCAACAAGGTAGAGAGCCGCGGCCAGAAGCAGCCCCGGGCCATAAACCCGAGGCCTGGATGGCTTAAGGCTGAAACCGCCTCCGCCCCCACCCTCACCCTGCTGGCCGAGCCCTCCCCCCTCCTAGCCACAGTGACCGGAATCCCAGACTTCCCTTCTGATGCATAAAACATTCAGTGGCCTCCAGGGAGTTTTTGAAATTCTGGCGGAGGCTGCTTTATCCGTTGTTTCGCCCCCTGGGTCAAACACTGGTCCACTGGGTGAGTTGGAGGAGCGAGTAGCTCAGCTATAGATTAAATTTAACCTGAGCCCCGGTGGCCGCGTCCCGCCCGCGGTCCTTTCTATACGAGTAGCTTTGAAGGTGTCACCGAGCTGTGCCCAAATCTAGAAAAGAATGGGAGGAGAACTGCATGAGCTTTTAATTTTCTTCCCTTTTTCCCCCCTTCCTGCGTGTAAACTGGGGTAAGGGTGGGCGGTAATCCCCACTGATTGAGCCCGCGCGGGGAGGTAAGGACTCCGGCGTGGGTGCCACCGCGGTTGCGAAAAATCGGGTTCTGAACCCGGTCAGCAGGAGTGGCAGCGCCCCAGCAGCACCTAGGCAGGAAGAGGACACTTCCCGTTCGCGTTTGGTGATGGTTTCATGTACCAGGACATGGGTGCGGAGTTGTCCTCAGAAATAGGGTCTCTGGATGCTGAAATCATAAAGACCTTTTCCCTGAGGTTGTGCGCGCGGGCCCGCGCCCTCCCTACTTCCTGAGCCCTCTGCCTGAGGCCACTGCTTTTAATTAATAGTATCAGAACGGTTCGTGGGAGAACCTGGAGTTCTTATCAAGACAATCTTGGTGGCGTTGGGAAGCGCGAGAGTAGGGGTGGGGGGATGGGGGTGGGGGGAATGGTGTAAAAAAGTACCAAAGCGAAAAGGAAAAGTACAGGCTAAACGAGACATTTAATAGGAAAGTGAAGTAAAGGGTTTTTTGACGCCACATTTTGTGTATTTAGTTTTAGGTTAAGAGCAGATGCAACATAAATATATATGTGTATAATTTCCCCCTAACCACTAACTAGCGAAATGGAACATTGTATCTACTGAGAACCTTTCCCTGAAAAATTATCCTGAGCCTTTCTTCTTATTGTTGTCCAACCCCCGCCCCCCGCACCCCCAAGCATCAGGGGACGACTCTCCATAGAGCACATTTTTCATCTTCAGCAGCTTCAAGCCATGCCATGGAGAATCGTAATAAATTAGTTTCAGGAACAATATAAGTGATGCTCTAAAGCTTGGTCGTGTAGCATTGGTTTATCTAGTAAAAACTGCCAAGCTCCAGAGGGGAGTCAAATCCTTGTTCCTTCTAGTTCTTAACGTCGTTTATTTATTCATTCATCCATTCATTCATCTGAAACCCCTCCTTTCTTGCTCCTGGCACAGGAGGATTGGCAGTGTTACCTAAACTCTTCTCAGGGGTTTTTAAAAATTGAACAAATGCAATGTTTTTCTTAGATAATAACTAAGACTTCACAGAGTTTAATTTCTTGAATGCATGACTTTTTTTCATTATTGAAAATCCTCGTGTTGATAAATTTTATCGCAAAGGTTCTACATATTGTGTCAAAATAATTTTGTACACAGAACATGTGATTATTTCCTGGTAGATCAGCGATTCTACCACATACCAGAAATGAATTGATTATCCAAAACCCAACCCACTTACATCGCAGATTAACAGTGGAATAAACTGAGACTATTGAATTAAAATATTATTTCTCTGCTGAGAACAAGAGATGTCAGGTGTCATTAAAGCTTCTGTGAATGAGGATGAAGAACTTGTCTCCAGACTTTGTGTTTTATGGAAACTATACATTCATATTTTGGCATAGAATAGACCTTCATTCTCCAAGTATCTGGAAATATTTTTAAAGAAAATGTCCACAGGTGATCTGTAAACAACACACCTATGAAAGATTTGCATAATAAATATAACCCGTTAATTGTAACTCTTTTGCCTCTGCCGTGTCTGGATGGTTTCCCATGAGCGACATGAACAGAGGCCACTTTCTTGACACGGTTTGCAAACCGCGTGGGCAATGAGGAACCAAAGAATATGTTTTGTTCAAAAAGGTCGATTTTAAGAAAAATAGTATATGATCTCTCTCCTTTGTCCTCATTTCTAAAACAGCCAACAACTTGTTTTTCAAAGAACCTTTCAGCAAGATATTCAGAAGGAGAAAACTGAGAAAGTTTAGTAAATCCGATCTAAAAAGAAAAAGAAAAAAACACCTAGCCCTTTGATCTCCCTGGCATTGTTATTACAGCCTTAAAATATCAGCCAACCCTCTGGTAGGAAAAGAAAAATCTTACGGATTAAGTAACTATTTATCTCACGATGATAATTACTTGTTTGACCTGAAGTCACTCATTCCTGAAACCACGAGTTAAATTGTTGAGATGTTTTTAAAAGCCGGCGCTCTGGCTATATTTCTGGTGAACAAATGCCTGACCAAGAAGATCAGCGCATCTGGGACGGGTCTGAGACCCACTTCTGCAAGTCGAAAGCTAAAGGGTATGGGAGGGAGAAAGGGAAGTTTTCCATCAAATACATATCTAAAGAGGTACTTAAAGACTAAAACCACAGGTAGCTGGCACGGATGGGAACGGAAAACCATTCCCCCTCCTCTTCCCAGAACTCTTGCTGAGCTAGGTGGTCAGGAGCGTCATGGTAGAATATAACCCCAGAGGCCCAAGGTGCAGTTTGAAGAAACGGTGGCGGCTTCCCCTAGTGGTGTGGCTTCAGAGCTGCTCCTAGGAAGCCATTTAATTCCCTTTAATGATATTTCCAGCCGTTTTCTGGACCTCATGAGCTCAGGATGAAATCAGCATTCTAGGGTCAGCAGGCTTCTCCCTGCTACCACGTGTCCAGAAGCACTTCCACAAGCCAGGGTTGACATCGCCCAAGACGAGGCGTGACCCGGGGCGGGGGAGGGGACTTCGCCCGCGTCGCGTGAAGGATGCCCTGGCCTTGGGCTGCAGGCGCGGACCCCCGGGGGCTCCCCAGGGTGTAGGAGGCGGAGACTGATCCGCTCTAGCCCCGAGCGGTCCAGCGCGGGGCGACTCGCCCGCATAGTGGAGATTCCGGCATGAGGCGGCGGCAGTCACCGCCTGGCTGCCCCGCGGAGGCCCGGGAGAGCCGCTGCGGTCTCGGGAGGCCGGGCTTTGGGACTTGCTGGCCCGACCGCCAGTCGCCCTGGGGCCTTGGGAACAGGGAAATGCGCGCGCCGAGGCGGTGGCGGCCTCGCTGCTTTCAGTTTTCATTGAGTCTGCTGGTTACTGTTTAACGTCCCCACCCACGTTTCAGTTTGTTTAGTAAATCGATAGGACTGTGAGAGTCAGGCCGCTGCCCTGTCGCCATTGAGCAAAGCTAATATTCTCCCAGCATATGGTCTAAAATCTTTGCTAGAGATCGGGAAAAAGAAACAAACAAACAAACAAACAACAACAAAATCCTTAAGCTTCCTCTCCCAAGTCCCCCCATCCCCACCCCCACTTCCCACCTCCTCGCTTTCAGCAAACTTCCCAGCCTGGGAAAAGTGCGGCGCGGGACAGCGCGACGGGGTGGGTGGGGGACCTGCTGCCGGGAGATGCGGCGGCGGCCGCGCGGCTGACTGCGACTCGGGAGCTCCGGGAGCGGCCCGCGCAGGTAAGTTTCTCCGCCGCCGCCCGGGGCCCGGGCTGGCCGCAGCGCACCGCCCCGGCGGCTGCCGGGCAGGAGGAGCCTCGGTTCCCCTCGGGCGGCTGAAGGAGGGGCTGAGCCTCAGGACCCCTAGGCCAGGCCGTGTTGAAAGCAGATACCCCGAGGCCTCGCCCAGCCTGCGCTGGAGGGAAGAAGGCGCTGGAGGTGCGGCAGCGGGCAGTGGGGGGACCGGGGAATTGAAAGGTGCCAGTCCTCTACCTTAGAAAAGAAAGAAAGAGAGAAGGAGAGAGAGAGAGAGAGAGAGGAGAGAGAGAGAGAGAGTTGTATTTGTTTGGGTGCAGAGAAAGCTTTGGTGGCTGTAGCGGGTCATGTGATTCCCAGGTCTCTGGGGGGTCTTCCGTGTAAGTACTTCTGTGGCCTGGGGCAAGGCCAGGACAAATGGATGTTCGTGGACCCTGGAGGTCTGTGGGTAGGTGCTTGGTCCTGCAGCATCACCCCATGCATGGCCTTTGCTCAAGTCTCAGCTTCCATCCATCTCTCATGGACACATCTTGGGAGTGGGCATCTGCCGGTGATGCCGTTGGGGGATATTTTAAATATAGTATTGAGATCTTCCTAGTTAACTTTGGGATGAAATGTCCTTTGGAAGCTTAGTTAACAACGTGCCAGTTAAGCAATAACCGTTCTGTGTCTAACTGAAATAAGCCAGCACGTGATAAGATCTTAGAATGGAATGAATATATGTGCTTCATACCTGATGATCTGTGCTTATAAATCTTGCTCGGAACTGAGTCAAAGCACTGTACAACAAGCAAAACAATCAGCATGAGTTTTCACTTGCGGGCAAGGGCAAGAGAATACAGAATCCAGAAGCTCAAAAGTGAATGGGATGTCCCGGAAACTAAACACTCATTGAGAGCACCATTTCCTGGTTTTGTTTTTGTTAGTTTCTTCTGCTTTCTCGTTAATTTTACAGGTTTCCCTTCTCTCTTTAGAAGCGGTTATTTGTCATTAAACATTCTTCCTGTCTAGCTGTCACCGTTTTTCCTTAGGAGTCCTCCTGTCCCCACCTCCTCACCACCACTCCCTCTCTTTTCATGTCCTGTGGATACTCTCACTCAAGCCACCTGATCTGCTGTGTGGTCGAAGTAGGTGACCAAGTAGTGTTGGGCTCTTTCCTGGTATCACTTGAAGGTGTGGCAAGGAGAGGGAGGTGGTGGTGAGTGGTGGTAAACTGCTCATTTTTCACTTTTCAAAATGGAGTGGAAAATTGAGAGCCGTTTGTCTTCCCATTTCTCCTAAGCTCCAGTTATGGGCCCACAAATAAGGACATTTTTCCAAAGTGCTTTATGAAGGTTCAACTCTTTTAGTAAAGTGTGTTTATTAAGATCTCACAAATATTGCATTTTTAATCACGGTTATAGGCATATGGGATAGCGCAAATTTATTTTAGGGATTGCTAAGATTAAAAAAAAATACTCCTCATGCAAATAATAAGTATTTGTTTTTGAGTGCCTTGTTCTTTTTTTTTTTTTTTTTTTTTTTTCCGAGATGAAGTCTTGCTCTGTCACCCAGGCTAGAGTATAGTGGCACAATCTCGGCTCACTGCAACCTCTACCTCCCCAGTTCAAGCAATTCTCCTTCCTCAGCCTCCAGAGTAGCTGGGATTACAGGCGCCCACCACCACACCCGGCTGATTTTTGTATTTTTATTAAAGATGGGGTTTCACCATGTTGGTCAGGCTGGTCTTGAACTCCTGACCTCGTGATCTGCCCGTCTTGACATCCCAAAGTGCTGGGATTGTAGGAGTGAGCCACCCCACCCGGCCTGTTTTTATTTGTTTTAAATTCTTGTTTTTTCTATAAATTCTGAAGGTAATATTTTCTCATAAAACAACATCAAAATCGTAGTAAAATAGAAAAAGAGCCCCCTCCCCATTCCACTCCATGTAGTGTAACTTCTGTTGATGTTTGGGTTTGTGTTTCTCTAATCTCTATGTGTATAACACAGACAGTTTTATTGTTTTAAAATTTGAATGGTTCATATCATACTAGTATTCTGAAATTTATTTTTCTTTAATATTTTTCAAATACTTATCTGTCAATATATACAGATTTTTTTTTAAATGTGTCTACCCAATGTAACCAGCCAGTGTCCCTCAGAATATTCGCTTGGATTTTTCAATTTCTAAGTATTACAAACAATGATATGAATATCTATGTACATTATCTTTGCATGGGTACTGCTGAATATTTATTCTGAGAAGAGAATTGTTGGCACCAGGGAGATGTTTGATAGATATTGCCAAGAGCCTTTCTAAACACCCACAGTATATTTCTTGTACCATGCTTGCCAACACTATATAATAATGATTTATTTAGAATGTTGTCAATCTACTGTTGAAAAATTGATTCCTCATTGTTGGGAATTATATAAACCAGTCCCAGAACATCTGACTTGGGGAGTTCGGGAATTTTTCTTTAAAAATATAATAAAATGGGAATGGAATTAAATACACTTGAATATACCATCTTATTCTGAGCTTGTAAAAGAATCTACCGCATTTGTTACTAACTATCCATTTACTGAATGGCTGGAGATACTGATACATGATAATGAGCATTTCTAGATTGCAAACATGTGGACCATGTTTGCAATAACAACATGTTGCAGTTGTGATTTTGTGGTTTGTAACTACATGTTTTCCTTCCAAAGAGAAGATTCACACCCCTAGGGCAAAAGTATGATTTTAAATGAGGTGTTATAGCTCTGGGTCCTTTAAAAAGTTATCCATGCAAATGAAACTGGGTATGTTGTTGAAACAAACACAGTCTTGCAATTACTTCTCTCCACCATCCTCAAAGGTATTTATACCTATTGGTGTCAGTCCTGACACTCATATAGAGACATAAGGAACTCTGCAAATATGGCTTACTCTTATTCTTATGTTTTAAAGAATACGCACGCACACACACATATAGATCAGGTAATTCTTATTGAATACTTAATATGCACTAGGTACTATTGTAGGCAATTTATATGCCTTTTGCTTTTTAGATTCTTATAACAATCCTGTGCTGTTCATATTAACATTCTTCCTACTTTACAGACGGAAAAAGTGAACCAGAGAGAAATGAAATAACTTGACTAAGGTTACACGTTTACATGGGATAGAGCTGGGGATTCAAATGAAGGCACGTCAGCTCTAGGTCGTGAACGTAACTATGGCTGCTCCATGTCCTCATTGAGTTGCTTGCTGCACAAAGGTGCCTAACTGAGCAGAGGAACGGTTGAAACCTTTACACTACCCACAAACCAAACCATGTCCCTTTGTTCTTGGCTGAATATTCCCTGGGGAAGGCACTTTTCTAGGCCACAGAATATCTGTAAGAGGTATCAGCACCCTTGCTGCTGTTGGATAATTTGTAGGAGCTACACAGACCTATTGGTTTCCATATGTATCTTTGTAACTCAATACTATTTACCTACTCATTATGGGTAGAACTTAAATAACAGATTTGCCTTATTGCCTGTTCTTCCCTACCTTATATTTTAAAACATGTTGACAGAGTATGCTCTTTACATGATAGAATTAGCTGATAACATCTGATGTTCCCCTGAAAACCTTTTATTTTATCAAGATGGTTTCCTGGAAAACGAATAGGGAGTTCACTTTTTTTCTTTTTGTGTGACACTCAACATTTTGAAGAACATGAAGGTCTTTAAGGATGACTAGCTTCATGGGAAGCTGCGTGGTGTATAAGTCACAAGGGCAGGCCTCGTTGTCAGATGGCAAGGTTTACATCCCAGCCCAGTTATTCACTAAATGGGAAGGGAGGGGTGCTTGGGCAACCTATCCTCTTTGAGGTCCAATTTCCTCATTTTTGAAATGTTTGCAATTATAATACCTATGCCATATAATTGGTAGGGTAATTACATATGCTAATCCATGGGAAACATTTAGAACAGTGCCTGGCACATTGAGTACCAGGTATGTGTTCTGTGTTGCTGTTCTTATGGTAGAGTGAGATAATGCATCTACAGCACTGCTTGACTTGTTGTAAGTTCTTAATAGGTGTTACTTGTTTTTATTGATCTTCTCTCTAGAGATTATTATATTTATATACACAAAGTACTTATAACTTCAGAAAATTGTGGACCGCTGGAAACCTGTCCAAGCCCTCTAATAGGCCTTGGAGATGTATTGATGAATAAGAAAGAGAGTCTCTAATTTCTTGGAGCTTTCAGCTAAGCAGTGTAGAGAAAAATCACACCAAGTATAGTTCCATGGCTGGAACATTGGCTTTGGAGTTATTCCTACCTGTGTGCAGATCTCAATTCTGCCGCCTGTCAGTTGTATATCCCAGAGCAAGTCATTTAATGTTTCTTCAGATTAAATAGCTATGAAATGAGAAAATAGTTCTTACTTTCAAAGTACATATGGATAAATTCTTGCATTATTTAAATTAAGCATTTTGTCTGTTGAATGTTTGACACTTCCTACACTCTATTTCAGTATAGAAGAATCATATTTATAAAGGATAACAAAAAAATTGACAAGAAATCTAGGCAGCTTTTCCCCCATCTCATTTAAAAGTATCATTATTTAATAGTAGGATATCATTTAAAAGTATGATAACACCTGGATCTGACAATTTAATGTTTTAAGTATTTTGAATCTTTGTTCCCGTGGGCTTATGCACTGTCTTGTGCTTTGCTTATGCTCTTGGCTGACTGAAGATTATGGACTGTGTTTTAGAATTTTTTTTTTTGCATTTTCTTATTTCAGACATCATAGTTACAGGTTCCAAATAAAGTTAATATATATTATTTTAGCAGGAATTAAGTTATAGGGTCTCTACACGGTACCTGGAATACAAATATAAGTATCACTGCAAACAGTGATAATCTACCTTGAAGACAAACATAAGGTGACACTATTATATTAGGATAACAGATAATTATAATTAGTATAATACCGTGGAAAACAGAAGCAAAAAGGGTACATTTAGCTTGAGTAGCCTGGAGATATTTCAGGGAAGTGTTAATGACTTCTGATGAGAACTTGCTGAGTAGAGAAGAATTAGAAAAGTATTTGGGGCAGAGGAGATCAGACTTGCAGTAGGAATAGTAGCAAGAGATGAAGTGGGGAAGGAACACTGGGCCAGATTCTAACAATATTGAATGTGGGTAACAAGGATTGGACAATGTCTGCAAGGCACCGGGAAGCCATCACAATCTTTAAGCAGGTTGAGTTAAGATTTTTTTTCTTAAGATTGACTGGCAGCATTTTGGAAAATGGGTTAAAGACAGAAAGAAAGGGAGAGGAGAGGAGGACAGGAGAGGACAAGGGAGGGAAGGGGAGGGGAAGGGAGGGGAGGGGAGGGGTGGGGAGGGGAATAGTGAGAACTACGATAGTGGCCAGTGGCAATGAAGGTGAGAAGACATTAGAATCTGTAGGTTTCAAAGGTATTTAAACTGAATTGATCAATTATAGAATATGTAAGATGAAGGAGTGAGAGAGATTGAAACTGACCTACATTTTTATATTTCTCAGCAATGACTTAGAAACAACTCTTTCCTAAAGTTCTCCTGTCTGGCTGGGGATACCTATAAAAAAAAATTATTGGCTGGGTATGGTGGCTCATGCCTGTAATCCTAGCACTTTGGGAGGCTGAGGCGGGTGGATCACTTGAGGTCAGGAATTTGAAACCAGCTTGGTCAACATGATGAAACCCCACAAAAAAATGAGCATGGGCATGGTGGCGGGCGCCTGTAAGCTCAGCTACTTGGGAGGCTGAGGCAGGAGAATTGCTTGAACCTAGGAGGCTGAGATTGCAGTGAGCCGAGATTCTAGCATTACACTCCAGCCTGGACGACAAAGAGAGACTTTGTCTAAAAGATTTAAAAAAAAATAAAAAAATTATTATTCACCATGCTAAGTATAATTGTTGAGTCCTGGGGAAGTATTATTAAAACCTAGTGAAAAGCCAACTCACTTTTCCTGGAGTAGGTTAAGAAATTAAATATAAATTCTTTATTTTTAAGTCAGGTTTATTGAGATATAATTTGCAATCAGTAAAACCCCTTTTTATGCATGTGCTTCAGTGAGTTTTGACAAATGTATGTAGTTTTGTAACCATTACCACAATGAAGACAAAGAACATTTCTGCACCCATCCCCCTCAAACTCCCTGTGCCTTTTTGTAATTTTTCCCTCCACTACACCCCAGGCAACCACCGATCTGATTTCCGTCATTAATGTTGCCTTTTCCAGGATAATATATAAATGGAATCATATACTATGTACCCTTTTATGTCTTTTTTTTTAATTTAGCATAATTATTTTGAGATTCATTCATCTTACTTTGTGCATCAGGAGTTTATTCCTTTGGGGGAGAAAAAAAAACCTTGGATTTATGAGGTGTTATTGACATACCATAAACAGCGTATATTTAAAGTGTACAATTTGAGAAGTTTTGATATATGTATATACCCATGAAATCACCACAGTAAAGATAGTGAATATAGCCAACACCTCCAAAGGTTTTCTAAAGCTCTTTTATACACTCTTTCTCCTGTTCCTTGCATTCCCTTCCTTCCCTGTCCCAAAGCAACCATTGATCTACTTTCTGGACCTGTAAATTCATTTGCATTTTCTAGAATTTTATATCCATGGGGTCACGCAGTATTATTTTGTGTCTGGCATATTTCACTCAGTGTAATTATTTTGATATGCATTTATTTGGTTGCATGTATCAATAGTTGTTTTTAAAAATATTTTTTGCTAAATAGCATAATGTTGTATAGATATTCTGCAATTTGTTTATCCATTCACTTGATGAACATTTGGCTTGTTTCCAGGTTTTGGCTATCACAAATAACGCTGCTATGAACTTTCTTGTATCAAGTCTTGGTGTGTACACTTACATTTGTCTTATATGATTACCTAGGAATAGAATGGTTGGATCATAGGCAAAGAATTACCAATCTGGTTTCCAGAGTAGTTGTCCCATTTTACATTCCCACCAGTAGGGCTTGAGAGTTTCAATTTCTTTACAGCCTAACCAACACTTGGTATGATCAGTCTTCTAATTTTAGACATTCTAAAAGATATAAGATATTTCATTGTGATTTTAATTTGTATTTCCCTAATGACTAATGATTCTGAACATCTTTTCATGAGCTTATGTAACATAAATGATTATCTTTGGTGAAGTTTTGTTCAAATCCTATGCAGTCCCCTTCTTTTAAAAACTGAGTTGTTTGTTTTTTTTCATTATCAAGTTAGAAGAGTTCTATATATATTATAGATATCAGTCCTTTTCAAGATATGGGTTTTGAAAATATTTCTCCCCACATGAATTTATTCTTATACAAGGGATAGGATTTGATCAAGAGAAAAAGGGTAAAGATATTATATTCATAAATGGGAATAGCATGTACAAAAAAAGAAATAAAAAATTGGATTTATGAGGCCTCAATATGGAGTAAAATAGAAAAAGGTGATAGAAAATGAGTTTTCAAAAATAAAGAGTAGCCTGAATATAAAGACTTATGGAATTTAGACTCTTTTTGTGAGCACCAATACTAATAAATATCAATACAACAACAATAGTTATACTAAGAATTGAGCATTGCAGTTTATAGAGTGTTTTTATATACACGGTCTACAGTGTTTCCCCCTGGATCAATTTGCTTTAGTCCTGTGACAACTATGTGAAGGCGCAGAGACTCGGGGCCATGTGAAGTCAATATCAAATATAGGTTTTTGGGGTTTAAGCCAATGCCTTTTCAACCAGTGTGTGCACGTGTGTGTGTTGGGGGGTGGGGGGCATGTATATGTACATTTAATGGAGTGTGAGGAAAGAATGACAGCTGGATTGGTCTACAAAGGCTCAGAAGGGCACTTTCCCAATAGGGCAGGGGAGAGTGTCCTGCTGAGCTCTGGCAGGTGGTACAATAGGTTCTGATAAAGTTTGGGTTGTATACCCGTACTTTAAAAATGACAATTCACAGTTATTATAGAATGGTTCACAAAAATTTCAAAATCTCAGAAGATATTTTAGATTCTGTGAATTTTTTTTAGTTGTCTTTTATTTGTAACCTGACCCTAGATAAATAAAGTAAAATGATATGTTAGTTAATTTGTTAAGACAAAAATAATGTGATCAAGTTCTTTTCTTTATTTTTAATTTTGTTGTTTTATTTTTAATGTCTCATGGGAATTCAAAGAACTTACTTTTTCAAACACAGTCCTTTTGTTCAGTATATTCTGATTTCATTGTCTTGCTCAGGGCTCTGCCCTGACTTTTTTCTGCATACGGCTGACATGCAATTAGAACATCAGATCAACTTCGGAAACATGAATAAAAATTACCTGCTGAATAGACTCATGATTTGGACATTTTCTTTTTTTTCTTCAGTTTTTGAACTTACTTGGAAGCTTTGAAATGTCCTGATTTGCTGTGTTTTCAAAATTTTCACCCATTTTTAACTCCTATAGGTTCTTTTTATGGTAAAGTACCAGTGGCTTATAACCGAGAGAAACTGAAGTCTACTTGCCAGTGTGTGGCTTCTCCATATTAAAATGCTGTACCCTTAAAAGGAAGGTAAAAATGATTTTAATAGTAATTATGTTTAATATGCTCATACACATTACTGTATGTTATTTGTGCCTCTTTTGTGTGATCAGTTCAAAATCACTTTAAGAAAACTGCTGAAGTATTGTACAGCATGTCTATGTAGACTTCGCATGGGACCTGCCATTTTCTCACAGATAAACCTAGAAGGCTTGAGCTTCTTTTAAAATAAATTTGCATAATCATTCTGTTTATGTTCATATTACTTAATTAGTTTGGGGTGATGAAAAACACATGCAGGTTTTGGAGTTAAATACACGTGATTCAAGCCTGCAGCTTTGAGCATGTTAGCAAACTTCCTGAAGCTCTCCCTACCCAGTTTACTGTACATTGTGAGACATAAATAAGATGACATTTAAAGTGCTCAGCATAGAGTCTGGCAAAAGGTGGATGTACTTAATAAATGTGTAATTGCTTGCTATCTTGACTCTTCTTTATATTAATATTTCTATATATTTATTCCGATTACTGTAGGTTTGGTACACACACATACGAGCATGTGCATGGTCGCACGCGTGTGCGCACACACACACACACACACACACACGCTGCTGTGACTAGTCAGCATTCTGTTATTTTTATTTTTTATAGATGAGGGTCACCCAGGCTGAAGTGCAGTGGTATGATTATAGCTCACTGTAGCCTCAAACTCCTGGCGACAAGTCATCCTTCTGCCTCAGCCTTCTGAATAGCTGGGATTACAGGGAGTTAACATTTATTCAGTTTATGTGTGCTAGATACTAAATGCTTCACATATATTAAATTGTTTAATTCTTTCAATAACTCTATACGGTATAAGATATTGTTATCTCCACTATGCTACTAAGGAAACTGAGTCAAGGAGATGTTATGAATACCCAGTGAGACTAAATAATTAGTGTAAGCATTAAATAGGAACCAAGGCCATTCGTCTCCAGAGCCCAGTTTCTTCTGATAATAACTTAAATACTAATAAGGTCTTATGCTATTAATCTCATCTCAGTTTTTACAGTATCTTCTAAAGCTAAAAATGAAATAAGGTAATTTTATTTTTCTCCTTTGTGTTCTATCAATTATTTATATGAAGCATATGAATGATTTCACTGAATTCAATTTGAGCATCTATTAGGTGAAAATAATTTAACTGATATTTCATGTGTAAATAAACAATACGGCAGATTGACTTCTGAGACGTGTTAGAATAGATTTTGTAAAACCCTGAACATGAAATTTTAATTGAAACTAATTTATGAAATCAGGAATAAAAATGATAATAGTCACATATTTGATCAAATAGAAGCTGGTGCTTATGGTATTAATTTTTATCTAGTTTTGCACGATAAATTTTGAATACTTAGTTAATTATAAATGTGTGTGTGTCTACACACACACACACACACACACACACATATATTTTAGGTAGGAGTGTTAGTTTGCTAGGGCCGCCATAACATAATGGGCCACGTACTGGGTGGCTTAAATAACAGAAATTTATCTTTTCACAGTTCTGGAGGCTAGAAATTTAAGATTAAGGTTTCAGCAGGCTTGGTGTCTTCTGAAGCCCTTCTCCTTGGCTTGCAGATGGCTGCTTCCTCCTGGTGTCCTCATGTGGCCGCCCCTAGATTGGTGTGCTGTCTGTGTCCTGATCTCCTTTTATAAGGACACCAGTCATATTGTATGAGGGCCCACCAACTTGACTTCATCTTACCTTAGTTATTTCTTTCTGAGGTACTACTGGGGGTTAAGACTTTAACATATGATTTTGGGAGGGACACACAGTTCAGCCAATAATAACAGGGCAACCATAAAATGGTTTTGTCTCATTAGAAGCTTGGATGTTTTAAATCTTCCTTACAGTCTATGCATATATTTGTTTTCGACTATCAATTAAATCAACTCGGTTCAAACATCTAGAATCAAAACCATTTATGTTTACTTGTAGAAAGCTTTCCTCTCTCCTAACAGTCATATCCTCATCCACACTTTCCTCATATTTGGCCTTAGTATATTCCCCCTTTGACAAGTCCTTCTGGCTAGGACAAATGGCAAAATTGATGTGGCTTGAGGATGATATCCGGAGTCACTGAATATATAGAAAGAAGAATCTTTCATGAATAACCTAGTGATAAGTCTCTCTCTCTCTCTTTTTTTTTTTTTTTTTTTTTTGAGATGGAGTTTCTCTCTTGTTGCCCAGGCTGGAGTGCAATGGCACGATCTCAGCTCACCGCAACCTCCGCCTCCCGGGTTCAAGCGATTTTCCTGCCTCAGCCTCCCGAGTAGCTGGGACTACAGGCATGAGCCAGCATGCTTGGCTAATTTTGTATTTTTGGTAGAGGCGGGTTTTCTCCATGTTGGCCACACCGACCTCGAATTCCTGACCTCAGGTGATCCGCCTGCCTCGGCCTCCTGAAGTGCTGGGATTACAGGCGTGAGCCACTGCACCTGCCTGTGATAAGTCTCTTGTTTTTTAAAAAATAATTTTTGCCTGCTACTTATGTACAAACCACTATTTTCCCATCATGGCCTTTGAGTCAATGATAGTGTTTTGATTAAATAGCAGCAGAGGGAAGTTCTGTGGACATGCATGTTTGTGTCCCTGAGACTATCAGAAGTTAAACAACAATGCCAAAGTAAGCTGAACTCCAAAGCAAGGCAGATACTGTGTTTGCATTTGGGAGAAACCGTTTTAAGTATTTCTTTGAGGCTTTTGTACTCTGCTCGGTTCAGGTCCTCATACAGGCATTTATGTATCACCTTAATTTATAAATGGTGAGTTTTAGTAGGAAGCATTGAATTTACACAAACAATAATCCAGAGGCTACTAAACTGGGTACTTCTCTTGAATCAATGGAAAGAAAAACACAGCAAAGCACCCTTCATGCTGAGCAAAAGTTTCAAGATGTCAGACCCATTCCGAGGGACACTATCTATGGTGGCTTCCCCTCTGTCCTGTTTGAAAGAGATAAATACACATAAGCCTTTAAGATACAAAGGGCAGTTTCTGTATTTGAAGTTATGCATTACACTGGTGATTTCAGAGTTTCTCAGGTAAAATCCTAACAACTGTGATTGCAGTACAAGCTCCATGATTCACGCCCACCAACACTTCAATGTCACTGACAATGTAATTGCAGCTCATGGATGTTTAGGAGAGTGTGCTCACTCCAGTGCGTCTGTTTTAAAACAGCGAGTGATTAGTTGTGTTATGGCTTTAGCCATCTTGCAATAAATGTATTAGGAACAGTGGTTTATTGATTTAGATAAATGTATCAGGTCCTAGCTATTTAACTTCTTTGTGCTTTAGTTTGCACATCTCTAATATGGGATACTACCACTTAACTTTCATAGGATTCCTGAGAATCTTCAGTTGAACAACATATATAAGACAACACTCAGCACCATTTCTGGCACTTGGTAGTTGCTTAACCAACTGAAATATTTTTTCGCTATTATTTTTAATTTCCTCTTATGATATCAGAACTAGGTTAAAAAAAAAACTCCCAATTTTTTGCTTAAATCAAAAGCCAGGAGTCTTCTTAATTTCTGTCTTCTCCTTACACATCTTATCTAATTCATCAGTAAATTAGAGATCTGCCAATATTAACTTCAATTGGGCCTCACATTTTCTACTTATCTTTATCTCTACTGCTGCTATGTTGTCTGAGCCAATTGTGTACGTGGACAACTGCTGTAAGTCTACGAACTGCTTTCTCCGTAACCACATTGCTCCCTTCAAGGAGGACATTCTTAAAACTTAAATAAGAATATGTTATCTTCCTGCTTAAAATCATCTGATTGGTTTCTCATTGTACTAGGAATAAAGTCCAGACTCTTTCTTGCGGCCTATGAGGTGTTTGACGTTCCGGCCTCAGCCGTCTCTCTTTTACCTCTTGCAACTCTCTTTGACCCCTGAAGTTTTAGTCACATCTGAGTTTTCTTCATTCTCCTCTAATTAGTCAAGCTGTTTTTTATCCCAGGGCCTTCCTTCATCATTTGTGTTCAATATTCCTTCCAAACCCTTCCCCGATCTCCCACACATAAACATCATATGAATATATTTTATCCTTTAGTTCTCAGTTTCTGTGAGTTTCCTCTGATTTGTACAGGTGTCTTTTTTCATATTTATTGATGATTGGAGATAACTGAGTAGACCCAGCTGACTGGGAGGTCTCAGCAGCAGACGGTTGAGTGGATATTGTCACAGAAGGCCAGGCAGCAAGAGGAGAAAGGAAATTAGGATGCCGAGTATTTAATGAAGCAAAACAAACAAAATAACTCTGACTCATTCTTTACATATAACTTGAAAATGTAAATTACATGACGTAATTATTTTTGTTTAGATTAAGATATGATGATTACTAAGAAGTGCTAGTTGAGGACTCTAAAGCAGTACTGGACAATGAAAGTATAATTCAGCCTCATGTGTACTTTTAGTTCTCTTATAGCCACATCGCAGGTAAGTAGAAACAAAGGAAAGTCACTTTAATAATCTATTTTATTTAACCCAATATATTAAAAATATAATCATTTCAATGTATAGCCAATATAAATGTACAAATTATTAATGAGAAAAAACAAAGCAAGCAAAATTATTAATGAGATCTTTCCTGTTCCTTTTTCATGGTAGGTCTTGGAAATCTGTGCATTTTACACTTGCAGCACATCTCACTTTCTCGCAGTCACAGTTCAGAGCTCTGTGACCACATGTGGCCAGTGGCTACCTAGTTGGTCAGTCCAGGTCTAAGGGTTATTTAAAGGAAGTTTAATCTGCACCATTCCTTTATCATCTGGGATGACTTTTTATTCAATTTTGTGACAATTTAACTTTGAATTGGTTTTTTAGATTAGATATACCAGCTTTCTATTTTCAATGACTTTTAAATAGATGTATGGGAAAAATATTTTCTGGCATTTACGAAAAACCTATCATCTCTATCTTAATTATGTTTGAAGATAAATAGGGTTGACAGGGGTTAGTTTACACTGGAGAGTTGACAGTGCTGCTAGAGTTTCTGCAACTTTTAAGATTTATGTAAGAGGCAGTTTACACGGAAATTGCACATGCAAGTGGTTCACAAACTTGAGTGGGCATCAGAATCAGCTGGGAAGCTAGTAACTCTGAAGATTTTTTGGCTTCACCCCGGGACTCAGTAGGTCTAGGATGGTGCCGAGCACCTGCATTTGTAGCAAGTTTGCAGGTGCTGCTCCTGCTAGTAGAGGCCACTGCTGGCATAGACCATCTCGTCTCTCCACATGCACGGTGCACGTGGAGATTGCCTTGAGCAACAGGGCATGTTTTTCTTCTTTATATGGTTGATGATGCAGACCCTGGAAACTACTCTTTTTTCATTTGTTTGTTTCTATGTGTGTGTGCGCGTCAGGTGGAGGGTAGATGGAGAAAGTTACTTACCTGTTCATTATGCTGTTGTGTTCTACTTTGAGAAAACAGTAGCAAAAGAACTTTAGGGGAAAGATAACAACAAAATAAATTTCAGAGAAGGAAACTGAGATCAGTGGGCAATACAAGCTCCCTAGTGACTATTCCATATATCTTACTACTTATGCTGTGAGGGGCGGGGAAATAGGAAGGTATTTTACCTTTACAGTGTCTATTTTCTAGGTCCAGATGACAGACTATTAGTGAAATAATAATAGCTCTGTTGAATACTCAACCAAAAGCTAGTATTTTCCCCACAGTAATTTATCTGTTTTCTAGCCATTATGATATCCACTAAGTTCTAAGTGTTAAATTAGCTTTTAGGCTCACATGGAAATAAGTACCATTGTTTATATGATCAGGGCAGTGCTTGTTCAGCTACTGTTTCATGTTGGATTTCTGCAAAGCTGCAATTGTGTGAATCAGGCCTCAGTGAATACTAGGTAAAATTAATGTCAAATTTCTAAGTGATGAGGAAAATCATTATCAAAGTAAATATATTAACTTTGTAAGGCTATAGATTTTAAGTTTTTTTAAATAAAGGCTAAATTTAGGAAATAATCCAGTGAAATTAATCTTTCCTCCTCATGTTCTCTGAAAACTTATTTCTCTGCTGCATTATCTTTTTTTTTTTTTGAGACGGAGTCTCACTCTGTCACCCAGGCTGGAGTGCGGTGGTGCGATCTCGGCTCACTGCAAGCTCCGCCTCCCAGGTTCACGCCATTCTCCTGACTCAGCCTCCTGAGTAGCTGGGAGTACAGGCGCCCGCCACCATGCCCCGCTAATTTTTTCTATTTTTCACTAGAGACGGGGTTTCACCGTGTTAGCCAGTATGTATTATCTAATATTTATTGAGCATTTATTATTTACAGGCACTGCTCTAAATGCTTTATCAGCATTAATTCATTTAGTCCTCATAACAAGCTGATAACTATATTATTATCATTCCGATTTTACAGATGGGTGTTACACAACCAGTTAGGAGCAGAGATGATATTCTGCTGGGCTTAATTGCAATATTATATCTTCCTCTGTGAGATTCAGCTGTCTTAATTTGTTCTTTCAACACTTGGTCTTTCTTCCTTGACCTCCTATTCCATAAACTTGTACCAAACTATACATCCATTTGAAATATTTTTGGCCTGGAATTTTGTTCCCTTTTCCATAATTTTATACTTTTTTCTCCCTCCATGCCTTCTCTAAGTCATTCACCTTATCTGAAAGTATAATCCCTCTTCTTTTGGCTTAGCTCTGCCCTTAATAACATTTTACATTAGTTAGCTCTCATAACTCTCAGTATATTTATGACTTTTCTTTATCTTTTTTTTTTTTTTTTTTTTTTGAGATGGAGTCTCACTCTGTTGCCCAGGCTGGAGTGCAGTGGCACGATCTGGGGCGATCTTGGTGCACTGCAACCTCAACTTCCCGGGTTCAAGCAATTCTTCTGCCTCATAACTCCGCCTCCCAGGTTCATGCCATTCTCCTGCCTCAGCCTCCCGACTAGCTGGGACTACAGGCACCCGCCACTACGCCTGGCTAATTTTTTTTGTATTTTTAGTAGAGACGGGGTTTCACCTTGTTAGCCAGGATGGTCTTGATCTCCCGACCTCGTGGCCTGCCCACCTTGGGCTCCCAAAGTGCTGGGATTACAGGCGTGAGCCACCGCACCCAGCCATTTATGACTATTCTTAATTATAAAAGCAGAAACAGAACATTTAAAGAATTTTTTAACATGAGAATTAAATCACTATCCAGCACACATATACTTCCTTCTTTGAAACTTTCTGCCAAGTTTCTTTCTTTTTTTTTTTTTTTTTTTTTTTTTTTGATAAGGAGTCTCGCTCTGTCTCCAGGCTGGAGTGCAGTGGGGTGATCTTGGTGCACTGCAACCTCAACTTCCCGGGTTCAAGCAATTCTTCTGCCTCAGCCTCCCGAGTAGCTGGGACTACAAGTATGCATCACCACACCCAGCTAATTTTTGTATTTTTAGTAGACACGGGTTTCACCACGTTGGCCAGGATGGTCTTGATCTCTTGACCTCGTGATCCGCCTGCCTCGGCCTCCCAAAGTGCTGAGATTACAGGCGTGAGCCACCGCACCCGGCCCTGTCCAGTTTCTTATGTGTGTGTGTTTGTTGGCAGGTGTATGTTTTATATTTATTCACTATGAGTAATTTGTATATGGATTTTTACATTGATTATTGAATTATTTTTTCCTTATTAAAGTAATATTTAGCATTATCTTCTTAATATCAAATTAAATGTTCGTTAAATAGAAATAATACAATCTATCTAACCCTTTTTAAAATTTTTGTACAGGTTGAGAGTGTTTATTAATACAGCATCTTAAATTTTTTACCTTTATTTTTTAAATTTCCATTTTTATTTTTGATTCAGGGGCCACATGTGCAGGTTTGTTACAAGGGTATATTGGATAATATTAAATTTGGGCTTCTATTGATCCCATCACTCAGATAGTGGACGTAATACCCAACAGGAAGTTTTTCAGCTCTTGCCCCTTTCTCTCCCTCCCACCTTTTGGAGTTCCCAGAGTCTACTGTTCCTAACTGTATGTCCATGTCTACCCAAGATTTAGTGCCCACTTATAAGTGAGAACATGCAATAACTGGTTTTCTGTGTTTGTGTTAATTTGCATAGGATAATGGCCTCCAGTTGCATCCATTCTGCTGCAAAGAACATGATTTCTTTCTTTTTTAAGTGGCTGCATAGTATTCCATGGTATATATATATGCCATATTTTCTTTATCGAATCCACCATTGATGGACACCAAGGTTGATGCCATGTCTTTGCTATTGTGAATAGAGCTGCGATGAACATACAAATGCATTTGTCTTTTTGGTAAAATCATTTATTTTCCTTTGAGTACATACCTAGTAATGGGATTTCTAGGTCAAGTGGGAGTTCTATTTTTAGTGCTTTGAGAAATCTCCAAACTGCCTTCCACAGTGACTGAACTAATTTACATTCCCACCAATAGTGTATAAGCATTTCCTTTTCTCTGCAGCTTCACCAACATCAATGCAGCCTATTTATTTATTTATTTATTTATTTATTTATTTATTTATTTTAGACGGAGTCTCGCTCAGCCACCTGGGCTGGAGTGCAGTGGTGCAATCTCGGCTCACTGCAACTTTGTCTCCTAGGTTCAAGTGATTCTCCCGTCTCAGCCTCCCGAGTAGCTGGGATTACAGGCACCTGCCATCATGCCTGGCTAATTTTTGTACTTCAGTGGAGACGGGGTTTCACCGTTTGAGCGAAGCTGATCTTGAGCTCCCGACCTCAAGTGATCCTCTCGCCTTGGCTTCCCTAAGTGCTAAGATTACAGGTGTGAGCCACCGCGCCCAGCCCAATGCAGCTTTTAAAAAATCAACTTATCTAGTATTAACTTCCAGAAGTTAATTTAGTGAGTCAACAAATTAGCCTTTTTCTGGCTTTTAACATATATCCTTGTATTGCTTTTAAATGATTTTTTTAAGTTAATGGTAGCCAATCTTAATCATACACACAAATTTTTACATATATTATATAATATATGTTATATATATAATATTTATATATATTATATATTTTTTATATATATACACACTTCTGTAACCATTGCTATGCCACATAGGAAATTTCCAACTACCCAAAAGTATCACTGGGCTCCTAACCAGGCAAAGATTAATTTCGCCTATTTTACTGTCTTGCTGTGTATTTTTCTGTTGTTCTCTGGTATGCCATTGGATGAATATGCCACAAATAATTTACCAAATCTACTGTCGATGGTTAATTGGGTTTCCCGTTTTAGGCTATTACAATAAAGCTGTCTTGAACATAGTTTACATGTCTTTTACTGGACTTGACACTCCTTTCTGACGGGTATATTTCCAAGAGTGGAATTACTGGACCATAGGGGATACATGTGTTTAGCTAATATTAGTTTTTTAAGGTATAAAATCTATTTAAAATATAAATGGAAATATTTCTATTTTGTCAATTGGTAAGAATATTACACTATCATTTAAAAGGAGATAGATCAAATAATTTAGAAAAGTGGTAGCAGAGTCTAGAAACAACTAATTCCACTTGCCTTTGGTCATTTCCTTTCTTTCCGTATAAGCTTACTGTACATGCAACTATATAACTATTTTTTCACAACAATATATTCCTAAGTTTTTAGACTTTTATTGTCATACTGTTTTGGCTGTAAGCACCCTTCACTTCCATTCCTCGTGGATTTCGCTCATGCCATTTTGTCTGTCCAGAATCACATCTTCCCTGATCTCTGTGTTTCTCCATTGCACTTCCTCTAGACTTATCGTACTTTTTATTTAACTAAGATTATCAGAGCAATACATTTTAAAGAACTTAAGCTATTCTTATAAATTATCTCTTCTGGTCATCTTATAGCATAATTTTCTCTAAATTAAGCAGACACTTCTTTTATATCTTCTCTTATACCTCTGAACCAGGAAGTGAACTCAGAAAAAATTTCCTTCAACACAGGCTTTCATTTGTTTGTTAGGGTGTGCCGGCAATAAATATTTTCTCTCTGGGACACCTAAATTATAGCCACTGTTTTAACCTTAATAATATTGTTGAGGTGCAGACCAGACAATGTTTCCATTATTGCAATTTTTATTTATTGGAGGATAAAAGGTTGTTTAGTGAAAAGAGAAGGTGGGAAGAGGTAATGATTGGCAATTCTTATTTATTGGAGGATAAAAGGTTGTTTAGTGAAAAGAATAGATGCGAAGAGGTAATGATTGGCTAAGTACTATGGAACTCCCTGACACTGATCGAATTATGTTAATGTTTAGTTCGTACTTGGGAGTATTACAGTCGCTTGTTAAAACTCCATTATGTAACTCCATTTTCAGGCCTGGGATCATGATGGGGTTAGGGATAAATACAATGATTAATTTTTAATGCAAGGCAATAATCAGATTTAAACATTTTAAATCTGTGTATTCTTTTTGGTATTGTTTTTTAAGTGGTTTTAGTTTTGAAAAAAGTTTTAGTTAATGTTCAATGATATTGCTATTACATGAGAAGTGAGGTGATAATAAGTAATCTTTTTAGACCAGTATTATCAAAAATTTACAGCATACCATGTACTGGTTATTTGCAGGTATTCTTTTACTCATGATCTCTCTGTATTTCTTTGAATGCATGTTACCTTGTGAGTATCAGTGAGTAGGCTGTGATGTTGAACATCTGACAGGCATCCAGACTCTAATTAACTGTTGAAATAAAAATATTAAAAAATTAAGAATAGGCTAGGCATGGTGGATCATACCTGTAATCTCAGCACTTTGGAAGGCTGAGGCGGGTGGATCACTTGAGGTCAGGAGTTCAAGACCAGCTTGGCCAACATGGTGAAACCCAGTCTCTACTAAAAATACAAAAATTAGCCTAGTGTGGTGGCACCACCTGTAGTCCCAGCTACTTGGGAGGCTGAGGCAGGAGAATTGCTTGAACCTGGGAGGTGGAGGTTGCAGTGAGCTGAGATTGCACCACTGCACGCCAACCTGGGTGACAGAGTGAGACCCTGTCTCAAAAAAAAATAAAATAAATAAAATAAAATAAAGACTATCTTCTCATCTAGTATAGTACTTTACAGATAGCGAATGCCTTGTTAAGTATTTGTTGAATGAATGAATATATATTAGTATAATAGGTTAAATTGTAATAAGCCTATGTTTCTTTGATTTAGATAATAGCAGGGTATATTGAGAAAAATGTGGAAAATAAACAGAATTTATATACTAGCCCTATAAATGTATATATATGTTATGTGTATTATATCAAATAACTAATATTTTATTAATGCAAGTGAACCCTGAAGGTTTGTGTAGCATTATTTAAGCCAGCAGTTCTTTTCCTCAGGGTGCATCCTTCACAAAGTCTGGCACATGAATAAGAGGAAGTATGTACAGTAGTATCAATCAAAGCAACATTGTTTTAGTACTAGAAATCAATGAACAATCCCAATGTCCATCAATATGCATAAAACATTGCTTTATATACTTATAATGGAACATTACATTGTGGTGAGAACATATAAACTAGAGGTATACTCATCAACATGAGTAATAATATTATTACTTACATTTTGTAAAGGGAAGGTAGGAATATTGATCAAAACCTCAGGTTAATGCTGCATCATTTAAATCTAGACCTAGCAGGTGGGTGTATGATTGGAGAGAGGCACAACCGGGGCTTTCCCAGAGTGTCAGTGTTCTCTTTCTTCACTTAGGTAAGTTACTTGGTGTTTCACTTATTGTTAGCCTTTTACCCTCACAAATGCATTATATGCATGCTTTCATCTCTGATATATTTTAAAATTAAAAAGAAAATAAACTATTTCCTAGGGGCAGTAATATGTTAGGTAATATCCTTGTATTTATGGAGCTTCCAGCTACAGTAAAGGTAGACATTAATTCAATAACTGCAATTACTCCAGGCTTATTTAATAAGAAGTATGTGATGCCATAAGACTATGCAATAGCTGATACAATCTAATCAAGAAAGCGCAGAAAGAGCTTCACTGAGAAAGTTGTAACTGAGCTGATATCTAAATGATGAGTGAAAATTAACTTAGAAAACAAAGGAAAAAAAGAGGAATATTTGCAAAGGCCTTCTGGTGCAGGAGAGAGCACTGTTGAACATGAAGAAAATAAAGAAGGCCAGTATAGTTGGAGAAAACAGTATCATGAAGAATATTATTTGAGAGGTAGTAAGGGTCAAAATAAGAATCTTGTAGATAATGCTTTTGCCTTTGCCTATGTTGATGAGAAGCTACTGAGATATTTTAAGCAGGGAGATGGGGTAAACAGATTCACATTTTGAATATATTATTCTGGTGGCAGGTGAAAAATGGATTGGGTGGAGGCAAAAGTAGATACGGGAAGACCAGTCAAGAGAGTATTTTAGTAGTTCAGGCACCAGATCATGATAGCTTAACGGAAGTTACTGGTAGAGAATATGAGAAGAGTAGATTGATTTCAGAGAAATTTTGAGGGCAAAATATAAGGGACTTCGTAATAATTTAGAAATGGCAAGTGTGCGAGAAATTCCTCAAGAATAATTTCTAAGTTTCTAGCTTGCCTAAATGAATGGTTGGTGGTACCCATCACAGAGAGAGAATATAGGAAGAAGACCAAAGGTTAAATGGACACTCCAACATGGTCAGATTTGTACACCTAACATGTGTGCATCTTAGATCTCTAGGATCAGGTACTGACTCAATTTAGACTTTGTCTTTCAAAAGTTATGTTTCAACAATGTATTTTGTCTGGAATTTAATCTTCAATATAGTGTAACTCCATTTTTCTCTCTCTTTCTCTCTTTTTTTTTCTTTAGACAACATACAGACATATTAATATAAAGTAAGTGTTTGGGCTCTGTTTTTCTCTCTTCCATTTCAATTTCTTACCATTGTCCCTACTTCTACCATAGGAATCTCTGGATTTCTTTCCACCACAGGAATCTCTGACTCTAAATCCCACATAATGGAGGATTATTGGTTCTTTGCTACTCACCATGGTTAATTAATACTCACTTCTCATAATGAAGCTGGTAGTATCTAATGTAAGCCTTGTTCCAGGATTAGTGAAGATCATGACGTTTCATAAAAGTGTAGTGAAGTTAAGCACAGCTCTGTGTTTTGTTCCTTTTAAAGCAGAAAGGCCGATCAGGTCCAAAAGTCTGAGTTGAAGAAAGAAGGCTAGAATCATAGCATTTCATTGCAGTGTTCCAATCAGAAACCCCATAGTTATCCTTTCCTTGTATTTCTGACAGTATGGTAGACTGAATGTCTAGAGAAATCCTTTCATTAGCAAAAAACCTAAAGATTCCAGACAGTATATGTATATTTAAAAATTACTTTGGGAGGCCGAGGCCAGCGGATCACGAGATCAGGAGAACGAGATCATCCTGGCTAACACAGTGAAACCTCGTCTCTACTAAAAATATAAAAAATTAGCCAGGCATGGTGGCATGCGCCTGTAGTCCCAGCTACTAGGGAGGCTGAGGCAGGAGTATCGTTTGAACCCGGGAGGCAGAGATTGCAGTGAGCCGAGTTCGCACCACTACACTCCAGCCTGGTCAACAGAACGAGATCTTGTTTCAAAAAAAAAAAAAAAATTAATTGCATAGCTGAGTTGGTGGAAAGTAAGGAGAATTCTCAGAGTCCATGAACAGCATGAACTAACAAATCAAGAGAAGTAAGCAAGATGAATGTCACTGAAACAGACATTTTCTCTGAAGATGTTTGGAAGTTCTTCACTGCATACAGCCTAGGATTTACAAGACCATTTTTTGTAAACAAATTTAGTTTGGGCTGGCAAAAGTTGGCAGATTTGACTACAAATACCTCTGCATGAATAGGATCCCTGAAAGACAATACTTATTGTGAATTAAATAAGCAAATAAAAGAGACGGGGGTAGGGAGTAGAGAGAGAGAGAGAGAGAGAGAGAGAGGGAGAGAGAGAGAGAGAGAGCAAGAGAGAATGCTCTTGAGGGAGATATTTGGTTCTGGGTGTAGTGAAGGAAAAGGAAAGTTTCACCAGAAGAAAATTCATAACTTCTCCCTTATGTAAGCCATATTCATAGTACATATGTAACCTCAAAACCTCTAAAGGTAAAATTTTACTTTTAAGTGACACTTGGTTGATAGTGTCCCCAAGTACTTTGCAGAAGCAAGCAAAAATCCTGTGACAAGAAAGCACTTTAAATAAAGGTCCCACATAACTCTCATAGATAAAATTTCAAAGGATATGAGATTGCATTAAAAAGATAATCACTAAATACAAACAGAATAGAACATCTCAGTGAAAGAAATCAGTAAAAACAAACTGGAGAAGTAGATTACGAAGATTGTTGTTAGAAATTTCATTTGTAGAATGTAAATTAATTACATATAATGTTCAAAATAATATAGATTATTAAAAATATGGTAAAAGACAGAAGACTATAAAAACAAACAGATACATTTAAAAAAGAACCAAAGAGCATTTTGAGATATGAAGAAAAATTAACAAATGAAAGTTGAAATTTATTGTATGTGTTATACAGCAGAGTAGAAATAGCTGAAAAGGAAATTTTTGAAATAGAAGATAGATCTGAGAAAATTATATAGAAGGTAGAGCAAGGAGACAGAGCTGGAAAATACAAGAGACTTTAGGAGATAGAGAGGACAGAAAGAGAAATTGCAACATACATCTAATTGGAGAGCCAGAATGAAGGAAGAGAAAAAACATGAGTGAGATGTTTAAAGTGATAATAGTTGAGTTACTTTTAGGATTGATGAAAGACATGGATCTTCATATTCACATAACAAAACAAATCTTAAGTTAATTATGGTATAATCACAGAACGGCTTGATATAGTGAAATCGCTGAACATTGATCGAGATTTTAAAAAGCAGAAAAAGATAATATAGAAAATAGAAGACAGTAGTATATGATAGAAATGAATCTAAACATATCAGTGATCGCAATAAATATAAATTGAGTTAAATTTTCAATTAAAGGAGATTATCAGACAGAAAACAAAACACTACAAACAAAATCCCACTTCTGTTGTTTATAGGAACACACCTAAACTAAAGAATATAGATGCTAAGGCCCGGCACAGTGGCTCACGCCTGTAATCCCAGCACTTTGGGAGGCTGAGGGGGGTGGATCACGAGGTCAGGAGTTTGAGACCAGCCTGGCCAACGTGGTGAAACCCCATCTCTACTAAAAATACAAAAATTAGCTGGGTGTTGTGTCAGGCGCCTGTAATCCCAGCTACTCGGGAGGCTGAGGCAGGATAATTGCTTTAACCTGGGAGGCAGAGTTTGCAGTGAGCCAAGATCGCACCATTGCACTCCAGCCTGGGCAACAAGAGTGAAACTCCATCTCAAAAAAAAAAACAAAACAAAAACAAAATAGATGCTAAGTGCAGTGGCTTACACCTGTAATCCCAGCACTGCACTTACAACAGTGGCTGAAGTAGGAGTATAGCTGGAACCAAGGAGTTGCAGACCAGCCTGGGCCACATAGGGACACCCCATCTCTACAGAAATAAAAAGAAAAATAATTAGCCAGGCGTCATGATGTGCCTGTAGTCCCAGCTACTCAGAAGGTTAAGGAGAGGGGATAGCTTGAGCCCAGGAGGTTGAGGCTATAGGTTAAACCATGATTGTACCACCGCACTCCAACCTGGATTATGGCCCTGTATTAAAAAAAATAAAAAAGTAAAAAGATGGGAAAAGATGTATCAAAATAAAAAAAAAAAGAATTTGTTTTATTTATTTATTTATTTATTTTGAGAAGGAATCTCACTCTGTTGCCCAGGCTGGAGTGCAGTGGTGCAATCTTGGCTCACTGCAACCTCCACCTCCTGGGTTCAAGCGATTCTTGTGCCTCAGCCTCCCAAGTAGCTGGGATTACGTCTGGCTAATTTTTGTATTTTTAGTAGAGATGGGGTTTCAGCATGTTGGCCAGGCTGGTCTCAAACTGCTGATCTCAGGTGATCTGCCCGCCTCTGCCTCCCAAAGTGCTGGGATTACAGGCATAAGCCACCATGCCCAGCCAGAATTTACCTTTTAAATAACATAAAAAGGAAATTCTCAAGCAAAAATACTGTTCTATATGGTAGCTAGCTTCTGAGATGCCACCCAGCGATCCTTGTCCTCCTGGTATTCATGGCTTTTTTTAAGACTCATCTAAGAATGAATAGGCATGATCTTTTTAACCAATAAGATAGTCCAGAAATGACAGTGTGTGATTTCTGAGGTTAAACTATAAAACACAATGTAGCTTTCACCTTGTTCTTTTGGAACACTTTATGGGGGACCATCAGCTGGAATTCTGTGTAAACATTTAGACAGTTCTGGGGAAAGGTACATATTTAATGAATTGAAGCTTCAAAAGACACTACCAATTTGCCAGCTCTTTGAATGAGCCATTTTCAAAGAAGATCCCCTGCCCCAGTGAAGTCTTCGGATGTCTGTACTCCTGCTAACACCTTAAGTGTACCCTGTGAGAGACCTCAAAAGAGAACCACACGGCCAAACTGCTCCCAAATTTCTGACCCATAGAAGCTATAAGAAGGCCAGCTCCGATGGCTCATGACTCTAATCTGAGCACTTTTGGAAGCTGAGGCAGGGGCATGGCTTGAGGCTAAGAATTAGAGACCAGCCTGGTCAACATAGAAAGACCCCATCTTTGCAGAAGAGAAAAAGAAAAAAATTAGCCAGGCATGGTGATGTGCACCCATAGTTTTAGCCACTCAGGAGGCTGAGGCAGAGGATCGCTTGAGCCCAAGATTTTGAGAGTGCAGTGAGCTTTGATGGGGCCACAGCACCACAGCCTGGGTGACGAGAGTCAGACCCTGTCTCAGAACAAAAAAAAAAAAAAAAAAGAAAGAAACTTTAAGATCAATTTTAATTGCTGTTTTAGGCCATTAAATCTCTAAGCAACTCAACTCAACAAGAAAATATGATTGTATTTATTGATTGATTTTTAAATGTTTTACTATTACTATTATCAGTAGTAGTAGTAGTAGTAATAGAGACAAGATCTCACTACTGTGTTGCACGGGCTGGTCTCAAACTCCTGGGCTTCAGTGGTTCTCCCACCTCAGCCTCCCAAAGTGCTGGGATTACAGGCATAAGCCACCACGCTTAACTGAAGATACAATTTTAAACCTTTATGCATGCAAGTATAATGTCGAAATAAACTAGGTAATAATTTGCATACATTTTAATATATCATTACAGTTGGAAACTTTAACACAACTGTATCAGCAATTCTAATATTGACCAGCCAAAAAACAGTAAGTACATAGCAGGTTTTATAAATTTCAAAAGACTAATGTCATGTAACTATAGTCTTTGACTTTAGCACAGTTAAGATAGGATTCAATATAAAGATAAGAACCCTCTAGTTTGAAAATCAAAAATAGACACCTTAAAATAACTTATGTTTCTTTTCTTTTTTTTTTTTTTTTTTTTGAGACAAAGTCTCACTCTGCCGCCAGGCTAGAGTGCAGTGGTGTGATCTCGGCTCACTACAACCTCCGCTTCCCAGGTTCAAGTGATTCTCCTTCCTCAGCCTCCTGAGTAGCTGGGATTATAGGCGCCTGCCACCCCACCCGGCTAATTTTTGTATTTTTAGTACAGATGAGGTTGTACCGTGCTGGCCAGGATGGTCTCGATCTCCTGACCTCATGATCTGCCCGCCTTTGCCTCCCAAAGTGCTGGGATTACAGGCATGAGCCACTGCGTCTGGCCTAAATAACTTATGTTTCCAAGAAGAAATCATAATGGAAATTAGAAATTGTTTAAAAATGAATGATCATGAAAATGCCACATATCAAACCATCTGGAATACCACTGAAGTAGAAACAAAAGGAGAAGTTAAGGCCTTAACAAGCTTATAATAGAGAGGAAATAACAGTGCAAATAGATGAGATAAACAACTAAAGAAGTCAGAAACAGAACAACAAAATAAACACAAAGAAATAGAAGGAAAGAAGTCACAATGATAAAAATGTAATAAACAAGGAAACAATAATACAATAGCGAATGAAAAATAGGGAGTGAAAAACAACTTAAAATTTGGAAACGCTTAACAAAATGATTCCAGAACACAAACAACAAGGCCAACACACACACACACACACACACACACACACATACACAAATCAGGTAAGAAAAGTGGGGTATAACTATGATGCAGCAGGTATTACAATGATAATACAGGGACACGATAAATAGCTTTATACCTGTACACTTAAAACATTTAAAATAGTAGTTGTATCCACAAAAATATAATTTCTCAAAAATAACATTTGAAGAAATAGAAAAACTTAGTAGTCTGATAAATCATTAAGGACTTGAACCCATTGTCAAAAATCTCTCCATAAAGAACATACGAATCTGAATAAATGATTTCACAGGTGCATCTATCTAACAGTTAAGGAACCTATAATTTCAGTCTTACTTTAACTCTTTAAAAGAACAGAACATTTGGGAACACTCTACAACTTATTTAATGAGGCTAGTGTAATTTTGATATCAAACCAACACAAAATACAAGGAGGAAAAATAGTAGGTCCATCTGACTCAAGCACAGATGCAAAGGCCTATACAAAATATTAGGAAAGAAAAACTAAATTTGTTTATAAAAGATAAATCATGATCACAGGTTTATTATAGAAATGCAAACTTGATTAAGCATTAGAAATCTACTAATGTATTCACCAAATTTATAGGTTAAAAGTAAAATCTATTTCAGTCATCTTACAAATACAGAAAAACAACCTATAAAATTAATGTCAATTCGTGTTTTTGTTAAAAAAGCTTAACAACCTAAAAATACAAGAGACTATCTTTACTATAATAAAGTGCAGCTATCGAACTTTTTTACTAAATATCTCATTCCATGGTGAAACATTAAAATCCAGAGTAAATCAATGATGCCTGTTTTCACCACATCAATTCAACATTGTACTACAGACTGGACCCAGGGCAATGGCAAGAGAAAAAGCAACAAGTTATTAGGCTCTGAAAAGAAAAAAGTAATTTTTGTTGTTGTTGTTTTGAGACAGTCTCACTCTGTCACCCAGGCTGGAGTGCAGTGGCATGATCTGGGCTCACTGCATCTTCTGCCTCCCGGATTCAAGCAATTCTCCTGACTCAGCCTCCCAAGAAGCTGGGATTACAGGCATGCACCACCACACCCAGCTAATTTTTGTATTTTTAGTAGAGACGGGGTTTCTCCATGTTAGCTAGGCTAGTCTCGAGCTCCTGACCTCAGGTGATCCACCCACCTTGGTCTCCCAAAGTGTTGGAATTACAGGTGTGAGCCACCACACCCAGCCAAAAAACAAATTTTAATGTTCTATAGAAGATAGGACTTCCTATTTTAAAAGATCTATAGAAAAATTTTTAGTAATTTTTTACTATAAAATCCAAATATGGCATTCATGTGCATTTGTATATATCAATAGTCTGTTGCTACTGTCTTAACTTTGAAATATTCTGTTATAATAGCAACATAAATTATAAGGTACCTCAGAATAATGGGAGAAACACAAGTTTTTTACAAGGGAGAGAATAAAATTGTATTGAAAAACATTAGAAGACAAATAAATTAAAAAATATATTGTAAATAGGAGGACACTGTTTTTAAAATGACAGTTTTACTCAAATTGGTTTATGATTTAATGCAATTCCTATTGTCTCACCAGGACGTTTCATGAAAACTGACTAGCTCATCTGAACATTTATGTGGTAGATCAAATGGACAAGAATTACTGATATGCTCTTGAAAAAGTGGGACAAGGAAAGACCTCTTGCCCTATCAGATATCAAGATCTATTTTAAATCTATTATAATTATTACAACGTATTGTTAGTTTAGAAATATATTGCTGAAACAGAATGCTCGGCCCATAAACAACCCACACTTCTGTGGAAACTCACTCTCTGAGCCTGCTTTGCAGATCAGTAGGGAAAGGGTAGTTGCCCGAACAAAAGATATTGGGAAAACTGGTAGTTAATATAGAAAAGATGAAACTGGATCCCACCTCACGCTTTAAATTCAATTCCAATTGGCTTAATAGGTGAAATTTCAAAGGGACATAAGAGAATATCCTTCTGATTACTTTTCATGAAATAATTAGTTTTAAAAAGAAGCAAAGCTGTAAAGAGACACTGAAACATATTTAAAGTTTAAAATGAGAACTTTGTCCAGGCACAGTGGCTCACACCTGTAATCTCAGCACTTTGGGAGGCTGACATGGGAGGATCACTTGAGGCCAGGAGTTGCAACCAGCCTGGGCAACATAGTGAGATCCCTGACTCTACATAGAATAAAAAAGTTAGCTGGACATGGTGGTGCATGCCTGTAGTCCCAGCTACTCAGAAGGCTGAGGCTGGAGGATCACTTAAGCCCAGGAGTTCAAAGCTGCTGTGAGCTATGATTGTGCCACTGCATTTCAGCCTGGGCTGAGCATCAGAAAAACAGTTTGTTAAAAACAAATAAACAAAAGAAAAACTTGTAGGTGAACAGACACTATAAAAGACTGCAATGGCATTCCAAAAGCTGGGAGAAAATATTTGCATTGCCCATGACCAACAAAGTTTCGAATATAAAAAGTCAGAGTCAGTCAACTACAAAAAGAAAACCAAAAGAAAAGTGTGAATAAGGCATAGACATTTCATAGAAATATTTGTAAACATATTCGCACGTATCTATAATTAGAGAAAAGTAAGTTTAAACTGAAATTCTTGTGTCATACTCATCATATTTCCAGGTATTAAGTGTATAACACTGTCAGCATTAGTGAGCAACAGGAACTGGCATACACTTTAGGCAAAGTGAATCTTTCTACAATCCCTCTAGAAATCTATTTGGAATCAATGGTAAAGTTTAGCTATAACACTGAGAAAGCAGTTCCACTGCTAAGTATATGTCGGGGCAAGGGGCCTTAAACTATCTAGGACAAAGGAAGAATGTTTTTTAAAATTTCCAGTCTTTTATAAAATGTGACAAAAATAAATTATTTTAAAAAAGGCTTGAACCCAGGAGGTGCAGGGTGCAGTGAGCCGAGATCACGCCACTGCACTGCAGCCTGGCAACAGAGTGAGACTCCGTCTCAAAAAAATAATAATAAAAATAAAATAAAAAAAGAAATGTTAATACACTTCCAGAAAACAATAAATATAAAAACATGGACATAAAAAATATAAACTCATTTTTATCATTAGATTCGGTAGACATAATTATATTTTAATAAAATAATATAAAGTAACGCTGATGAAAATATAGTTAGACAAACCAAACAAGTTGTTCATTGAAAGTGTGATTATTATAAATTAATATAAAGAATCACTATCACCTTTTGTCATTCCACAATTATTTCTAAATAAAATGCTATGAGTGAAATAGGCATTTCATATATTTTATGACTGTAGGAGCACTTTGAATATTCATAATATGTAATTAATAGAGTTTTTAATGTGACAAATGAGCTTGTTTCTTGCTTGCTTGATGTATCTAAACTGGATTGATGACAACACGAAATTGTTCCCATATTTTGTTACACTAAATCAATTTCACAACAGCATGTTGACAGGTATGTACATGTAATGATGCATATACATAAACATATGCATATTTAAGAAATCATGAGTTCACTCTCATACCTCCAATTCTAATCCATCACCAGATGAACTTTCTTGCCTTTTCTCATTCCCTATTTGTCTCTTCTTATACAGCCAGATCCCTGGCTGCCAATAACTATAAAACATTTATTCATTTGCTTAGTCCTATATTGACATCTAAAACTGTTTCAGAATTACTTCCACTGTACCACTGTAAAACCTAAAACAAGTTCTGGATATGTTAGAACATTGTCCCTGTCCCTAACATCCAACCCTGCTCCAGACTGACGGAATACAGACAAATAATGAGTTCACAGGAAACTTGATTAATTCCTTTCTTTCCTCTCAATCTCCCTCCCTCTTTCTCTCTCTTCATCCCTCCCTCCCTTCCTTTCTTCCTTTTCAGTTATGATATTCATTTGGAATACAATTTACCTTCATGCATTTTACCTTGCTTGCTTTCTGTTTTATGTTTTTTTTTCTGCTTCCATTCTTATTTAATGTAATTTTTAAATATGTATGTTATGCTTTCAAAAGTAAAAACAATATATATAAAAGAATTACAACAGGACTCACACTCTCGTTATCTCTTCTACTCTATACTCCAATCACATGTAACCAATTTCAGTGGGATTCTTTTTCATAAAGATTAGCAGATCTATGTATAATAGTTTTTGCTTTTTTCTTTCACGAGTAGGGTAAATATATATGCTTTTCTTTTTCCTTCACTTTGATTTTTTTTCTCCACTTAATTATATCTCTTGAAAGGTACTCCAAAACCATTTATAGAGATCTTCCTCATTATTTCTTTGTAGTTGCATAGTACTGCACCGTGCATGTGTATTCATTGTATATTTAACCAGCATCCTAGGCTTGGATATTTAGGCAGTTTCAATATTTGCAATTACAAACAATCTTAAAATAAATAACATTGTGCATATATTTATCATGGTTGGAGGTGTATCTTCAGGATTAATTCATAGTAATGAGATTAAAGCATCCAAAGAGTAAATGAAAATATAATTATTTTTAACTTTTATACAAAATTAACCCATGGAGCCTGGGATTACAGGTGGATGCCATAATTATTTAGTATTTTCAAAATTCATTTTCAAATCTCCATCCATAACCTATTTTAATTTATAGTTAAATGATGAATTTTTTACATGTCTGCATTTTGATGAAAAGTAAATTCCAAAGTACTCTATCAGATTCATAGGATTCAATGATAATTTTTTGCTGATGTGCAGTATCAAGATCTTCATTGATAATATTGTTAAATTATAGGACTCATCATAATAATCTAAAAACTTTGTTCTTTTAGGCTTCTGACTTTCATTTTTGTTTTGTATCTGGCATTAAAAAACATATTACATTTTTTCTTAGAAAGAAGTGTAAACAGCAATGAATATACTAAAGATAAAGACAATGAAGTAAGTCTGGCAGTCTCAATCACATCTTTACTTGGGATCAAAATGGTTTAATAATTGCAAAGATATTAAGAGTTCACATATATTAAATCATGTCAAAAACTTCAAACATTCTCTACTGAACATTTTCCTTTATTAAGCATTATATCTCCACATTAGTTTTTTTAAATACAATAAGCTTACATGTTATAAACATAATATAATAATTTCTACCTTAAAACTGTTTTTTAGATAATTCAGTTTTTACTACATAACTAAGACTTTTTTTTATAGCAAGTCTTTCTTGGTGAAGCAACCAGAATATTGATTTCTATTGTCATGAAAGCTCCTTAAATTTTTTTTTTCTTTCCAGTTTCCACATACAGTATTGAAGGTGAAAGCTTCTTAATCTGCATAACTATTTCAGAATATTGTCTTGTCATTGCAACTGTACCATCAGAACATTATCTTAATGAAACTTAAACTCCCAACTATTATGTCAATGCAATCCTTTTCAGTTTTACAAATCCATAGCTGGTTGTTTCTAGTCATCAATGACATTGAGAAAATACTTCTTTATATCACCAGCCTATACAGTTTACACAGAGATTAAAATAGTTGCCAAGTTAGTGATATTTTTGCATTCATCCAGTTCCTAGCTGTATTTGTTCTGTGAGTGGGTCCATTATTTTTCTTCATTTTCTGTAGTGTTTTAAAGTATGCTGTCATTGAAAAGTGGGACTTGAGCTACTTTATTTGCAGTGGTTGCAGCTATCATTTCTAACACACTTTTGATGCAGTGTTTCACTAATGTCTCAGCAATTTTTAATGAATTTTTAGCTTTAACAACACCAACTGCTTTTTAAAACCATCTATGAATTGTTTATGTTTAAATAGGAATATGTATAGTTTCACAGATTGCCAGCAATTATGGCTAAAAAACTAAATCAAATATATGGAAGATAATGTTTTATTTCTTTGAAATTGTTTATTTTTCATTATTTTATTTAGTGTTACCACTACATTCTGAAAAGGTATACCTTGTCCTGACCAAAATTAAAGGAAAAAAGGTGAAGCTTATACTGCTGTCAATAAATTAAAGATTAAAACTAAATACACAAATTTTACAGCCCTAATTTAGCTAATAATGTTAAATTATAAATTTTAAAAGTAGGCTTAATTTTAAATTAAGACTATACATGTATGTATAAAAGTATATGTCCTCATTTTATCCCATTTTTATACACTTCAATTAATTAATTTCTTATTATTATTCTTATTATTTTTGAGACAGGATCTTGCTATATTGCCCAGGCTGGAGTGCATTAAAGTGATCATGGCTCACTGCAGCCTCAACCTCTTGGGCTCCAGTGATCCTTCCACCTTAACCTGAGTAGCTGGGATTACAGGCAGGCACCACAATGCCCACCTAAATTTTAAATTTTTTTGTAGAGATAAGGTTTTGCTATAGTGCTGGCTTATACACTTTTAGATTGCAGTTCCCAATCTAATTTTAAAAATATTGCGTGGTTCTATTGTGCATGACTTGTATGTGTGTTTTTTAGAGTTTTTATTTTATTATCCTAAGAATACTTAACATGAGAGCTACCTTGTAACAAATTTTTAATTTTTAATTTCTTTAAAGCCAAGATTAGAACTTTTTTTTTTTTTTTCTGAGACAGAGTCTTTCAATGTCACCCAGGCTAAAGTGCAATGGCACAGTCTCTGCACACTGCAACCTCCGTCTCCCAGGCTCAAGTGAGTCTCACACCTTAGCCTCCTGAGCAGCTGGGACTGCAGGTGTGCGCCACCACACCCGGCTAATATTTGTATTTTTACTAGAGATGGGGTTTCGCCATGTTGTCCAGGCTGATGTCAAACTCCTGGCCTCAAGTGATTGCCCTCTTCAGCCTCCCAAAGTCCTGGGATTACAGATGTGAGCCACCATGCCCGGCCTTTATAACACATTTTTAAGTGTACAAGAAAATATTATTAACTGTAGGCATAATTTACAGCAGATCTTGATAACTGTTTTTTGTCATACCGTGAGTTCAACATTATCAAACTAGCGAAGTCCTATTAAATGATATGAGTTCACTGATTCTGTGCTTGGATATTATAGCAAAACCAGATTACAGTTAAAGTTTCTAAATGCTTGCTCTTCATTTCTGTACTTATCCCATCACAAACTTGTAGCAAACAATCAGCGAACTGGCTTGGGTCCACAGACCACACATTGATTTTTGCACCTGGAAACATACACTAGAATATTTATAGCAGCACTGTTTGTAAAAGCAAAAATTGGAAACATCCCAAATGTCCATTTATAGTAGAATGGATAAATGCATTGTGGTATATTCACGTGATGATTTACTATAAAGTAGAGAAAATAAATAAAGCATTCTTGTGTCCATTAACATAGATGAATCTTATAAACACAATGTTCGGGAAAAAAATCAAGTCAGAGAAGAATGTATTACAGTAATATTTTATTTATATAAAGATTCAAAAGAGAAACAACTAAATAGTTAATTGTTACTAACCATAGATATGTGGTTAAAACTCAAAGAAATGCAAGAAGTTATTATCACAGGATAGAAATTACCCCAGAGAGTGGAGATTTAATCAAGTTAAGGTACCCAGGGCACATCGAAATTACTGTTCATTCTCTACTTTATAGCCTGGGTATCGGGTATATGGATATTTGTTTCATTGTTATTAAACTGAACACATATTAAATATTCTTTTGCATATATATTTTATAATAAAATTACTAAAATTATAAATAGGCAAGACTTTTAAAAAATATTTTTGAAATACATTTAAAAACATGTGAATGGCCCAGCGCAATGGCTCATGCCTATAATCTCAGCACTGTGGAAGGCCAAGGTGGGAGGATCACTGAACCCCAGGAAGTCAAGGCTGCAGTGAGTCATGATTGTGTCACTGTCTCCAGCTTGGGCAACAGAGAGAGACCTGGTCTCAATTAAAAATAAATTTAAAAATAATAAAATATGTTAAAAATAGGAAGACATTCCTAGATGGGAAGATAAATAATCACAATTATGCATTTGATTCAATTCCAATCAGAAAAATAATTAAAAATTAATACCCATAAATATTTCCTAAAGCCTTCAGGAGATGGGGATCATTATTTTATATTGAGTTTGAATATAGAAATTTGATCATGACAATATAAAAACCTGGTTTTTAAGGTGTTCAGGGATAAAAATAAAATAAAATGCCTATATTCTGTGAGTCTGCCAGAACAACTATAGAACAAGTAATGATCAGATGACCATGACTGGAAAGCATGACAGAGCACAGGAATGCTCAATCTCACACTCTACTATGTATTGCCTTCGTGATCTGAATGTTTGCATCTCCCCAAAATTCATGTGCTGAAATCTTAATTCTCAAGATGATGGTATTAGGAGGGTGGGGCCTTTAGGAGGTGATTAAGTCCTGAGGGCTCTGCCTTCGAGAATGGGATTAGTTCCTTTATAACAGAGGCCCTAGAAATCTAGCTAGTCTCTTCTACCATGTGAGGGAACAGGAGAAGCAGCCATTATGAACCTAGACTGGGCCTTCACCAGACACCAAATCTGCTGGTACTTTGATCTTGGACTTCCCAGCCTCCAGAACTGTGAGAAATAAATTCCTATTATTTATAAGCAACCTAATTTATGGTATTTTGTTATACCAGCCTGAAGGAACTAAGACACTTAACTATTTTAATCAAATCACTTAACTGCATTATCCAGTTTTCCAGTCTCTAAAATGAGAATAACATTAGTATTAATAACTTCTGAATTATTGCAATAATTATATGACAAAATACATATTAAAAGGATAACAAGTTATACGTTGGTAGTCAAAAATTATTTATTTTAGCCTCATAATGAAGAATTCTATAAAATTTAAAGTATTCGATGTTTTACTTTGTTTTCATTTTGAGATGAGAGTCTCACTATGTTGCCCAGGCTGGTTTTGAACTCCTGGGCTCAAATAATTCTTCCACCTTAGTCACCAGAGTGGTGGGGATTACAGGCATGTGCTCTGGGTCCAGTGTATTTGCTGGTTTACTTATGAAAAGTAAGAACATGTGATATATATGGCATGTGATTTTTTTCACCTATCTATATTGTGTACATTCTTCTATGTCAATCTTTTTTGTAGTTGTAATAAATCAGTAAGTTGTAATTCATTTTATGTTTATCATTTGACCAAATAAAATTTAAAAAGTCATCCCCCTCTCCATAGTACTCAAAAAGTTGGGAACTGTAAGTATAAATAAATAAGGGTGACTTGTCAAACTAGATATTAATTAAACTCTAAAGCTATAATAATTAAAGCTCTATGATACTGGTTTGAGAAATGAAGAATAGAGCAATGAAACAACATAAAAGCTCTGAAAGAAAACCTAGGGCAGCCAGAGAGAAAGGTCGGGTTACCCTCAAAGGGAAGCCCATCAGACTAACAGCAGATCTCTCAGCAGAAACCCTACAAGCCAGAAGAGAGTGGGGGCCAATATTCAACATTCTTAAAGAAAAGAATTTTCAACCCAGAATTTCATATCCAGCCAAACTAAGCTTCATAAGTGAAGGAGAAATAAAATCCTTTACAGACAAGCAAATGCTGAGAGATTTTGTCACCACCAAGCCTGCCCTAAAAGAGCTCCTGAAGGAAGCGCTAAACATGGAAAGGAACAACCGGTACCAGCCGCTGCAAAATCATGCCAAAATGTAAAGACCATTGAGACTAGGAAGAAACTGCATCAACTAACCAGCAAAATAACCAGCTAACATCATAATGACAGGATCAAATTCACACATAACAATATTAACTTTAAATGTAAATGGACTAAATTCTCCAATTAAAAGACACAGACTGGCAAGTTGGATAAAGAGTCAAGACCCATCAGTGTGCTGTATTCAGGAAACCCATCTCACGTGCAGAGACACACATAGGCTCAAAATAAAAGGATGGAGGAAGATCTACCAAGCAAATGGAAAACTAAAAAAGGCAGGGGTTGCAATCCTAGTCTCTGATAAAACAGACTTTAAACCAACAAAGATCAAAAGAGACAAAGAAGGCCATTACATAATGATAAAGGGATCAATTCAACAAGAAGAGCTAACTATCCTAAATATATATGCACCCAATACAGGAGCACCCAGATTCATAAAGCAAGTCCTGAGTGACCTACAAAGAGACTTAGACTCCCAAACATTAATAATGGGAGACTTTAACACCCCACTGTCAACATTAGACAGATCAACGAGACAGAAAGTCAACAAGGATACCCAGGAATTGAACTCAGCTCTGCACCAAGCGGACCTAATAGACATCTACAGAACTCTGCACCCCAAATCAACAGAATATACATTTTTTTCAGCACCACACCACACCTATTCCAAAACTGACCACATACTTGGAAGTAAAGCTCTCCTCAGCAAATGTGAAAGAACAGAAATTATAACAAACTATCTCTCAGACCACAGTGCAATCAAACTAGAACTCAGGATTAAGAATCTCACTCAAAGCGGCTCAACTACATGGAAACTGAACAACCTGCTCCTGAATGACTACTGGGTACATAACGAAATGAAGGCAGAAATAAAGATGTTCTTTGAAACCAACGAGAACAAAGACACAACATACCAGAATCTCTGGGACGCATTCAAAGCAGTGTGTAGAGGGAAATTTATAGCACTAAATGCCCACAAGAGAAAGCAGGAAAGATCCAAAATTGACACCCTAACATCACAATTAAAAGAACTAGAAAAGCAAGAGCAAACACATTCAAAAGCTAGCAGAAGGCAAGAAATAACTAAAATCAGAGCAGAACTGAAGGAAATAGAGACACAAAAAACCCTTCAAAAAATCAATGAATCCAGGAGCTGGTTTTTTGAAAGGATCAACAAAATTGATAGACCGCTAGCAAGACTAATAAAGAAAAAAAGAGAGAAGAATCAAATAGACACAATAAAAAATGATAAAGGGGATATCACCACTGATCCCACAGAAATACAAACTACCATCAGAGAATACTACAAACACCTCTACGCAAATAAACTAGAAAATCGAGAAGAAATGGATACATTCCTCGACACATACACTCTCCCAAGACTAAACCAGGAAGAAGTTGAATCTCTGAATAGACCAATAACAGGAGCTGAAATTGTGGCAATAATCAATAGTTTACCAACAAAAAAGAGTTCAGGACCAGATGGATTCACAGCCGAATTCTACCAGAGGTACAAGGAGGAACTGGTACCATTCCTTCTGAAACAATTCCAATCAATAGAAAAAGAGGGAATCCTCCCTAACTCATTTTATGAGGCCAGCATCATTCTGATACCAAAGCCAGGCAGAGACACAACCAAAAAAGAGAATTTTAGACCAATATCCTTGATGAACATTGATGCAAAAATCCTCAATAAAATACTGGCAAACCGAATCCAGCAGCACATCAAAAAGCTTATCCACCATGATCAAGTGGGCTTCATCCCTGGGATGCAAGGCTGGTTCAATATACGCAAATCAATAAATGTAATCCAGCATATAAACAGAGCCAAAGACAAAAACCACATGATTATCTCAATAGATGCAGAAAAAGCCTTTGACAAAATTCAACAACCCTTCATGCTAAAAACTCTCAATAAATTAGGTATTGATGGGACGTATTTCAAAATAATAAGAGCTATCTATGACAAACCCACAGCCAATATCATACTGAATGGGCAAAAACTGGAAGCATTCCCTTTGAAAACTGGCACAAGACAGGGATGCCCTCTCTCACCGCTCCTATTCAACATAGTGTTGGAAGTTCTGGCCAGGGCAATCAGGCAGGAGAAGGAAATAAAGGGTATTCAATTAGGAAAAGAGGAAGTCAAATTGTCCCTGTTTGCAGACGACATGATTGTTTATCTAGAAAACCCCATCATCTCAGCCCAAAATCTCCTTAAGCTGATAAGCAACTTCAGCAAAGTCTCAGGATACAAAATCAATGTACAAAAATCACAAGCATTCTTATACACCAACAACAGACAAACAGAGAGCCAAATCATGAGTGAACTCCCATTCACAATTGCTTCAAAGAGAATAAAATACCTAGGAATCCAACTTACAAGGGATCTGAAGGACCTCTTCAAGGAGAACTACAAACCACTGCTCAAGGAAATAAAAGAGGATACAAACAAATGGAAGAACATTCCATACTCATGGGTAGGAAGAATCAATATCGTGAAAATGGCCATACTGCCCAAGGTAATTTACAGATTCAATGCCATCCCCATCAAGCTACCAATGACTTTCTTCACAGAATTGGAAAAAACTACTTTAAAGTTCATATGGAACCAAAAAAGAGCCCGCATCGCCAAGCCAATCCTAAGCCAAAAGAACAAAGCTGGAGGCATCACACTACCTGACTTCAAAGTATACTACAAGGCTACAGTAACCAAAACAGCATGGTACTGGTACCAAAACAGAGATATAGATCAATGGAACAGAACAGAGCCCTCAGAAATAACGCCGCATACCTACAACTATCTGATCTTTGACAAACCTGAGAAAAACAAGCAATGGGGAAAGGATTCCCTATTTAATAAATGGTGCTGGGAAAACTGGCTAGCCATATGTAGAAAGCTGAAACTGGATCCCTTCCTTACACCTTATACAAAAATTAATTCAAGATGGATTAAAGATTTAAACGTTAGACCTAAAACCATAAAAACCCTAGAAGAAAACCTAGGCATTACCATTCAGGACATAGGCATGGGCAAGGACTTCATGTCCAAAACACCAAAAGCAATGGCAACAAAAGACAAAATTGACAAATGGGATCTAATTAAACTAAAGAGCTTCTGCACAGCAAAAGAAACTACCATCAGAGTGAACAGGCAACCTACAACATGGGAGAAAATTCTTGCAACCTACTCATCTGACAAAGGGCTAATATCCAGAATCTACAATGAACTCAAACAAATTTACAAGAAAAAAACAAACAACCCCATCAAAAAGTGGGTGAAGGACATGAACAGACACTTCTCAAAAGAATACATTTATACAGCCAAAAAACACATGAAAAAATGCTCATCATCACTGGTCATCAGAGAAATGCAAATCAAAACCACTATGAGATATCATCTCACACCAGTTAGAATGGCAATCATTAAAAAGTCAGGAAACAACAGGTGCTGGAGAGGATGTGGAGAAATAGGAACACTTTTACACTGTTGGTGGGACTGTAAACTAGTTCAACCATTGTGGAAGTCAGTGTGGCGATTCCTCAGGGATCTAGAACTAGAAATACCATTTGACCCAGCCATCCCATTACTGGGTATATACCCAAAGGACTATAAATCATGCTGCTATAAAGACACATGCACACGTATGTTTATTGCGGCATTATTCACAATAGCAAAGACTTGGAACCAACCCAAATGTCCAACAATGATAGACTGGATTAAGAAAATGTGGCACATATACACCATGGAATACTATGCAGCCATAAAAAATGATGAGTTCATATCCTTTGTAGGGACATGGATGAAATTGGAAATCATCATTCTCAGTAAACTATCGCAAGAACAAAAAACCAAACACCGTATATTCTCACTCATAGGTGGGAATTGAACAGTGAGATCACCTGGACACATGAAGGGGAATACCACACTCTGGGGACTGTGGTGGGGTGGGGGGAGGGGGGAGGGATATCATTGGGAGATATACCTAAGGCTAGATGACGAGTTGGTGCAGCGCACCAGCATGGCACATGTATACATATGTAACTAACCTGCACAATGTGCACATGTACCCTAAAACTTAAAGTATAAAAAAAAAAAAAAAAAAGTGTCAGACATGATACAAGATGATTTAAATAAAAGACCTCTTTAAAAAAAAAAAAAAACAAATACCTTAAAAAAAAAAAGAAAACCTAATATTTATACGTTTCTAATATAAGATTATATGATGTAAGTATAATATGTGCTTATAATATGTTATTGTAATATGTATAAGGGGGAAACTGATAAGTACTGCTGGATACTGTTATGAATATTCATTGGGAATGAAAAATTATAAGTGAAATATTCAGAAAATTTTTAAAAAACACCTAAAAGGACAACTATCTATCTGATCTTGGGATAAGGAAAATTTTCCAAATATAAAAGCAAAGTAAGAAATTATAAAAGGAAGTAATGACAGATTTGATGAAAGTTAAACATTTAAAAAATACATAGGACTATATCAGAATTATACAAATCAAGCAACCTGTTGACATTATTTTCTATATTACAAATGTAGATTTAGCTCCCTAAAATGCAAAGGACTTTGTGAATTAAGAAGAAAATTTCTCAAACCTCATTAAAAATGACAAAGAAAATCAAATAGCATAATTTCACAAAAACTGAGATTTGGGGGGGTATAGCAGTTAGAATGAAGATCATGTTGCTATAATTAAAGGGCCCCAAAAAGTTGTTTAAATAAAATAGAAGTTTCTTTCTCATGTAACAACACCAAAGTCCCTGGTCTAGGTTGGATGGTATTTGTATTTCACAAGGTTATTTGGGGATTCAGACTGCTTCTATCTTTCTGCTTTGCTATCTCCTAGGGCAGCCATTGGCAATATTTTTTTGTAAAGAGACAGATTATAAATACTGTAGAATCTGGGGTCTCATATGGTTTCTGTTGCAGTTACTCTATTCTGCAATTATAGAATTAAAGCAGCTATAAACAACACATAAACAAATGGTTATACCTATCTTCCTATAAAATTTTGTAAATTTGGTTTAATTAACTAAAAAAACAAATTTTTGGTGTACTACATGATGTCTTGATATATGCATACACTGTAGAATGACTAGGTCAAGCTACTTCATATATGCATTATCTCAGTAATATATATATATTTTTTTCTTTTTTTTTTTTTTTGAGACGGAGTCTCACTCTGTCGCCCAGGCTGTAGTGCAGTGGGGCGATCTCGGCTCACTGCAAGCTCCGCCTCCAGGGTTCACGCCATTCTCCTGCCTCAGCCTCCCTTGTAGCTGGGACTACAGGCTCCCGCCACCACGCCAGGCTAATTTTTTTGTATTTTTAGTAGAGACGGGGTTTCACCGTGTTAGCCCGGATGGTCTCGATCTCCTGACCTCGTGATCCGCCCCCCTTGGCCTCCCAAAGTGCTGGGATTACAGGCATGAGCCACCGCGCCCGGCCTATCTCAATAATATTTTTTGTTGTGAGATTTATGATACTGGTTTGAGAAATGAAGAATAGTTAAAATCTACTTAAAATCTATTCTCAGCAATTTTTAAGAGTACAACATATTGTTACTAACTATAGCCCCCCGATGTATGTATATTCTTCCTGTGTAACTAAAATTTTGTGTCCTTTGACAACAAATATCTCCCCAATCCTTTTATTCCCCACCACCTTAGCCTCTGGTAATCACCATTTTGCTGTCTGTTTCTGTGAGTTTGATATTGTTAGAGTCCACACAGAAGTGTGATCTGTGACAGATGTCTTTCTGTGCCTGGGTGATTTCACTTAACACAATGTCCTCCAGGTTCACCCATGTTGTTGGAAATGATAAAATTTTAATTTTTAAGGCCGAATAATATTCAATTGTGTATGTATTCGACATTTTCTTTATCTGCTCATTGATTGATGGACACTTAGGTTAATTACATGTCTTGGCTATTGTGAATAGTGCTGCAATGAATATGGGTGTGTTTTGGAGGGATCTCATATATTTGATCCAATTCCAATCAGAAAAATAATAAAACAAAAATCAAATATTAATAGCCTTAAGTATTCCTAAGGCCTGCAACATACTGATTTCATATTCTTTGAATAGATACACGGTAGTCAGATTGCTGGATCATATGGTAGTTCTATTTTTAATTTTTTGAGGAAACTCCATACTGTTTTACCTAATGGCTATACTAATTTACATTCTCACCAACTGTGTATAAGGGTTCTTTTTTCTCCACATTGTCTTTAACACTAGTGGTCTTTCATCTTGATATTGATAATAGCCAACTGACAAGTGTAAGGGGATATCTCACTGTGGTTTTAATTTGCATTTCCCTGATGATTAGTGCCACAATTTGAGTGTGTCCCCCAAAGTTCATGTGTTGGACACTTAATCTGCAATGCAACAAGTGTTGAGAAATGGGAACTTTTAGAGGCGTTTAAGTCCTGAGGGCTCTGTCCTCATAACTGAATTAATGTTACTATCATGGGAGTGGGTCATTATCTCTAGAGTGGGTTTGTTAGAAAGGTGAGTTCAGAGTTCTCTCGCTGTGTGTCTTGTGTGCTTTCTTGTCTTTCCACCCTCCGCCATGGGATGATGCAGCAAAAGCCCTTCACCAGATGCCAGCATCTTGATATTAGACTTTTCAGCCTCCAAAATTGTGAGAAATAACTTTCTTTATAAATTATCAAGTCTGTAGTATTCTGTTATGGCAACACAAAACAGACTGAGACAATTAGTAATGTTGAACATTTTTTCATATACTCCATTGGCCATGTGTATGCCTTTTTTTTTGAGAAATGTCTATTCTGGTCCTTCGCCCATTTTGGGGGGATTACTTGTTTTTGTTTTGTTTTGTTTTTTGTCTTTGCTATTGAGTTGTTTGAGTTCCTTACATATTTTGTTGTATAGCTTGCAAATATATTCTCCCATTCTGCAGGTTGTCCCTTTACTCTGTTGATTGTGTCCTTGGCTGTGCAGCGCTTTTTAGTCTGATATAATTCCATTTGTGTATTTTTGCTTTTGTTACCTGTGCTTTTATAGCCATATCCAAAAAAAAAAATTATTGCCCAGAGAAATGTCATGGAGCTTTTCCCCTATGTTTTCTTCTGGTAGTTTTATAGTTTCAGGTCTTACATTTAAGTCTTTAATCCATGTTGAGTTGATTTTTGTAAATGGTATGAGATGAAGGTTAAGTTTCATTCTTCTGCATGTGAACATTCAGTTTTCCCCAGCACCATTTATTGAAGAGACTGCCCTTTTCCCATTTTGTGTTCTTGGCATCTTTAATGAAAATCAATTGATCCTAAGTGTATGCATTTATTTCTGGACTCTTTATTCTGTCCCATTGGTCTATGTGCTTATTTTTATGCCAGCACCATGATGTTTTGATTACTAGAGCTTTGTAGTAGATTTTAAAATCAAGTAGTGTGATGCCTCCAGCTTTGTTGTTTGTCCCTTAAAACTATTTACAAGACAGACAATTTGGTAGTTTTATGGCTTTTGCTCTAGGGCCTTATCTTGTTCTGTTAGGTTGGAGCCTAATCACAGGCACACCTGTACTCCAGCTTCCAGGAAGGAGTGAGCATGGAAGATTTCATGCACAATGTCTGAAGGCCCAGGCACCTAAGTAGCAAACATTACTTCTGATCCCATTCCATTGGTGGAAACTTAGTTCCATGGCTTCACTGAGCTGCAAGCATGGCTGGGAATATGATCTTCACTTCCAAAGTGCCCAATTACAAATCTTTTGCTGTGGAAGGAGGGAGATCATATGTTAGGGAACTACTGGATGTCTTTGCCAAACTGGTATTCAACAAATTCAAAATAACTTTACAATTTTATAATAAATAATATAAATAAATATTTCTAAAGAACAAAAGTTATAATATTCATTGTTGGTATTATACCATTTCTAGTGGTTACAGTAGTAATATTTATAATAAACGATTGTTACAGTATTAGTATGTGTCCAACACCACAGTACATGATTTATAGACTATTTTATTCCTAACACAACCTCAAGGTTTGTACACATTTATTGTCTTCACTTTCCAAATAAGTATCTTTTTAATGAGTTTCAAGACTAATGTGGCTGGGCACGTTGGCTCACGCCTGTAATCACAGCACTTTGGGAGCCCGAAGCGGGGGGATCATGAGGTCAGGAAATCGAGACCATCCTGGCTAACACGGCGAAACCCCGTCTCTACTAAAAATACAAAAAATTAGCCGGGCATGGTGGCGGGCGCCTGTAGTCCCAGCTACTTGGGAGGCTGAGGCAGGGAAATGGCGTGAACCCGGGAGGCGGAGCTTGCAGTGAGACGAGATCGTGCCACTGCACTCCAGCCTGGGCAACAGAGTGAGACTCCGTCTCAAAAAAAAAAAAGAAAAGAAAAAGACTAATGTATGCAATTAGTAACTGTTTGAGCCATGATTCCACATCAGGCAGTCCTATTTTAAAGCCTATGCTCTTCACTATTAGATAATCAAAATATGAACACTTTTATGAAGAGTGAATATGTTTGCTTTTCCACTTGAATGAGAGATTATTGAAGGCACTCTCTATTATTAATTTTGGTTCTTGAGCACATGGCCTGGTCTATATTAGGTAGATTTAGAATAAATTAATGAGGAAATGAATGATTATGTAAATTTAAAAAGGTTAAGTGATTGCTAAAGTTCACCTAGAGAATAGCAATCATGTCAGGCCTTCTTAACTTTAGTTTCCTATTTTCTGTGACAGGCTGTTCTAATATCTGTAACCAGACTCCTTGTTTCAGGACAGTAGGCATATGCCTGTGCTGTTCCTTGCCAGAAGCAGAATGGCACCAAGACTAATTACACTTATTTGAGCCTCCTGGTGAGAGGTGAAGCCAGCTGGACTTCCTGGGTGGAGTGGGGACTTGGAGAACTTTTCTGTCTAGCAAGAGGTTTGTAAAATGCACCAATCAGTGCTCTGTAAAAACGCACCAGTCAGTGCTCTGTAGCTAGCTAGAGGTTTGTAAAATGCACCAATCAGTGCTCTGTAAAAACACACCAATCAGTGCTCTGTAGCTAGCTAGAGGTTTGTAAAATGGAACGATCAGCACTCTGTTAAATGGACCAATCAGCAGGACATGGGTGGGGACAAATAAGGGAATAAAAGCTGGCCACCCCCCTGCCCCCCCGCCCCGTAGCCAGCAGTGGCAACCTGCTAGGGTTCCTTTCCATGCTGTGGAAGCTTTGTTATTTTCCTCTTCACAATAAATCTTGCTGCTACTCAATCTTTGGGTCCATGCCATCTTTAAGAGCTGTAACACTCACTGCAAAGGTCTGCAGCTCCATTCTTGAAGTCAGTCAGACCACAAACCCATCAGAAGGAACCAACTCTGGACACACTGGGACTAAGACCTTGATCTGTCTTCTTCGTGAGCAAGTTATTTCATATCTCTGATCCTAATGTTTTTTGCTTTGTTTTGTAAAATAACTAAAAATAATATATATCACACAAGGTTGGTGTAATGGACTGAATGTTCCTGTCCTTCCCAAATTCATATGTTAAAATCCTTCCCAAATTTATATGTTAAAGTCCCAATGTGATGGTATTTGGAGATGGGGCCTTTGGGAGGTAATTAGGATTAGAATAGGTGACACAGTGGGGCTCTCATCATGAGATTAATTGCTTTATAAGAAGAAGAAATTTCTCTCTCTCTCTCTCTCTCTCTCTCTCCCTCCCTCCCTCTCTTCCTTTCTCCCTCCCTCCCTCCCTCTCTTCCTTTCTCCCTCTCTCCCTCTCCTCCTCTCCCCCACTCCACATACAGAGAAAAGGCCCTGTGAGGACACAGCAAGAAGGCAACTATCAGCAAGCCAGGAAGAAGGCCCTCACCAGAACTCAATTCTGCTAGCACCCTGATTTTGGACTTACAGTCTCAAGAACCGAGAGAAATAAAATTCTGTTGTTTAAACCATCCAGTCTATAGTACTTTGTTACAGCAAACTGAGCTAATTAAGATAGGTGATACTGAGGGTTAAATGAGATAAGTATAAAATGTTTAGTACATTTCCCAGTACATCGTAAAACCTCAGTACATGCAGTTCTTACTATCCTGGGCATTGAATGGTGTGTCTGGTACTTGGTACCCACTAATAGTAAGCACACAGTAGTCCACTTGTTGCCTTTCTATGTCATCTCCAACTGTTTACCACTTCCTTGCTCTCCAACCACATTGGCCTACCTGAAGTTTCCAGAAGACACAGAGCTTGTTGCTGTGTCAGGCTTCTACCCGCTGTGCTTGCCACAGAAGGCCTCTTCTCCCTATTTGCTCAGGTCTCTTAAGTGTCATTCTCTTAGAGTGGCCTTCTTAATTAGCCTACCCAAAATAACCCTAATCACTCTATCACCTCATCCTTCTTCATTTCTCTTCATTAAGCAGTCACTGACATTTCGATTAATATATTTAGTTATTTTTGTGGTATCCCTGTTGCTTACCAGAATAAGGTCCATGAGGGCAGGGAATATCCCCAGTGCTGAGAAGAGTACCTAGCCTATGGTATCATTAAACCTATTTTTGAGTGATTGAATAAAAGGAGTTTTATAAGGAAATGCTTCTAGTAAGAAACACACTATATAGAAACACACGTATATATGTTAGCATTTTGGAAGGAATGCTTGCCATTCATATATAAAAATTAAGATAAAGGTTTTTAGTCTCTCATTGTCCTCACATCATCCCTTTTGTGTAAATAATACATTCATTAAATGTATTATTCTATCTCATCAAAAATCAAACAAATAACTCATCTTCCAAATTAAGTATATCAACTCTCAAAATGATAAAACATTGATTTAAGTTTTTGGAGACCGACTTCCTAACAAATTAGTACTAGATTATCATAGTCTTTTTGTAAAAACAAAATGTAGTTCCTGAAACATACAATTTTTGAAACTTTTTATAAATTTAAGCATTATATTCCATATACCTCTTCCAACTGTCTTTATCTAGAAAGATTGTATTTGTTTTTATTTAATCATATTGCTTTTAGGCAGATAGGAAGTGATTAATAATTAAAAATTAATTTCCATAAAGTGTTGGTATCTTTAGTTACACACAGGCCACAATGATAATCAATGTGGTGAGTAATGTTTAGGTACTGTGCTCCAGAGAACAATTCAATCAATTGCCCCAACCTGGTGTTTCCTGTTATGCATGAACTTGGGGAACTATAATTTTCTGAATAATTCAACTTAAAGCAAAATGAAATGTGTGAGTAATTAAGAAAATGTTCTTCTGCTAATATTTATTCTGATAAATCATTTCAGTTCTGTTTGATTTTGCAGACACTCCATAATATCATTGAATTAGTAAAATATAATAACTCTTAAAAAGCTCATAGAAGTGATTATTGCCTCTATATTTTCCAGTAAGATGTTAATTTTTTTAAATAACCGTAATGTACTGTGAATATAATTTCTTCTACAAGTTACTTTTGCTGCTTCTAAAATACTAGTGGTAGCAGTTTGCATACTTTCTGTATAAAGACTGATTTGATGTCATCTCTGAATCACAAAAAAAAGTCAAACCAAAACGGAAAGGTCTTAATTTAATTAACTAATAGAATCATTACTAATTCTATAGAATTAGATATTTTAAATCAGAGCTAGCTGCAACAAGTTATACGAGCTTTGCCATTTTATGAACATAATTTGACTAAGCGGTTATGAGATCTGTAAAGAACACTTCTTATCTGAGTATAGCTGGGGACGTCTTTGTTCAGAAGTACACAGAATTTTATAAACCTGTCCAGAGCTTCATATATATCCAGTAAGGCTCATTTTCTACATATTTGAGATCTTATTCTCTGTATAAGATCTTTACAGGGTAGTGCAAAATTCGACATAATATTTATATTATGAATGAAGAAACAAACAGAAAAGAAGAGAATGAATCTCAAATTCATTGAGTACCTACTAAGAATGAAAACAAAAACATTTGAAAGTGGTATATGGCCTGAGATGTAACACAGTTTGAGAAGAAATTTAGGGAATAGTATAAGCATTTGCTGATTTGTACACTTGAAATATTGTTTCAAAAAATCCCTTTTTTATCTTCCTGAGAGCATGGTCCTCTGAAGAGTATAACTTTTCCTGTGTTATTGGATCACTTAGTTTTCATTTCAAGGTTAAATTTGATGTTTTATCTTGTTTGGGCCATTTTTAAACCTGATTTATTTTATTTTTAAATAGAACATAAAGCATTGACTCAAATATTTCCTTAGAAAGGGTGAGAATGATAGTCTTTCCAGGTTGGTAACCAAAATCTATTCCTAATCTTCAGAAGATGGTAAAATTAACATTCTATATAAAAGTCCCATAGAATAAAGAATATTTTATTTATTTAATTTATTTTAATTAATTAATTTTTATTATTTTGTTTTGAGACAGAGTCTCACTCTATTGCCTAGGCTGGAGTGCAGTGGCATGATCATAACTCACTGCAGCCTCAACTGCCTGGATTTAAGCGATTCCCCCACTTCAGGCTCCTGAGTAGCTGGGACCCCAGACGTGTGCCACCATGCCCAAAAAAATAAAAAAAAAATTATTTGTAGAGATGAGGTCTCACTATATTGCCCAGGCTGGTCTTGAACTCCTCAGCTACAGCAATCCTTCTGCCTCAGCTTCCCAAAGTACTAAGATAAGGTGTGAGCACCTGGCCTAAGAATATTTTAACTAGTTAATTTGGTTAAATATTTATAATAGTCTCTAATATATCCAGAACAGATCCATTGGCTAATGAATTGATTCAGTCATTTACCAAGCATCTGAAGCATTCAGAACAGATCCTCAGGCTCTTTATTATAGCTGTAGACTTTAATCCAGTTGTAAAGAGGACCCACATACATCAGTTTTAAAAACAAGGAACCACACCTCTTACATACCACATAATCTAAAAGAAAGTGATCAGATGAAGATTTGTATTAATGCTCTGGCACCATGTTCCTTATTTGACATAATCAGGTGGTTCCTTGACTTGTCAGGTGGCTTTATATGATCCTTAAGATAGAAGGGAGATTGGTCACTGTGGCTATACACCTTATGCCTATTCCTCTATACACCTCTGAGATAAATATTTTTAACACTGTTATTTAACTAAACTGAACGTGTCCAGGATGAGACAGCAAGTAACATGGTATCATAATTAAAACCTGAGTCTATGTGACTCTAATGACATTCCCCTAGATTTTACTAAGGATTATTTGAGTAGAGAGGTAGTATCTTAGAGAGGTTGGAAATTCCTTGGAGCCTGACATGCTGCAGTGAATCTAATAGGTGGATCTTCTGTTGTTTGCTATAGAGAATACTTCTGAAAGGCATGTGGAATATCTAGGGCAGGCATCAGGGGCGGTGGGGGTGGTGGCTGCTCAGGTCTAGCTCTGCATAAAGATATTTTTCTCATAAGAGCATTGCCATAGAGTAAGACATTTACTGTAGACAGGGATGCAGGAATGTATGTTAATTACATATAATATTATGTGTGCGTGTGTGTGTGTATGTTTATATTGTGAGGAGTGAGATGATGGTCCTTTGCAGTAGAGAACAAAAAAGAAAGATACCAATTTTGAGGAAAATGTAATGAGTTATTCTGTTTTTTATATATATTTAATTTTTTGTAGAGGCAAAGTCTCACTATATTGCCCAGGCTGGTCTCAAACTACTGGGTCCAAGAGATCCTTTCACTTCCAAAGTGCTTGGATTACAGAGTGAGCCACCATGCCAAACTTCAGTTATGTCTTAAGACTAGCCTGCTCACTGGTAGGTGGTTAGGTTTAGATATGTACATTTAGGAGGTAATAATAAAAGTAGCTGCTCCTATTGTACATACAATCACTGAATGAATGTATATAGAGATAAGGAAATAGATAAGAGAGGGTTAAATACCCCGTCTTGGATTAAGAATAAGAGGAAAATGTGAAACCCACTAAGGAGATGAGAAAGGAAAAAAATCAGCAGAAAGAAGACTACTGTTGGTTTATGTTTAATGGTCTAACTTTTTTTTTTTTTTTTTTTTTTACTTCTAAGGAAGAATAGTTGTCAAAATGAGGGAAACTCTAAAGATAAAGACACACTCAGACTGATTTTCAAAGCTTCATTTTCCCAAATGATACAGGGGTCAAATTTTCATAATATCTACTCAGACAACAACAATAACAAATAAACAAAAACTGTTTTGTCTTTGAGCATGAAAAAACGTAAAAATGTTCCTACTATCCCCTAAGTTTCTTGAAGGCAGGAATTGTATCTCCTTAATGTCTTTGTTTCCTAAATGCCTGGTACATGTGAATTGAATTTACGCCTTCATGGAAAGAAGCAATAACCTCCACTTACAGGTTGGCATTCAGGGGCATAGTTCAGGTTGCGTCAACATCATAACTGGGTCAAAGTTAAGAATACAGTTTTCATCTCATGTGTGTTTTTAAATCAAAAGTGAAAACTAAAGAGAATAATGACAATCTTTCTTCTATTTTATTTTTCTAATGACTTATATTTTAACTGCTATTTAATGGATATGATATTAATGAAAACATTCTGATTATCCTTAATAATGTACATTTTTAAAGGTCAGTAATGGTCTTTATCTCAGGCAATAAAGATTATGAAACAAACTACTGTAATTATATTCAAACTAGAATATGAAATGTTAGGCATTTTACAATTTTTCCCACTATTTTTTATTTGCTTACAGTGACTACATTCATTCAACAAATGTCTGTCTATCTAGCTATTTCACCCTTCAGGCAGAGTGGGATTATATAAAGGAAGGTAATTCCTATTCCGTAGTAGGAAGGAACTCTCTACTAGCTAGGTAAATAACACTTATATAAAATTTAATAGAATGTTAGCTAAATAATAACACCAAATGTATCTCAGCAGTATATGACTGCATTCTTAGTCAGTGTAATATTCATAAAGTGTCATGAGTTCTTAGGAAAGAAAATCACTGTGGCCTATCAAAATTATGAAGCCTAATGTACATGCAGAATTTTAAACTTGTGCCTAAATTCTTCTCATTATGTAGCAAAAACTGATTTCTCTGTGCTATACAAATAAACCTACAAAATGTGATCAGGAAATCAATAAGAGAATGTAAAAAATAGTTCATTTATTGAGTGATAGGATTCTGGATCATAAAAGATTTATTCTAGTCTTGATGTTATAAGTCTTGAGTTCATACTTGGCTTGTGTAGTAGTGTTTATAAATGACCTGTATAGTTTGACTTCATTTAGAAAAGACAAGTGAACTCTGCTATATCCTCATGTGAAACCCAGGAGCTAATCTGTATACATCTTCATTCTAGAAGTGTTCATTCATTTATGCATTTAGTCATGTACACATTTATCCTTACTTATCCATTGATGTGATTCAGACCCAGATGATCTGGTGGCAGCATGGACAGGCACTTGTCTTCAGAATGCTAGCCACCTAGAAAAGCCCTCCAGGACTCTACTCAGAGTCCAAAAGAGTTGTTTTTCAAGTTACATAGTTGTGTCTTAAAGTAATTCACATACAAATGGAAAATCATACACCATGGAATTACATATTAAATCATTTTTCCTTAGTTATATTTTATATTTTTTAGAGTGATCATAGTTTTCCATGAGAATTTGCCTAGTTGTGAGGCCTTGTAGATACTAATTAACTCATGCTGTATGATGATTCTGTATAAAGAAAGCTTAAATCAATACGTACGTTCTGAAGAAAAAAAAAAATCTCTTTGCAGTACACAAAGAGAAAAAAACAAACCTAAAAAGAGTTCCTGAAAATGACTAGTAACTAAGTGGTTTGAAAGAGTTAATATTGTTTCCTACAGGCCTGATTAATAAAGACATTACCTATCCCTATATTGAAAAAGTGGACATGGTTTCTAGTTCTGTTTCAGGTTGATTTATGTGGGGAGAGTGTGATGACATTTATGTACTAAATACTTAGTGCTTTTAATTCAGTTTACATTTAATCTATAAATGCAAACCATGTTAAAGGATGCTTGACAAAAATAAACTTGAAAGCCAGCATTAACCTTCCAAACCAGCTGAAGGTGCTTAAAAGACAATAAGGGTAAAATTTCATTATACAGACTTCAAGTGGGTTTTTAAAAAATCTATAGACTTTCCAACTAAAATGATGAATGCTGTTCTGATTCTAATTGACAAGTGTTATATATAAAAGAGTTCTTGCCTTCATTCTTATCAAAACTGTGGGGATTTCCAATGATAGGACAATATTATGTGGGTGGAAACTTCTCAGAAGAATAGAGAACTTATCAGTATTTACTTAGGTTCTATTACATTCAGAGCCATAAAAGAAACTACACTCATAAATTTATAGACAGTCAAGGATATTGCCTCTTCCCCAAAGAGGCTAGATATTAAAGGAGTGGAGCGAATGAGCTCAAATCATGAAGTGGTTTCAATATTGGAAGAGTTTTCCCCCTTCATATTTCAACTTGTAACTAATATGTTATGAAGAATTGCTGGCTAGCTAACTTTGAGGGTTTGGCAGAAGAAAACAGTCTTCACCACTTTTTCTTACAAATGTTCTTTTTCTTCTACAATTAGTACTTAATGATAATATCGACCCTTTAATGAGTTACTGTAGATTAATGATTACCACACTTGTTCAAATATATTTAGGATTCCAACTTTGCAGATAAAGAAAGAGGTTTATAGAGGTTAAGAATCTTGCCCAAAATCACACAGCAGGGACAAGATGTAAGCCTGTTTTTTTCTTTGCTTCCTATTTCTGCTGTCACAAATTACCACGAACTGAGTGTTGTGAACAACACAAATCTATTATTTTACAGCTCGAGGTCAGAAGTACAAAAGGGGTTTTACTGGGCTAAAATCAAGGTGTCAACAGGGGTGCATTCCTCTGAAGAAGCCAGGAAAATCTTTTTCCTTCCCTTTTTTAGCTTCCAGGGTCTTCCTCCATTTTTTGGCTCCATTCCTTGGCCCCTTCCGCCATCTTCCTTCTTCAAAGCCCACAATTTCATTACCCAACCTCAGCTTCTGCTATTACATCTCCTTTTCTGACCCTTCTTCCTCTCTTTTTCATCCTTTAAGGACCCTTGCGATTATATCAGACCCACTTAGATAATCCAGGACAATCTCCTCTATTTCAAAACCCTTAATCACATCTGCAAAGTCACTTTTGACATTTAAGGTAACATTCAGTTTCTAGGCATTAGGGCAACTGTGAGAGGCCATTATTCTGCCTACTACAAAAGCTAAAGATCTGGGTAAGTATAGTGCAGTTGTGTGCATACAGCAGTTCTCCTTTATCTGTGGGGGATATGTCCCAAGACCCCAAGTAGATGCCTGAAACCATGAATAGCACTGAACTCTGTATATATTGTTTTTTTCCTATACATACATACTTATCATAAAGTTTAATTTATAAATTAGGCATAGTAAAAGATTAACAACAATTGCTAATAATAAAACAGGACAATCACAACAATATACTGTAATAGAAGTCATGTGAATATGGTCTCTTTAAAAAAAAATAAATATATAAATATATAAATATAAATATATATATATATATATATATTTTTTTAGATGGAGTTTTGCTCTTGTTGCCCAGGCTGGAGTGCAGTGGTGCCATCTCAGCTCACTGCAACCTCCGCCTCCTGGGTTCAAGCAATTCTCCTGCCTCAGCCTCCCAAGTAGTTGGGATTACAGGCATGCACCACCATGGCTGTCTAATTTTGTATTTTTAGTAGAGATGGGGTTTCTCCATGTTGGTCAGGCTGGTCTCGAACTCCCAACTTCAGGTAATCTGCCTGCCTTGGACTCCCAAAGTGCAGGGATTACAGGTGTGAGCCACTGCGACAGGCCTAAAATATCTTACTGTACTTTATTCACCCTTCTTAGGCATATCCAAATTGTCAGTACTATTAACTCTTGCCCTTTGGGGCCATTATTAGGTAAAATAAGATCAACTGTCACAGTATCACAGTGATTGTGTTACTTGAACTGTGACAGTTGATCTGATGACCAAGATGGCTACTAAGTGACTAATGGCTGAATAGGGTGTACAGAGTGGATTCAGGACAAAGGAATGATTCACATCCAGAGCAGGATGACATGAAATGTCATCATGCTACTCAGAACAGTGACCATTTAGAACTTATACATTGTTTATTTTTAGAATTTTCAGTTTAATATTTTTAGACTACAGTTGACTGGTGTTAACTGCAACTGCAGAAAACGAAACCTTGGATAAGGGAAGACTGTTGTATTTTGATATTAATATGTCAATATAATTTAGTAGAGAAAAAATACAATCACAGAGATTAATGATCACTACAATGATTACGGTAGTGTAATATAATAGAAATAGCTTTGAATCTGGAAAAATTCTGGCTTCATCATTTACTAACTGTATAACATCAGATAAATATCTTAGTGTTGTCTCTTTAGAGGTGATGTGGTGGTGAGTTATAAGGAATGTTGTTCCTTCTCCTTCATTTTTAGAAAATAACAAAGATAGAGAAGGCAGACAATATAGTACATGTTGTACTTAGATGTTATAAGTAATGTCTAATAATAATTACATTTGCAAAAACTATTTTCTAAATATATTAAACATTTTGTGGGCCTTATTTTTATTTTACAAATAATATTCTGCTGCTCAATGTGCTCTTTTTGTTCCTCCTCTGATATTCAATGTCTGCTTGTTTTTTTGTTTTTTTTTTTTCTGTAATGCCTCTTAAATTTAGGAATCTGAATTAATTCATTAGCTTGATGATGGCTTTTTCTCATTCCATTTTAGGAACTTAATTTTTAGCATGTAATTTTCTGTATTGTTGTTTGCTGGTATAGGTGTACAACTAGTATTTTTTATGAAAAACAAATCCTGCATTAGCCTTTTAAAAATCATTTATAAAATAAATCCCAACCTCATATTATAGGAAAGTTATGATATAAAGTATCACCTCTGCCTCGTCATTCCCTCACTTTGATCCCATTCTCAGAGGGAACTCCTAACTGTTGGGTTTTAATTCTTTTTCTTTAGAATGTTACCTTATAATTCTTGATCACATGCTTGTCAACTTTTTAAACAATTGTTGACTCCTGATTTGAAAGGCTAGGATCTGGCCAATTTAATTACACCATCTTTCCTTGCCCCTCCTTTCAATATTTGACATTTATATTTTAAATTTTGTTCTTCTATTGTTTACTTTTACAACTGAAAATAATATGGGTAAGCATTCATTTTTTTTTTCAACAGAGTCTATACTCTTCACTTTCCAGATAAGGTATTAATTCTCCTACTCATTTCCTCAAGTTTTCCTTTCTTCAGCAGCTTAACTTTGGTCAGGTGTCAAGTTTGTTTATATTTACAGTTTTCCTATAACCACCTCCAACTATTCTTTTTGTGAATATGTTGATTTTTTTTTTTTTTTTTTTGAGACAGAATTTTGTTCTTGTTGCCCAGGCTGGAGTACAATGGCATGATCTTGGCTCACCACACTCTCCACCTCCTGGGTTCAAGTGATTCTCCTGCCTCAGCCTCCCGAGTAGCTGGGATTACAGGCATGTGCCATCATGCCCAGCTAATTTTGTATTTTTCATAGAGACGGGGTTTCTCCATGTTGGTCAGGCTGGTCTTGAATTCCCAACCTCAGGTGATCCACCTGCCTCAACCTCTGAAAGTGCTGGGATTACAGGTGTGAGCCACCGTGCCCGGACACATTGACTTTAAAGTTGGAAATGTATGAACAACATTGCCAAACCACAAATATTATTTGATGCTGAGTCACATAGTGTACTATGTTCTTTGAAGTAGTTTCACTCTCAGGAAACCTAGGGCACTCATGGGAACAAGTTCACCATGTGAAAATGGATTCTCTCTCTTTTTTTTTTAACTCAATTTTTTGAAATCATTTCAAATTTACATTTTCTTTAGATTTATATTTACTTAATATAATACCATTCCAAATTTACTTGTATTTGCTTTATTTGATTTTGAAAGTTTCATGCAGATTTGTTTTTATCCTGAAATATCAAATTGTCTTTCATTTTGTTTCCTGCACTAAATTTGCCTTTATCTTATCCTCAGTTTTTTACCCCCTCAAAGTTTTATATTGTCTCAGATTTTTTCCCCTTGGAAATGTCCTTCATGGAGCTCTCTATATTGTTCCTTCTTCATTCAGAATGTGTGGCCTCTTTAATCTTGCTGTGCAGCTGTCATTCTCCAAATCCCCTCAATTTATTTTTTGGATGAGAGTCTTATTTTATTTGACTCAATATAATTTTGCTTATGTATTATTGTTTTAACTTTTATGGAGTCTATCAGATTGTATATTAATAATGTGAGATATTAGAGATTGGTTTATCTTATACCCATGACTGCTTTCTAATTCCTCTCATTTAGATCATGGGACATGAGGCTGCCCTTATTTCTGAAATAGTGTACAGGAAAACACCAGGGAACAAGTATCCAGAATCATGACTGCTAGGTTAAAAAGGCATCATCCAAGTATGGACAGAGAATTCACTAATGAAGTCCAAATAGGAAGAACAAGAGAATATGTTGGGAGAGGAAAAGGAATGAGGCATGATGTAAAGGGTGGTAAACCTTGTTTTCTAATCCTTGTCTGGATTAGGGTAGAATAGAGGCACAACAGTGTCTGCCTACATTTCCTAAGGCATCCTTCAATAGAGGGAGTAGTCATCTTGTTTATCCTAACTGGAACTCTTGTTTTTGGTTGACTTCCTAAGATGTCAGTAAGGGATGATATGGTATTATGAGAACTTACAGATAGCCTCATATAGGATTCTACAGATCCTACAGCTAACCCATGTAGCCTCATATAGACTCTATGCAAAAATTGTTAAAGTTTAAGATAATATACATAACTAGAATAATATATAATGCTCACAAATTAGATGATTTCATAAATCATGGTTGTCAACTCTTTGCAATTTCATCAATAAAGTTATAGTGTTTCCAGTGAAAAGCCAAGCATGATTTTTAGTGAATATTAATAAGCTCATGCTAAACATCTCTATGCCAATCAAAGGCATAAGAAAGTCAAGAAAATCTTGAAGGCAATATTTTATCTGCTTTTATGCATGTATGGCACATTTTATAGGTTTAAAAAATTAAAATAAACAAATAAATAGAACCAATTATATAACCAGAAAGAAGTTTCAGAGACTAAAGGTATCATAAGCAAAACAGAAAATACATTTGAAGCCTAAAAAGTAAGCAATGGAAATATGTATTATGCCAAAAAGAAAAAGTAGAAAGACAACAAAAGTATGAAATAAAAAACAGGAGAAAAAGAAAACTAATTTAGGAAGTACAACTAGTAGAAATAAGAACAAGAAAGTGAAAGCAAAGAAATGGGAAAGAAGAACTGATCAGAGGGGAAAAAAGAAAAACTAGAAAATATTTTCAAAGTTTACCAGGACATGTTTCAAAATTGAACTTTCTTGACTAACTCAATTCTTTCTTTACTTATTCTGCTTCTAAACCTTCCTAGAATCCTCCTTCTATTGGAAATGAAGGAAGCAGCCTGGGATAATAGACTCTTCACTTTGTTCCTTCCTAGTCACAGGTTATGTGTGTGTGTTTGTGTGCATCTGATGAAATAATATATACAGAGTAAATATGTATGAAAATTAGGAAAAGGCCAGTATTTATTTATTAGCTTCTTTTACCTTTACTATCATTTTTAATATCTGTTCTTTAGTCAGTTTAAGGAAATATCAAGTAGAGGCTCATTATACTCCAAAATGCAAATATGTTTCTGAGACTTTAAACACCACATTGTCTAACTTCATAATGCTAGAATTCTGTTCCTTTATACTCATACCAAAATTTTCTTTTTTCAGGGATTATTTTGTTAATACATTCTGCCTTCTTTCCTCACATCTGTCAACAAGCAATGACTGCCTCTTTATCTTCCAACTTTTTTCTTTTCTCAAATTACCAATGTCTTTTTTACAGTCAAGTTTATTTTTATAGATTTTATTTTATTTATCTAATTTGTTTTATTAGACTGTGCTGCTGAATTTTACCTTCTATGGCATTTTTTTCAGTGAAAATCCACTTTCTTGATTTTGCTTGACTTGCTGACCTTTCTTTTCCTTTCCCTCTGTCCCTTCCTCCCTCTCTCCCTCCCTCCCTCCTTTCCTTCCTTCCTTCTCTCCTCCTCCTTCTTCTCTTCTCTTTTCTCGCTCCTTCCTTCCTTCCTTCCTTCCTTCCTTCCTTCCTTCCTTCCTTCCTTCCTTCCTTCCTTCCTTCTCCCTTCCCTTCCCTTCCCTTCCCTTCCCTTCCCTTCCCTTCCCTTCCCTTCCCTTTCTCTTCTTCTTTCTTTTTCAGACAGGACCTCACTCTGTCACCCAGGCTGAGTGTGATTTCAGCTCACTGCAGCCTTGACTTCCAGGCTCAAGAGATCCTCCTGCCTCAGCCTTCCAAGTAGCTGGGACTACAGGTGCCTGCCACCATGCCTGGCTAATTTTTGTATTTTTTGTAGAGATGGGGTTTTGCCACGTGGCCCATTCTGGTCTTGAACTCCTGGGCTCAAGCAGTCTGCCTAACTCAAGATTCCTAAAGTGCTGGGACTACAGGTGTGAGCCACTGCACCTGGCCTGACCATTCATTCTGTATCTTCTATGTTGTTGTTGTTTTTTAATTTGAGGAGTATACTTTTTCTTTTATTTTTTCGTTAAATAGTTCCTTAGAATATTTTCAGTCTTACATAATCTTCCTATACATTCTCATTTGTTTTCTTGATGTAAGATGATTTCTAGGTTTTTGGTTTTCCCTATGACCAGCTCACATATGTCCCTGAGACAGTTTCTCTACTAAAGCATTTATTTATTTATTCAAGAAATGTGTGAGTGCAAATTATGTGCTAAACATTTTAGCAACACATTCTTTCTTCTGCTGTCCTTAACCTGCACTCCATTTCACTGGAATGGCCACATTCCTATTATCATTCAGTACTCACTAGTTCACATTAGAAATTTTATATTCGCAAACAGGGCTGAGTGCGGTGGCTCATGCCTGTAATCCCAACACTTTGGGAGGCTGAGGCAGGCAGATCACGAGGTCAGGAGATGGAGGCCATTCTGGCCAACATGGTGAAACCCTGTCTCTACTAAAATACAAAAAATCAGCTGAGCGTGGTGGCACACACCTGTAGTCCCAACTACTGGGGAGGCTGAGAGAGGGGAATCACTTGAACCTGGGAGGCGGAGGTTGCAGTGAGTGGAGATCGTGCCAGTGCACTCCAGCCTGGCAACAGAGCAAGACTCTGTCTCAGGAAAAAAAAAAAAAAGGAATTTTATATTAGCAAACAGCACACTGAAGTCACAAATTTTTATCTATCCATATATTTTACTTCCTTCTTCTAGACATCAAGAAAAGTAATTATTTTTTTTTAAAATGTCATTCCCAGATGACTCTAATCAGATCTACCTCTGTGCACTGTTGAAACAGAATCCAGAGTCCTAATCTGGACCATGGAAACTGAGTTGCTAGGACGGACTTACAGAATCTGCATTAGTAGCAAATGTTCTAGGTGATTCACATTCACGTTACATTTTAAGAACCACTGCTGTATGTTGTTTTCTTTTCTTGTTATAAATGATATCGTCATATATATTTATACAAAAATGTACATATGCATATATGCATATGTATGTAATGTTCCATACAAATAATTATATCATTGCAATAGATGCCTGAGCAGGAAATGATAGTTAAAAAGAAAACCATTTTAATATATCTTCCACTATTCCAATCGCTTGCATTCTTTCTCCAATTTAATTCTATAATATAGTTTTTCTAGTTGTATATCTATCCTCTTTTCAGTCCTTTTCATTGGTTTCCTTCCTACCATTCATTTATATGCTGGTATTCCCCAGGGAGAGGTCCTTCTTTGGTCCTTGTCTTTTCTTCTACACTTAAAGTTTTGCAGAGGTCACTTAGGTATTTCTCAAGAACCATGCTTAGTCTGCATCTCCCACTTTGTGTTCATTTAATGAATTAAAAGGTCAACATAAAATATATGTAGGGCTGGGCACGGTGGCTCATGCCTGTAATCCCAGCACTTTGGGAGGCCGAGGCAAGTGGATCATGAGGTCAGGAGTTCGAGACCAGCCTGACCAACATGTTGAAACCCCGTCTCTACTGAAAATATAAAAATTAGCCGAGTGTGGTGGCATGTGCCTGTAATCCCAGCTACTAGGGAGGCTGAGGCAGGAGAATCACTTGAATCTGGGAGGCAGAGGTTGTAGTGAGCCAAGATCATGCCACTGCACTCCAGCCTGGGTGACAGAGCGAGACTCCATCTCAAAAAAAAAAAATTATATGTAGAGTTTTCTAATGCTAAAATTTTTCAATGGTCAATGTTTTTCCCTTTCCCTGTGTAATTTACTCATTAACCGTTCCTTCCTAATATGGTAGCCTTGTTATTGCCTCCCTATCATCTAGAAAGCAAGTTAAGACAAGTAGATTATGATTTTATGGGAAACCAAAGTCTTGAGAAACAAAACAAAACCCACTCTTTATTCTTTACTCTGAGGTTAAGAGAAAAAAAAAAAGCTGCATTAGTTAGCTATTGCTACAAAATGCTGCATGACAAAAGAGTCATAAAACTTTCAGTGGCTTATTGATATTTTATTTTTATACTTAAAAGGCTGTAATAATTTAGCTGATCTAGGCTAGGCTTTTCTGAATGAGTTAAATGGCAGGCTTCTGATTTGGCTTCAGGTCTGAGGTGCAGGTGGAAGGAGCAGCAGAGATATTGGAAAATCTTTTTTTTTGGTGGCAGATCCCAGGTGCACAAGAGAACAAGCCCAACCATGCAAGCAATTACATTATGTTCATTCGCATTTCCTTAGTCAAAGCGGTTTCAGGGCAAGCCCAACCTTAGTGGGATGGGGAAATATACCCCACCCACAGTGGGAGGCTTTGTAAAATTACATAGCACAGGGTGTGGAGGTATAATCCTAGTACTAGGCACTGAGTAATTGCGACAATAATCCAATCTACATCAGAGGGACAGTATATGAATCTGAGGATTCTTGGTATACATAATTTTTTGTTTGTTTTGCCATTATCAGAAACTTTCTCAGATGATTTTTTTAGAGGGTTTCACTTACTTAATTAAAAAGGTTACTACTCATTTACTTGTGTTTTATCATTAGTTCTTTTACTGTAGAAGTGGCAGAAGACAGAGAAGAAAGGGCCTCAGTCTCTTGCCTGAGTCTGAGACCTGTGTTTCAAATTGTCCGATAAGTAATCTACAGACAGTTTTTCCTCAACAGGCACCCATAATTTTATTAATTCTTTGTTTATCTTAAGCCTGTGGCTCCTTAATTTCTCATCATCAAATCTCCCCAGGTTATCTTCAAGTTTTTCTTCTTTCTCATCCTTATACCCAATCTGTGAACAAATCCTGTCAGTTTCGATGGAGTATTCCTTTCAAGTCCCCTCAGTCAATTTTTATTTCATTAAGTGTTTTCATTTTTAACCAGGAGTTTTACTTCAAAAACCTCTGGATCCAGAGGCATCTTATAAAAAAAGAAACCTGAGAGTGTCCCCTGTTTAAAGGGCTCACTCAACTGCTGGAGCCCGGGCTATCTTCTCTTTCCCATTCACCACTCAAACTACATGGAATACTGACGTCAAAACTCTCACTTTTTAGATGATTCTCTTACTATCTGAATATCACCTACATTGCCTTCTCCACTCAGCAAAGCCTGATTCATCTTCCAGAGCAAAGTAGGGTGTAATCTTTGCTCTTAAGCCTTTCAGGATTCTCTTACGAAGTCAGTGGCCTTCTCCTGGCATTCTCACTGCATTCTGCACAACTACCCATTCAAGAATTGTTTCATGGATTCTTTACATTTGATTATAAAAGCATTAAAAGATCCTCATAAAAATCAGAGGACATATAAAGTGTAAAGAAGAAAATATAATCACTGTTCTTGGCTTAAGAGAATACAGTTAACATTTTGGTACTATATTTTTATGGCAGGATTACCTCATTTAACAATATAGCATAGCATTTTTCCAATTGTAGTCTATTATAAAAATTAATTTTGCTGTTTCTCTCCCCCCACAGATTGTTCATTCCTTTAAGGATCATCATTTTTCATTTTACACCTTATTTCCAGTGCTTGGTACAATCCTTGGCAAATAGGACACATTTAATTAACAGTTGTGTGAATGTTAAATGAAATGGGAATATTTTATTAAGTCCGAAATAATTCAGTGAACAAAGAAGCATAACTATAAGCCAGTGACAGACTACAAAATAGGTAGTATTTTACTAAAGTCTGGATATCTTGTTATGTTAAATATTATTTTTGAAAGCCTGACATTGTGTCAAGGCAATAGTTATGCTATAATTCTGTGTTAATCCTGTTTTCTATTTTTTTGTCCTCAGGAAATTATTTGCTATAAGAAATAGAGTCACATGAGACTTTAAATATTAGTCAAATAATGCTGTAGTTTTAGCACTGGTAAGAGATACAAGGGGTTAAGTCACTCTAGTCTTTCTTCTTCTTCTTTTAAAGACATGTAACTTCTTTGTCTGATCTCCTTATGGTCCTTGTCACAACTGTATGGCTTTTAATCACTCATACATTCAGTGAGTTACTGCACTGCTGGAACCTTAATAACGTTCTAGTTTGTTTGGATGATCTTCCTGATAAAGTCCTGACAATCTCTCAGTATAATGGAAAGACAATCAAAATAAAAAATGCTTTAAGAGTTCAGGTAGTGGAGCATACTATTATTTTTCACACAGTGCAAGGATATTAAAATACTGACTTTCATTCATTTGATTGAGTTGGTGATGAAATCCAAGAAAAATTGAAAATTTGAATTATTCTACTGCCAGTAGGGACTGTATATCATGAACAGAAAAGCAGGCATATGTAACTGACTCTTGTAGCATAATCTGAAAAGTGTCAGCTTGCCCTCCTTTTATATGAATTTCTGCAGTATATCTAAGCAATTAATTCATTATATAGCTCTCATATTTGCAATCACCACCTGGAATTTTATAAAAATATAAAATGTCATCTTCAATATACATAGTTTGAATAGTTAAAATGACGTCTTACATTGATAGAGTGTTTCAGTTTTTTCAAGATGCTTTCTGTTAAAGTATCTCATTTGACTCAACAGTCCTCTGAAAGTAAGTAGTGGAACTCTGATAATTCTCCAGCCTGTTCCATACCCTTTGCCTCCTTCCTTCTTATTAATTTCCAATTTATCTTTCTTTCTTTTAAAGGAGGCAGTTTGGTGTGATGGAAAGAGCATAGAATATGAATTCAGATATTTAGCTCTATCCTTGTCTTGAATTACTTTGACATTGGAGGGATCATTTTCAGTTCTCTGAACCTTGGTTTTCTAATTGGCAAAATAATAATGATGCTAAAGTGTACTCCCAATGTTGTGAGGATTAATTAAGGTGAAATTGGGGAAACCTTAAAAGAGCAAATGTAACATTCATGTTAGCTTCTTTTAAGGGCAGCTTGGGATGATGGAAAGAGAACAGATCTTTGCTTCATGGCTTCTTACTTATGGTACTTGAGCAAGTAATCTACCCTTTCTGAGCTTCATTTTTCTAAGTGTGAAATGGGTATAACAATACCTGTCTTGTGAAGCTGCTGAAAGATAAGGTGACATATATGCTGATTCTAGCATAGTTCCTAACTCAGAGTCATATATCCTATTGAAAGTGTTTCCCTTTCTTTCATCCTTCCTCCCTACCTCTTACCACTCCTCTTTCCCACCTCCTGTCTTTCCACTTTACTCTTCATCCTCCTATCTCAACTTTGTGTGACAGAAAAAGATAAAGAACGTGATTGGAGAATCTCAAGATTTAATAATTTAGAAAGTATTTAGCTTAGAAATTCTTTTTTCTAAAGAAAATTGTAATTTTCAGTTGAGGCAGGAGATGGGGATTCAAGTTCTCCCTCCTTTTGAGAAAAGACCCCTTCCTGGCCCACTTTGAAATCTCCATTGAATCCTGTAAACTTTGTGCAGTAGAATTTGGAAAACCACTGGTGTAGCCGAACCCTCTCAACTTGCAGATGGAAAAACTGAATTTGAGGGAAGTTGAGATACTTGCCTAAGCTCGTGAGGCTGGGAAGTGGTGAGCTAAGACTAGAACTCAGTCGTTCTTTGCCTTACCCTATTCCCTTAGTAAGTAAAGATACAGAGTGCAAATATGTATAATCAGATTCATCTCTTGAAAGATGTTACAGTCTATTTGTGTAGATGGAACTCACATTAAAAGATGAGGAAAGTAAAGTAGTATGATATAACAATGAAATGGGTGAAATAGGTAAATCCATTAAGAAGAGACGGGCATGGATGATCACTGTTTTGGGGGGCTGGACACTGCAAACTTTATGAGGGCAGGAATTTCTTTGCTGTGCTCATTATTATTTTATTCCCAGTGCGTAGAGAAGTGCCTGGTTTCCTATAGGGAATTAATACTTTTTAAAAATTAAATAAATGAATGGCTAAATGAGATGTAAATGAACCAGTCCTAGAAAAAGGGCAAGGGTTTAGAAAAGTTAGATCAGAGTGTTTAAACAATGGGCTGGTCTTCATTGTTGGGCAATGAAATATGTTGAGTGAGTCACGATTTACATATAAAAGTGTCAGCCGGGAGCAGTGGCTCAAGCCTGTAATCCCAGCACTTTGGGAGGCCGAGGCGGGTGGATCACAAGGTCAGGAGATTGAGACCATCCTGGCTAACATGGTGAAACTCCGTCTCTACTAAAAATACAAAAAATTAGCCAGGCGTGGTTGTGGGTGCCTGTAGTCCCAGCTACTCGGGAGGCTGAGGCAGGAGAATGGCATGAACCCAGGAGGTGAGCCGAGATCGCCCCACTGCACTCCAGCCTGGGCGACAGAGCAAGACTCCGTCTCAAAAAAAAAAAAAGTGTCATTATGTCATGGAAATTGTTTAGATTTATATGTGATACATACATAAAATATATTTGGACCAATATGCTTGTATGTACACTTGGTCACAAGTTAAAATGTGTGTCTCACTGTAAGTCATGATTAAAAATGTTTGAAAAATATGGTTTTAGACAAAGGAAATACTAAAGTTTGAGGCAGGCATGTGAATGTTTTGTGGGAAAATAGTGAGTTTAACAGTTTTGCTAAATCTGAGGTGAAGAGAATAGTGAAATCAAGTCTATCCAGGGGAAGAAGAATCCATTTGGCTCTTTAGCTATTAAAGAATTACAGGGACTCCACTTCACCTCCTGACTGTCTCCATCATCCACAATAAGATTTAACAAAGCTACATGTTAGGAAGATTAGACAGCTTAAACTTTCAGGAGTGATTCACTCGGATTGGAACTGGGGGGAGTAGACAGAGAACGATGCAAAAGAGGCAGCACAGGGTAGGAAAGTTATGGCTTTAACTGGTGACACCTGGTAAAGAAAACCAGTTTCTTGGGCACGGTTTGGGTAGATGAGGTTAAAAAAAAAAAGTGAATGTGTGATGACAAAATGGAGACCAAATTGTGAACAATTTCACAGAAGGGCTGTCTGAGAAAAAAACAAACGGAAACAAAAAACAAAACAAAGAAAGCATTAAGAGAACAAAAAGTAGGAGTTAGGAGAAGGTTAGGATGGAGGTGAAAATCTTTGTGGTCAACTAGGGATAGTCAATAGAGATCTCTAGACATTGATGAGAAATTAAAGAAGGCCAGAAGGTCTTTAAAAAGATTACTTTGAAAGAAAGAGATTCCTTCTCCCCTGAAATCTAGCTATTAAGACCAGAGGGGATGGGAGGGATACTGGATATAGATAACAAAACTTAAACAGTTAATAAATGCTTCTTTCTTTAATTTGAACACTGACTAGAACAGCAGTTTTAATCAACAATGTGGCATTAGCCTACTACTTTTGTGTTAGTAACAAGAGACACTTTTAAGTGTGTAAAAACATTTACTTTGCTAGGTAAGAAGCATACTCTTTATATGCCCTAAATTTGTTTAATATACTACCATTACTTGAGAAATTGTATAACTTTGACCACTCTCCATATTATGGCTAAATTAGGAAGTTAGAAGGAAGATTGAGTATTGTATGAAGGTTTTAGATTTCATGTCCTTAAAACTACTTAAAATAAGTTCAATATTGATGAAAAAAGTTGAGAAAGTTAGAAATCTAATTACAAATGTCTGAAATATGTCCACATAAGTTGAGCTTTTCCTTTTGGTTGGAGTTTGTCTGAATTCAGAGGAAATTCAGAGGTCAAGAATGATGAATAATAATAATTATTATTTTTTTTGGAGATGGAATTATTATTTTTTAATACAAATAATAAATATTATTTTTTGTCGCTCTGTTGCCCAGGCTGGAGTGCAGTGGCGCGATCTTGGCTCACTGCAACCTCCGCCTCCCAGATTCACGCCATTCTCCTGCCTTAGCCTCCGGAGTAGCTGGTATTACAGGTGCCTGCCACCACGCCCAACTAATTTTTGTATTTTTAGTAGATACGAGGTGTCACCGTGTTGGCCAGGATGGTCTTGATCTCTTGACCTCATGATCTGCCTGCCTGGACCTCCCAAAGTGCTGGGATTACAGGTGTGAGCCACTGTGCCTGGCCTATTATTTATTAATTAATTAATTTATTTTTTGAGACGGAGTCTTGCTCTGTCTTCCAGGCTGGAGTGCAGTGGTGTGATCTCGGCTCAGTGCCAACCTCTGCCTCCCGGGTTCAAGCGATTCTCCTGCCTCAGCCTCCCGAGTAGCTGAGACTACTGGTACATGCCAACACGCCCAGCTAATTTTTGTATTTTTAGTAGACACAAGCTTTCACCATGTTGGCCAGGATGGTCTCAATCTCTTGACCTCGTGATCTGCCCGCCTGGGCCTCCCAAAGTGTTGGGATCACAGGCGTGAGCCACTGTGCCTGGCCAAATAATTATTTTTTAAAAAAACCATGGCTTAAGTTATTTATTTTTAAAAGGAAGCCAAATAGTACCCCTCTGTTGTTTATTAAAGGAAATATATGACATTATAGATGTCCTGTGAGCACATGTGTATATGAGTCTATATAATTAAGAGAAAGATAGAACATGAGCCTATGCATGTTTATGTGTGTGCGTGTATTTATATTTATGTATGTGTGTGTTTGTGTGTGTGTAATGAAACTGTCTCTAGGCAAGGCCAGGTACAAAGGTCCATCATTTAAGTCTCAGAGCTAAATAAACATGTGAGGTTATAATTATTTTATTGAGCTTTTTTATTTTATGACCCACTAATGGCTTATGGATCAGTTATATTGATAAGCACTGAAAACATACAGCTTCAGAGTTTTTTTATTTTTTCATTTATTGTTTTTATTTTAAAGTGCCAAGAAGAAAATGCCCAGTTCCCAGCCTTATTTTTCATTTATAATAAACCATAGAAGTACAATTTATATTATAGGGTAGAAACTAAAGTGTATGTAGGGTGTATATAACTGGCAATTTGTATGCGACAATAACGTACTTTCAATTTCTGATGAAAATTGTTGAACTTCATTTTTGAATTTAAAATTAAATTTATTTTTAAAATTTTTTTTATTATGAATTTGGGGCGTACACATGCAGGTTTGTTACATGGACATACTGTGTAATGGTGAGATTTGGGCTTCTAGTGTACCCATCATTCAAATAGTGCATATTGCACCCAAAAGACCATTTTTCAACACTCACCTCCCTCCTGTTCTCCAATTTTTTTGGAGTCTCCTGTGTCTATTGTTTCCATCTTTACATCCATGTCCATTGTTTATCTCCCACTTAAAAGTTAGAACATGTGGTATTTGATTTTCTGTTTCTAAGTTATTTCACTTGGCATTCCAGTTCCATACATACAGCTGCAAAATACATGATTTTATTCTTTCTTTATTGCTGTGTAGTATTCCATGGCATATATATACCACATTTTCTTTACCCAATCATTCATTGATGAATACTTGGGTTGATTCCATGACTTTGCTATTGTGAACAGTGCTGCAATAAACATAAGAGTGCACCACCAATAGGGTATAAGCATTCCCTTTTCTCCACACCCTTGACAAAATTGTTGAAATTCTGCATTTGAGTGTATGTCTTGAAATCAACTATTCAATATCAGGTTAATGTTTCTTTTTGCACTTTTTATTATGGCAAAATTAACCCCGTTATGTCATTTAGCATTTGTGAGAAGATAACGTAATACAAACATAGTTTTTAAAATTTGTTGTTGTTTTGTTTTTACATGTACTGTAGATTATGTATGCCATATTTTATCAAGAGTTGAGATGCTAGAAATTCCTGTCTGTGTAATTTCCTGTGGGAACTACCTGTAGCTTTCTGCCCAAAGAAAGAGGGGCGGGGCAGGGCTATGCAGGCCAGTTTAATCTTTCCAAATTTGCCAGCCAGATAAATTCCTTTACCTGCTCTGGGGCAGGTGAATGAATGCATGCAGTGAGGTCAGGAGTCAGCTCCAGCTGTATAGAAGGAAACATCAGGAGTGAGGAGTGTCTCCTCCCCTCCCAGTGTTAACATTTCTAATATTCATGGATAGATTCAATTGAAAACTAAGTATAAACATTTTGTTTAATGTAGTGCTTGATTATCTGTCTTATCTATTTTCAAGTAAAACTAAAAACTGAGTATTTAGCTTTAAAATTATTTAGCTTCTCTCAAACTCTCAGTTTTATCAACATCTTGTCAATTTTAATTGATAACACCTTCAGCAGAGTTTGTAGGAATGAAATAGAAGCATTTCCCAGTTTTGCTTCAAGAGTCTGAAATATTTTGGTTTTTTAAGATTATATTGCCATTACAAAGAAAACCATTTGACTTGATATATGTATATGTTCCCCATGGTCAGAGCCTACCATTAAATTTTCTAAAGATTCTTAGGTTAATTTTTTTAACTGTGTACTTTCAGTGCTAAAATATTTATTAGAATCACACTATGGGGAATGAGAAATGTTAGACTTTATCAATATCGTTGTCTATTGGATCCTCTACATTTACAGTCAAATTCTTCAAGTCTCATCATATGTACAGAAATTGAAGAACAGTTAATTTCTAGGTGACTAAATTTGGAAACACATGTAAAGAGAGCAGAAGGGCAATGGAAATTTACGCAAGAGAGAACTACCTATTTTCTGAATTTGTTAATATTTAAAATAGGACCCCTACCCAAACTAAATGAAACTAAAAATTCAGTTCTTGTTTTTCTGCTAGACCTTGCATTTCTTTGTATTACTATTTGCACCATTAAAAATATATATATAAATATATATTTTAAAAAGTTCTCTGCCGGGCGTGGTGGCTCACACCTGTAAACCCAGCACTTTGGGAGGCCGAAGTGGGCAGATCACCTGAGGTTGGGAGTTTAAGACCAGTCTGACCGATATGGAGAAACCCCGTCTCTACTAAAAATACAAAATTAGTCGGATGTGGTGGCACATGCCTGTAATCCCAGCTACTTGGAAGGCTGAGGCAGGAGAATCGCTTGAACCCAGGAGGGGGAGGCTGCAGTGAGCCGAGATCGTGCTATTGCACTCCAGCTTGGGCAACAAGAGCGAAACTCCGTTCAAAAAAAGAAAAAAGAAAAAAAATTATGATGCATTAGCTTACATAAATATACATTGAAATTTAGGCCGGGTGTGGTGGCTCACGCCTGTAATCCCACCACGTTGGGAGGCCGAGGCAGGCGGATCGCCTGAGCTCAGGAGATCGAGACAAGCCTGGGCAACATGGCGGAACCCCGTATCTACAAAAAATTGAAAAAATTAACCAGGGCGTGGTGGCGGGTGCCTGTGATCCCAGCTCCTTGGTAGGTTGAGGTGGGAGGATCGCTTGAGCCCAGGAGGCCCAGGCTGCAGTGAGTTGAGATCCCACCACTGCACTCCAGCCTGAGTGACAAATGGAATTTAAATAGTATTAGGGACAAAAGGATTAATGAACACGGTTTAAAGGAATTCTGCATATTAGAATTCTGGAATACTTCCGCAGGCATTCTAAAGTCCTAAAACCTGTTGTTTTACGGATTCTAAAATTCAGTTTTTTGTACAGCGGATTTTCAAACAATTTTTTTTCTTTTACTGAGGACGTTGAAATTCATAGCACAGGATCTTGAGTCCACCCTGAAAACTAAAGAAAGTGGCTTGTTAGACTCTTCAGTCCCAAAATATAATGTGAAATGAGAATGCATGTTGATATCAGATAAATTTAGGCTTTGAATCTTGGCTTTGTCAAGCGGTATGTATTCTTGCTCAAGCTAGTGTACCTTTTTGAGACTTAGTTTGCTCATGTATAAAGCTGGAGATAGCTACGCATCTTTTCTTTTTCTTTTTTCTTTTTTGAGATGGAGTTTAGCTCTTGTTGCCCAGACTGGAGTGCAATCGCGCGATCTGATCTTTGCTCACCACGACTTCCGCCTCCCGAGTTCAAGCGATTCTCCTGCCTCAGCCTCCCAAGCAGCTGGGATTGCAGGCACGTGCCACCACGCCTGGCTAATTTGTATTTTTAGTAGAGACGGGGTTTCTCCATGTTGGTCAGGCTGGTCTCGAACTCCCGACCTCAGGTGATCTGCCCGCCTCGGCCTCCCGAAGTGATAGAATTACATGCATGGCCACCCCGCTCGGCCGGCAACGCATAATTTTAAAGGGATATGAAAGGGCTTGAAAAATATCTAGCACAGAATTGGCCCTTGTTATTTGTTAAGCACAGTATTATTTCCAAGGGAACTCTCCCAAATCATCCCTGACCAAACTACTACCCTTATTAAGAGATAGATTGGCCTCTTAGATTATATATCCCTTAGCTTTGCTCATCAATAGAGGCAAAGGATTCATTTATCTAAAGGAATAAAAAACAATTGCCCTTGAAGTTAGTGGATTCGTGCACCTAAAAAATGGCCTGCATATGGTACCAATCAAATCTTTTATTTCTTGCATATTTTGCAGATAATACGATTTTCAAATACAGGTTGTATGGAATCAAGTGAATCATCTTTAGGAGAAGACTGATTTTTAGTAACCTAAAATTTTTAGTAATCAAATCTGGCAGAGCCCAGATTTGAACTGAGGAGACTGTCTTTAGAGCCATACACTTATTCAGGACAGTAAATATTCAGAGATAAAACCAGTGTAGAAATTAATATCAGGGCTATATCATTAACAAGATTCTATCACTTCATTTGCATTTTTTTTTTTTTTTGGTGTATGTGTCTCTTATATAAAGAAATAGCGATGCTGTGAATGCCTACATATTTGTTGAACAAACATTTTTTAAAATTAGAAACTGGATAACAAGAGAGAATAAGAAAAATGTTCTGCATTTGTTAAACTACCATGGAGGTGAAGGAAGATTTTACAAGCTGAAAAATATGAAAAAAAAAGAACATTTCTTTATCTTCTGTAGTATTGATAAATAACATATTTCCAGAAGATTATCCATCACATCAATGTTTTCAAGTTTATTTGTATCAATTTGAGGAAAGTAGTCTATCATGACACTTTTAATTGATTAGGATATACCATATTACCAAAAATAGCAAAAACATATCACAAAGGTTTATGATTTATATAACAGGAAAAACAACCTTAACTTTTTTTTTTTGATGTTATAGAAAAAAGTGTTATTTTTTGGAAAAATTCTCCCATACAATCTGAGAACAATATAATTCTTATTAAATGTATGCTTAATTGCCTATTAGATAATTTGCTTATCTATGTGCTATACCTGGTAACTTTTGGTTTATTAATGTAAATTTTAAAAAGTTCCTCAAGAATTAATAATAACACAAAAGTTTAATAAGATTAACTGGAAAGTACATAATATCTAAGGTAAAATTAAATCAAACTTTGGGAAAAATCATTTCCCCTTCTTTGAGCAGCGCACATTTTAATTGTATACGTGCATAGCCATGGCAGAGCAGCACATATTGAGTGCCCAAAGTGTCAAAGCTGGCAGCCCAGGCTGAATCCTGTAGCATGGCTGCACTCTGATAAGCTACTACAGGTCTTCTCTCTGATACTTAGTTTGAACTTTAAAAATAATTTTTATCAGTGAAACCAAGAGTGAATGATAAAGATAATAGCTAAAGTAAAACAAAATTCAGGCGGAGGTGAAGTAAGTCCAACTTTATTAATTTTTTGTATTGAAGTATGGTACTGAAATAATATTTTACCATATTTTCCATGAACCTTGCCAGAAAATATATCTGGGATAATTAAGTGTTATACATATTACTACAAAGGAAGTAAGGACTCTTCATTTTCAATCCTAATGACCTTGAACAAGTAACTTCGTTTCTCTGGATCTCATTTCTTTTTCTTTTTCTTTCTTTTTTTTTTTTTTTGAGACAGAATCTCACCCAGGCTGGAATGCAGTGGCGTGATCTCGGCTCACTGCAACCTCTGCCTCCTGGGTTCAAGTGATTCTCTTGCCTCAGCCTCCCGAGTAACCGGGACTACATGCGTCAGCCACCACACTCGGCTAATTTTTGTATTTTTTATTTTAGCGGAGACGGAGTTTCGCCATGTTGGGCAGGCTGGACTCGAACTCCTGGCCTCAGGTGATCCACCTGCCTCGGTATCCCAAGGTGCTAGGATTACAGGCGTGAGCCACTGGTCCCGGCCGGATCTCATTTTCTCACCAGAGGATGGAATTAGATCACTGGTTTTCAAACGGTGCTCTGCAGAGTCCTACAGATTAGAAATGCTTTTTAGTCTCCCACACAATTCTGACTTTGTATTTTATCCATTAGCTTCATGCTTGGAATTTATTTAGATAATTCCATAAAGTAAAGGTTTGAAAAGCCCCTGGACTATATTACATCTGAAATTTCTTTACTTTTAACACTTTATGAGCCATTTATGTTTTTCCTAATTCCTATACTTGAGTCAGACACAGGAGTTACCATACAAATTTTGTGCTTTTCCACTTCTGGAACTGCCTTATACTCCAGACTTTTCATGGAATATCCATCTGCTCTTCTTACTAGTAGAAATTCCATTTATTTTTCAAGGTTCAACTCTGGCTATCCCTGAGATGAATTGAATTATCAGCCAGGAAAAAACTTTCGTTCCCTGGAATTTTGAAAACAGTAAGTTAGTATTATTTTTGAGCACTTACCTGTTCTTTGTTCTGTTAGGGTTGCTATGTACTTGATGAGTTTCTGTCATTCCTACAGGAGCTGGGCAAATCTGATAAGCACGAGTAGGGCGATGAATAGAAGATAACGGTGGGACCCCAAGGCACTTTCTAGGATGTACACATTTCATCAAGAGGGGGTGTCACAGCCTTAGTGAGATTTCTGTACTGTCCACAGGGAAATTTAAGATCAACATGGCCAAATTCTATTTCAATAAAAATTATGCATCTAAATTTTCAATGAAATTTTTGACATCTGAAAACTCATTTATAAAAATAAAAATGCAAAATGCCCAAACAAAAAAAAATGTGTAATGGCCACTTGTATACACTTGTATACACCTCTGGACTCTGGACTGCATACCCTGTGCCTGTCTTCATCCTCTAACATAACATAATCTACTTGCACCTTTGTTCAGGGAAATTTTGTGAATTTTGTTGGAAATGTTCGATAGCCTTTGTGTATAAGCTTGAATAAAATCATGATATTGAAGTTTTTAAAAATCTAGTGCAAACAACTGTCAAGCGCAATATCACAATATCCTCGAGAAAATCAAGTTGTGAAGTGGATCATCCTCAAATTTAAAATCTTTTGGTCTCACCCTCAGAATATCCCCTACTTGAGGCTTTGCAGTGTAAATGCCTTCCTGAATAAAAATGAGATTAAGGAATATTTCACAGTTCCTTAAGCAGCAGAAAGATTAGCTAGTTGCCTAGAAAAAATTAAAAATCTCATCTGGAAATTTGGGAGGATTTTAATGGGACCTCCTTGTATTGATCTTGAAAGATATAGTTTGTATTAAAAGCCTCTCTTCTCCTCTCCCCTCCCCTCCCCTCCCTTCTGCTCCATTTTTAGAAGGAGTCTCTCTCTGTTACCCAGGCTGGAAGTGCAGTGGCACAATCTTTGCTCACTGCAACCTCCGCCTCCCAGGTTCAAGCGACTCTCCTGCCTCAGCCTCCCGAGTAGCTGGGACTACAGGCTTGCACCACCATGCTCAGCTAATTTTTGTATCTTTTTATAGAGATGGGGTTTCACCATGTTGCCCAGGCTGGTCTTGAACTCCTGACCTCAGGTGACCTGCCTGCCTTGGCCTCCCAAAGTGCTGGGATTACAGGTGTGAGCCACCGCCCCCCGGCTGGTTTTTGTTTTGTTTTGTTTTGGATACTTTCCTGATCGCCTTTTGATGTTTGTCACTAGAACACTGACAAGTTTATATTCTTTTAAATACCACTTGCTGGTCGTCATGCTTGCTTTTTCTTTATTAAGAATATGTTTGAATTTTAACCTGTAAACACAAAATTTGACACAGTCATATCTTGATTCTGTATCTAACAGCAGTAGTGTTTATAACATATTTACACCATTGTTTCATTATTGTTGGCTGAAGTAATTCCTAGTTAACTTTTCATTTTCTGGTTAAAATTGTAATCTAATTCCGTGTTCTGTTTATCACTAAATAACAGAGTAATCAGTAGTGACTGAATATTAGGAGGGACAATTGAACACTTTTAAACTCAATGACATGTGAACTGAACATGCGCAGGTATCATAAAACAAAGTTTGAAATGATTTGTTTATAACAAAACAATAGCTCTTTAATGAGGAAATGGACAACAGCATGTTATGTTTTGCTAAAATAAATATAAAATGGATTATATTTCTAAAAATGATGAATGTTGCTATATTAAAATATTTATTCATTTATTTCAAATAAGTCACTTAATTTTTTTTTTAAATTTTATCTTAATAAATTAGTCAAGGGATGGTTACTTTCTCTTTTCAATGCAAATGTAATTCCTTAAGTGGTTTTCATGGCCCAGGGCATGACTGCATTTCTCTGCATCTTTTCTCTTTAACAGGGCTATTAACATTAAGCAAGCAAAAGTGTTCTCTTGTTAAAAAGGAACAGTCCACCCATTCCACCCAGAGAAGTTCCCTCTGGTGCTCGGCCCCTCCCTGCACTCAGGTCTGCAGTGAGGCCATTTCTTTTCTCAGCTTTTGTTACACTGCCCCCTGCATCTCACCAAGTGGACTCGCAGTCTAAATTGTTAAGGTTTCTCATATTTTTTCCTCCCTAAAACGTAAACATACCATTGGTGCAACTCTTCCTTGAAGCTTAATGTCGTGTATTTAATGCTGGACTTAGGTAAATGAAAGGTCCGCTCTCTTAAAACTGAGAGAAATTATTCATTTAAATAGGATGTATATAATACTTTAAAAACTGTGTATCTAATATCTCTTAAAATTTATTATAATAACACTTATTAAGGATTAGACAAGGTGATACCTTAGCAAGTGTTATTAGTTACAGTTTCTTAGATATATTATCTCTGTATTGATATGTCTCGATCAATAATAAACAGCACTGATATAACTGACCTTTTAGTACAGTTTGCTATACACATGGACACTTTCACATAAAATACTTCATGAATTATCACAACTTTATTATTAGTAGTATTACAGATTCAAAAGTAAAGTTAAGGAATATTCAAGTTAGGGAAGCCAAGTAGATGGCTGCTTTTCAGAACGTAAATTTTTATTGTTTTAATGAAAGAAAATATGGCAAAATTGGCAATATATTTTCCTTTTGACCCAACGTGTCATTAAGAAGAATTCTAAGTAAATTAGAATGTTTAGCTCAGCATTTCTTTAAATAGAAATTGTTAGAAATGAATCACATGACTAAATAGGAGAATGGCTAAGTATAGTGTGGTACATCTTCATGATGAGCAATAAACAGTCATTACGAATCATGTTTTCAGTAAAATGGAAAATGGAAAATGGAAAAAAGCTCTCTGGTTAATAATAATTGAAAAGAGTGATATTTAGAAATGTATAGTCCTTCTGATTGCAATTGTGGAAACAACCTTTGAGTTCTGAGCCAGAGTACTCCAGTGCACAAGGCTTCTGCCCATCTCAAGGGCCTCCCTGGAATTCTCCTGGCCATCCTCTTTGCCTGGCTACTTCTTCAGGTTCCAGCTTAAGTGTTTCTTTCTCAGGAAAGCCTTTGCTGATCTGCAGGACCACTTCAGCCACATTATGTTCCCCAGTTACATGTTCTCACAAAACTCTAATTTTCCTTCATGGTATATATTATGATTATAATTAATCACCTTGTGGTATCTTTCAAATGTCTGTCCTCCCCAATAGACTATCAGCTTCACTGAAGCAGTAACTGTGTCCTTGTTTACTCAATGCCTGCCCCAGTGACTGGGACATAGAATGAGCTCAGTAAACATTTGTTGAGGAAATGAACAAATGAGTGAATTGCAAGGCACTCTCTGAGCACTTTTGACATAATTTCATTGAGACTCCACCAAAAACTTATGAAGTAGAAACCATATTTATTACATTTTATGGATAAGGAAACTAAATTGTAAAGGAAGAAAATTGGCCAGAGTTATACAGTAGGCGGACAGCTCCAATGTAAACCTGACGTCTCTGAATGTTGTGCACAAGCTCTTAGCCGCCAATTGTAAGTGGTTGTACTGAATGTAACTAAGATAACTATATTTAAATGGTCAACTTTGTAGGTCAAATATGCAGAAATATTACAAATCTTTATATTAATTTGTTAATAAATTTATAAACATGTTAAATTCTGAAGAAAATATATAAAAATGGAAATGGTGGTAGAATTGCACTGGTTCTTATTTTTTTCACACAATTCTACATTTCACAAATTCCCTATACCAAGTACTTATCATTTTCTATAAAAAGGAAGAAAACCATTAAAGCATGTTGGAGCTAGGTTTCAAGTGTGAATATTTTGACATCAAATTCCAAAGAGTTTCCACTCATCAAAAGAGAAAAGTTGATCACTATCTTGTGAATTGGCACACAATTTGCAATTAATTTTTCTGAACAATTTAACCCAAAATCAATGTCATAAATATATTTTAATAATGTTCAATGTAAAATTCTATGTAAAAAACTGCAGAATAAGTAGCTACATTAAGCCTATACCATAGAAACTGTTAATTAAAGTTTTGAGCTGATTGAATATATTTCTTTCTATGTATAGCTTTTATGCTTTTTGACATTTTCCTATCACTAATACTGATTAGCAATCAAATGTATACCATCCAGTTTTAAAGATACCTAATTTATTTATTTCAAACTTCAATATTTAAGATAAACTTGCCTTTCAAAAATTAATTTTGTTCCTCAAACTCACCAAAGTAAAACATAATTTAAAATCTATCTCTATAGATTTCCTCTTATACTTTTTATTTTGGTTTTTCTTCCAGTGATTGCTGCCTTGACCGTCCCTGCTCTTGAAGTAAGTACAAATGAGCAAGGACCCTGAAAAACTCTGGGCTCAGATTGCCCTAGTTTGTTAGATAATTTTGATGGTACAGGGGCATGTATTTTGAGATACAGCATTTGGTAGTCTTTGGAGTTAAGTCATACTGCCGACACAGATTCTACTGGCTGTTGCAGACACTAGCTTCCCTACTAGGTCTGCTCTAGCTGCCAACCATATCCTTCATCCAAAGCATCAGATGTGAGCCCTGAATGATTATATAGGGCCCAGTTTTATTCAGGCCTTAATGCCAGACTTACAGATGAATGAATGACTGAATGAATTACAGTCCCTGCCTTAACTGGATTCTTAATTTCTAGCTCTTCTTTCTTGACCATCACATTTGACTTCTTGACCTTAACCTTACAAATGAAACTAGCTGTCCTTCCTAAGGACATTGTCCCTACGATCAGCCTTGGCCAAATAATTTTCCCTTAAGTTTTCTGCATGTCTTAAAGTATAAGTCTCCATTGTCCCTCTTATAGAGACCTCAACATGCTTTCTGGTTGAACCTTAGCAGTACCTTTTGTTATATTTTAATAACCAGATTTGAGTAACTTGATTTGGCCATCTTTCTTTTTCCTTCATTGATCATATACATGTTGAATCTGTGTTATGTACAAAGTAGTAAGCTAAGCCCTTAGGAAGAAAATAAGATACCTATAAACAATAGTCCTTGCCTAAGAGTATTTCACACTTTAGTTAAATTAGTAATAATTACTATAGTTCTTTTGTAGAAACCAATTTCAGTTCATCTGTACCTTTGTAGATGGAAGCTGACCAAATTCAGGCAAAAAACAAACAAACAAAAATTTTCTATGCTGAAAGTTTATAGTTGATTTTGGAATTTCACTTTCTAAAAGTGAATTTAAAAACTGAGTAGCCAGGCATGGTGGCTCATGCCTGTAATCCCAGCGCTTCGGGAGGTTGAGCCGGGAGGATCTCTTGACCCCAGGAGTTTGAGACCACCCGGGCAACAGAGCAAGACCCCATCTCTACAAAAAATAAAAAATTAGCTGGGTGTGGTGGCATGTGCCTGTGGTCTCAGCAATGCGGGAAGCTGAGGCAGGAGGATCACTTGAGCCTGGGAGATCGAGGCGGCAGTGAGCCGCCATGATCACACCACTTGCACTCCAGCATGTGCGACAGAGCGAGACCCTGTCTAAAAAAAAATGATAAGAAAAAACTAGGTAATGTTAAATCCCACTTACTTCAACAATTTAAAAATTGGCAAATATTAAAAACCCAGTTTTTTACTCATTTCTGAATAATATAAATGCTTTAAAACTCATTTTGACAACCTTTATATTCCACTATAACAGTATTTACCTTGGGACAGGCTCCTTTTGCCAACTTGCAGACAGGTTTTTCTTTTACATGTAATTGTATGTGTAGATCAGCGATTCTTATATTTTTTTATTTTATTTATTTATTTGTTTTTAAGTTTAACATGCCGTTGGCTCTAGAAGCTGCCATGTTTAAGAATTTCGGGATAGACACATATTTGATCTTTTATATTTGTTATTTGGTTTGTACACGTAATATCACTGATCTGCTCAACAAATCTTTAATGGCTTCCAATCATTCATGTAAACAAATCTGAAATTTTCTGTCTAGCTCTCTCCAAACCCTCCATAAAATAGTCCCACTCTTACTATCCAATCACACTTCTCACATATCCTTTCAAACACTAATTATTTGCCTTTCTTTGACCCAAAAGTCTTCTTTTCTTTTGCCTACCAATCAAAATTTATCTATCCTTTAAAGCCCAGCTTAGACCCAGTTTCATGATCACTCCAGTTCTCAATTATGAATTTTCCTCTGAATTTCAGGACTAACTAGAATTAGAATAATTTCTTTTCTCACTTGTTCATGCTAATTAAGATGATCATTATTTCCCTCCACAAAGATTGACTCCTTGTATTAGGTCATTCTCACACTGCTATAAGGACATACCTGAAACTGGGTAATTTATAAAAGAAAGAGATTTGACTCACAGTTCCTCAAGGCTGGGGAGGCCTCAGGAAACTCACAATCATGGTGGAAGGGGAAGCAAACACGGCCTTCTTCACTTGGCAGCAGCAAGGAGAAGTGCCAAGCAAAAGGGGAAAAGCCCCTTATAAAACCATCAGATCTCTTGAGAACTCACTCACTATCACGAGAATAGCATGAGGGTAACCATCCCTATGATTCAATTACCTCCCACCAGATCCCTCCCATGACATGTGGGGATTATGAAAACTACAATTCAAAATGAGATTTGGGTGGGGACACAGACAAACCATATCACTCCTTGAGGGTAGGAACCATGCTTTATATTTTTCTTTATGTCTTTGGACTCCAGAAACAAGGGCCACTTATTAGGGAGTTTAGAAATCACTGTTGTTAAATGTAATTTGACAAAATTGGTCATTGGACTTTTTTTGTTTTGTTTTGTTTTACTTTGTTTTTGAGATGGAGTCTCACTGTGTTGCCCAGGGTGGAGTGCGGTGGCGTGTTCTTGGCTCACTGCAACCTTTGCCTCCCAGGATCAAGCAATTCTTCTGCCTCAGCCTCCTGAGTTGCCGGGACTACAGGCGTGTGCCACCATGCCTGGCTATTTTTTTTTTGTATTTTTAGTAGAGACAGGGTTTCATCATGTTGGCCAGGTTGGTCTTGAACTTCTGACCTCAAGTGATCTGCCCACCTCAGCTTCCCAAAGTGCTGGGATTACAGGCATGAGCCACTATGCCCGGCCTCATTGGACGTTTTGGACAATAAGCTTAGAACAATACAATCTTTCTTAGGACTTTAAAGCATTAGAGACTTTAGGGATTAATATAGCAAATTCTTCATTTTACAGATGAGAGAACTGCGATTTACACAGGGACAGTATGGATCAGCCATTCTTAGTAGCCTTTATCTCAGTATCTTTGATAGCCTTTCTCATTCTATTTCCTCAAATTTAAAAAATGAATATAAGGAGTGTGATGTTTTCTGTCTATTAAAAAGTATGAAAAGGCACTGTTTCATCCTCGGTTTGGTCAGAAAAGCAGAAAACACTTCAGGAGTTTGAAGTAGGAGGGATTTAATTCCAGGAACAAAATGCTCACAAAACTAATGGAAGACCTGGAGAAATAGAATTCAGGAAAGACCACTGTTAGCTTTTAGGCTCACCGCTCACTTTGGTGAGTCAAGAAGCTCCCAGCACTGATCAAAGAAAAGGCCTCCAATATGGAGGTGGCTGAATTCCAGAAAAATAACCCAGAAGCCACAATAGCATCTCATATTTGTTGGAGCCACGCATATATTCACCTGCAGTTACTGGAGGAATGGTAAAGGTCCTGCCTTTCTTCCACCTTCCAAATTTTACCTGAGTGCTTCTAAATGGCAGAATCTGTGCTGTGAAGGAAACTTATTTTTAAATGTATTAGCATCTTAGTTCTTTATCTCAATGGTTTGATGCCTTTCAATTTAAGGGCAAATATTCCTACACATGTCAATATCTCACAAATTATTTATCTGCTCTAACACTAAACAGTAATTGATGTTTATAATAATGGAATTATTAATGCTGGAAGAGACCAGAGATAAACTGAACCTCATCTTCTCATTTAAAAAACTGAAGTCACATAGCAATGGTGTTGAAGAGCCAACCTTTTTGACCTACCTCCATGGCTCAGATGGAGTGTTTTCCTGTTATACTTGTATCTGAATTTGCCTACTGCTTTATAGTTACATTCAATTGAACTCTATAACTTTCTGATTTAATAAGGATTTAAACTACCTAATTATTTAGTGCTAAGACCATGGTTGAGTTTTATAAGACACTTCAAAAAATTGTACATGGGGTCATACACACAGGTGCAAACTAAAAGGGAGTTTAGATTGCTCATTGCTCTTCCAAGGTGAAATCACCATTTTATCTGATGACTTACAAATGAAAAATCTGGCCAATAAATCTATTTAGTCAGATTTCTCAACATTGTGAATGATCCTCCTGGTAGCCAGATATTATGTCTATCATGACATGACCGCTTATTTCATGTTGACTTGTTGTTCTGTGTGGAACTTCCTGTGGCACTAGAGTTTTCTTAAGTATAAACCATTCCAAAATCACATTGTTATTATGGGTTGCTTTGTCCTCAGGCTCTGTAGGACTCCTTTTGGGCTATTGGTCTTTCAACATGCAGTTAGGGGATAAAAGTAAATCATTTAATCTATGCAGCATGTCACTCAATAGTATACTTTTGGAAATTGTTTCCACAGGAGCACCAGCGAAAGCAGCCAGTCTGAGATATTGACACTACAGAAAAAACTGACAGCTTACTCCTTGTATTGATTCTACTCTTCTCTACAAATATAGACTCCGTTCCCTACCACAGCCTTGTAAGTGGTGCCCGCTGAGGCTGCTAAATTGCTTTGTAAATTATTTATTACTTGGACACCTTGTAAAGACCTCTTTTCTTCTTGTCTGACTTGCTTGTGCTTTCGTATATACTAAAAGGTCTCAAAGTGTACACTGACCACAACCTCCTTATGAAATCCTTTCCTTCCTATCTTTTATTGCAAATATGATCTTCCTTGCCCATATTATGACTATGCCTTTTGTCATTGGTTTTTATTTCTGATCTATTGCTTATAAAATATCATAAATGTTTATATGCACGTTTGGAGCCTGGCACTGGGCACTTAATTAGCATATTCTCAAATTAGAAAGTTTGAAGTATTTAAAGAACATTTATTTAATGATGGGAAAGAGTTTCTATTAATAAAAACTGTTTATCAGAGCAAATGCACATCTTTATTTGCACTTATGTGGTAGAGTCAATGTTCTGAAAAAGATGGCAAGTGTTTTCTCTCTTTTCTTGATTATTTCTTCTTACTTAGGTTTTATTTTGTGATTTTCTGAAGAATTTTTAAAATGTTCATAATGTAGATAATGAAAACAATATTTTTTGTCCAGTAAACAAAACAATTTGAGCAGATTGCGATTGTTCACTTTTAGCTAACTGAAACCATATACTCACATATAAAATACTCAATAGAAAACGTCTTCGCTTAATAATTTGCATTTTCCTGTCTCCCTCTCTTAGCTTCCTATATTAGTCAGCTCAGCACTAGTATAAATTTGGTGATTTAGGTCCAGAGTTATTTCAGTGCCTCTTATAGTTTGGAAATCCAAGAAGCTACTCCTCTCATCCATCCCTCAAAATTCATTAGTTTGTGTTTGGAAAGTACAGGATTTTCAATCTTGTCTCTGCCATTTATGAGTTCTATGACTTTAAGCAAGTAAATTAGCCCTCATAAACATCAACTTCTACTATGAAATGAAGTAGTAATAATAATAGTAATAACATCTATCCCAAGGATTATTGGAAGAATAAATGTGGTATATTTGGAGTGTTAGAACGGGCATATATTAGGTATCAGTGATGTTTGCAACATGTTACTGATACAAAATTTTTTTACTTGAAGATTTACTTTTATGATAATTATATTTTATACAATACCAATAAATACATGTTGAGAATAAAAAATGTAGTGAGTAATTATACACTAAAATCATAGTATCTTATAGGCAATTTTTTTAGGTCATAGAAATTTGAGAAGCACAAAAACACACTTCTAAAATCACTATAATTCTTTTTCTTTTCTTTCCTTTTTTTTTTTAAGACAGGATCTGGCTCTGTTGCCCAGGCTGGAGTGTAGTGGTGCGATCTCCGCTCACTGCAACCTCTGCCTCCTGGGGATTCAAGCAATTCTCGTGCCTCAGCCTCCCAAGTAGCGGGATTACAGGCACATGCCACCACAGCCAGCTAATTTTTGTATTTTTAGTAAAGAAGGAGTTTCTTCATGTTGGCCAGGCTGGTCTCAAATACCTGACCTCGGGTGATCCATCCGTCTTGGCCTCCCAAAGTGCTAAGATTACAGGCGTGAGCCACCGCGTCAGGCCAGATCACTGTAATTCTCATTGAAATGGGAAATGCAAGTCGCTTAGAGGACTAAGGATTAGACCATGAAGACTTATAAGCAGAAGAGTCCAGCTATGTCTAGACAGGCCACTGTGGTTAAGAGATGGGCACACAAAGAACAATGCTTGCCCCAAACAAGTGGTTTTAGACAGTGAGGCCCTTAGCCATAAGCTTGAAATCTGTTTCAATAATATCCTCTCCAGGCCAGGTTTACTCCAGAGCTGTGCTGGTTTTCTTGTAGACTGCTTTGTGCCAGCACATATTGCTATGACTTCATTTCATTTTTTCCTTACATACTGAAGGTAATCGCTTTTAAGATGAGTTTTCTACACCTGTTTTCATACTCAATTCCTGGCTTGAAATGCTTGTTTCTTTACATTATTCCAATGTTTCAAGGCCCAGTTCAAATGCCACCGCCCCACACTGATCTAGTCACTCTTACTACTACCTACTTGTTTCCTCCTCTTCTAAATCCTTTCAGTTTTGATAGTATGCATTACCCTAAGTAGTGTCTGAGATCAGATAGAGTGCTCTCTGGTTTAATAACTGTTTAATGTAAAACTATTCAGCTAGAAACCTGTAGGAGAGGGAAGAATCTTAATGAAAGATTAAAGGAGAAGCCAAAGGCTGGTTAAAGCAGAGTATTTTCAGATAAAATGCACAGTCTAAGCACCAGATGGGAGCATTATTGTGACCCCCCTATGTTTGCACATTTCACATATGTGTCCCATTCTCACCAATAATGATGGCCTTCACCACAACTTCTTTGTAGATTACATAACACTTGCACATAATTTATCTCATTTATTCCTCAAAGCAATTTTATGAGATGGGTCTCTTTATCCTCATTTTGTAGAGAAGAACCAAAGCCTAGAGGGGGTTACAATGATTTGTCCTGAGTCACACTGAAGTCCATTACTTTTATTTTCTATCCATCCCAGCTGACCTTACACAGTGGCTCATCCTACCCTCACAGAAACCACTCAAGGAAGGCCAGAAAGATATTTCTGGCTTTGAATTATAAGCAAGGAGGCTGATTTCTCCTGAGAAAAAGTGAAAGAAAAACTTCTCATCCAAGCACTCTCTGCCTTTTCCCTTTTTGGAGCAGGGAGAGTGCAGTTCTCTGAACAATAAGATTGGTTTGACACAAAAAACAAGTGGAAGTCTGCACATGACTTTGTGCAAGAAATGCATGAGGGAACAGAGTTGGAATATGACTGAAATATATATATATATATATACACTCACACACATAAATATGTATGTAGTCATATACATATGAATCATAAAATGCTTAAATATGTGTAAAAATATGTATTGAAAACATGTAGATCTACCTTATTTTATATATATTTAGTAAAATTTGGGAAGAAGGGAAAATCTCATCATTGGAGTGGACCAAATTTGTGTTAAACAATTTTAGAAAAGACAGCAAGGTATATATCTGGAGGGAAAGGAACTATTAGACTGAACTGTACTGAGTAGATTGAGTTTCATGTCCTGGGAAGAAATGGAGGCTGGTTGGACACATGCTTCCCCATCCTGAAGAGTGCTTAGAAAAAGGCGTGCTTTCTTTCTCACAGAATGAATCATTGAGGCAAAAGCTATAAAGGTATATACAGCAAAATAGCTTTGCCAAATGTTTATACCATGGATATTTCCAACAAAAGTGTAAGAGATTGTCCATTTGACTGCATTCTTATCAATACTTGGTATTGTAATTGAAAAATAATAAAATGCTAGTTGGAAAAGTTAAAAAAAATTGTTTATAATGTTAAGTTTAGTATGAAAATTTTCTATATATTTGTTTACTAATTGCATTTCTTTTTTTAAAAAAGTATATTTTTAAATTTTCTGTTTTATCTATTTTTACAATAGTGTTTTAAAATCAACTTATGTAAGCTTCATAGTGTTTTTTACCTGTTTAAACAATGTTTGATAAGCATATATAATTCCTACTGATGATGATATATAACAATTAGAAAACTTTTTTGCTGAACTTGTTAATTTTATTAAGCCTGATTATGTTTTAATTGTTATTCTTTTTCAAAAAAAATGTTTAAAAATTTGTCCCAAGCAATTGGGGGTACATTTTCTTTAATTTTCTCTGTTGTTACATTTTCCACTGAAAGCAAATTTGCAGACATATACATCAATGCCAAATAATAGAATCTACCCTCCATATATTAATATTTTTCCAATGTGATATCTCTGAGCAGCATTGTATTGCTATTTCAAATAGTAATAGTATATATTAGGAAAGCTGAATGATTATAAACTTACAGTTCATTCACAAAATTTACTAAGTTCATACTTTGTCGAAACAATTGTAGAGAAATCAAAGTTGTCTAAAACATCAAACCTTCCTGCAAAGAGAAGACAGTTAATGAGATTATAAACATGTATTCAATACATTCACAAGCAGCATGAAATAAATGACAATAAAATTAGACAAAGTGTTATTTTTACACAGAGTAAGGAAAAAAGCTACTGCTCTCCCATACAGCACACACACACACACACACACACACACACACACACACACACACACACACAGGTTGACAATACACAAGGAGACCAAGAAAAAATCATGTGATAGATACGTGAAAATTTAAGTCATTTTTATTGCCTGAAATAATGAGATGAACATTAATAAGGTCTTTTATTACAGTTGCATAAATTGGGCTTTAATTTGTGACCATTGAGAATTCTGCTCCAGACTAAGGATTAAATTTGTTTTTATTGAACGTAATAAATAAAGATTACACATTAAAATATTATGAATCATGTGCATTTAGAAACAATCTTATCAAGGACCAGTATTGTGGTTTATTAGTTCTTGAAATTATCGCCTAGATTACTGCCTTGAACATAATAAGTGGTCATTATTTTTTTTTGAATGAATGAATGGTGGCAAAATGTAGTATTTGAAAGGATTAACTTTTAGATAATACTAGTAATAGCATATGTAGAAATAAACATGCACTAAAATTATACATTTTATACAATTATAATTATACAATTATAGAAAAATATATTTATTTAACAATAAACATCTCTACTTTAAAAAGGTAACAAAAACAGTGTTTATTTAAATTGACTTTGAATTATGACCTGCTATCTATAAGCAAGGTGATGTTTTTGGTGTTAAGGAAACTATATAGTTTCATAGTTTGGTCTCCATCAATTAGTAAGTGTAAGTGATGCCAGTAGTACACTGGTATATCTTATCAAATAACAAAACACTGAAGACAGAATAAGATGAATATGATAGGAGAGAAAAAATGGCAGAGATTTTGGAACACAATGACTTTTGCTTATTCTATTTATGCTTTTGCAACTGATTCACAGACTATGTTCCTAAAACTTAAACTAGTATCCTCCTACTCTTCTCATTGTGTCATCTTTGAAATCACCAACAATGGTATTTCGTATCATGCAGAGTCATATAGAAAACTTTAATACAGGTGTAATATCTCTGAAGTTTCCATGTTTAATATCCCCATGTGATGGCATTCACTATTATCACATTTTCTATAGATGTTAAGGATGGGAAGTTATTATTATATTAAAGAAGACTTTGGATTACTAACTTGTAATGTTTCTGTAGGCCTCAGAATTCACTGTGCTGAGGAGCTAACAGGATCCTGACATTTAATTGTCTCTGCCTGAGCATTCTGTCAACTTTGGAACTTGTATGAGGCAAGTGTGATAACATACATAAAGACAGAACACTTCTAATTTTTTTTTTTTTTTTTTTTAAATACAGAGTCTCCTCTGTCACCCAGGCTGGAGCGCAGTGGTGCGATCTTGGTTCACTGCAGCCTCAACCTCCCGAGTTCATGCAATTCTTGTGCCTCAGCATCCCAAGTAGATGAGCCCACAGGCCCGTCCCACCAGGCCTGGCTAATTTTTGTAGTTTTAGTAGAGACGAAATTTCACCATGTTGGCCAGTCTGGTCTCGAACTCCTGGCCTCAAGTGATCTGCCCGCCTTGGCACTTTTAATTTTGTATAATAAAATATTTGATACAAACATACACACTACATATGCAGTATAAAGAATAATACTGAAATAGGTACAATATAGCCCTTACCTTAATAAAGAAATGGAACAATATCAATATTTCTATATTATTTTGTCCCTATTATTGATCAATTATTTATTCTCTCCCTCTTCAACAAAGTCTTTAAATTTTGTGAGCTACTGTATTATAGTTATGAGCAGGTACTACTAATATCTAATAATTGAATGACAAAATATCTATGGGAAAAAAGTAATATCAAAACTAATATTTTAAAATCTGTTACTTCTTTAAAAGTAGTGTATATTTAAATCCAATTTTAATATAAGTAATATGCAAAAAATTTGAGAGATCCAGGAGATCCAGAAAATTATTCTGCAAGAAGAGTAAACAAAATTTACCGTAAAATGTACTTCTTAAAGATAATTGGTTTTTAAAAAATACTATTCTAGTCACGGTTATCCTTTATTCTTTTTTTCTTGTCATGAGCTTTTCCTGATACCTACTGGCAGGGTTCTAGCAGCTTCCTGAATATATCTTAATATAATATATTTTTTTTCAACTCAGTGGATGTTACATTAACTTCATGGCACTGGAGGTCTTTTTGTTTATTTTTCCTGAGTCTGTCAAACCTTAACTGCTCACTCAAAAGCTTGACGTTACCAGTTTTTCTCAGGGCATTTTCAAACTCCTAGTTATTTTAAACAGCCACCAGAATTCTCCATCTCACAACTTTCAGAGGGGATTTACTCCAAAATCTTGGATTTCTTAATCTTGCATCTCTTCTTACCACTTAATTTATTAAAAAAAGAATCTCTCTACAAAGCTCAAGAACATAACTGGTTGTCATGAAGGAGCTCCTATAATATTTGGTTTTTATTCCATGAAAATTAATAAGACTATAACCAGACAAGTGGAGAAAAAGACATAGAAAACATAGAAGCATATATAGAAATTATAACGAAGCAGCATCAAATACATTATTACTATATATATATATATATGGCATTAAAATATGTAAAGATAGGTTGTGCTATGTCTCTGATGACTGTCTAAAGTTTTGTGACTATGAGAAATGCAGTTTTTGGAAAAATGAAGAGCAGCAGTGTCTACTAGATTTAGAAACATTATCTTAACAACAAAATGCAAATTTTGTTGCAGAAAAGATATTTCCTCAGTTCCAATGCCCTATGATTCAGAAAAACCTAGTTGAGTAGGGGCTACAGCCCTTGGCTTGTTTCTCACTAGCTTTGATGGGGGTATATAAATGCTGTGTAGATGAGAAGGGCTTGAGGACTAAGAACCAAACAGGGTTGTGTATTATCTCTGTTTTAAAACAAAGTCTGTTTTCTCTATTGGCAGAAAAGGTGGGTGTTTGTGTTCGTGTTTGTGTTTTTGGGTCATTAAAATACATTTAATTTTGTCAAGCAGAGGACACCACATCTGATTCCTTGTAAAAGGAAGTCATAACTGCTGGACACATAGAGACCAGGAGAGGGCTAGGTACTGCAGAGAAATTAAAAGAGGTATAAAGTACAATATATAATACACCTAATAATGTATTGAAGAAAAGGTAAAATGGTTTTGGCTAGGCACGGTGGCTCACGCCTGTAATCCCAACACTTTGGGAGGCCGAGGCGGGCAGATCACGAGGTCAGGAGTTCGAGGTCAGTGTGGCCAACATGGTGAAACCCCGTCTCTACTAAAAATACAAAAATTAGCAGGGTGTGGTGGCAGGCGCCTGTAATCCCAGCTACTCGGGAGGCTGAGGCAGGAGAATTGCTTGAACCCAGGAGGCGGAGGTTGCAGTGAGCCAAAATCATGCCACCGCACTCCAGCCTGGGTGACAAAGCAAGACTCCATTTCCACCCCCTCAAAAAAAAAAAATAGATAAAATGGTTTCATGTAGCTGCTGAAGACGAGCAAATCATTATAAGATTCCTAGAATTTTTTTTAATTAAAAGAACATTCTTATGCTATAATATGGTAAGTCAGTTTAGAAACTAAACTTAAATTGCATTTAATATTATCCTGTCTTTGATTTTGTTGTAAAATGTTTCAAAAAATGTATAAACACTACACAAAATTAATTGGAATATGATTAATATAGTATACATATTAATAGAGACCCTACTGAAATTTTTAAAATAAATTTGAAGTATTCATACCACAGGCAAATGCTAGGACATTTGGGACACTTAGAATTTTTAAGTTCCACCATAGAATCCCTGTCGGCACACAAGACAAAAAAAAGATATGCTTAATGCAAGAGATACATATATTCTTATTTCAGCAACATTATATATAAATCAAATTTCTCTAAATAAATAATATTTTTCTAATTATGTCTCTTCATTTTGAGGTATATTATTCAAAGCCCATATCCAATTTTTGGGTCTTCTATTAACTTGTTTGAAGTTAACAAGGAACAAAAAAGCAATGAAAGTCCACTAGGAACAGTAAAGTTTCATAACAAATTTGATAACTTAGATGAAATGGACAAATTTCTAGGAAGACACAAAGTATCAAATCTGACTCAAGTAAAAATAGCAACTCTGAATAGGCTTATAATATGTAAGATAATTAAATTAGTGATCAAAAACATTCCCGCAAAACAAGTCCAGGATTATATGACTTCACTGGTGAATTCGAGCAAGTATTTAAAGACAAATTGTCACAAATCCTTTGAAAACACTTCCAAAAATTGAAAAGAAGGAAACACAACTTATTATATGAGGCCAATATTACCCTGATAACAAAACCAGATGAAGATATCAAAAGAAAAAAAATTGACAGACCAGCAATCTTATGAATATAAGTGCAAAAAATCCTCAACAAAATACTGTACTAGCAAGCCAAATACAACAACAGAAAAAAAGGATTATCTATCATAATCAAGTGGGCTTTATCTCACAAATGAAAGGGTGGTTCAACATTAAAAAATCAATGCACACTAAAAGAATAAAGAACAAAAACCACATGATCATCTCAGTAGAAACAGAAAAAGCATTTTACAAAATACAACACACTTTTAAGAAACAACACTTAAAAAGCCAGAAATACAAGTGAACTTTAGCAACCAAATAAAGTATATTTATGGCAAACTCACATCAAACATCAAACAAATGCTGAAATATTTGGAGTCAGGGACAAGATAAGAATGTCTGTTTTTGCTACTTCTATTTAGCATTTTACTGGAAGTTCAAACCAGGGCAACTAAGCAAGAAAAAGAAAGAAAAGGTGTCCAGATTGGAAATGAAGAAGTAAAACTATGTCAATTTGCAGATGACATGATGTTTTATATAGAAAGCCCCAAGAAATCCCTCAGTAGCTATTCAAACTACTAAATGGGTTCAACAGGGTTATAGGATAGATACAAGGTTAATATACAAAAATTAGTTTAATTTCTATACATTAGCAAACAACAGTCAGAAGGTGAAATAAGAAAATAATTTCATTAACAATAGCTTAAAAATAATAAAGTACTAAGAAACACATTTAACAAAAGAGATACAAGACTGTACACTAAAAACTACAAGCATTATTGAGAGAAATGGAAGAATTCCTTAATAATTGGAAAGACATCCCATGTTCATGGATTGAAAGATTTAATATATATGTAAGATGGCAATACTCCACAAATTGATTTACATATTTAACATAGTCCTAACAAAATTCCAGTTGTCTTTTTTTTGCAGACCTTGACAAGCTGATAATAAAGTTCAGATGAAAATTCAAGAGACCTAAAATATGCAAAAAAGAAAATTTAACAACAAAAGAACACAGCTGAATGACCCACACTTTCCAATTTCAAAACTTACTAGAAAGGTACAGTAATTAAAGCTGTACAGTACTAACATAAGAATAGATATATAGATTAATGAAATAGAATTTAGAGTCCAGTGGGGGGAAAAACTCATATATTCATGATAAATTGATTTTGACAAGGGCACCAAGACAATTCAAGTGAGAAACAATAGTCTCTTCAAAAAATGGAGATAGGACAACTGGAAATTTACATGCCAAAAAATAATGTTGAATGCCTACGTGACATAACATACAAAAATTAACTAAAAGTGATCAATGACACAAATGCAACTGCTAAAACTATCAAATCCTTAAAAGAAAACATATTCATGAGCTTGTATTAGGCAATGGACTATTAGATATCACACTAAAAGCACAAACTACAAAAGAAAAAATAAATTAGACTTCACCAAAATTAACCATTGTGCTTCAAAAGACATTATCAAGAAAGTGAAGAGACAATTCATCGAATGGGAGATAATGTTTACAAATCATATGTCAGATAAGGGTCTTGTATCCAGAATATATAAAGAACTCTTACACTGCAGCAACAATACAATGAAAACTCAATCAAAAATGGGCAAAGGATTTGAATAGATGTTACTTTAAAGACGATATATAAACGAACAATAAGCACATGAAAAAATGTCCAACATCGTTAGTCATTAGGAAAATGCAATTTAAAACAATGAGACAATGCTTTACATCCCCCACAATGGCTATAATGAAAAAGGCAGAAAGTAACGAGTGTTGGTGAAGATGTGGAGAAATTGAAATCTCATGTATTACTGGTTGGAATGTAAAATGGCCAACTGCTCTGGGAAAATGTTTAGCAGTTTTTCATAAAGACAAACATAGAGTTACCATATGATCTAGCAATTTCTCTCTAGAACATGTACCCAAGAGCATTTAAAATACATGTTCATATGAAAAAATATGTAACAATGTCTATAGCATTGTTCATAAAAACTGAATAGTGGAAATAATTTGTATTTCCATCAGCTAACATATGGATAAGAAAATGGGTTATATTCATATAATAGAATATCATTCAGCCATAAAAAAATGAAGTGTTGATACCTATTACAACATGGATTAGCCTTGAAAACATTACACTAAGTGAAACAAGACACACATGCACACAAAATATTGTACAATTCCCTTCAGATGAAATGTCCAGAATGAGAAAATTTAATAGAGAAAGAATATTGATTAGTATTTTTCAGAGGCAAGGGGAGGGAGGTCGGGCATGACTGTTAATGTATATTGGTTTTTTGAGGACTGATGAAAATGTTTTGAAATTAGAGACTGGTAATGTTTGTCCAACCTTTTGAATACACTTAAAGCTACTAAATTATAAATAAATATAATAAACATGTATCTATATATAAAATGTGTTTATAGTTTATCATATATAATTATATTAGAATTTATCCTGGGAAATTGTAATAAAAAAGACTAACAAGGGAAGAATAATGAATACTACCAGATTTTAAAACATATTATAAAACTACAGGAATTTTAAAAGTTTACAGCTGGCCAAGGTGGCTCATACCAGTAATCCCAGCACATTGGGAGGCCAATGTGGGGGGATCACTTGAGTCCAGGGGTTTGAGACCAGCCTGGGCAAGATAGGGAGATCGTATCTCTACAAAAAATAAAAATAAAAAAAATAATCCAGGCATGGTATGCACACCTGTAGTCCCACCTACTTGGGAGGCTGAGGCCAGAGGCTCAGCCCAGGAGTCTAAGGCTGCAGTGAGCTATGATTATGCCACTGCACTCCAGCCCAGCTGACATAGTGAGATCCTGTCTCAGATAACAAAATGTTTGGTAACATTTGGTACATAATAGACAGATCGATAAGTTGAAACAGAATCCAAATGTACTCCAAAACACACACATATAGTTTTGTTATTTTTTTCACATGAAAAATTATTGTTGAAGAGATTTTGTTCAGTAATAGTGTGTAGACATTTGGTTCGCATTCCATCAGAGAAAAAAATTACATCCCTTACCAACTTCACATATTATGCCAAAATATATCCCAGATAAAACAAATTTTTTAAAGAAATGTTTTTTAAATTGACAAATTAAAATGGTATATATTTATGGTATACAACATTGGTGTTTTGAAATACGTATCTATCTTGGAATGACTGAATCAAGCTAATTAACATATGCATTATCTCACATAATTATCTTTTTTTCATGATGAGAATACCTAAAGTATTTTTTTTTTTTTTGAGATGGAGTCTCTCTTTGTTGCCCAGGCTGGAGTGCAGTGGCGCAATCTCGGCTCACTGCAACCTCCGCCTCCCGGGTTCAAGCGATTCTCCTGCCTTAGACTCCCGAGTAGCTGGTACTACAGGCGTGCACCACCACGCCCAGCTAATTTTTGTATTTTTAGTAGAGACGAGGTTTCACCCTGTTAGCCAGGATGGTCTTCATCTCCTGACCTTGTGATCCACCTGCCTCGGCCTCCCAAAGTGTTGGGATTACAGGCGTGAGCCACCGCGCCTGGCCCTGAAGTCTATGTTCTTGGTGATTTGCAAGTATTATTAACTATGGTCAGCATTTATACAATAGATTTCTCAAATTTAAAAACAAAGTTTTAAACATAAAATAAAGTATATATAAAAGTTGTGTGAAAGACAGAGAATTGAGAGAACATGTTTTCCCTAATCCTCATGAGGATACCCTGTATAAACACAGTAAAACATAGAGATAACAAATAATAAAATTTGACTTGATGAATTTTATAAACCTGCATTACAAAAATAGCAGTTTATAGCATATTTTAGGTAAATGTTAATTTTAATATGTAAAGAGATTTTATCAAGTGACAAGAAAATAGCAAACAGCCTAATGGGCAAAGGACAAAAACACGTAGGTCAAAAGAAAAAGTAAGCTTTTAAACATATACTAAAACGCCTCATCCTGTACAAATAATTAAAGAAGCACAAGGGTAAGCAACAATGTAATACTACTCTTACCATTCAGTTTTTAAACATGTCTTTTAATATTTGGTATAGAAGAGGTTGTGGAAAAACAGGCATTCTATTATGATATATTGTTGGAGTGTGTGTAATTATTATAATTGCTTTGAAGTAATTTGACCTAAAAAATTTGACCTATACCTTTCGCTCAGAAATTCTTCCTTTAGAAAGACACCCATTGTTAGCAATTACATTTGTAGGCTATTCATGATATTGTCTGTAATAGCAAAAGTCTGAAATTGTCTGTTAGTAGGGGAGTAGTCCAATATACGATGATATGGATATATTTTCAAACAAAATATGCAAAACAAAATGCATATTGTAACATATTTGTACTTTGAAAGTACACAAACACTTATACTCATGCAGTTTTTACTTGCATACACTTTTTCTGGACAGATACATAGTATCTACAAAATTGTGAGATATTATTAGGAAGGGCAGCAGGGGGTTCTGGAAGGAAAAAGAGATTACTTTTCATATAGAAAACTTCATAGGTAAATCATTCTCAAATATTAAAAACAATTTTCTGTGGTAAAGGAAAGCACTAGTTGAGAGAGCAGACTTTGACATTAGATAGCCCTGTGTTTGTGTTTGGTTTTGCTGCTTACTAAGCCTTGGGCAATTACTAAATGCTCTAAGCCTCAATTTCCTCTTTGTAAAATAAAGAGAAAAATGGCGATCACCTACAGAGCTATAAGTATTCAATGAGTTAAAACATGTAAAGTAACACAGAGATGTCACAGATTGATCACTTAATTAATGCCATATTATTTTTATTACTAATAGTAAGAGTGATAGTTCAAGAGAGTTGGGTGTACAGTGTCTCTGGCTTCCAGTGAGAGATGTTGTCAAGATATTCTTACAACAGCTTCTGGTCTAGATCAGAGCTTTTTATCCATAGTGCTGTGATAAGCTAATGTGTCACAATCATTGTTGTTTGTGTTCTGAATAATTTGTTACTTATAATACTTTACTGAAGTTTGAGGTTTGTTGTATGTTAGAGCTGAATCAGTGTTGTACCTATAAATACCCTTACTCTCTTGAATTATGAAATGATTTTTTGAGTCTGACAAAGAGGAGTGGAGTCCTTATAGTACTTATAGGAGTGGAGAACTTACAGAGTTCTGAAAACTGCTAATAACTCTGGGTATGCCAGTGAGAATGTGTCATGTATGAGAAAATCACATGGTCACAAGCTGTAATCTTTTGCTGTGGATGGGAACCAGTTTAAAGCTAGTAAAGAGGAAGTTCCAGGTAATCTAAAGGCCTAGGAGTCATTGTGGGTTATGTTTAGAATACATGAGTCTAAGTTGTCTCCATAATCCTAAAAGCTAATAAAATTCTGGGTGTATTGGGAGGCCGAGGCAGGTGGATCATTTGAGGTCAGGAGTTCCAGACCAGCCTGGCCAACATGGTGAAACCCTGTCTCTACTAAAAACACAAAAATTAGCCAGGTGTGGTGGCATACATCTGTGGTCCCAGCTACTCAGGAGGCTGAGGCAGGAGAATCCCTTGGACCAGGAGGCACAGGTTGCAGTGAGCTGAGATTGTGCCACTGCACTCCAGGCTAGGTGACAGAGTAAGACTTTGTCCAAAGCACACAGACACACACACACACACACACACACACACACACACACACACACACACCAAAAACAACAACAAAAAAAATCTGGATATGATCAGGGAAGAAAACAAAACATATTTTTACCTTTTATATTAACAAGTGTTTCTCCCTTTAAAATATCAAAGATAGTTCTGGTTACTAAATCTCAAGAAAGACATGCTCTTAAAACTGGGATTACTAGGTCAAAAGTTACAAGCATTTTAATAACTCTTGATATATACATATATATTATACACTTACAAACATATATACACATATACATATACTTTTTGGGGGAGGGCAATTTACATTGCTGTTAGCGTTGCACGAGTGATATTAATTATCTGCAACACATAATGTCATTTACAAAAAGCTCATTTTCTAGGCATAATATATTTTGAGGTTAATGCACTGTAATTATTATCAAATTTGGACATTTTCCAATGTTAGTTTTCTATTTATATTTCCCTTTGTCTAAATTGCAAATTTATATTGTACTGATGATGATTTGTTTATTAAGGTCTTTCTATTAGATCTTTTTATTAGGATAATTTCATTACAAATTAAAATGATCTCTTATTACTTATTTGTAAGTAACCCTGGGATTTTATACAGTGAATTGTGAATTGTGGAAACTACTGTGAATATCTAATCTGTTTCACTTTATAATGTTGTACTTTTGAATTATACCTATTATATTTGATGGGACAAGAGAGGAAAGATGAGTGAATATTTCTTAATTCCACTCATTAATATAGGTGATTATAGAAACTTCTACCAGAATCTGGGATATGCTCAATTTTTAACACTCATGAGTATCACTGAGAAATTTTCTTTTCAGAGGGTTTTATGGATAATTTACTAGGGTTTCGAGGGAAGGTCTCTGTTTCTCCATGCCAACCTTTTCTGAAAATGTTAGTTTTCAGTACAAGTACTGATTTTACCCACTAAATGTTGGTAGTTACTGATTTCTAAACTCAACTCTTCTGCTAACTTGTTGGTGGACCTTTGACAAGTCACTTAACTTCTTTGTCTCCTCAACCACAAAATGAAATGTTAGTCTGAGATGTCCTTAAGCTCCTTGCTAGCTGTGCTTCTTTCCTGATTCATTTGTACTATCCATTTCTTGCCTCTAGATACACCTTTGGAATATGCAAATGAATTTGGAATTGTCTGTATTCTAACCTGAGTTGGCTTCTCTTTCTACATCATTCTTTAACCCTTATTCCAGCACAAGACAAACAGTACAAAGGTCTCAAAAGTTTGGGACCTTAGATCCAGAATGTTTTGAAACAATATTCACTCACTAAAATATGAACAAAGTTAAAGCAAAATATTTAACAACATTGTTTTACCTCTCAATTTTTTTGAGTTTCACTGCCTTGTCGTTTACAAACAAATATAAACGTACCTTATGATAGAGTTATTCTGTAAACTCCGTAATGCAAGATTTCCAAAAAAAAAAACATAATACAAGAGTTGCAAATATACATATTCGGGAATTCTTGACACTTTTGTCATCTAGTTTAAAAATCATCTGAGAAAGAATGTAATGAATTCATTTAACTGTGAGTTACATTTTAAATATTTTGTAGAGACACAAACTCTGAATAATTAACTCTGTTACTACTCAATAATTTAAGTGGAATGACCCTTGACAGTCTGTTTGTAATAACTAACAGTGCATTTTAATTATTTTTTTTAAATTAGAAATGACATCTCTAGAGTTCAAGATTCTTGGGAGCAAAATTGAACTTTTAAAATTGGTTAGTATAGAGGGTTATTTTTCTTAATGAAAATAAAACTGATTTGCATTTTAAAAATCTGGGTACACTTTTTAAAATGATTATGTCAGTAATTTAACATTAGGCATATATTAGAGAGAATTATACCTTTTCTTTCTATCTCTTCATACCAATCTTCTGGTATGTTAGAAACTAGGTAGTATAAAAGCTAAATAATTGTAAGCCTGAAAAATCGAAGATTTAGTGATTTTAAGAATCTGAAATTTCTGTCAAAAAATGTAAAGCTAATTTTATAAAAATAAAGTTCAGTTTATAAGATAGCAAGAATAAGACCTATCATAAAATTTACAAGCAGATTTAGTAATTATTAAATACTAGATTTAATAAGCAGGAAACTTATCTTCCACGTTCACTGGCTGTTTATCTTATACTTGAACTCTTCCCTCATTTTATCCTTTTGAATAATACTGTACTAAAGTGAATCTCTGATTAATATTTAAATGTACATGGGGAGAAATGGGTAACCTAATCAGAGAAAATAATTAACAAACCACCTCATTCTCATATCCCTGAATTCTTACAAGGAGACATATATTTTGATTACTACAATGTAATTCCCTTTGACCTCCTTTCTAATTCAAAGCTTATTAGATTTCAGGATTGAACTGGCTCACTAACATTTAATTACAGTTCTTAAATATTTTCTGAATGTGTTCTAATGTCCTGGATTTTCCTAAATTCCACTTTTCTTCTCCCTTAGAGTAGCAAAAGTTAACTGGTAAGGATTATTTTCCGCTTCCAGACAATTTTGTGATAGAGTGCAAAGACAAATTCTTGTGGGCTAGGTAAAGTGCTTTTGTGGCAGATCATCAACAACAACAACAACAACAACAACAACATCAGCAAAAGCTTTTTATGCAGTGGCTGAAAGACGAGATAGGTCTTTATGTGTTAATGTAGAATGATATTTATGTTTTGATGGTTGAGCATTGCAATTTTATTTGGGCCTAAAAATGTTATAGGTTTACGAAAAGAACATATATAATAGATGATAGATAGATAGACAGATATAAATTCCACATGTGCATTTGTATGTTTTTATGTGAGTGTGTTTGTAAAATACACATTTTGTGTAAACATATAGATTATATGTAAGAACTATAAATGGACAGGTAATTGTCTATTTTTATATGTAATCTATCTACTTAATTTCTATTTTATTACAATCTCTATCTCTATATAGCGATTTGCCATTGAAGAGGAAACTACTGACTTTTAAAATTCTTTTTTTTTTTTTTTTGAGATGGAGTCTCGCTCTCTCGCCCAGGCTGGAGTGCAGCGGCGTGATCTTGGCTCACTGCAACCTCCACCTCATGGGTTCAAGCAAATTCTTCTGCCACAGCCTCCCGAGTAGCTGGGATTACAGGTGCCCGCCACCATGCCCAGCCAATTTTTGTATTTTTAATAGAGATGGGATTTCACCATCATGGCCAGGCTGGTCTCGAACTCTTGACCTCGTGATCCACCTGCCTTGGCCTCCCAGTGGGCTGGGATTACAGGCGTGAGCCACTGTGCCCGGCTGATTTTTAAAATTCTAATTGACATAAATTTTAAAGTTTACTATATTTTTCATTTGCAATCAAAGCTTATGTAACTTTTATAATTAAAAACATTAAAAGGTAGTGATGTGCTATACTCTTCAAATACTGCATTTTATAAAACTATCTGATATATATAATAAAGTTATAAAACTTGTTCAAAAAGAATTAATTCATCAAAATTTAACTAGTTACATGTTTTTAAAGTACATGGTGTTTCAGAATAATTCTAAGCAGAGATGTGCAAAGTTTAAGACAATTTTAAACTTATTAAGTGACTTAAAACATAAAAGAAATAAATGGAATTCTCAGGTTTCTGTGTAAGAAAACTAAAATATGTGGAGAATTTAAGAGTTTTTAAATTAATTTTAGTTTGAACAAAGCTTGTGAAAAGGATTCCAAAGTTAATTTTCATATAATGAACAGAATAAAATAATAATTTTGAAAAAAAAAAGATAAAAGCGAGAAGAAAAGGGAGAATAACCGTATCAATGGCTAAACAACATTATAAGAATACAATGATGTCGTTGGAACAGGAATAGACAAACAGAATATTTTAACAAATAGACTAAATGACCCTTTTCTGTATACAGAAAAATCCATCCTTCCAGCACAGGCAGGGAGATTGGGCCGGGAGCTCCTTTCCTCTACTCTCTGGCTCCAAGAAGAACTTTTCCATGCCCTATTTGAGAAAATGGGCTGGGCACAAGCCTTGAACAATTTGCTAATCTTATAATATCCAAATAAAATATGTTTCTGTGAGGATTGACATGTGGTTACAAAAGCATTTACTTAAAAAAAAAAAAAAAGGAAGTTAGATCTCCATCTTACACCATGGTCCCAAATAAATTCTAAATATATTAAACAGTTAAATAAAATATTGGGCCTTAATAACTGTATGAAAAATTTATTAAATCTCTTAAAAAAGAACTTTCTAGGTTTAAAATTATTCATTTATTCAAAAGCTATTGAAACCTCGTTTTTTCAGCTAGTAGGTATACAGCTTTAAGACAAAAGAACTACTTTTCAAAGAGCTTAGAATCTAGCTGAAAGCACAACTCAAGTATTGACAATAACAATTGATCTTTACATTAGGGGAAGAACAGATTGTAGTAAGGGGAAAGACAGGAGCCGTAACCACGTAGGCAAACACAGAGGCAAGAGAAAACATGAGCTGAGAAGTTCATTAATATTGAAGGTTAGAGGGGAAGAGATGACTGACAAAAGATGAAGCTGAAGACGAAGGCCAGAACTGAGTTTGAAGTGTCTTGTAATCCATGTGGAGGAATTTATGCTCTATCCTAAGAGCAGTGGAATGCTATTAAAGAGTTTTGAGTGAATGATGTCACGAATGAATTTTAGAAAATTCAATTTTACTGACTTATAAGAAAGACGAACTGGAAGTGACTATAGGCCTGAGAGTCTGGTTAGGGAGACACACAAACAGAAAATTACAGAAATGTGTCCGAAGAGGGTGAGTTTAAGGTATCAAGGAGGATGACATACCCATAGGACTCCACTCATTTACAAGTCAGCTGAGGTCTGTAAGGAGAGAAATCAGAAGAGGATTGGCTGGAGCAAGCTGAGATATTTGTAGTTAGGCTTAGGGTCAAATTCCCAGTTCTAGTGTGCTCTAGATGGCTGGAACACATCCAAGGGAAGTGTAAAGGGAAGTTTTCATTGTGAAGAGCTAAGGACTGAGCCAACATGACAAAGAAGTAGAAGGTGGAAACCCCTGGGAGTCAAAGATTCATATTTGGTGTCCTGGATCTAAGATTTGTCTGAAGAGACCACATGCCAAGAGGAGGTGTATATAAAGACTGGGGAGACTAACAGGAATTCTGCAATTAGGGTTGGGTGTGAGAAGCCGGAACATTCTATTGCCTATTACATAGTGCATTATGGGACACATGTATTTTAATAAGCATTGTCATGATTCATTTGGAAATCGTAGCAAAGTAAGACTTTTAGATAAGGCTCATCAATGGAACTTTATCTTCTGTCTCTCATATACTGCATAATATGCCACATAATGATGTTCTGGACAACAAAACACAGTCACGTGATGTATAATGATGTTTTGGTCAACAGTGGACCACATATAAGGATGGTGGTCCATAGGATTATAATGGAGCCAAAAAGTTCCTATGGTTAATGATGTCATAGCTGTTATAATGTCATGGGGCAATGCATTATTCACATGTTTGTGGTGATGCTGGTGTAAACAAACCTACTGCACTGCCAATCATATGGAAGTATTGCACATACAATTAGGTACAGTGCCTAACACTTGGTATTAGTAATAAATGACTATGTTGCTGGTTTATGTATTTACTATACTTTTTAATCCTTATTTTAGATTGTACTTCTACTTATTAAAGAAAAATTACTATAAAAGAGCCTCAGGCAGGTCCTTCAGGAGGTATTCCAGAGAAAGGCATTATTATCATAGGTGATGGCAGCTCCATGCATGTTTTTGTCCCTGAAAACCTTCCAATGGGACAAGATATGGGGGTGGAAGGCAGTGATATTGATTATCCTAACCCTGTGTAGGCCTAGACTAAGGTGTGTGTATTTGTCTTAATATTTTAACAAAAGTTTAAAAAGTAAAAAAAAATAAAAATTAGAAATAGAAAATGTTTATAGAATATGGATATCAAGAAAAATATTTTTGTACAGTTGACAATGTGTATATGTTTTAAGCTGTTATAAGAGTCAAAAAGTTAAAAAACTTAAAGATGTAGAAAGTTAAAATGTTATAGTAAGTTAAGGTTAATTTATTTTTGAAAAACATTTTAAAATAAATTCAGTGTAGCCTACATAAAGTCTGCAATAGTGTATCGTAATGCATTCTAAGACTTCACATTCACTCACCACACACTCACTGACTTACCCAGAGCAACTTCCACTGTTGCCAAGTTCCCTTCATGGTAGGTGCCCTTGACAAGAGTACCAATGTTTCATTTTTTTAAACTATATTTTTACTGCACTTTTTCTATATTTAGATACACAAAAGGTTACCATTGTGTTATAATTGCCTATTGTATTCAGTATAGTAATACACTATACAGACTTGTAGCCTAACAGCAATAGACTATAGCATATAGCCTAGGTGTGTAGTAGGTTATACCATCTAGGTTTGTGTAATTACACTGTATGATGTTTGCGCAACAATGAAATTGCCTAACAATGCATTTCTCAGAATATATCCCCATAGTTAACATATCTCCTGTGTGTGTATATATATATGTATTTATATATTTTATGTGGTTGGATTCTATGTAATTAAAAATAATCCCAAAATTAAAATTTAACACGGTATTTCTTCATATTCCTCAGTCATTTTAAATTGCTGCCTAATGTTCATCCAGTTAGCACTTTATCTTTTTATTTTGGTATCTTGATGCACAAAAGTTTTCTTTTTAATTTAATGTAAGGAGATGTGTCAATATATTCTTTATGGTTTGTGCTTTTTGCATCTTTTAGTATTATTCATTTTTCTGTTCTGAGACAATAAATATATTTGACATTATAATTATTATTATATTCTAAAAGCCTTGCTTTTTACATGTAAGTCATTAATCTACATATGATTGTATTTGGGATTTCATTTTATGATCTCTATAGGTATAATTAGTTAGGATTATATAATTAATCATTTACCCATTAGACTGGAATGCCATGTGGATATCAACTTTTGTCTAGGCATAGCTCTATTTTGAGCTCTTTATTCTGTTCTACTTATAACCCTATAACAATACCACACTCTCTTTATAACATATACGTTTGCCTTAATATGTAATTGGGAAGTCTTTCCCTATTCTTCAGAATTATCCTGGCCTCCTTGGGCCTTTTTCTCTTCTATTATATATCAATTATAGAATCACTTCTTAAAATACAATTAACACAGTACTTACTGTGGATCAAAGTTGAATTAAAGCTGTAGATTAACTTAAGCAGTGTTGACATCCATGAGTATGGTATATGTCTGCGTGTATTTAGCGTGACTTTATTTTTATTTATTTATTTTTTTTGAGACGAAGTCTCGCTCTGTCGCCCAGGCTGGACTGCAGTGGGCGATCTCGGCTCACTGCAAGCTCTGCCTCCCGGGTTCACGCCATTCTCCTGCCTCAGCCTCCCGTGTAGCTGGGACTACAGGCGTCTGTCACTGCGCCCGGCTAATTTTTTGTGTTTTTAGTAGAGACGGGGTTTCACCGTGGTCTCGATCTCCTGACCTCGTGATCCACCCGCCTCGGCCTCCCAGAGTGCTGGGATTACAGGCGTGAGCCACCACGCCTGGCCTAGCTTGCCTTTAATAAGGTTTTATAATGTTCTTCATGATTACTAAGTACCCTAGTGTTTTTGTTCCTTTGGTGCAAGGAAGTATTTTATTTCTTTCAAATCTCATTATTTTTTATTAGTTTATTGGCCAGTGCAGAGGAATACAATAGATAATTATTTTTTAGTCTATATCTAGGAAATTCGTGGAATGATTTTGTTAATATTATATTGTAAATTATTTTGAGTTTTCTATTTGGACAATTAAATTGATTGAAAATAATAATACCTTTCTTCTTTTCAAATCTTTATGTTTTTAAATTTATTTGTTCTTAAAATTTCTCTCTTGTTAGGGCCTCTGGTAAAATATTTAAGAAAAGCAATGCTAGCAGCAATTTTATGTCTTTCATGATACTAAAGTCATGATTCTAATTGCCTTTAATGAATAATTATTAATGATTGGTTTAAGTTATATTAAAGAAGTTCACTTTTATTTGCAGTTTGCTAAGTTTTTATAGTGGATGGATATTGAATATTACCAAATGACTCTCTTACTTCATTTTAGATAAACATCTTTATTATTATTATTACTATTACTATTATTATTATTATTATTATTGTTATTATTTGAGATGGAGTCTCACTCTGTCGCCCAGGCTGGAGTGCAGTGGTGCAATCTCAGCTCACTGCAAGCTCCGCCTCCCGGGTTCATGCCATTCTCCTGACTCGGCCTCTGGAGTAGCTGGGACTACAGGCGCCAGCCAAGACGCCCGGCTAATTTTTTGTATTTTTAGTAGAGATGGGGTTTCACTGTGTTAGCCAGGATGGTCTCGATATCCTGACCTCGAGATCCGCCCGCCTCCACCTCCCGAACTGCTGGGATTACAGGTGTGAGCCACCGCGCCCGGTCAACATCTTTATTATTTTAATCTTTTAATGTGGTGAATCACATGAATAGATTTGCAAATATTGTCATTCTAATGTTCTTACAATATATTCGATTTTGTCCTGTTGCATTTTATTTTTATACATTACTAACTTAGTATGACTTTTGGTTTATGTTCTAAAAGAGTGTATAGATGATTGAGTTTATGTGTTTTTTGAACGTCTAACACAATTTTATTATAAAACTTCTTTAGCTTGGAGTTTTATTATTAGGTAGATTTTAATGAACTGATAGAGTTTTTCTGTTTTCTTTTTTGAGAAAGAGTCTCGCTCTTGTCCCACAGGCTGGAATGCAATGGTGTGATCTCGGCTCACTATAACCTTCGCCTCCTGGCTTCAAGCGATTCTCCTGCCTCAGCCTCCTGAGTAGCTGGGACTACAGGCTCCTACCACCACGCCCAGCTAATTTTTGTATTTTTAGTAGAGATGGGGTTTCACCACGTTGGCCAGGCTAGTCTTGAACTCCTGACCTCAGGTGATCTGCCTGCCTCAGCCTCCCAAAGTGCTGGGATTACAAGCATGAGCCACCGCACCTGGCCACGTTTTTAAAATAGTGATGACTTTATTCAGATTTTCTATTTCTTGTGATTAAATTTGTTAAATTTGTTTAGAAAAATGCCCATCTTGTGATCAAATTTGAGTTCAATTTGTTTAGGAAAATTGCCATAAAATTGTTCAGAATATTCACAGATTATTTTTGAGTATCTACTATAATTCTTATGTTTTGTTTGTAATGTCTAACATTCCTTGTCTTTGCAAATAATAAATTTGACCTTGTTAAGACTCTACTTAATCTTTGCATTTTTATTTCAATAATTGACACATTTTTACTATTTTATATCTATTGTGTTATTTTTCCCTGTTGCTTGTTTTCTGACTTTTTAAATTGTACTTGAGACTAAATTTTTCTCCAACTATAGTTGTTTTATGCAAAAGATTTTTTTCTTACTTTGCTTTTTAATTTCTAATTCAATTCATATTATTTATATTTTTCTTAATTTTTGAAAGCAAGTGGACTTTTTATTATATTTTTTATTTCTGATTTTATTATATTTTATTTAGAGAATGTGATCTATATAATGCTTTCTTTCATTTTTAGGTTAAGACTTTCTCTATAGTCAGTTTTTTAAATGTTCATGAATCATTGACAAAAAAACATTTTCTAATTGTCAGATGAAGGCTTCTGTATATGTGCATTCTATTAGTTTGCTATTTTTTCCTCCTTTATCAGTTGCAAAAAGATATGTATCGAAGGTTTGAATTAATATTGATTTTCCACTTTTCTAATTTTGCCCATTCTTCCTTTATATATTTCTAGTCTATATTAATAGCTAAATAAGCTAAATATAAGCTGAGTAGTTTTACTTTCCATTGTAGTATTTTACCATTACATAGTGATTCTTTTACATGTATAATGATTTTTTTTGGTCTTCAAATTTCTTTTTTGTCTAATATTGACATAAATCTCTCTTCTGTTTGTGTGCTGGGTTTATTTTTTCCATCTTTTTGCTTTCTTTTCTTTTTCTTTTTCTTTTTTTTCCTTTCTTTCTTCTTTCTTTTTTTTTTTCTTTCTTTTTTTTTTTTGTTGTTGTTGTCTAGGTTAGAGTGTAATGGTGCAATCTTGGCTCACTGCAACCTCCACCTCCCGGGTTCAAGCAAATCTCCTGCCTCAGCCTCCCAAGTAGCTGAGACTACAGGTGTGTGCCACCACACCTGGCTAATTTTTGTATTTTTAGTAGAGATGGGGTTTCACCATGTTGGCCAGGCTGGTCTCGAACTCCTGACCTTGGGATTTGTCTGCTTTGGCCTCTCAAAGTGCTGAGATTACAGGTGTGAGCCACTGCACCCGGCCCATCTTTTTACTTTCAAATTTTGTACAATAGGTTTTCATTTTTTAAATAAATAAAGCAGGGTTTTGTTACTGCTGTTTACATTGTTTTAGAAAATTTATAAATTTGTTTTCAAGTGACATTTATAATGATTGCTTATATGTGTCATTTTATTTTATGATTTCTTTATTCTTTTTCAAAATTATTTTCTGCCTTCATATTGATTAACCTTCTCTTTCAACCTCCCTCCATTTTTAGCCTTTCTTTTCTGTTATAAACATTATTTTACTTACTAAACTATAATGTAACTTGCTTATTTGATTCAAATTTAAAATTAATAAATATACTTGTTATTTAAATAATATAAACCCTTAAGAAGTTTTAAGGATTACCTCCTGTTTAACTTAAATATTATATTTGTCAACCAGTACTCTAGTTATTTTAGTTCATGCTCAACAATGTCTATGTATTGCTTTGTTTACTAGTCTTTCCAGTGTTCCATTGCTAGTTAAGCACCCAGAATTCAGAGCTGTAACACCTGATTGATATTCTCAACTGTACAATTTATAAGCTGTTTGTCTTTGTGCATATTTTTTGTATTTTTTAAAATTACTTTGTTTATTTTAGGTTTCATTTGCTCTCCTTCCTGTAGTTTCTTCAGTTTTTCAGTAATCTGAGATTTTAGTTTATTGATTTGAGAGTTTTCTTCTTTTCTAATCTAAGCACTTTGAATTAGGCACGATTCTCCAGAGAAACAACCAATAGGACACACACACAGAGACACACAGACACATACATATATATTCATTATAGAAATTGGCTCACATGATTGTTAAGGCTGAGAAGTCCCACAACATGCTATTCACATCCACAAACTGAAGACTCAGGAAAACTAGTGTGATTTAGTCCAGTCTAAAGGCCTGAGAACTGTGAAGGGGAGGGAGAGAAGCAGGAGGACAGTGGTGTAAGGTCTGTTTGGAGTCAAAGGGCCAAAACCTGGAGCACCAATGTCCAAAAGCAGAAGAAAATGAATGTCCTGGCTCAAACACAGAGAATAAATTCACCTTTTCTCTGACTTTTTCTTCTATTTGGGGCCCTCAAAGGATTGGATAATGACCACTGACATTCATGGGGGCCACCATGTTTTTTTTTTTTGAGATGGAATTTCATTCTTGTTGCCCAGGCTGGAGTGCAATGGTGTGATCTCGGCTCACCACAACCTCCCCCTCCTGGGTTTAAGTGATTCTCCTGCCTCAGCCTCCCGAGTAGCTGGGATTACAGGCATGCGCCCCCATGCCCAGCTAATTTTGTATTTTTAGTAGAGACAGGGTTTCTCATCTTGGTCAGGCTGGTCTCGAACTCCTGACCTCAGGTGATCTGCCTGCCTCGGCCTCCCAAAGTGCCGGGATTACAGGCGCAAGCTACTGCGCCCTGCCCGAGGGCCACCATCTTTTACTAAGCAATTCAAATGTTACTCTAATCTGGAAACACCCTCAGAGACAAACCCAGAAATAATGTTTACCAGCTGTCTGGGCATCACTTAGCCCAGTCAAGTTGAAACATAAATTAATCTTTACACATTTAATATTATATATTTTCCTCTAAGCACTGCTTTAGCTTTAACCCAGAATTTAAAAATGTTGCATTTTCATTTAGTTCAAATATTTTTTTTTAAATAAGTCTTCCTCTTTTACCTACGGGTTATTTCTTGTTGTTGTTGATTTAATATCCCAACATAAGAGGACTTTTTCCAGGTATCTTTTTATTATTTCTAGTTTAATTTTGTCATGGTCCAAAATTATACTTTATGTGATTTTTATTGCTTTATATTTTTCAATGTTTATTTTATGAACCAGAATAGGGTTCATCTTCTTGAATGTTCCCTGTGCACTTGAATAGAATGTTTATGCTGCCAGTATTGAGTGAAATCTTCTATAAATGTCAACTAGATAAAGTTGATTGATTGTGTTGGTCATCTACATCCTTACTGAGTTTCTGTTTCTCGTTCTATCAGTTACTGAGAGATGAGTGCTGAAGAATTCAACTGTTATTGTGAATTTGCATACTTCAGATTTATGAATTTTTGCTTCATATATTTTGTAGCTCTTTTGTTAAGTCCATATATATTTAAGATTGTTATGTCTTCTTGAAGAATTGACCCCTTTATCATTATATAAGGTCACTATTATTACTCCTGACAATATTCCTTTTTGTTAAGTCTTTTTTGTCTGAAATTGATATAGCTACTCCAACTTCATTTTACTTAATGATTATATGATTGTATCATGCTGCTAATAAAGACATACCCAAGACTGGGTAACTTATAAAGAAAAGGGGTTTAATGGAATCACAGTTCCACATGGCCAGGGAGACCTCACAATCATGAGAGAAGGCAAAGGAGAAGCAAAGGCACATCTCACGTGGTGTCAGGCAAGAGAGCATGTGTAAGGGAACTAACTCCCCTTTATAAGACCATCAGATATCATGAGACTTATTCACTATCACGAGAATAGCATGGGAAAGACCCACCCCATGTATCAATTACCTCCCATCGGGTACCTCCCATTACATATGGGAATTATGGGAGCTATATTTTAAGATGAAATTTTGGTGGAGACACAGCCAAACTATATCATTCTGCCCTGGCCTCTCCCAAATCTCATATCCTTACATTTCAAAACCAATCATGCCTTTCAAACAGTCCCCCAAAGTCTTATCTCATTTCAGCATTAACTCAAAAGTCCACAGTCCAAAGTCTCATCAGAGACAAGGCAAGTCCCTTCCACTTATGAGCCTGTAAAATCAAAAACAAATTAGTTACTTCCAACATACGATGGGGGTACAGGCATTGGGTAAATACACCTGTTCCAAATGGGAAAAATTGGCCAAAATAAAGGGGCTACAGGCCCTATTCAAGTTCAAAATTCAATGGGGCAGTCAAATCTTAAAGCTCCAAAGTGATCCCCTTTGACTACATGTCTCACATCCAGGTCACTCTTATACAAGAGGTGGGTTTCCCATGGCCTTGGGCAGCTCCACCCCTGTGGCTTTGCAGGGTACAGCCCCCCTCCTGGCTGATTTCATGGGCTGGAGCTAAGTTCTGCGGCTTTTCCAGGTGCACAGTGCAAGTCTACCATTCTGGGGTCTGGAAGACGGTGGCCCTCTTCTTACAGCTCTACTAGGCAGTGCCCCAGTAGGGACCTTGTGTGCGGGTTCTGACCTCACATTCTCCTTCCACACTACCTTAGCAGAAGTTCTCCATGAGGGTTCCTCCCAGGCACCATACCTCTGCCTGGACATCCAGGCATTTCCATACACCCGCTGAAATCTAGGCAGGTTCTAAACCTCAATTCTTTTTTTTTTAATTATTATTATTATACTTTAAGTTTTAGGGTACATGTGCACAATGTGCAGGTTTGTTACATATGTATACTTATGCCATGTTGGTGTGCTGCACCCATTAACTCGTCATTTAGCATTAGGTATATCTCCTAATGCTATCCCTCCCCCCTCCCCCCACCCCACAACAGTCCCCGGTGTGTGATGTTCCCCTTCCTGTGTCCGTGTGTTCTCATTGTTCAGTTCCCACCTATGAGTGAGAACATGTGGTGTTTGGTTTTTTTGTCCTTGTGATAGTTTGCTGAGAATGATGGTTTCCAGCTTCATCCATGTCCCTACGAAGGACAGGAACTCATCATTTTTTATGGCTGCATAGTATTCCATGGAGAAATAGGAACACTTTTACACTGTTGGTGGGACTGCAAACTAGTTCAACCACTGTGGAAGTCGGTGTGGCGATTCCTCAGGGATCTAGAACTAGAAATACCATTTGACCCAGCCATCCCATTACTGGGTATATACCCAAAGGATTATAAATCATGCTGCTATAAAGACACATGCACACATATGTTTATTGCGGCACTAAACCTCAATTCTTGACTTCTGTGCACCTGCAGGCCCAATACCACCTGTAAGCTGCCAAAGTTTGGGACTTGCACACTCTGAGTCAATGGCCTGAGCTCTATGTTGGCCACATTTAGCCACAGCTGGGACACAGAGTACCAAGTCCCAAGACTGCACAAAGCCGCAAGGCCCTGGACCTGGCCCATGAAATCTTTTTTTTTTCCTCCTAGACCTCCTGGCTTGTGATGGGAGGGACTGCCACGAAGATCTCTGATATACCCCAGAGACATTTTCCCCATTGTCTTAGTGATTAACATTTGGCTCCTCATTACTCATGCAAATTTCTGCAGCCGGCTTGAATTTCTCCTCAGAAAATGGGTTTTTCTTTTCTGTTGCATCTTCGTACTGAAAATTTTCTGAACTTTTATGCTCTGCTTCCTCTTTAAACATAAGTTCCAATTCCAAACCATATCTTTTTGAATACATAAAACTGAAAGCTTTTAGCAATACCCAAGTTACCTCTTGAACGCTTTGCTGCTTAGAAATTTCTCATACCAGGTGCCATAGATCATTTCTCTCAAGTTCAAAGTTCCACAGATCTCTAGGGCAGGGGCAAAATGCCACCAGTCTCTTTGCTAAAGCCTAACAAGAGTCACCTTTGCTCCAGTTCCCAACAAGTTCCTCATCTCCATCTGAGACCACCTCAGCCTGGACTTCATTGTCCATATCGCTATTAGCATTTTGGTCAAAACCATTCAACAAGTTTCTAGGAAGTTCCAAACTTTCTCACATCTTCCTGTCTTCTTCTGAGCCCTCCAAACTGTTCCAGCCTCTGCCTGTTTCCCAGTTCCCAAGTCAGTTCTACATTTCAGGTGTCTTTAAAGCAGCATCCCACTCTTCCAGTACCAATTTACTGTATTAACCTGTTCTCATACTGCTAATAAAGACATACCCGAGACTGGGTAATTTATAAAAGAAAAGAGGTTTAATGGGCTCACAGTTCCACGTGGCTGAGGAGGCCTCACATTCATGGAGAATGGCAAATGAGGAGCAAAGTCATGTCTTACTTATTCACTATCATGAGAACAGCATGGGAAAGACCAACCCCTATGATTCAATTGCCTCCCACTGGGTCCCTGTCATGACACATGGGAATTATGGGAGCTACAATTTAATATGAGATTTGGGTAGGGACACAGCCAAACCATATAAATGATACAACTTTTTTTCTTGTTTAAACTTTTAATCTGTTTACGTCTTTGTATTTAAAGTGTGGTTTTGTAGGCAGTATATAATTGTGCATGTGAGCGTGTGTGTGTGTGTGTGTGTGTTTATTCAATCTCATAGTCTCTGTATTTCAGCTGGTGTATTTAAACCATTGACATTTAAACTGATGATTAACATGTTGGATTGAAGTTGACCATTTTGCTAGTTGTTTTTTATTTGTTCCATTTGTTTTCTGTTTCTTTTTTTTCTCTCTTCCAGCCTTCTCTGTGTTAAATTGAATGTCTTTCATGATTTCATTTTACTTCTTTTGTTTACTTATTTTTTTACATCTACCTTAGATATTATAAGTGCTTTTTAGTTTTTTGTTGAATAAATGAATTAATAAGATAATTTCTCTATAAACCATTGTAAAAGGTGGAAAACACTTTTACCTCAACCATATAATTGTTTGTATAACTAAAAGATATAGTAAATAGCATAATAAAGAATTTAACAGTGTCTTGAATATAGAAAGAGCTCAATAGTAGTTATGATATAAGAAACTTTTTCTTTCACTATTCTTATTTTATTTAATATTATCTGCTCTTTTAATGAAAGTCATTCCAATATGTCTATATTACTTTGTAAATTTTTAAATTATGATTTTACTTTCTTTCTCGTTCTTTCTTTTTATGTTTTTTTTTAAATTTTTGTTCTTTGAGACAGGGTCTTACTCTGTTGCTCAGGCTGGAGTACAGTGAAATGATCTTGGCTCACTGCAGCCTAGACCTCCTGGGCTCAAGCAATATTCCTACCTCATCCTCCTGAGTAGCTGGGACTGCAGGTGGATGCCACCATGCCTGGCTAATTTTTATATTTTTTGTAGAGACAGGGTTTTGCCACGATGCCCAGGCTGGTCTCAAACTCCCGAGCTCAAATGATCCATGCCCCTCAGTCTCCCAAAGTGCTGGGATTACAAGTGTGCACCACCACGCCCAGCCTATGATTTTACTTTCACTTAGTGAATTAAATTCATGTTTCTTTTTTTCTTCTACTATCTCTTTTTGCTTATTCTGGCTGCCAAATAGCTCTTCTTGCTTATTTTTCTGACAAAACTTATTTTTCTATAAAGGTAGCTTACTTTCACAAGTAACCTAAAATTAATCTTTTTAATAAACAGATTATAAATATTTTTAATATTTTGATAGTATCTTTAATTATTGTGTGAATATATTTGAAGTGAAAGTACTAATATATGTAATATTAATATAAAAAATGCCAAGTTTTCTGCATTTGCATTTACTGTTGCCCAATTCTTAATTAAAGTATTATCTCAAGTGGATATATTTTATACATGGATATTTTTAATGGAAAATAACAAAAGAACTATTGTTAAAACCTACTCAAGTCTAAAACAACATGTATTTGGAGATTAATCAGATCAGGTTTAAAACTGTTAAAAAGTAACAAATATTCCTTAAGTTTTCCCAGATAGAATGAGAAGAAGACAAATAAATTCAAGTCATCGAGCCCAAGCTAAAATTCCCTGGTTAAAAGAAGACCAGTGAAATATATTTTTAGAGGAAGACTGAAGAAAGATATTTTACAGTGCGACACAAGCAAATTATTTGCTTGATAGCAGCTGCACAGTTTTATGTAGATAGTATGTATAAAAATCTATTGATAATATTTTAATACAAATTTTACTTGCTTTTCATGTGATAAGTAGGTGAATGATTTCTTTTTCCAACAGTCATTTAATAATGGTGGTCATTGCTTTAATTTAGTGAGGATTCTTACTACTCTTTTTAGGATTTGGATGTGTGTGGATGTTCTAATAGTCCTGAATTCTGGTTCTAGCAGTTTCAGCCAGTTGAAGCTATGATCCGAGATAAATGTGTACTGTTACTACAGAAAACTAATTTGATACCATCTTTTACTTGATATATCTTGTTTCCTTTTGAACTTCTTCTTAGACTAGCTGGTCTTTAAGTACAATAGTTTAAGAGTTCTGCAGTTACATTAAAAATATAATCCTTATCTTTTGGATAAAAAGGCTTTTAACATTAAGTCCATTGCATGTCTCTTTTAAAGTTATAGTCACTCCACATCTTACACTTTTGTATGTCTCCATTCCCCCCACACACAGTCCTTGCCTTACAATGGCCCTATTTAGGATTTTTGGGTTTATTATGATGGTGCAAAAGCAGTACACATTCAATACATTCAGACTTAAGATGGGGTTACTTTGAAAACACACTTTTATACTTACGATGTTTTCAACTTATGATGAGTTTATTGGGACACGTTTCCTTTGCAAGTCAAGGAACATTTGTACTTTGTTATTAGAATTAGCTTTGGAGGCTATAAAGCTTTTTCAATGAATGACAAAAGCTGTATTCATTAGACTTCTGTGTAGAAGATTCTGCCCAGGAATCACAATTGTTATGCTAGTATATTAGTTCCTTAATTAAACAAACTTTTTTTATATGCCTATTACTGTCTGACTGTGGAGATAGTGGGATTATGATGATCTGTAAGAGCCAGTGTTTATATAGCTTGGAATATACCAGAGTATACTTACATGAATATTAATGTTATGAAAGTAATAACATGATGGATTAAATAGTTCTTTATAATTCTCAAAAGGCTCAATCATACATTCATGTCCATCATTACAGTTTTCAAACACTGAAACACATTATCACAATCCCATTTGAAGTATGTTAAATATTTTGCCCAAGAGCCCATGAGTGGTAAATGCAGACATAGATCTACTATATTGTAGGTCAAATTTTCTCAACCTGAGCATTATTAACATTTGACTTAGATCATTTTTTGTTGTGGACAGCTCCTCCATCATTTTACGATGTTTGCAGCATTCTTGGCCTGTAGTCACTACATGCAGTAGCATCTTTCTCCCTCAGTTATCACAGCCAAAAATGTCTCTAGATACTGTCAAATGTTCCTGGGGAGCAGGCAAAATCATCTGCCATTGGAAACCACTGATGTAGCCGCCTGATGATTTCTCTAATATGTTACCTAAATTTTGGTAGAGCGATATTTCATATAAGTTAATATGAAGCTGGAGTTATAGCATGTCTATATAATGGAAATGCTCTCACTGGAGTTTATTTACTTTAAATAGCTTGACAAAGAGATGGCATCAAAGAAACAAAGCCTTTGCAATCAGAAAGACCATTTTTGAGGCCAGACGCGGTGGTTCATGCCTGTAATCCCAGCACTTTGGGAGGTCTAGCAGGGTGGATCACGAGGTCAGGAGATCGAGACCAGCCTAGCCAAATTGGTGAATCCCATCTCTACTAAAAATACAGAAAATTAGCCGAGCTTGGTGGCGGGCACCTGTAATCGCAGCTACTTGGGAGGCTGAGGCAGGAGAATTGCTTGAGCCTGGGAGGTGGAGGTTGCAGTGAGCCGAGATCGCGCCACTGCACTCCAGCCTGGCAACAGAGTGAGACTCCGTCTGAAAAAAAAGAAAAAAAAGAAAGACAATTTTTCAATCCCAGCTCTATGTAAATAATGCAAAGAAATAGTAATGTTCTCAAATCCACAGAATAATTAATTCCTTCTCTCTAAATCTTCTCCCAGATACTAATTCAACTTCTTGAATCAATTCAATTTCACAGGCTCTCTAATTGGCATCTAGGTCTCATGACTGCAATGCCTCCTTTTTAAGAAAATATTTTAATCTTTTATTTTATTTTCTGCATTTCCCAGTCATACACACAAAACACTCCTAGATATATAATAAACTAATGTTTTCAATATTTTGAACCCTAGTGATAAACAATAAATATAGAAGAGAGGTATCTATGTGAGTCATTTTAGTGTACGTTAAATGTATGGGGAAACTGGTATGTGTAATAGTGCTATCTAAGCATCCAGGTATGACTAGTGAAAAATCAAACATTTTTCTAAAGTAGAAAGATGCAATGAATTTTTTAAAAACTTCTCCCTGCTGTATAAAATAGTATTATATTTTATAATACTAAATAGAGTATTAAATCACAAAAAGAAAACCATGTCATTGCAGTAACACACTGATTATAACTGATGAGAAACAAATAATTTTATATACTTCTATATTTTTATAGAAGTATTGGTAATTGTCTTATCTTTATCAAATAATATTCTTAGTGTAATAATATAAGAAGTATAATGAAAATATTTACTAGAAGACACCTTATATGGGGTACCTTTTAATTTTAATTAAAAATTAATCTGCTGTGAGATTATATCTCAAGGAAGTATGAGTATACTTATATACTTATTATATAGATACAGAAAAGTGCACAGATTATCCACCTATAGCTTGATAACGTTTACAACTATACACGCCTATGTATCCACAGATTAGGATTTAAGCACAGAGACATGAGGATTTTTAAAAGACCTATAGTGGACACACATTTTACATGGTTTGACTTCTTATTAATGCAGTTATTAAATAAAAATGAATGATGTAAATATTATACATAGTATTTTATCAGGTACCATAAGATATATGAATAACTACGCAAAGTTATAATGTAAAGAATTTCTTTGAATTTGGGAGGCATATAAATGGAAACTTTAGCCAACAATTCAAAACATTCTACTGTTGTGTGCCCAAGCTCATCTTCCTTAGAAAGGAACAAAGACTCAAGAAATCACATGATCACTCTGTCTGATTAAAATGGTAATCTTGAGAAATGTTTCATCATTTAGTATTGTATCATGCATAGTTTCGAAAACCTACTTTATGTATTTATGTCCATATGTTACATATTTTTATTATAGTAGCCATTAATTTGTGTATCAGAATTATGACATTATAAAATAAGTATTTTAAGACCAATAGCCTGTATACAGTACACAGAAATGGATGAGGGAAAAGATGGAGTAAGTAAACGTACTGAAAGGCAATATTGCAACACCCTACACAGGAAATGTTTTCACCTTGAATTAGGAAGACAAGGGGAATGAATAGTTAGAGACAAATAAGAAAAGTGTTATTTAGGATGAATCAACATAACTTGGTTATTGAATTGATAAAAAGATTAAAGTAGACAGAATTTGCTATGTTTGTTAAGAATATAAGTGTGCGTATATAGTATATGGGTTATTTGAAGAATAATTATGCCAAAATAAAATTAGGGAAATTATAAAGGCAAACTTTTACATTTGCAGCAGGTAAATGGGTTCCAGTGTGTGTATATTAAAACTTGTATTAACCTGTTTCATAAATATGACAGTTTGGGCACAATGTCAGTTTTTGGCAGCTGGTTCTCATTCTTCCTAAAGCCCCAGTTCTCAAAGTGTTAGAGAAGATAAGAGGACAGATGAGGTCATAGCAGTAAACCCACACTGGGAACTAATGAGACAAAGAGTTGTCACTGTCTTGGCAGTTTTAACCAATCACACTTTCCAACATCTTTTCTGATTTTTTTCGAGACAGGGTCTTGCTCTGTCTCCCAGGCTGGAGTGCAGTGGTGTGATCTTGGCTTACTGCAACCTCCGCTTCCCGATTCAAGCAATTCTCCTGCCTCAGCCTCCTGAGTAGCTGGGATTACAGGCACTCGCCACCATGCCCGGCTAATTTTTTGTATTTTTAGTGGAGATGGGGTTTCACCGCGTTAGCCAGGATGGTCTCGATCTCTTGACCTCATGATCTGGCCGCTTCGGCCTCCCAAAGTTCTGGAATTACAGGCGTGAGCCACCGCAACCGGCCTCCATTGGTTTTTCTAATAATATGTCAGCTTTAATGAGCAATTATTACCCTGTGAAAACCACCTCTGGGACCTGAAAAGACATGGATTGTGCTACCTGACACCTCACCTCTAAGCCAGCTAGCTCCACAGGTTCACTTGTGATTTTTTATTAACCTCATAGTGATGAGATTGAATATTTTGGTCCACACGTACATTGTTGTGGCAGAGTTTTACCGTATGTGACACAAAACGCACTCTAAGAAAAAAAGGGTTATTCAACCAATTAAGATATAAGATTATATTTTGAAATGGAGCAGTCTCTGTAAGAAAAAGTTGAACTCATATTTCTAAATAGTAATGGTCATTTTAAATGCCTGAGATTCCAAAGGAAAATTATAGCAGCAAACTAAAGAATGAACCTTAGAGAATGTTTGTATTTATGAGGTGGATGAGGAAACAAACAAACAAAAAAGGGAGTTGTCACAAATGTAAAGGATGAATCAGAAGCATATAATTTTAAATAAAAATATTTACTGCATTTGGTAAGTTGGAGGGAGATTTCAAATGAAGCTAGAAACTGAAATGTCAGGACTCATGTAAATAGAACCGATCTTCATTATTTGCAGATTCCATATTTATGAATTCTCTACTTGCTCAAATTTATTTATTTATTTATTTATTTATTTATTTATTTATTTAGAGATAGGGCCTCACTCTGTCACCCAGGCTGGAGTGCAGTGATATGATCATGGCTCACTGAAACCTCAATCTCCCAGGCTCAATCGATCTTCTCACCTCAACCTCCCGAGTAGCTGTGACCACAGGTGCACATCACCACACTGGGCTAAGTTCTGGGTTTATAGACCTGAGCCACTGCACCTGGCCTCAAATTTATGTTTAACCTCTAAATCAATACGTGGACACTTTGGCATTCATTCTTGGACATATACAGAGTGGTGGAAATGTTTGAGTAACTCAGTGCGCATATTCCCAGTTGAAGTCCAAGGCAATGAGCAATGCTCTTCCTTCTTGTTTCAGTTCTCATGCTGAAAGTAAGTCTCCTTCTCCTTCTCCTTTCTCCTTTCTTCTTCTTCTTCTTTTTTTGAGACAGGGTCTTGCTCTATTGCCCAGGCTGGAGTACAGTGGCACCATCATAGCTCACTGCAGCCTTGACCTCCCAGGATTAAGCAATCCTTCCACCTCAAGCCTCCCAAGTAGCTGGAACTATAAGCATGCCACCACACAAGACTAATTAAAATTTTTTTTTTTTTTTTAGTAGAGACAGGGACTCACTCTTCAGTTGCCCAGGTTAACAAGCATTCTTTTTTTTTTTCTTTGAGATGGAGTCTCGTTCTGTCGCCCGGGCTAGAGTGCAGTGGCGTGATCTCGGCTCACTGCAAGCTCCGCCTCCCGGGTTCACGCCATTCTCCTGCCTCAGCCTCCCGAGTAGCTGGGACTACAGACGCCCGCCACCACGCCTGGATAATTTTTTTTTTCTTTTTGTATTTTTAGCACAGACGGGGTTTCACCGTTTTAGACAGGAGGGTCCCGATCTCCAGACGTCGTGATCCTCCCGCCTTGGCCTCCCAAAGTGCTGGGATTACAGGCATGAGCCACCGCACCTGGCCCAACAAGCATTCTTTTCACAACATGTTTAGTGCCCTGTTTGCCTCATTTTTGTGCTTATTGTTGGTGTTTAAAATGGTCCTCAAGCATATTGTTGAACTACTATCTAGGGTTCATTGGAGCAAAACGGCTATGATGTGCCTTATAGAGAAAATATGTGACTTATAGAGAAAATATGTGTTAGATAAGCTTTCAGATATGAGTTATGGTATTGTTGGATGTGAGTTTAATGTTAATCAACAATATATATTAAATCAGTGTCTTTAAATAGAAACACACACAAAAGGAAGGTTATATGTTGATTGGTTCATGAAAATGTGTGAGTAAAGGCTCGCAGGAGCATAGCCCTATTTCTCCTAGGAGCAGTCGTTCAGTATTCGCTAATTCAATGTTCACAATGACTTTGTAAAAAAATGATTACCATGGATAATGAGAATCGGTATACAAACATATATATACACAGACATACACACATCCTTTTTGTGTTTAAGAAGTTAAAGTAGAAAATTGTAGTATACCAGTATTAGTTACAGTCTCCAAGAATACAACTATAAAAACATATTTAAGCCATTAGTAAATTTCATTATATTACAATCAGAATTCAAATAATTTTGTTTAATATTTGCTTCTGAAACTGGTGCACCATTTAGCTGTTTTGATACCATAAACAAGTAAATTTTATAAATGTAGATATATGAGATCTTTCAGTTATTGTGATTGACTCATTTATAAAATGTATCTTTGAGTGAGTCTATATTAGGATTTCTCCTTTTCTGTGTAAATTAAGTAAAATTCGATACTTTCTCTGCTAACTTTATTTAAACAATGCTTCTTGAGCTCTCTGTTATTTGATAGGAATTTAGTAGTTCAGAGAAATCAATTGACTCTTCTACTTCAATTTTTTGTCTTTCTGAAATCTTGAATAAAGCCTTTAAACCTGATGGCAATACCTTTATCTCTAACCCTGTTCATGTGAGAGTGCATAATTGTGCATTTTGCAATTTCCTTGTCTCATTTGTTCTCTGTTGTTTATCTGCTTACTCCTAAGGCTGGGAAAAGTGATAATATATGAGTGGCCCATGTAGTAGGTAGAAAATGAGGGCAAGTCCATGGATATCTTATCCATGTCTTGGTACTAGTGGCATGCAATAATATGGGCCTACCAAGGCTCCTAGAAGATTTTTTAAGCTTTAAGTTTTTTTTGTTAGATACACTGCCAATATATAGAAGAGACTATAACATCGGAAAATATGAGTGGTTAGTTACATTCAGGCCTTGCTGTTTGCAGCCTTAAACTTCATGTAAAACCTCAATGAAACATATTTTCTCTACTTTTAAGATAAAGGATTTGAACAATTGATCTAATTCTCTCACAGCATTACTGTGATTATCAGAGGAATAAAAGGCATTTTTAGTACTCTATCTTTTCTTCTGTAAAATACTTCACTTTCTCTGTGTTTGAAAAATGAGGTCCCTCATAGAACAAGGTCAGTATTATGGGAGAATGAGTCATTTAATTCTAAGCTGTAACATGTTACAATAATTTGTTTTAAAATGGTTCAATGCAGATGTCATAGAATGAGTTCAGATGGGTCTGCAGAGGCAAATTCATAGGAAACTTTGTTACCTCTCTGTTTGGATTTATGAAACTGGTTCTCTAGTTTCATTGTATAGTAATGCCCAAAAAGTGAAAAGCCTAAACTTCTACTTTTTTCATGTTTTTCTTATGTATTAGTCTGTTCTCACGCTGCTATAAAGATACTACCTGAGACTGGGTAATTCTGAATAAAAGAGGTTTAATTGACACAGTTCCGCGTGGCTGGGGAGGCCTCAGGAAACTTACAATCATGGCAGAAGGCGAAGCAGGACACCTCCTGCCTGGCAGCAGGAGAGAAAGAAGGGAAACTGCCACTTTAAAAACCTCAGATCTCTGCCGGGCGCGGTGGCTAACGCCTGTAATCCCAGCACTTTGGGAGGCCGAGACGGACGGTTCAAGAGGTCAGGAGATCAAGACCATCCTGCCTAACACGGTGAAACCCCGTCTTTACTAAAAATACAAAAAAAAAAATTAGCTGGGAGTGGTGGCGGGCGCCTGTAGTCCCAGCTACTCTGGAGGCTGAGGCAGGAGAATGGCGTGAACCCGGCAGGCGGAGCTTGCAGTGAGCTGAGATCGCGCCACTGCACTCCAGCCTGGGCAACGGAGCGAGGTTCTGTCTAAAAAAAAAAAACCTCAGATCTCGTGAGAATTCCCTCACTACCATCAGAACAGCATGGGAGAAACCAACCTCATGACTCAGTCACCTCCCTCGACACATGGGTATTACAATTCGAGATGAGATTTGGGTGGAGACCCAAAGCCAAACCATATCATCTTAGCTGTAGGCAAAAAAAATGGGATATATCTTTATTCTTTGACTTTCTAGAAATGCCACTATCTCAAAAATATAAGCCTAGGAGACAGAGGGTGAAGGTAGGGTACCATTTTCTATGGTAGTGGGGATGAGTGATGCTTTTTTAATCCTATTAGTTTAATATAGGAAATGGACAATGATCATGTAAATGAAATTAATTACATAACTACCAAATGAACCAAAAAGAAACAGAAAAGGGTTCTGTGAGAGAGAACTATGGGGAAGATTCACCTTAAATTAGATGTGAATTTCCTTTCACTAATTTCTACTTGAATTATTTAGGCATACTCAGGACTCCTGTTGTATTTTTTAAGATTTTGAATTTGGATCACCTTTCTCATCACAACATTTATCTTATTTTTAATTTTTAAAAATATTTAATTTTTAAACACTTAATTTTGTTGTCCTCTCCTCCAAACTTTTATCCAACCACCATTCACCTTTCTCAAGAAGAGGAGCTACCAAAATAAGCTGGCGGTAAGGCCAGGAGGGTAATAACAAAGCAGAACAGAGTGCGTGTGCAGAGGCTACTGTTCCCTGCTCTAGATGTGAACCTGGGGACTTGTGCCACAGGATCCTGGAGCAAGAATCAGAGTTCCAACCAAGATATCTGGACCTGTCCCACTCGTCTCAAGGATAGATTGTGCCGGCCTAAATACATTATACCTGGAGAGCTGCTGGTGTTCTAGGCCTCCGGGAAAATAGCAGAGCTGTGATATTAAGCTGAGTTCCCCTATCCTTGATCCTCAGGGCACCAGACTTTGTAGTTGAAGGCATCACAAGCAGAGAGGTTCTACTTGTCACTTTGCAACAAAACTGGCAATTTTTTAGCTGTTCTAGCACCTGCCCACAAGGTTACTGTGCCTTACACTGCTGTGTGACTCCTTCATTTATTATACTCAGGCAGGCAGATCTGGATATGAAGGTGAATAGATCCACCAGTAATAAAAAAAAAAAATACTACCTAAGGAAACCCAGCAGCCAGAGAAAGGAAATATAAGTAGAACACTCAGGTACCAAACTGACATTTAGGCAGAATTTCTGCAGCTGGTTGATGACAATTAGAATAAAAATAATAAAGATTTAGGGTAACTTTAGGTTTAAATCATTTTCTAAGACTAAAATGTATGATTTTGAGTTCAAAAATTTAGAAGGATTCAGTGAGAATATGGTCCCTATGGAGATCTAAATTAGTGGTCCAGAAGGTGCACTAGAATATGTATCTGAACAAGAGCAAAGCTGCAAAGAGATGGTAATCATAAAGGAAAGCATACAAGACAGAAGACAGTGGCAGGCATTGTTCAATGTGCTTTTTTTTTTTTTTTTGAGACAGGGTCTCACTCTGTCACCCAGGCTGGAGTGCAGTTGTGCGATCTCGGTTCACTGCAACCTCTGCCTCCTGGGTTCGAGTGATTCTCCCACCTCAGCCTCCCCAGTAGCTGGGACTACGGGCATGCACCACCACACCCAGCTAATTTTGGTATTTTTTGGTAGAGACAGGGTTTCACCATGTTGTGCAGGCTGGTCTCGAACTCCTGACCTCAGGTGATCCATCCGCCTTGGCCTCCCAAGGTGCTGGGATTACAGGTGTGAGCCACCATGCCCGGCCTCAATGTGCTTTTTGTTTTTAACTTAGTTAATCGTTACAAGAACCCTTTGAGATAGAAATTCTAGAGAAATATAACATTTGAATAATGAAAAATTTTGTAGTAAAGGAATAAAGAAAAAACAAGCTATAAAAATGTAATAGAAGAATTCTCTCTTGATGAAGAAATGTTAAGTACAGATAGAAAGAGCTCATCAAGTTCCATGAAGGATTATGAAAAAATAAAATTAAAAGATGCATTCCTAGACATATGGTAAAACTCAATTCCAAGTATCAACAGTCAAATTTAGCATTTCAATACAAGAGGTTAGAATTGATAAAAATTACATTTACAAAATATAGAGGTTAAAGGACTTTGGCATCTTATCTTTCCACTATCTAAGTATTTTTCTCTGTGGTGCAGTATGAGTCCAACTTACCTTTGTCTAGGATAATAAAATATCAAAATAATTATTTGGATGAAATATCCCTTTTTCACACTGAACTTAAACACTTTTATATTATACAGTCAGCCCTTCATATCTATGGGTTTCATAATCACAGATTTCACCACAGACTGAAGATATTTTCAAAAATAAATAAATGAAAAATAATAAAATAATACAAATAAATAATTATGATGACTATGTAGCATCTACATTGTATTAGGTACTCTAAAGATAATTTGAAGTATACAAAAGGATGTGCATAGATTATATGCAAATACTATGCCATTTTATACAAAATGAGCATCTGAGGATTTTGGTATCCACAGGGTTACTGAAACTGCCCCATATGGATACTAAAAGACAACTGTATTCATTGGCCATATACACCAAATAAATTGGAATTTCTCTTTTATCTCCGGATACTATTTATTCTTAAACACAACTATTCTGTTTTTATTATAATGGCTTTATATTATGTTTGCATATCAGATAAGATCATCTTCACTATTCTTTCATTTATAACTTTTGGCTATTTTAAAATTTTTATTCTTTAATATGAGTTTGAAGTCATAACATCTAAAAACCCCTCTACCTCATCAAAAATAAATAAATAAATTCTTCCTGTAGCTGTCTTTGTACTTGGAACTGCACATGTTATTTTGAGAGAAGAGTTATTTTTATAATACTAGTTTTTACATATAAGAAATTGAATCTTAATTATTGTTTTCATTTCTGGCTGATTATTTTCTAAAATGTTATTTTCATATCATTTTCGAAGATTTATACCAATTATTTTTTCTTTCCCTATTGTAAATACTAGAACATAAAAAATAATAATGATTAATACTGGTGACATTGCATACTCTTGTAGTAGTTCTAGATTAAGGGAAATGATCTTAATACATCGCCATTTAGAAATATGTTCAATGTTGAGTTTTGGTATATTTTTAAAATTATATTTATGTGGGCACCTTCTATTCCAGTGCTTACTTTTTATACCACATTGAATCATGCTTCCCAAACATTACCTCTTAAATTTACACCTAGAGTGGAAGTGAATGGGGTAAGAGAAGAATGTTCTTTGTGCTCTGGAAAGTCAGCATTGGTAACATGAGGCACATATGCAATCATATACAGGAGACTGTATCAAAAATGGAATAAGATTTTCTTCCTATTTAGACTAGCCCCAGGCTAGTAATCCTATATGTATATTTTGCAACTTCCCACTGAAATACCCATGACTAAACTACAGTGTAAATTATGACAGGCATTCAAGAGTCAGACAGTATCAGGGCTACACCTCTAGCTGCAAACCAATAAATTTGTTCTGTTGCAGAAGTCTAAATGTGTAGGATAATAACTCTATTTCTCAGTCCAGCTTCATGGATCCTGTAGAAAAACAATGGTTCAGCTATTTGTCTCTTTATACAGATATAAGTCTTCATCATTATCATCATGATCATTATTTTATCATGATTACTTGATTATAAGCTCCATGAGGGCAGGGATTTTTCTCTATTTTTTCATGTAGAAATACCCAGTCACTAGAAAAGCATTTGACACATAAAATGTACTCATGTACTCAGTGTAAATGCTATACACTTCAAAGTTTATTATTTGCATATGTATTTTATTCACACTTTCAGTAAGTATTTGTGGAGCATTTCCTGGGTGACATACAGTATTCTAGGAACTGCAGACAAAATAGTAAATAGAAAATAGAAGGTCTTTGCCTTCATAGAACTTGCTTCTTAAAGCAGTAGTTCTCAGATTTTGCTGCACATTGGAATCACCTAAAGAGTTTTTAAAACACTGATACCAGCTTCTACCTCCAGACTTTCTGATTTAATTCGTGTCTGATGCAACTTGAACCTTGGGGGTTCTTCAAAAGTTCTCCAGATAATTGTAATGTGCACCAGAATTTTTGAATCATTGGCCTAATATACAAGTTGGCATTAAACAATTCCAGGTTTCTTACTTGAGAGTGATAATAGATTGTGTTACAAAAGCCACCACTTTACCCACTGTGTTTAGTTCATATTATATTCATATGTTTACTATTAATATTATTTTAATTATGTCCTATATTCTTGAACCAAAAAAAAGTTCCTTATGGTATTTTTGAGAAACCAACCAACACTATTTTCTAAAAATACATTTATCAAAAAGGAGGTGAAATATTTAACATTTCAGTTGAGCCAGTTATACACCTACCTCTATTAAATGGAGATGCAAATATTGTTTACTTTTATCTCAATCAAATATCACATTAAAATGTTATTCTCCATATGTATCTAAGAAAGCTTTAAAGAGGAATTTTGAGCAGTTCTTGACTACTTGACTGAACATATAATCTATTATTGTATTTTATATGGAGAAACTCTCTTATTTATATGTTTATTTATTTATCTGGTTTCCAGATGCTAAAGTGTATGTTCATTATAGTACATTATAGTTCATTAAAATGTTCAAGTCTAAATTGCACTCAGCATAGTGAAACTGCTGCTATTTTTCTTAAACATTATACCTCTTCAGAACAGATTTGCAATAGGTACTGGCCCAAACTGATAACTTCCTTCCCTTCATTTTGCATAATACAGCAATTTTGGTTTCAAAATGCCACCACAATCTTAAATATTCTGACTAGCTTTGCTGAGTTTGCAGTAGCAACAATGATAATACCCATTGTAAAAACGAAATGCAGAAATAGTGACTGTCAAATCCTAACATGTTCCTTATATCCACACTTCAGTTTCCTTACCAGTATAATCTACATTCCAGTTAATAATTTAATGCTAATCAGCTCCTTATCTTCTGAAAAGGAGAGTCTGCTTTGAATCATAAGGCAGCTGACCTTGAAGGTAGGTTTAATATATGCAGATTTCTTATATCACCTCTAAGCTTTTTTTACTCAGAGCATTTTCTTGGTTACATTTAGCTCAGAGCTGTGCAATCATCATTTTGTCTATCCTAACAGTAACTGATTTAATAACGATAGTTTTTACTCTTCCTTAGTTTTGGACTTTACATTTATTTGTATAACTAGTTTTAAATAACGTAGTGTTTTAATATGCAAATAAAATAAATATAAATAGTTCAGGTAAACCATAAATACTAGAAAGAATATAGTAGCATCTTTCTAAACAAATTCTGCTATTTCACAAGGTGCTTATGTATTTCTGTCAACTTTCTTTAGATTTTACTGTCAAATGGCATTTTTTAGTAGTGATGTGATAAAGATTTAAAATTGGTTCCTTGGACTACATTTTGTGAATTGAAATTCAACATGAATTGAGAAATGAGCTATAGAATTTTATTATATATAAAACTGTAAGCAAAGCTGTATTATTATAATAAAACTATGTAAGCAAAGCTATAGAAGTTCAGTTTAAATTTTTAAAATTTTCAACAAATCGAGGACAGGAACATGTTTCAAAAATAATATCAAAATTAGAATTTTTACATGTTATAATAACTTCGGTTTAAATGTGTTAATGAGTTAATGCGATTGCATAGATCTAAACTGAACAACAAAGGAAAGAGATAAGAAAAAATAATTTTTGTTTATCTAAAAATTACACATAATCTGGGCTTTAGGAAAAAAATGTATAAAGCTCTTTGGAAATAGAATCCCATCATAAGAGGCAATTTCAAACTTCTTTGTATATACATGGTAGTGACTTGCCTTAAATATTAAAATACCCATCTTTGTTTGTTGTAATTTGTGAATTTACTTGTTTTCCCCCATCAAAATTAGGAAGAAGAAAATACAAGATTTCTATTTCAAAAGAGGAAGAATGGTTAGATTAGGACAGTGGCAGCAAGGAAATATGATTTTTTTTTAATTGAGATCCTTTTTGAGAAACAAAAGGTGGCTTTGCTTTGAATTAAAAAGTCATTTATGTTGGGTAGAGTTCTTCACTTAATGGTTTCCTGCTTACACTGAAAAATACACTGGGTTGATTTAGATTGTTATTCTTCTTCATTTAGCTTTTAGTGATCTCATTTGTGTAATCTTCATACTTGAAAAGTAGAATATGAAAACAACAAGAACTATAGATGTGCTTTGGAGATTGATATGTAGTGCTTTTGCTAGTGAAAAATAATCTCAAAGAAATAAGTTTAAAAAACAAATTTTCTTAACTCTATTTTACAGTAAAATGTTTTTATATTGTTATTAGCATTCCAAATTATTTTCATGAAAATTATTTTATGGAAATAACCCTTATTTTATTAGCTTGCTTTCTATTTTAAATCACGCTGTGTAAGAATGATTAAATCAAATATAAAGTATGGAACAATTTAAATGACTTAATGGTCTTCCAGATAAGATAGAAATGTTTCTGCTATTATCTTGAAGAATCAATAGTGGATTGGGTTGTCTTCTTTAAACATCATGCTGTTTTCACTGCTTGTTATGTTGCTCTAAAGAAATTTAAATATTTCACATGCCAGTTGCTTGGGAGAAACATTTTTCAAGACAATTAGTTGTGCTATTTAAAATTAACCTTTTATCTACAAATAATGTTGTCATTCTCTCTGGAGTGTTTGACCTAACTAGAGCTAAGATGGAACATCTTAGCCTACAAAACATGAGATTTCACTAAGTAAAAGTAATGTTTTGCTCAGTTTAGAGAACAGATACTGGAAAGCAATGTTAAGAGAGATTTTCAGTAGTTCATAGTTCATCATATATTTATATTTTTTGATACAGATTAAATTTATATATCTTTAGAAAATGTGTGCTACTTATTATAAATTACTGTTTTATGTATTGCTATGTATAAATGATGTGCTTCCCAATTTAACCTTTAGAAGTAAACTTAAAAGCACTCATAAATTTCTGTTGAATGTAGGGTTTAATAACATAGGTCTTATTTATTTAAGGATAATTTTCTTCTACTATCACTTAGGCATAAAATTAATATAGTTTTATTTTTAACTACTTAAGTTCTTAATCTAATGTAGCCTTAATGAATTTACCCATGTAAAGTACTTGATGAAGCCATCATGAAAGGCTGCTTGGCTAATATCCATCAGTCCCCTTGCTGAAAATAACTGAATTTTAATGTGAATATATATAAAAAAAACCGGTAACTGTTTCATGTATCTAAGGTTTATGCAACTTAATTTAATAATTTCATTTTTTAATTGTGCCATAGACATGTTTATTGAGTTATAAAAACACCACAATCACGAATGAATGGGAAACACAAAGAATTAGTATTAAGAGTATGCTGTTTGTTTTGATTATGATGCATAACTAAAAACCTAAAATTAACTGTAACTTAAATTGTTTCTCTGTGGCTTTTTTTTTCTTTCTCATCCACCCTCTTCATTCTCCCTTCTCCTCTTTAAATAAATAAAAATATTCTGAATGTAGCTTAACTAGTTTTAGAAGTAGAGAGGAAGATTGGTTATAAAGAGGAATGTAAATTAATTTATAAACACAAGTTATCTCAAGTTAAAATCAATATAAGAGAGCCTGTAATCTCCATGTAGCCAAAACCTGGGATTAACTAAAGTACTCAATTTCCTTTGTAGATCATACTAATTAGTTTTCAGGGTAGGCACATCTTACCAATTTTATGCACTTATCAAGAGTCATTTGGATTTGTTACCTAGTGTATGACTGCCATTTGTTCTTGTTATTTCATTTCACAATTTCGTTAAAAATTGTGCTATCTAATGCAACATGAGCATTAAAAGGCTTTTATTTTATTTTATTTTATTTTATTTTTTTGAAACAAACTCTCACTCTGTCCTCCTGGCTGGACTGCAGTGGCATGATCTTGGCTCACTGCAACCTCCACCTTCCAGGTTCAAATGATTCTCCTGCCTCAGCCTCCTGAGTAGTTGGGATTATAAGCGCATGCCACCACGCCTGTCTAGTTTTTTTGTATTTTTAGTAGAGATAGCGTTTTGCCATGTTGCTGTGGCTGGTCTCAAACTCCTGGGCTCAAGCAATCTACTTGCCTTGGCCTACCAAAGTGCTGGGATTACAGGCGTGAGCTACCGTGCCTGGCTAAAAGACTTTTTTTTTCCTCCACTATAAAAACCAAGGGAAATACTGTGGAAGTAGATAAAAGCAAATCGACTAAAGTTTAGACAATATTTTGAAAAACTAAAATTCTAGAAGGGTTCTAGAATTTTTGCTTTGGATTGCCTTATGGGTTGCTTTAACTTTTTTCTCCATTAAAAAATAAAAAACTAGAAATCAAAGGCAATGTATGAGACTTATGAAAAAAAATTTAGTAAAGAACCCCAATCAGTGCATTCTTACTCAATGAAAAGGTCTTGGTTTTACAAACAGTAGCATCCATATCCCCCTATGTAAAATAAGATGAAGTAAAGATATATCTTTTTATGACTTTCTGTTTTAATTATTTTATTTGCTTAATCAGTTGGGTAAATTATGAGTCCTAGAATTTAAGAAAAGAGGGCTTCCACTGTACTTTGTACTCTCCTTCAGAGAAAAGCTAAAGAAACCGCTTCTTTTGCTAGGCTGAGGCTGACTGAATTCCGTGGGTGTTTCTACATCTGAATATCATTACAAAGACTACCCACTTGAGGAGATATGCTTGCTATTCAAATCTACCATATCTTCTGGAAATTCTTGAGTTCTTACTCTATGAAATGAAGAAAATAACATAAACTAACATGCATGGGGCACAGGTTTCTTCTTGAATGCCAACTCTGATTAGTTGCTAATTGCTACTTGAAGATCTGTGCTTAGATCCATCTGTAGCCCCTTTCACCTTAGAGTCAAATGCCTGGATCCGGTACTGTCACCCGCGGGAACAGACTAGGGTAGAAGGATAAAACTATGACAGCATTGTTCTCCTGAGCTACAGCCACATTTCTTTTAGTGTTTTCCAGATGTATAAATGAGCTTTTCCTATCTTTTTCTTTTTTACTTTTTCTTCTGTTGGGACACTCCCGTCAGTGACATCCCTCTGTATTGGTTAGTTATTTCATAGATTAGAAAGTTTGTGGGCTCTGCACAATTCATCCCTTTGGTTCCTATAGAAAAGAAATGTTTGTTAACTCATTTAAAATAAGGACTACTTCACGCAAATAAAAACCACTTCTGTCTACTTCTCTAAAAACTGAATAACCTATGTCTAGTCTTCATTAAAGAAAGCCAAAAAAGAAAGTTTATTCCAACATATTATCTTCACAATTAAGAGTATACAGAATATGAGGGCAAGAGGACTATTCCAATGATCACTGTTTGATTTAGTGAATCTGGCTGCTAAATTGACTCTAAGCTATTTTCTTTACAGTTTGTCACATGGTTTAGAGTACTTTAAGAGGCCAGCCTTCCCGGGTGAAAAGTACAATAGTTTCTAAGACAGAGTATTCATAAGGTTTGTGGTGTTAAGAAATATTACTTTTCTGCAATCTTTAACAAATGTGGAAAAGGACATTCTGAATTTATAATGTAAATGGGGCTGGAATTCTTTCTTGGAAAATAGAATCAATAAACATATTTTCAGAAGTAAAATATATTGATTGAGAACTATTGTCTAAATATTCCCCAAACCCTAGATGTTCCTTGTCAAATATACACACAGAAGATGTACTGTGCTATATAGATGAGGATTGATGATAGGAATATGTAGATCTACACGTTAGGGATAATTTTATTTCAGTTTAATGACATCAGAATTCAAAAGAAATGAAACATTATACATGTAACAATTATTGAAATGCCTCCCATGTACTAGCAGCTGTACTGGTTCTGCCCTTGGGAAGTTTATTAGCATAGCTGGGACACAGGCCTATAAATAGATAATTAAAGAGAATATTGTTAAAGGCCATATAAGGGTTACGCCTAGGGGGCTGTCAGGATATGTCATAACTCCCCACATTTCAAATTACAAAATTTGCTTTACTCCAAAATAAAGGTAGCTTTATTGTACATTTAAGAAAACTTGAAATTGTAAAGTGTTTATGTGAAATGTTAACTTACAGACTTGATTTACCAAATTTATAGCAGTAAAGTAAGTCCCATTTTTCAGAATATGAGGTATGTGATTTCAGCTCCTTAAATGGGATACCTCACATTATTATTACAGTTTAAAACCTATGAGATTTTCTTTTCTATTTTTAATCCTTCTCTTAATGATCTCATTTATTGTCTACTGGAAATCAATTTAGGAAATCATGTTAGTCCACTAAGCACTTCAGATAAGGCTATTCCATGAAGCATTCCAAGATTATCACAAGGAATTGCTTTCATATGCCATAAAAGAAGAAATAAGCAGAATATGGCCTGCTGAAGAAGGTTACAGTTTTACAGCCCCTCCCATTGCAGCTCTTAAGTCACTCAGTTACAGTTAACTTTGGATTAGCACTCACAGATTGAAAGCAAAACACATCAAAACACTCATCACGCACTCTGGGCTTGTGGTGCCACTTGTATGTGTGTTTCTAAATCAATGATGAGGGTATCAGAACCAATACTGGACATGGACATGGCAAATTACAGTGAAGTTTTGGACCCAACTTACACAACTTTGGAGTTTGAAACTATGCAGATTCTATATAATTCAAGTGGTGAGTTATCATCTGTTTATAGATGTAAAGAAAAGTAAGTATAATTGGAGAAGGTGGAAGACTGAGCTTCCAAAGGTGGTGGCTCAATGTTTTTTTTGCTGGAGAGTTTAGGGCTTGCTTTTAAGGCCACAGATCTGAGCTTTTGCACTTCATTACAAAATTTAAGTTAATAATGCTGTGGCTATTTTGTGTTAGAGGTAGAAAAAGCCTGGTTTTGTGTAATAAAGTAATGTCAGAATTCTGTCATGGGCCAGTTAGACAGGTAAAAAGAGTAGTCTCAGCTGTTATTTTATTTGCTGTAAATCATAGTAATATGTCATATTGGCAGATTGGCTGTGAAAGTATATTTTCTAAGCAATATTTAAAATGACTTATGGAACAAAGTTTCCATAGAACATTAGGGAGTTTCACTGATTGTCTACCCTTTTCCTTATAATTCCAGTTCTCAATTGCTAGTGATGAGAAACTACATTTAAAATTACTATCAGGTTTTTGCATTGAACGCAAATATGAAAGGGAATAAGGCTTGTATTATAACCTCACCTGACAGGCTAATGTTTAGCCGCACAAAGCTGTTGGTATTTAATTACTGTAACATTTTAACTTTAAATAAGACATGAGTTTTTTAGGGGTAGTGTCTTTATGTAATACAGCTTACTATTGACTTTGAATTTAGACTTAATACCCGGTAAAAAAAATCTTGTTTAAAATATGTTATAACTGTTAGAACTCCTAAGATCGAGTAATTATGTATACTTTGGAAAATGTGTATGTGTGTGTGTGTGTGTGTGTGTGTGTGTGTTTAATGCAAGATTGAGAATATATCTTGTACTGAGGATATCTTACTATTCTACTGTATTGTATAATTTGTATGACTGGTGTTCTGGTTCTATTTTTAATAAGCAGTTCCTTATTAGTGGGGATTTTAAAAAATAGTCAAAAGGTGAATTCTGAAAATTTAGCACAACTATAGTTAAAATAAACCTGTAGTGCAACTTTCAGGAAATCACTGTTTTGTGTCCTTATGTTTAGACTTGACTAGAGATATTTAATAGAGTATTTCATCAGAATCCTGAATTTAAAAAACACTCATGATTAAGAAATGGTAGGGACATATTTGCCATAATCATAACACTTATTTACTATAAGTGTTTAACAAATGTACTGAAATAACGATTTTGTATGGCTATATCCAAAGTATGGTGTAACTTGTTTGTTTGTAATAATGTTGTCAGCAATATGTAAGTATGGCACTAAACTTGAAGCAAGAGTTGAATTTTTCATATTTCTATATAGTCTCTCAGAATACAATCAATTCCAAACAGTTCTAACTTTCATATTGTCAATATCTGTTTTGTTAATGTTACCAGAAGAAAAATGTTTAGCATTTTAATCCTATGTCACATGACTAACCCTAAGCATATTCTCATTAAAATTTTTTTCTACTTCATGAAATTATATATGACAATATTTGTCTACTCAGAAATATTAGTAAGTAGAATATATGTAAGTTACAAAATATAATCAGGACATGACAACCTTTAGTATTATCCTTTTGTTAGCTATACAATAATCAGTTGTTAATATACAATTTTATAATGAAGTTTTATTACATATATTTAATATCTTTTGAATGCATATAGATTTTTCAAGATGTAATCCACAATATTAACTCATTTAAGAAATATTCATTTTATTATAAATATCTACATTTAAAAAATAATTATTCCTTCAGAATTATGTATTAGATGACCCACTGTATCCTGGGCATAATCCTAAAAGCTGGAAAACAGAGGACTAAATAAGACAGATAAATTCTCTACCAACATGGGGCTTATATTCTGTGTGTAAAGATGGGTAATAAATGAGCAGACCAATGCAGAATATACTTTTCACTAATAAAGTTATATAAAAAACTAAGGCCATTTAAAAAGCTAAGGCCAGGTGTGGTGGCTCACACCTATAGTCCCAGCACTTTGGGAGGCTAAGGCAGGAGGATCGCTTGAGCCCAAGAGTTTAAGACCAACCTGGGCAACATAGTGAGACCTTGTCTCTACAATAAAAAAAAATAAAAACTAGCTGGATGTGGTGATGTACTCCTGTAGCCCCAACTACTCGGGAGGCTGAGGTGGGAGGATTGCTTGAGCTCAGGAGGTCCAGGTTGCAGTGAGCTAGGACTGCACCACTGCAGTCCAGCCTGGGTGACAAAGCAAGTCCCTGACTCAAAAAATAATAATAATACTTAAAATAAGCAGGGGTCTAGGTTCTACTTGAAGGACAGATGGGAGGTGACATTTTTAAATGTGTGTTCAGAGAAGGTTTCACACAAAATGTGAGACTTTAACAGAAACCTGGTAGCTAGCTCAAAGAAACGTTTAGGGAGGAACTTTCTTTCCAGACAGAAGGAACAGCAGGTGAACAAGTTCTGAGATGAGAGTAGCCTTCAATGACGACGAAAAAAAAAAAAAAAAAAAAGACGGTATTGCTGGAGAATAGTGAACTGAATGAAAAGTGGTACCAGATACTGGGATCAGAGATTTCGGGGAGTTTTACGGGGGTTTGACATGCAGGGTTTACAGGCTGTGGGAAGATGCCTAGACATTATTCTGTATCTGGTTACGACAGGGTTGGATGCAGAGGGTGACATGATATGAATTACTACAGCAATATCACTTAGGTGGCTTTGAGGTAACAAACAGTAGGGCAGCAAGAATGGAAGGAAAGAACTTAGATAGCAGGCTGTTGCCATAATCTAGAGGAAAGATGATGGTTGATTGAATAAGGATGTCCATAGTGAAAAGTTGTGAATTAAATATGTATTTCAGGCCAGGCGCAGTGGCTCACGCCTATAATTTCAGCACTTTGGGATTATAGGTGGGCAGACCGCCTGCTGAGGTGGGCAGACCGCCTGAGGTCAGGGGTTCAAGAACAGCCTGGCCAACATGGTGAAACCCCGTCTCTACTAAAAATACAAAAATAAGCCTGGCATGGTGACACACGTCTGTAATCTCAGCTACTCAGGAGGCTGAGGCATGGGAATCACTTGAACCTGGGAGGCAGAGGTTGCAGTGAGCCGAGATCGCACCACTACTCTCTAGCCTGAGCAACAGGGGGAACTCAGGCTCAAAAAATTAAGTAAATAAATAAATAAAAAGTATTGTAAACATGGACTTACCAAGGGATTGGTTATAAAAGATAAAGGAGAGAATACAATAAAGACTCACAGATTATTGGCCCTGGGAAACTGGATGGATCCATTGACTGATACAGGGGAGACTGAAGGAAGGAAGAACAAGTTCTAGGGGAAAAATGAAAGACTTTTGTTTTTGATATGTTAATTTACAATTCTGATTAGATTTCACAATGAAGTTCTTCAATAGGTGCTTGGGCATTTCATGTTGATGCCCATGGGAGACATCGGGGCTAGAGATAAAATATTGGAATTATTCATCCTACAGCTAATATTTATTGTCATGGAACTGATAAACTTCCCTTGGGAAAGAGCATAGTTGGAGAACTAAGCCCTATGGTGTCCCAAAGTTAAATGTTCAGAAATAAGAAAGGAGAGCTTAGAACGGAAGCAGCCAGCCAGGGGTTAAAAGGAAAGCACCAGTGTGGGGTCTCCAAGAAGCCAATGAATGGAGTGTTATGAGCCTATAAATAATTAGTAGGACAATTTAGTCAGGAAATAGTACTAACTCTAACTGTAATCTTCCTTTTTTATTGACAGATAGTTCTGCCCCAGAGACAAGTATGAATACCACAGACAACGGTGTCAACTGTCTGTGTGCTATCTGTGGGGACAGAGCAACAGGAAAACACTATGGGGCATCCAGCTGTGATGGGTGCAAGGGTTTCTTCAGACGCAGCATTCGTAAGAGTCACGTTTATTCTTGCAGGTACTTTAAATGCCCTTTTAGGCAAGTTATCTTTACAGATGTTTCAGTTTGGCACGCAAAAAGTAAGAGAAGAAAATTCAGAGTTTTCGTATATCTGTAAGTCTATAAATACAATCTCTAAACTGCGGTACAAGTAAGAACGTGTGGGTATGTACACAGGATGTATTCACATAGGTGTTCTTTTTTATGAAACATTTTAGACTTACAGAAGGTATATAAAAAATCCACCTACCTACCACCCAGCTTAGACCAATATAGTTGAAGCCTTTAATGGACACCTCCTCTGTCACTTTTTCTCCCTCGTCTCCTAGAGGTAACTACCATTGCCATTTCATGTTATCTTTTCCTTGTGTTTCTTTATTATTTTACCACATGTTCATATACCTCTAAACATTTTAAAATCTGCATTTAAAAGGTTTTTTAATAAGAGTATTTTTCTTCATGTTTATTTTTTAAGTGCCATTACATCCTAGGTCTAAAAACAAAATTATGAAAGTGCAGATGATTTTGGTAGTTTGTTGATATCAATGAGTGAAATTTAATTTTCAGTCCTAAAATTTAGAATGTATTTCTCATGCCATATTTTTTGTCATTAAATTTAAATGTTTTGTCAGAAGCTTATTTAACTATATTATATTTGTCACGCATTTCCAGTAGGCTGTTTTCTTGGGTTTTTTTTTTTTGATTAATACCTAGTCAACATCATAACACGATTTAAGTATACATATTGCATCTTGATTCATCTGTATGACTGTCCTTGAATGCAGATTACATTTAGATTGAATATAGGCTATTAACAAAAATGGTTAAATTTAACATAAAAATAACTATGTTGGTTCTGTCAATAAAAGGTACGTGTAGAATTATGTTCTTTTAAGAACAGATTGGACATTTGGGAAGAGGTTAACTTTCTCAAAGTCTTGCCATGTGATTTCCTAGGGTGCAATACAAGTTAATATATAACTCCCCAAATATCTGTCTAGTTCTCTGGTAATTCTTTAGTAATTTTTCCAAGATAGTTTGAAGCAGGTTAAGAGAAATATAAATTGCCCACTTTAAAAACTTTCTAGGTAAACAAAAAAAAGTGTATTTAGATAAGTTTTGCCTTTATTTACATTAAAACTCTAAAGGTAAAAGGTAGATCAATGTCCTTCATTCCCTCATCAAAAATAGTTTTGTATGAATGTTTCTAAACTAAAACAAATACAGAATAACCTGTAAACCATACCTTCTGGAGTCAGGTGCTCTGTTAAAATTGAATGTGTGTGTGTGTGTGTGTGTGTGTGTGTGTGTAAAATGATGATCCAAACAACTAAATCCTACAACTTGTGAGAATCAGAGAATCACAAAGGCTATGAGGACTTCTGTCCTTTCTTTATGGGAAGAGTGGAAAAGGGATGCTCTCAGAGCAGCTTTTAGAGGTTTAAAAAATATTCTAACAACAGATAGAGTTTAACTCCTGCACCTTCCTATTAAGAATGCTACTGCCAACCTAGCTTTCTTTACATATTTTAGTATTCAGCAAATGTTATGATTTTTCATTTGGAAAATGGTTAGTATATTGATGGAAGTTTAAGGGCATGGAGACTTTTTGAAGCTCAGGTTGTGCTGGTCTCAAATGTATCTATTTCCTTAGATTACAAAGTTCCATTTCTACTGTAACTGCTCCATCAAACTGAGGTTGGGATTTCCTTCAAAAGCACTTTTAATTGCTGTTTCAATACTTTTCATGTTATGTTTTTCACATTATGTACAATTTGTATGTGTACTCTATTAGATTATAATTTCCTTGAGTGGAGGAAACAAGTAGCATTAATCTGTTTAATCCCTACACCAGGATCTTGTATGTTGTAGGTGCTTAATAATATGTGTATTCAATTTTTGTTATTAATTTAATGTTAATTGAATGCATTCTCCTTGTGTTTTTGTCAATCTGGTCCTCTCTCCTGAGTCTCATCAGCCATTTGTTCCCAAATGGGCAATGCCTTGTTCTCACTCTGAAAGCACATTTCTCTTCCAGCTCAATTTGTTGATGATAGGCTTTGCTTCTCATTCAATTTTAAGTGGACACCGATAGTTTTTAGAAGAAGTACATTTTATAGGTCACAAAATATATGTCTTTATTCTTATCATTAATCATCAACTATAAATAAACAGGTACATATCAATATGTATGGATAATTTTTGCCAGAATTTTGAAGAAATGTTAGCGTTTACTGTATGCTTAATATTTGCCCCCAACTATTTGAAGTGCATTCACACAACAACCTTTTGTGCAAGTCCTTCTCTTTATTTTACAATTGTAAATTAATGTTACTTAACACCCCCAAGTTCTGCTGAGAGTCAATGGTGGAATCAAGCTTAGATTTAATTTCAGAGACTGTACTCTTTTTTATGTGTTTGTTTGTTTGTTTGGTTAAGTATACAAGTCAGTTTTTTAGTGTATCCACAGAGTGGTGCAACAATCACTACAGTCAAATTTGACCATTTTCATCACCTTATAAAGAAACCTTTAGTAGTTACTCCCCCATTTCCTCCCAACTCCCTCCCCAACAATATGAGGCAACTATGAATCTATTTTCTGTTTCTACAGATTTGCCTTTTCAGGACATTTTGTATAAACAAAATCATACGATATATGATCTCTTGTGACTTACTTCTTTTGTTTAGAATAGAATAGGCTGCCAAGGTTTATCCCTGTTATAGCATTTATCAGTACTTCATTCTTATTTACTGACAAATAATAAAATTCCACTGTGCAGTCATGCCACATTTTGTTTTTCTATTATCAGTTGATAGGCATTTGGATATATCTCCACTTTTGGGCTATGATGAATAATGCTGCTGTGTACATTTATGAAGAAGTTTTTATGTGTACATATGTTTCATTTCTCTGCATACAGACCTAGCATGGCATCGCTGGGTTATACTATAACTTTATGTTTAGCTTTTTAAGACAGTGCTAAACTGTCTTCCAAAGCAGCTGCATCATTTAACATTTTAACCAGCAGTGTATGAGGGCTCCAATTTTTCCACATCCTCACCAACATTTGTTTTTTCTTTATTTTGTTTACCTGTGTGTAAAGTCTTACCCCATGATGCCAACTGTACTCTCAATGTTGTCCTCAATGACCTCTTAATAGATAATTTGCCATTTAGGGTAAACTTCAGTGGGCTGTGGGGTACACTTAAAATTAATAGAAGAATATTTGAAAAGAGAAAAGCATGAAAATACAGGGCCATGAAGTTCTGACAATAGCCTCCTTCATACTGAAATCATTTAGCAATAAGCAACAAAAACTTGAATGCCAAAGATATTCAAAACTAGGTTTGGCTTTCATGACTCATGATAAAAGTGGTTATGCACAGCAGCCAAAATGAAGATAGTCATTCAGTTTTATTTTACTATAAAGACTAAGTGAGAGGTGAGGCTCGCGTTTTCACGCACATGCTGATTGAGAGACTGGAAAGGTCATAGCTGATTGTTCCTATACCTTCTTTTTATCGAACCGAATTTGACAATACATATTTAAAATCCATTTGTCTGTTTATTTGCTTCTTTTGTAAATTATAGTTTTCTGCAAACTGATATATCTTTATGTTATAGGTTCAGTCGGCAATGTGTTGTTGACAAGGACAAAAGGAATCAATGTAGATATTGTCGATTAAGAAAGTGTTTTAGAGCGGGAATGAAAAAAGAAGGTAATAATAATGATGATGATAATTAACATTATTGATGAAAAGTGATAAACATACACACACATTCTCATTGATTAGTATAACTTTTTACATGAGTTCTAATTTTCCTCAATATAATAAGGAGGAATCTATGATTCCTCAAGTTAAAGAATTTAGCCCAAGGACATCCAGTTATTGAGTGGTATAGCCAGTATTTATCTGGTGACTACCTGATTATGGATATCATTCTCTCCACCATTACATTGTCCAAGGCAACAAAATTATTGACTAAATGGTATACCAATATTCTGTTAGTGGGTTGAAATTACAGATTTTTTTTTTTTTTTTTGAGATGGAGTCTCGCTCTGTCAACCAGGCTGGAGTGCAGAGTGGCATGATCATGGCTCACTGCAACCTACCAGGTTCAAGCAATTCTCCTGCCTCAGCCTCTCCAGTAGCTGGGACTACAGGTGCGCATCATCACGCCTGGCTAATTTTTGTATTTTTAGTAGAACCAGAGTTTCACCATGTTAGCCAGGCTGGTCTTGAACTCCTGACCTCAAGTAATCCACCCCTCTCAGCCTCCCAAAGGGCTGGGATTACAGGCTTGAGCCACCACACCTGACACAAATGTATTTTTTGTTGTTGTTGTTCTCAATAACAACTGAATATCTTTTTTCTTTTGATGAACATTGAATGAACATCTACTTTTCATGCATTCATTTATTTACTAAATACTTGTTGAACACTGCAATTTTCCAAACACTGTTCTAGGTGCTAAAGCTTCAATAGTGAACATAGCAGACAAAATAATCTTCCCTTTCAGGAAGCTTGTATTATATCGAGGGACCGAGACAAGAGACTAGATGTGCTATTTTAGTGTGTACTAATTTCATCTTGAATATATTAAGTAATCTGATTATATTCTCCTACATTTTAAATATGATTAATTTAGAAACAAATGTATTGAACACATTGTAAACATGTGACAGTGTGTAACAGCTACAAAATTTTATACTTGTCAGTTTTGCTGTTTGGTCATGCCTATCATATACAAAGAGATGTTTTTCACAACTATTTCACAAACTAAAATAATCAAATGAAACCACTATACTAAAGAAGTGTAAAATATATGAAGCCCATCTTTAACATAGTTAGATTTTTCTTTGCCATTCAATATTTTAAGGATACAGAAATACCATTAGTTTTGCTCAGGTTGGTAGTGTCGAAGACAACAAAAAATAAAGTTCACAAAATTAAAGGAGAAGCACTTTCTCATTTAAAAAGTGATTTATTTCTAATTTCATAGGAAGCTCTATTTGGCAGTTTATGGAACTAATTACACACTTGGTCAATTGCCTTCCTCCATTTTTACTTGAACTCCATGTTTATCCCCACAAAAGTGTAAGCAAATAACAATCCTATGTTTCCTTTATGAGTTTTACAATTTGTGAAATACAATTATGTTTTAAAATAGGTAAATTTTATCTTTTGTTCATAAAAGAATGTGTTATTTTCTTAAATAAACTGGAAAGTAATTTCAAGTTTTAAAGTTGATATATTTCTCTTTTTTACACTAACAGCATAGTAGCAAGATTAATTAGATGGAAACAAATAGAAGCATAGTTTTATGTCAAAAATGATAGCACTGAGATTATAAATGTTTACAATATCTTTTAGCATTTTTCTAAAGAATAATCATGTAAGTGAAATTCATAAACGCTTAGCTAACATCTTAATTTTTTATCTCTGCATATGCATTTCCAAATAAGTCAGTTTAGGTTAAAAATCAATAACAATTTCTGTAAAACAAAAAGAGCAAGCTACCAGTAAGTATGATTTTAAAATAAAATATTACTGATTCACTCCAACTTACAAAAACTCACTCTTTCTTTTTTTTTTTTTTCACAAAGAAGTTTCTCAGAATGCTTCTGGGTAGTTGTTTTTTTTTAATTATTATTATTATTATACTTTAAGTTTTAGGGTACATGTGCACAACATGCAGGCTAGTTACATATGTATACATGTGCCATGCTGGTGTGCTGCACCCATTAACTCATCATTTAGCATTAGGTATATCTCCTAATGCTATCCCTCCCCTCTCCCCCTACCCCACAACAGTCCCCAGAGTGTGATGTTCCCCTTCCTATGTCCATGTGTTCTCATTGTTCAATTCCCATCTATGAGTGAGAACATGTGATGTTTGGTTTTTTGTCCTTGTGATAGTTTACTGAGAATGATGATTTCCAATTTCATCCATGTCCCTACAAAGGACATGAACTCATCATTTTTTATGGCTGCATAGTATTCCATGGTGTATATGTGCCACATTTACTATGACAAACCCACAGACAACTCACTCTTTCTTAAAAGCAAAAAGTCCTGTAATTCCTCCTTTAACTTAATGGAGTGGATATTTAATAGTAAGTTTTAGGTCTCTAGAAATTGGTGGATTTCTTTAACAAAAGCATACTTGCAGAAAAAAAATGATATTTTAATGCCTTGTTGCTCCAGCAGAACAAATTACAGCCTTAACCGAAATAATTTAGGGGCTACATTCCTTGTTTCCCTTCTCTTTGGTTAATGAAAGATAATTTCACCTCTAAAGTTTTGAAATTCAACTTTGATATCTATTTTATTCTCTCTCTCTCTCTTTTTTTTTAATTTTATTTTGAGATGGAGTCTCACTCTGTCACTCAGGCTGGTGTGCAGTGGTGCGATCTTGGCTCACTCTGACCTTCGCCTCTTGGGTTCAAGTGATTCTCCTGCCTCAGCCTCCCAAGTAGCTGGGACTACAAGCGTGTGCCACCACGCCTGGCTAATTTTTGTATTTTTAGTAGAGACGAGGTTTCACCATGTTGGCCAGGTTGGTCTCGTACTTTTGACCTCAGCCTCGCAAAGTGCTGGGATTACAGACTTGAACCACACTTGGCCTGATTTTATTCTCTCTCTGGTAAACATGTGAGTTAATATTTTCCCTGTCACTCTTCCTTATATTTAAAAATGCAGTTTTCAGTAAGGGATTTGGGGAATTACATTACTCTTTTTTTTTTTTTAACCCTGAAGTAAAGAAGCAGATCTAGCTTTCTCTTAGAAACCTGTATAATATATAGGATTTCTTCATCTTTCCAAAATGCTGATATTCAAACCTCAATTTTCTCAGGAGAGACTGCTCCATGGTACATCTTTTGCTTTATTAATGTTGGTAAACTGTCCCATGGACAGTGTTTTATAAGAGATCATAATATTGCAATCCTAAAATCATCATAACTAAGTTTACTTTCCATTTTTGCTCGTGTTTTATAGAGAAAAGAAAATGGAAGTTTCAAAATCTATGACTCATATTTTCTGATAGTGAATACACTCTTATCTTTGACCTGGTCAATCTTATAGGCAATGCTCTTCCTCTAGTTATCTTATAGTTTTATTAACTTTGAGAGAATAGAAAACCACCCTATTAAAAATACAGCGTGGCGGAACTGGCTGACCCAACACTTTCTAACATGCATGCTGTCATGAAGTCTCAAACAGCATTGTTTTATGAGCTCTAGTGACAAACCTGACTATTGCTATTTTTGAAAGTAGTGGAGAATGAAAATATCTTTCTTCCAAGGTCTTTTAGAAAGACTTTTTCTCACTTTTTTTACTTAAAAAAAAAACTCCTTAAAATCTATATTCTAACATACACTAAAGAGAAGTGCTCAATAAATACTGTGTTTTTTCCCCCTAGCTGTACAAAATGAACGTGACAGAATAAGCACCAGAAGAAGCACATTTGATGGCAGCAACATCCCCTCCATTAACACACTGGCACAAGCTGAAGTTCGGTCTCGCCAGGTACCTGTGGCACGGCAGCATCAAACCCTATTTAATAAAATCAAATGTCCATGTAGGCATCATGCTAAAATAATCTAAGTTTTTTCAAAGGTGCTCATTACTAAAATAAGTTACATCTACACACAATTAAGAGTTTTACTTTGAAAGTTTGAGTGGGACTGCTGACTTAATTTTGACTGTTCTTGAACAAGACTAGTTTTAAATGGAAAAATAAAACAAATTTCAGTCTAAGATTGTTTTTTAAAAAGTTTGCTTATAAGTTTGATTAAAAATAATGAATAGCACAAAGCTCTGTAGGCAGTATTTTATTTTATTGATGGAATCTGTACAACCAGCTACCACAACTTTTGGGGAGTTTGGTTGATATTTGTTATCAGAGCTTCTTTCCTTGAAAATGACTTCTGGATCTTTGGGAACTGCTTTGGAAGCAGACATTTAAATGAAGAGTCAGAATTCAGAAAACACAGAAGAGAGAAAACTTTATTATTTTAAATTTCTCAAATAACAGTTCTACAGTTAAAAAAATAAGTCATTAGTTATATACATAAAAATAAATTATTTAGTGTTGTATAAAGAAATCCTTAAATCAAACTTACTTTAGCATTGCCCTTATTAGAAATGTTAATATTATTTTTCTATTATAAAGCAGATTATAAAATTGCCAAGTAGTTAATCAGGTCCTATAATGAGTCAGTGCAACTACTTTCATTTTTGATAACACAAGGGTAATATGATGAGGTTAACATCACCGTTATCATTATTACTTGAAGATTGCTTGATGGGCAATAAAGCTTTTAGAGAATGACCTAAAGGGGAGCTATGAGAAAATATTCAAATACAGATAAAGATACACTCACACGCATGTTCAAAAATAAGTTTATAAAAACTTTTAGACTGTGTTTTCTTTCAGCAGAAAAGCTTTATTACTTATATTTTTATATAGTCTAAAATTACAAATTTACAAATTTACAAATCTTACAAATTTATTATATGTTAAGCTCTTCAACATTGCTGAGTCACACATTGGTTTTTTAATTTAATTTTGATGGGCTTCCTTTTAATGCAGCGAGACAAATAGTTCTTGCTTCTTGTCTCCCCAACTGGGTAAACGTTATGAAAACATTTTCTTCATAAACTTCCACAAATTAAAGAAAATATCACCTTTAATTCAAAATAAAATCAAAGAGCATATTACATATGGATACTATCTATCTATTTTTATAGCCATTTTGAATTGTGAAATTCCTCAAAAGTTGGGGTAAAACTTAGTGTACAGATTTGACCACTAACATAAGATACTGTTCCCAGAGGATGGTGCTATATATATGAAATGTTTTTAAATTAACTTGTAAACTTATAGGTATTTTATTTTTCAATTTAAATCAGTATTTCATTTTTCAATTTAAAATGTTTAGTATTTGTCAAGATACTGTAACAACAATAGTGCCTACTTCTATGGCCTTTACTTATCATAGTCAAAAGAAAAAAAGGGGAATGTTGGCCATCTATTATTTTAAATGATAATATAATGCTTTTCTTAATACTAGATCTCAGTCTCAAGCCCTGGGTCAAGCACTGACATAAACGTTAAGAAAATTGCAAGTATTGGTGATGTCTGTGAATCTATGAAACAGCAGCTCTTAGTCTTGGTGGAATGGGCTAAATATATTCCTGCCTTCTGTGAATTACCATTGGATGATCAGGTACACATTTAAAACTTTATAAATGCTTTAAAAATGCTTCTTGAACTTTGCTAAGTTTATGTTCTTTCCATATTATTTGTAATGCATATTCTATATTACTGTATTTGGCAAAAGATAAATTAGGAGGAAGGATTGGGTTTCCTTACCCATTCACCTTGTTCTATCAAGAGGCACAACTGTTTGACTTCTATTTTAGGGGTGTAGCAAATTTATTGATTGGACAAGAACTGAACAAAACACTCCTCTGCCCTTTTGGAATTTTAAAAGGGTCATGTGAGGGAGAAAGGTAGATAGCATGTAACTATCATTGTGAGACAAAGTATTAGAAGAGTGAATGTCTGTGAAGCAAATGGTGGATGTTGTGTATTGGCGTTTACTGAAGCTGCTATATAAAACTCCTCAGAAATACCAGGTCACTCCTAGACAGAAACCACACAGGTTGTGGTGTTGTCTTGGTGGGTACTTCATGCAATTAACATAAAGTTTTACCTTTCATGCTGTCAATTTTATTCTAGAATTTATTGTATAAAAGTTACATGTCTGGCAAAAAGAAAAACATCTGTAGAAACATGATCAGAAATTTATAGAGAAATAAAATTTACACAACAAAAGATAGAGTGATCTTTTACTAATACTTCTATTTTCATATTTTGTCATATGCCCATTAGGATATTTTAATAAATACTTAGGAACTTGAATTTCCTAATTGTACTATAAAGATAAGTATTTTGGTTTCAGATTCATTTTGAACCGTTCTTACTAAGTAGGGTATAATTTTTTGTAGATGAAAATAATTGGAAAAATTCCCTTTCTCTCACCTTAAATTAACCATGGTAAGTGTTATAACCAGTGTATATTTATTTTTAAGAGAGCGTTTCACCTGGTGACAGGAAAAAAAAATACAGTGAAATCTGAAATAATTCTTAAAATGCTCTGTAACTGCCTTCCTGGTGTGAGTCACGAATATTGACATACCATAAAGATAGCATGGCTCAGAAGGTTATGCCAGTGAATAACGCTAAATTGCTAAAACCTACCAGTCTCACCCCAAGCAATATAAGTAGGGTTACGTTATTTATCAGTTTTATATTTTTATTATCATTCTTCTTTAGAAGTTGCTGACTTATATATTCAGTGATTTAAAAATTGGGAAATTAAAATCCAGTAACCAGTGAAAAACAGTTTTAATTTGCCAACTGATTCTTTAATATTAACAGTATAACATTTATTAATTAGCCACAAATTAGTAAATGTCTGTTATGAATAAGGCATGGGAAATTAGCTTTCAGTTGCACTATAAATTACATCATTTCATTTAATTCTCTCAGGAGCTCGGTGACAGGTGTTATTATCTCCATTTTACAGTTTCTAAAACTGAACCCTAGATCAGTAAAATTCATTCAATAAATTCATCAAATGAATATTTATTAGGAGATTACTGTTCAGTTTTAGGAACTGTGGGTATTTAGCAGTAAAAATACAGATTTCTTCACTATTCTCATAAATGTACACTCTATTTGAGAAAGGTGGATAACTTAAAAAATGCAAAAATTATGAGAAAGTTCATTCCAAGTGGAGATAAGCTCTATAAAATGCTATAAAATGGAATAGGATGAGTTGTTGGAGAATGGGGATAAAATGAGAAGAGATACTTTAAACTGAGGACCAGAGAAGTTATTGCCTGAGACCCTGAAAGACAAGGGGCCAAGCCCAGGAGAATCTGAGAAGAAAGCACTCCAGATACAGGAACAGCATGTCCAAGGTTCTGAGTCAGGCAGCAACAATGTGAACAAGGGGTGTTGCAAGATGAAGTCAGAGACATGAGGGCTGGGAGGCAAAGCACTGACCCCTCTCACGCCTCCCATCACCTGTGAGGCCATGTTTGACGAGTTTGGATTTCAGTCTAGGGACAATAAGAAACCATTCAAAGAGTTTTCAGCCTGGACTAGGGTGGTAGCAATGGAGATGAAAAGAAGTGGATCACTTTGGCTTGTATTTTGAGAAGCAGCACTAGAATTTACTGCAGAGTTAGAGAGGACTCAAAATAGTCTCTTGTTTTGATGTGAACAAGCACTTTGGATTACGGTGTCATTTACTAGATGAAGATAATGGGGAAGTGTTACATTGGTAGGTGTTAAATTTGTAATGCTTCCTATACTTCCTAGTGGTGATGCCCAGCAGGTAATTGAGTGTACGAATGAAGCTCAGTTGAGAGCTTACTGAGAAGAATAATCTAGAAAGCGGCAGAACCCAGACCTCCCATCTTTTCCTTACAAGAAGTCTTTGCTTTGCTTTTGTTTATTTAGTTTATTACGTGCAGGAGATTATGTTTTATATATGTTTTATCGTTTAGTACTCATGAGTACATGATGAGATTTTTTTTATCTCTACTCCCATTTTGTAGATGAAAACAAATGAGTAAGTTCAAACGTACTGGTTAACTTACACAAGGTTAAACAGGTAGTAAGTGGCCGTGCTGGGATTTGAACTCTGGTCTGATTCTGTTTCCCTTGCAAACAGTTAACTTGTCTGCTTTTTTTTTTTTTCTTTCTGCTGCCATTGTATTGATTTGCTAGATAGTTTTAAAATTTTTGAAAAGTAAGTTCTATTGACATGCTATGATAGAAAACTGGAAGGCTTAATGATGGCATGTATCTATGAATACTATAGTTTGTTAAACAAAAAGTCCCAGGCTTAAAGAACACTCTAAGTTAACAAGACTCATGTCATCTTTTAATCATTATATATTATAATTAATTGTTAAACTGAGAATTTTTCATTAAGGTGGCACTGTTGAGAGCTCACGCAGGGGAGCACTTACTGCTTGGAGCTACAAAGAGATCCATGATGTATAAAGATATTTTGCTTTTGGGTAAGTTTTTTTTTTTTAATTTAAGAAGAAATTATGCATATTTTATTCTTGCAATATTATACAGGGTCTGTTCTGTATGTACCAAGTATTTACAGACACTGGCAAATGGTGCTGTCACTTCACAGGTTTAATTTAATTGTGTCCTCACTTGGCCTTATTTTTCCTTGCCTTGACTGTATGTAAGTTCAGAGTCCATGAGACAATCAGGGAGCATTAAGATTTAAAAATAAAAAAGAGATGTTGCTCAATAAACATAATATTGAGGTATGTTCAAATTATATCAGAATGAATAATTAGTAAATTATATGGCTGCCTTATGGAGTCTCAATGTGTTTTCATATTTCCTCAGAGTCTGCTTTTTATTTTACACACTTTAAAAAAACATGTTTACGTCCTATGATCTTATTGCCCATGATAGCCCACGATATGCTACAAAATGATCAAGTAAAAAAGTATTGGTGGTAATGACTGAACAATTTCGATAGACAGGAATGCTAGAAGAGGCTAAGGAAGGATAATAGGTGTGGGGTGGTGGGGTAGAGAAGACATAAAGAAAAGACATTTGTCTTCATTAATTGCTCCAATCCCGCTACCTTACTTAACTTAAACAGTTAGGTTTTGAGGGTTGAGATCCTTCTGACACTTACTAGCTCTACCTCTCTCTGGCATGTGTGAAAATATGACTAGATTATTTTATTTTTGTGCTAGATGTTTTAGCCCCAAATATAAATAAATTGAAGACAATATAACAATATTTAATATTATTGCAGGTTTACTATGTAAATGCACTGGTCTAAGTACATTACATGTATATGTATATATATTCTCTCATTTAATCCTTGAAATAGCCCTAAGGGATTAGTACTACTATTTTCAGCCCATTTTGCAGGTGAAGAAATGGAGACAGAGAAAGTTTACCAAAGGTCACAAAGCTAGAAAATAATATAGCCAAGATTCTAAACCACATAATGTGATTGTGGAGACTATGCCCTGAAATGCTATTAAATACCTCTCTTGAATTTCTAGTAAACATCTAGAATACTGTTCTTGTTATAGACCTAAATGCAATATACCTAGAAAACAAAATGCCTACTGTATACATTCTAGTTCTAAATTGATTTACCCAGAATAGTTAGGTAAGCTAACCTTTCATAAAGAAAGAGTGAAACTCAAAAAAAGATAGTAACTATGTGAGGTGAAATATATGTTAATGAGTTTTACTATGGTAATTATTTCACAATGTAGATACAAATTAAAACATTACATTGGGCCAGGCATGGTGGCTCATGCCTGTAATCCCAGCACTTTGGGAGACAGAGGCAGGAGGATCACTTAAGGTCAGGAGTTCGAGACCAGCCTGGCCAACATGGTGAAACCTCGTCTCTACTAAAAATACAAAAAATTAACTGGGCGTGGTGGCGGGAGCCTGTAATCCCAGCTACTCTGGAAGCTGAGACATGAGAATCACTTGAACCTGAGCAGCAGAGGTTGCAGCAAGCTGAGATCGTGCCACTGCACTCCAGCCTGGGCGATAGAGACTCCATCTAAAAACACAAACAAACAAACAAAAAATCACATTGTACACCTTAAATATATACAATTCTGTTTGCTTGTCATAACTCCATAAAGCTGGAGAAAAAAGAGTGAGGCTACCATTGAACATGCTGTTACCCTGAGGATTGTCTTTGCCTGCAGTGAAAGAATTTAGAATATTTGTCTTTTTATAAAACCAGAAAATAACAATTTAACTGTTATTTTTGGAAGCTATAAAAATTTTCATCATATTATAGCTAGAGAATTTCTAAGTTAGAAAGATCTTTAGGGAATAGGTGGTCCAGCTCGCTACCCAATCTCTGAACTCCCTTAAAGTCAGCCTTATAAAGTGGTTATCCCACCTCTATTTAAAGAAGTCCTGGAAGAGAAAACATACTATCAGAGGCAACTCATGAGAATTCACATGCTAATTTAAAAAAAAAAATCAACCTCCTTTACTTAGGTGTGTTAAAACTGTCTCAATAGTGTATGCCTAGAATGCCTAGAGTATCAAAGTGCTGTTTTTAATCCGCTGTAAACAAGAAAGATTCTTTAGGGTTTGTATTGTAGTCATTAGTGAATAAAACGCTAATAGATGTCTGACACAGAGAAAAACTAATCATTATATTTAGATTTTGTCAAATATCAGCATGTTATTAGTCTGCACTTTTGTGTTATCACCAGTGACTGATCCCGTTAAAATGCATGTGATCACATTATTAATGTTCTTGGTCCTTTAAGCATGCTTAAGTTTTTCTAGCATAACTAACAACACCACTGAGAGAGGAAGTACATCACTATTCCTTCAAGGGTAGACTATTTTAAACACCGGTTTGTTAAATTTTAAACAGTGCTGACAATTTGGGGAGACAGGTGGTTATTTTGTTTTGTTTTGTTTTGTTTTCTCTCTCATAGGAAACAACTATGTTATTCACCGCAACAGCTGTGAAGTTGAGATTAGCCGTGTGGCCAATCGTGTTCTAGATGAGCTGGTTAGACCATTTCAAGAAATCCAGATTGATGACAATGAGTATGCTTGTTTAAAGGCAATTGTATTTTTTGATCCAGGTTGGTTTTCAAAATTCCACTAGAGAATTAATATAATAAAAATTGAACTACTTTTCAATATTAGAATATTTATTGTCTCACACTGTAATTAGGTTAAATCTGTACACTGCCTCTCTTATTCCTTTGTTAGATGCAAAAGGGCTAAGCGATCCAGTAAAAATTAAGAACATGAGGTTCCAAGTGCAGATCGGTTTGGAGGACTACATCAATGATCGGCAGTATGACTCCCGGGGGAGGTTTGGAGAGTTGCTTCTGCTCCTGCCCACACTGCAGAGCATCACGTGGCAAATGATTGAGCAAATACAGTTTGTTAAACTTTTTGGGATGGTTAAAATTGACAATCTACTTCAGGAAATGCTATTAGGTGGTGAGTACATTGAATAATTTCTACTTTATTGATTAGAATCACACTAAATATAAGTTTGACCTACTGATTTTTTTGTCCATATTTAATTCATCTACTGAAGTTGCTGTGATGCTCCTGAATTTTTTTCCTTCTGCTATGACATAATGAACTCAAGGTTTTACATTTAGAAAATTTGCAAGACCCATCAGAGAGACAAAAATACTTGAACAGATTCAAACCCCCATTCGTTTTTTTTGTTTGTTTTTTTTTTTTTTTAAGACAGAGTCTCGCTCAGTCGCCAGGCTGGAGCACAGTGGCACAATCTCGGCTCACTGCAACCTCCGACTCCCTAATTCAAGTGATTCTCCTGCTTCAGCCTCCGGAGTAGCTGGGACTACAGGCACACACCACCACGCCTGGCTAATTTTTGTATTTTTAGTAGAGACGGGGTTTCACCGTGTTGATTAGGATGGTCTTGATTTCCTGACCTTGTGATCTGCCAGCCTCGGCCTCCCAAAGTGCTGGGAATACAGGCGTGAGCCACTGCACCCAGCCTGAAACCCCCATTCTTATTAGCCTCCACCACCTCTATTCCACAGTCCCTCTGACTTAAATTTTCAGATCCTTCCAAACATGGCAAAGAGAAACAAATTTCCTGATTTTATGACCTCTTCAAATATATCATGGTTTTTCATGCCCTGATTCATTTAAAACCTCAAGGATACTGGAATTGCAATACAACCTAATACATATATATATATACTATCTTAAAAATGAACATTGTGCTCCTGAAATAATTAATTGACACAAAATAGTAGAAAGGGAAAATGATATTTCATTGTTGCAATACATGTCAGGAATAAGTTAAGAAATCATTTATTTTGCATTCCAATCTAGATTAAATTTCCTTGTAAAATCATTATATTTATTTTTAGTTTTCTGGTGCATAATTTGTTCCTAATGATATCTTTCTGAAATGAAAGTTGTTCATGCTATTACAGTGATCCCAAATACTATAAACTTGAGGTAAGTGATTCTTGGAATTGCCTTAACAACAGGCAGCGAACCTAATGATTCCAGGAAACGGCACACAAGGTCCATTATTAATACACAGCATAATATGATGCAACATTAATCTAGCCAATGTACAGTGAAAGCTGACATTGTTCTTAATATGCCAGTGGTTCTGTCAATTTATTTTTGAATTCCCAAAAAGCACTTGGCAAAAATAGCGATATTTAAGCTGTCAATCAAAACATTTGTTTCAAGGTAAACTTGCTGTTCCTGATTAAATATCACTAACACAGCATCTTTTTATCTTTTGTAGGGGCTTCCAATGATGGCAGTCATCTCCATCATCCAATGCATCCACATTTGTCTCAAGACCCATTAACTGGACAAACTATACTTTTAGGTCCCATGTCAACACTGGTTCATGCAGACCAGATCTGTAAGTTTATAGACTACTTTTCAACCAAGATATTTCTTAATTACCCAAGAAAAAGTGGAATTGTGGGAAAGAATCTATTAGTAACCAGAAATGGCAAAAACTTGGTGTAATTTCCCATCTGAGACTCAGCAGTAGAAGACTGTTATTCAGCTTGTCACTTATTCTCCCTAGACATAAGTTTGCTTCCTAAAATGAAAATGAAAGAAAAATCTTTCTACTTCATAGGTCTGGGGAGCACAAAAGAGTATACAAGTAGTCCTTGCTTTGCATGGTAGTGTGAGACCATAAAAACGACAATGCAAGCTGAAACCATGCAAGGGAATCTTAATAATCAATGGGAAAATTATTTCTTGCTTGGCACCTTCAAAAACGTTTGTCAAAATATTAAGAACTCTCTTAATGTTTATGGAGACTAAAGAAATATAATCTTTATACTTATTTTGTAGAATTCAATACAAAACATTTCAGTTGGTACACTGTAATTAAAACATTAGGAATATTGACAATCGAAGGGTTTTATTTCTCTATAAAAAAAAATTGTGAAATGCAGTTTGACCAGTTCTTGTCACCTTCTGAAACTTACATTAGGAAGTGAGGATTTTTTCTATGCCCTGATGAGTTTTACTCGTTGGGAAGTTTGGATCAGCTTTCAACATTTTATCCCTTGCATTCTCAATGTCATGGCATGTTTCTGAGAATTCATTTAATGTGAAATTTTCTTGCCGGTTTCACTTATTTTGGGACACCTTCTCCCCTTTCGACACATCCAGCTTTCTCATTTATGTGGACACGTTTTCCTTCGCTGGGTTCTTGGCTGCATATTTAGAGACTCAAACAACAGCAGCGGCAACATTCCCATGGTCAGCTACTTCTTCTGTGACTGCATTTATGTTTTATTTGTATGTCACTTCCAGCATTATCACTTTTTATTCCTTTCTGCACTTCCACTGTTGTTGGTCAATTCTAATTCAATTATTCAATTTTGTAAAATGTGATGTGAATTTACCACTAGGAAACAAGGAGGCAACACAGCCACCGTATGCAGTTTGTTTTCCATGCCTGAACTGAATAGAAGATGCTCAATGACCAATCATGGACAGACTAAAAGTTGTGACATGATCAGTCACTGATCATAAAGCACATCTGTTATTTAGGTAGCTGTTTGCAGACTGAAGAGTTGGCAGTGGGGTCTGTATTTATGAAATTGCTCACTCTTAATTGTGAGTTACCGTGGTAATTGAAACTTGAACCATGTTGTTGCCAGACTGGTGGTGTTTAACTAAGCCTTGGTAACCAGAATTCATTCACATCAGAATTGTGCAGTGAGGGCTGCTTATGAAAACTCCTTGGAATGCAAATGACCATATAAATACTATAGAGATTGTTAGTAGCTAAGTTAATCTATTATTGTAGCTTTCATGCTAATTCTATTTTTTCTAAGCTACTCTGGTGATACAAATCTCTAATTATTTGATTAAATATCTAGATTAACTGATTAATTGCTTCTGAATTTACTCTAATTAATCCCAGATTTACCTTTGATCTATTGCCTCTGAACACCAAACCTACTACTAACTCACTGAGATGACTTGAGTTATTGTGATGTAACTATTATGCATACACTTATTGCCTACTGAATTTACAATAGTCTTTAATAGCTAGCTACAGCATTTTTTTTTTCTTCCAAATGTTGTATGCAATGTAACAACAATTTACCAGTACCACCTGACTTCTAGGCATTGGTAGGGAACGTAGAAGCCATGGGACTGCGTGCTACCATGCCATCTTTTAGATACAAGCACAGGTAGATCTTTGTGTAAATAGTATCTGAAACCAAAATTATTTGAATATATGAGAAAGAGAAAGAAATGAAATTGTTAGGAAAAAATATAAATTTTAGAAAAATATGGCATAATCTTGGATTTCCAATGTACTTGAAAGACATTATTTGGGACCATCCTTGCAGAATAGATCTTACCATTTTCATTTAACAGATAATCAATAGCAGAAAGAGAGGGGCAAGCCTAATACCAAACTAGAGCGTTTATGGAGTTGTGTCTCTTAAAGATCAGTTATTCATAAACTCACAAAATAAAACACATTAACAACACAATAAACATTGTAGGAATCAACTGACAAGAGAGTTGGACAGTTCTGCTGGTGGTTGAATACTTTTTAAGGGCTAGTATTATAGTATTTTAAAAACATATTTGCTGACCCTAGTCTTTTAAAAATCACATTGTTACTTTCATTTTTATTCTTGTTCTTTCCACATACTATTTGTGGGATTTGTTTGCAAAAGAAAACTTGGCTTTACTATGCTCATTTGAAATAATTTATATTTTATGCAAAGCAGGATATTAAACACAACCAAAATTTAAATTCATGCATATTTTCTTGGTCTTTTAGAGAAGGCTACTGCAGTCTTAGATCTGGTCTAAATAGCCAGAAATAATTGTAAAAGCAGATTTTGATATTGATTTGTCATTTAAACTGCACTTAAAAATTTTGCTTCTAAGTAATTGCTAATCCATACTTAACAATAATATAAAGCTAATGTATTAATGAACACCAGGTAAAAGGAGACTGTTCTTGTTTTGTATATAATGTTTTAAAACTGTTGAGACATAAGCTATAAAGTTTACAAAGCCTCAGCCTGATCATCAAACATTTTCTGTTAGTTCTGTTTACTATGTGGAATAATACAATAACAATAAGCGTGAGTACTAAAATATTTCAAGTTTCTAAAAATTACAGAATAACTCCTGGATTATTTTATAATATGGTTAGATTTTACAATAGAAAGAACTACTATTCTAGACAATGAAGTTTTGAAACTGTAACTTTTTACATTCAATTCAATTTTTTATATTCAGTTACTTTATATTCAATTACTCAGGCTTGCTCTTTGCATCAAAGGGGATGCGACAGGCAAGCTCGATTGTAATAGAATAATTTTGAAGCAAAAAAAAAAAAGCCAGTATTTTTCAGATGCTTTTGACTACAACTTAGATTTCAGAACATTTATAAAGTATCTTAACCTTAATTTTTTATGTCATCTAATATGTCTGAATTAGTGGAATCCAAACCAAATATATTTTTATTTTATGTGAATTTTGATTATAAAAAATATAAACATTGTTTTCTAATATTTGAGAAAACTGTCCTTCTGTTAATTCTTTTCACTGCCTTTTTTTCCTGCTAGGTTTGTTAGAGAATCAAATGCTTATAAATGCTATTAGGAAAGGCAGAAAACACCTTAAAGTAACTATGAAAAAAATTTTTTAACATGACCTCTTTCTATTTAATGTTATTTGGAAAGTAAGGTGAGAGTACTCTCTAACAGTACGTCATGGGCCAATAATGCATTCTACAAATCACTATTCTGTGTAGGATATTTTAAAAACATTTCCAAATTACGCTAATGTGTATTGGTGTTATGTAGGGTTTAATGGGGTGAGGAAGACTGACTGCCACCATTAGACTCAATTCTCTGATTCTTTTTCAGCAACTCCTGAAACCCCACTCCCTTCCCCACCACAAGGCTCTGGGCAAGAACAGTACAAAATAGCTGCAAACCAAGCATCAGTCATTTCACACCAGCATCTCTCCAAACAAAAGCAATTGTGAAAATGTGTTTACTTCAGAACGGCACTACATAAATGTGAAAAGTTGTTGATCTTGAAATATCTCAGGATAGCACTTTTGGCAAACTCTTAGCCAAGGCTTCTTCATTGGTGCTGTTATAAGATGGTGTCCTATTTTCTTGTTTATACGTTCATTCTGTTTGTTATTGCTACTATGTAAAACTTTCACATGCAACCAATGTATATCTGAGTTTGAAGATGTTTATATAGGGTATTTTTTCCAACTGCCCCTGCATTGTGCCTGAACCAATTGAATCTTATGTATGAGTTTCATTTGTTTTATTAATGTTAATTTAAATCTGTAAATAATTGCTTTATTGTGATGTGATACAGAACAAAGTGTTCGTTTTTGACTGAAAATAGTAGATCAGAAATCTCAGTTTAATATAAAATGAGCTAAGTTTTTAAAAATAAATTATAAACTTGGAGATTAGAAAAATAAAGCAGTTGCTGTAGAATAGGCTGTATCTTTTTCAAGAAGAATCTCTTATGGACAGTCTGTGGTAAAGAAGCAACTCTTTGCTTTAGAGTTAAATATTCCTATCTTAAGTTTAGAAAAATACAAAAAACCATTCCAAGGATGACTGGATACTTTTTGAAATCTGACTTTCTTTGAAGATGTATGTTAAGCAAAAACATGTTGCTTTTATCAGTTAGGATACAGGGTGAACTGTAACAAAGAAACCCCTAAAACAGTGACTAAATCAAGAGAGGAATCTATTTCTTTCTCCTGAAACAATTTAGAAAATAGTTATCCATTGACTAGAAATTAGTACATGCCCACAGCTGGCTCCCACGGTAGCCAGGAGAATTATCTATAGGTGGAAAGTCTGTGTCAGCCAAAGCCATGTCACTCTGAGAGAACTGATTCTGAGGACAAGTTAGCCATCTACCACCCATGTCCCTTATTTGGTCCTCACAATAACACTTTAGGAGAGATATCATTATCGCTGTTTTATAAATAAGGGAAACTTTAGCTTGAGGGTTTAAGGAACATAACCAAAGTTCACAAACATAACGAGTGAGAGAAACACATTCAAGCCCAGGTCTAGTTGACTTTAATGAATCTTTGGTGTGGAATGAAAAATGTGAACTTCTTACTCATAGTGTGGTTTTTAAATATATGCAGTTGAGTGATGATTGGATACTATTCATCATATTGCCTATAATATATATTTACCGATAAGCAGTGAGTGTAAAATTGTTGTAGCTTGAATAAGAAACCACTTTTGTAGTTTTAACCAGACTTTCTCTTAAAAACATTAGATAAAATAAAAGATTCACCGGATGGATTCTGATGAAAACGAAAACAAAGTAAAATGACTGGCTTAGCAGATTCTTTGAAATGTAGCAGCCCAGGGATGTACCAAATGTCGAATTCTAGACTGAGGAGTAGAGTTCATTGGAGTCTTAAACTCTCTGATATCACTTAAAGCTGGAGTTTATTTTAAAACAAATGAAGCATGGGCCACCTCATGATGCAGTGGCTCCTCTCTGGTTGAGGAGAGGGAAAATTGGAAAAACTGGTCGAGTAATTATCAATAATTTTTTTTAAAAAGAGGATCCCAAACTGTAAAAGATTGAAATAATCTTTCTCAGGATTTTTTAAATGTCTAAGATTATGATGTCATATCTCCCACTTACCTTATAAGTAAAAAGGTTAATATCAAGTAACTTATTAGCTCTTAAAGTAAAATTGAACTTATTAAAAGCTATCTATGATTTAATAGATTTAATAAAATTCCTTCACGACCTGGTACCCTTGTGAAACTGTAAAATATATCATATGGGGGGAGTTTTTTAACTCTTATTTTTTGAAAATTTACTGTAGCTTCTATTTCGTGAATAAGAATGTTTTGATTTTGATCATACAAATAACTTTTGTAGATTTTTGTTTACTTTTGGGGGGGTTCCCTTAGAAGACATTAAAAAAAAATACTGCCTTGGTCTGTGCAGGCTGCTGTAATGAAATACTATGAACTTGGCAGCTTATAAACAACAGAAATTTATTTCTCGCTGTTCTCAATGGTGGGAAGTCCAAGATTAAGGGATCAACAAATTAGGCCTCTGGATCATACATGGCATTTTCTAGCTGTGTCCTTATACATAAAAGGAAAAAGGTAGCTCTCTCGAGTCTCTTTAATAAAGATACTAATTCTCATGACTGAATCACCCTCCAAAGGCCCCACCTCCTAATACCATCACTCTGGGGACTAGGTGTCAGCATGTGAATTTTGGAAAACACAAAAATTCAGAACATAGCAAATACCTTTGAAGTATAAAAGATAAAATTCATTTTTAGTGAACCCTGTAATTTATTCGTGTATATTTACTAAACAGCTGTATCTTTGAAATTGTTAGTAATGATTCTGCTTCAATAACTATGGTCAGGGAATTTATAATATTATATTTTTATATACTGAACTGCCATAGATGCTGGAAAAAAGGAACTGATGTTTTCAGCATATTTTCAAAATATTGATAAGGGAAGTTATTACTTTTATATAGTATTCAACTTTTTTCAGGTAATAGAAGTGAATAATTTATTGTGAAATAATTCATTTTATAAATGTATAATTATTTTTATAAATTTTATTGTTGGAAATCAAAAATTAGTAGATTTTTTACCATGTTAAATTATAGTGAGATTAAAGTATTACTAAACTGTGATGCTATGTTTGTTTCACTAAACTTTCTAAATAAAAACTGAGAAAAAAAAAATCACTGAAACCAGGTGCTTCATTAGTGTTCAAAAATGATTTCGTGTTTTTACAGATGCTGATAATATATTTTATATAGTCATTTGTATTAGTCCATTTTCACACTACAATAAAGAACGATCTGAGACTGGGTAATTTGTAAAGAAAGGAGGTTTAATTGACTCACAGTTTTGCATGGCTAGAGAGGCTTCAGGAAACTTATAATCATGGTGAAAGGAGAAGCAAGCACCTTCTTCACAGGCAGCAGGAGAGAGAGAAAGCGAGAGGGGAACTGCCAAATGCTTTTAAACCATCAGCTCTTGTGAGAACTCACTATCACAAGAACAGCATGGGGAAAATTGCCCCCATGATCCAACCACTTCCCACCAGGTCCCTCCCTAGATGTATGGAGATTACAATTTGATTTGAGATTTGGGTGGGGACAGAGAGCCAAACCATATCATTCTGTACTTGGCCCCTCCCAAATCTCATGTCCTTCTTACATTTCAAAACCAATTATGCCTTCACAACAATTCCCCAAAATCTTAACTTAGTTACTTCCAAGATACAATGGGGATATAGGCATTGGGTAAACGTTCTCATTCCAAATGGGAGAAATTGGCCATAACAAAGGGGCCCCATGCAAGTCCAAAACCAGGCAGGGTACTCATTAAATCTTGAAGCTCCAAAATAATCTCCTTTAACTCCATGTCTCATGACCAGGGCACACTGATGCAAGATGTGGGCCCCCAAGGCCTTGGGCAGCTCTGCCCCTGTGGCTCTGTAGGGTACAGCCCCTACACAGCTGCTTTCAAGGACTGGCTCCGAGTGTTTGTGGCTTTCCCAGGTGCACGGTACAAACTGTCAGTGGATCTGTTATTCTGGGGTCTGGAGAACAGTGGTCCTCTTCTCACAGCCCCACTAGGCAGGGCCCCAGTGGGAACTCTGTGTGGGGGCTCCAACCCCACATTCCTTCTCTGCATTGCCCTAGTAGAAGTTCTCCATGCGGGCTCTGCTCCGGCAGCAGATTTCTGCTTGGACATTCAGGTGTTTCCGGACATCCTCTGAAATCTAGGCAGAGGCTCCCAAAGCTCAGCTATTGTCTTCTGTGCACCCACAGGCCCAACACCACATGGAAACCACTAAGGCTTGAGGCTTGCACCCCCTGAAGCAATGGCTTGAGCTGTGAGCTGTACCTTTTAGCCATGGCTGGAGCTGGAGTGGATGGGACACAGGGCACCATGTCCTGAGCCTGAACAGAGCAGCAGCACCCTAGGCCTGGCCCACAAAACCATTTATTTTTCCCCCTAGGCCTCCAGGCCTGGGATGGGAGGTGCTGCTGTGAAGATCTCTGAAATGCCCTGGAGACATTTTCCTCATAGTCTTGGCTAGTAACATTCAACTTCTCTTTATTTATGCTAATTTCTGCAGTCAATCACTTGAATTTCTCTCAAGAAAATTTTTTTTTTTCTACCACATGGCCAGGCTGCAAATTTTCCAAGCTTTTATGCTCTGCTTCACTTTTAAACAAAAGTTTCAGTTTCAGATAATCTCTTTGTGAATGCATATCACTGTATGCATTCGGAAAAGAAAAAAAAGGCACATCTTGAACATTTTGCTGCATAGAAATTTCTTCTGTCAGATACCCTCAATCATCTCTCTCAAGTTCAAAGTTCCACAGATCTCTAAGGCAGGGACAAAATGCTGCCAGTCTCTTTGCTAAAGCATAGCAAGAACTTTGCTCCAGTTCCCAACAAGTTCCTCATCTCCTTCTGAGACCACCTCAGCCTGGACTTCATTGTCCATATCACCATCAGCATTTTGGTCAAAACCATTCAATAAGTCTTTCGGAAGTGCCAAACTTTCCCACATCTTCCTGTCTTCTTCTGATCCCTCCTAACTGTTCCAACCTCTGCCTGTTACCCAGTTCTAAAGTCCATTCCACATTTTCAGGTTATCTTTATAGCAGTGCCCCACTCCCAGTACCAAATTTTCTGTATTAGCCCATTTTCACATTGCTATAGAGAACTACCTGAAACTGGGTAATTTATCAAGAAATGAGTTGTAACTGACTCACAGTTTTGCATGACTCGGAGGGCTCAGGAAACTTACAATTATGGCAGAAGGTGAAGGAGAAGCAAGCACTTTCTTCACAGGGCAGCAAGAGAGAGAGAGAGCACAAGGCAGGGGAATTTCCAAACACTTTTAAGCCATCAGATCTTGTGAGAACTGTGAAAGGAAAATATCTTGGGCCCCCAAAATCTCTAAGGAAAACTCAAGCTGGAAACTGCTTATGGCAAACCTGCCTCCCATTTTATTCAAATTTATCCCTCTGCTCACCAAAATGGATGCATATCTGATTGCCTTTTTGGAAAGGCTAATCAAAAACTCAAAAGAATGCAACTGCTTGTGTCTCACCTATCTGTGACCTGAAAGCTCCCTTTCCCCTTCTAGTCTTCCTGCCCTTGCTTCAAGATGTCCCGCCTTTCAAAACTGAACCAATGTACTTCTTACATGTTGATTGATGTCTCATGTCTCCCTAAAATGTATAAAACCAAGCTGTTCCCCGACCTCCCTGGGCACATATCATCACACGGACGTGTCCTCAACCTTGGCAAAATAAACTTCCTAAATTAACTGAGACCTGTCTCAGATTTTCTGGGTTCACATAACTCAATCACTATCACAAGAATATCATGGAGGAAGCCGTCCCCATGATCCAATCACCTCCCACCAGGTCCCCCCCTCGACATGTGGGGATTACAATTAAGAGATGAGATTTGGTTGGGGATACAGAGCCAAATCATATCATCATTTAATTAAATTTATACGTTAACGCTTGTCTTTAGAGTCCAAAGCAAAATTAATTAGCACATCTCCAAATAAACCACTGGACACTGATTGAAAAGGGAATCCTTACATTTGTACTTTAGTTATGTAGTTTTTCTTGCTACCTAGTGTTGTCATAGTAATAAAAATATATGCCCTAAGTTGGCTTAAACATTATATGAATATACTTTTGATATATAAATATTTAACCTAGATCCTTCAATTTTCTGGTACCCTCTGTTGATGTTTAAAGCTTCTTTGTAAAATGTCTTAAATTATAAGGACCTGTTAATCTTATACTTATGAAATTCTAAGTTTAATTTTGTTTTTACTCATATTAAGGTAATACGTGTACATCATTTAAAAAGACAAATTACACTTAAGGCCTACAATGAAACCTGGAGCTCTCCTTCTTACCATTCATCTCTTATCCAAGTTCACTTCTGCAGCAACAACATTCAAATACTATATCGGTTTTTTTCTCTATAATCTGAAAACATATTTAAATCTCATTTATTTATTTATTTTCATTTTAGACATTACTTGCTGTCTTTCTACTATGAAAGCAGATGTTTTTAGCACATTTACTTTCATACAGATAACCCCCATGTTTTCCCAATTTCTTAATGAATCTGTATTTTTATTACATTAGTAGGCACTATTTAAATAATTTCAAACAATTTTTTAAAATATTTAACAGATAATTTTTATATCTCAGTGGAGAGTAGAAGAGATATAACCTAATTTTACAGAGAAAAATGAGAAGGAAGGCTTTGCTCTGGGTCATATTTGGAATATGACACAGAATTTTAGAAAAGAATGTATTAATAATATGGTTTATTATAACACTATATGTGAGTGCAATTTGACATCCTTTTCAATGTGGCTGTTTGAGCAGATAGGTTTTTTTGTTTTTTGAGACAGTCTTGCTCTGTTGCCCAGACTGGAGTGCAGTGGTGCAATCAGGGCTCTTTGTAGCCTCGATCTTCCAGGCTCAAGGGATCCTCTCCCCTCAGCCTCCTGAGTAGCTGGCACTGCAGGCGTAAGCCATCCCACCTGGCTATTTTTGAATTTTTTGTAGAGACAGGATCTCCCTACTTTGGCCATGCTTCAGCTGATACTTGAGCTTATGCTTGAGGTGATGCACTGATTTTCCTTGAGGCAGACAAGCTGATAGGGGCAGGGGAGGGACAGGGCCACAGCAATTTCCCTGCCTTATTGGACTGTGAAACAGGATTACCCAACAGCCAGCTCTCAACAGGAGCCTTGTCACTGGTAATTATTGGACAATGGATAGCTCCTGGAACAAAGTAGTAGTGAAATTATTTAAATTTTCACCTATAATGAACTGTAATGGTATATTGGTGAAAGAAAATGTACTAGTGGGTGCAATATATCAGGAGTTAAGAAAAATGAGGGAAATGATAAATGCAAGAACAATGAAATTTGACAGCTCTGTCTGGGGGCAACTGTGTTTAGAAAAAGATAATAAAATGCTCTTCTCAATCAGAATAAGAATATCACATTTTGAGTGTGTGTTGGGGGAGCAAATATTATGATCTCGTAAAGAACTGTAAAATGCAAGAATAGTAGTATTCATTAAATCTCTGCTTAATTCATCAAAATGTCTTAAAAGGGCAGATAGATGTTGAAGACTGATACTAGACTCCCACTAAATAGTAGCCCTAATCGTAGTAATTAACATGGCTGCAATTGTGAGGTATGTGCCTATTAATCTGTATGAATGCATGCTCTTTTGCATTCTTACCAGAAAGAAGGATCAGAAACAGTCTATATTTACAACCTCAATCCAAGGGTATGCTGACTCCCCTATCGTCTGCCATCATCTAGTCTAAAGACACTAGATAAAATGTTTTACAGAATGTTGTATTGGTTCCTATTCAGCCAGCAGTGTTGGCTTCATAGAGAGATGTAATGGTGAATCTGAGGAGCCAGACCTGGACCTCTTGCCTCAATTCCGAAAAACTCTGAAAGCCATCTCAATTTCTGCTCTCACTGTGGGATTGGCGGACCCTCTTGTTGAGTCACCATCACAACTTAGCTTCTTCTACCAAAGTTTGCCTCCATCTCCCTTCTGGGTGTGCGTTTTTAGAGCATTTCCTAGTAAATATCCTACACACAAATCTCAGAGTCCTATTCCTAGGGAAGCCAACCTAAAATGACACACAAAATGTATTTATATATTAGCAAAGAGAGTTATAAAATGAAATTAATCACAATATAGATTACAATATCTTCAAAAATCAAATTTGTAAAACCCAAATTTGTAAAAATCAGATTTGTAGACTACAATACCACCAGAATTCAAATTTATAAAATAATCTAATGAAAAATACACTGAAACAAGAAAAACTATGAAACATGAATGATTCTAATTTATTTCCAGGTAAAATAGAACATCAAAGATAAATGGATTGGGAGAAAAGGGAGATGTTAAAAAGTATGGAGGAGATTGAACTAGAGATGTTTAGAAATAACAAATAAAATGGAAAGGCTGGCAAGATCTAAGTTTGGGTCAGAAAAAGATACTGTAGTTAAGAATTTCATAATGGATGAGTTCCAGATGACAAATTTCTAGCTTCACCCTTTCACAGGCTATTTCTTCTGACTGGTGTTTTCTTCTTTTCTTTGATCTCTTAGCTTACTCCTACCAGTTCTTAAAGATTTAGATTAAAAATTTAGTTAGCATACTACCCTCACCCTTGAGTGAACATTTTTACAACCTTCATGGGTAAAATTAAGGAATTCCTTCATGTGTCTCACTACTTGTTGTATATCCTTCTATTTATAGCATTTATTTTAATATTTTAATTGCTATTTATTACCCTTTACAATGAACCCCAGCAGAGCAAAGACCATGTTGGCTACATTTTTGGATTTCCAAGATTCAACAGAATTCCCAGCAATTATTAGGTGATTAGTAGCGATTTGTAAATTAGACAAGAGATTAGTCACATTATTCATTATTTTTGGTTAGTAAAGATTGAGAAAGAAATGTGCTGAAGAAAAAATAATATATATACTTCTTCAATGGGTTATTTTAAAGTAATTATTAGTTATCTAAAATTATAATTAAATTATCACAAATTATAATTTAGATAATGATGATTTAATATGATAATCTATTTGTCGTATTAATTTTTGAAAATAAAAATGGTAAAAAAGGATTCAACTTTTTAGTAAGTGAAACATTATCATTTAATGCCTGTCTATATTTTTAACTTATAGTTTTTTCTCATGGATATTTTTAATTCTGATTTTGGCTTATATTCTTTATTTTAAAATATACGCTGTGTAAAAATATTTCCCAAAACACAATGTATTATATTTTTATATGGCCAAAATGGCATCAAAACACAAAGGTTTTTACCCTTATAATAGGTTAGGCTTTTTGTTAATAGATTAAACAATTCATTTAATCTGAATTGTTAGTCACACATTATTCTCCTAGTCATATTAGATATTAGGTCACAGGCAGTTTAGTAGGTACATTTACAATATAACCTGTTTATTTTATTTTTTTTAGCTATAAAATACCATGAATTTAGTACAATGATAATTTAGAGAAAAAATGTAAAGCCCAATCACCCTAAGATAATGACTGTAAAAGACAGGATTTAAATAAGTTTAAATAATTGATTATTTTATTTATAAATCATCACTGCCCTTGCACTATGTAATAATTGAGTCTAAATATAAATGTAAAGATTTAATGAGTAGTTAGCTGGCAGATAAGATCAGATGTGCAAATCAAAACCCATAGTGACATTTGTTTAGCAAAACACTGACCTTAGTCTAGAGTTAGAGTTTTGTCTAAAGAAGGAAATTCTGAAATGATTTCTAATGGCATCATGAGACACACAATTTGATGATATTTCAGCAGCATAATTAAAGTAATGTACTACTGAATAGCCATAGAATTACCTCTACATTTCTCTACCAATATATAGAAAATAATCTTTCATAAAAAATATCCTGGTAATTCTAGAATAAAAATGGAATTTGGAATTTTAATATAAGCATATTTAAAAGTTGACAAATATTTATTTTGTCCAGACTAGGGTCAAGAAATGCACTAAGTAGGATGTGGCCAGAAACAAAGATGAATGATGTGTATGTATCTTTGTTCTCAAGGAGTTTGAAGTTTAGTGAGGAAGATTGATAACTTATTAATACTTATAACAGAGAATGCGATAAGTATTAGGATACAATGCATCATGGAGACTGAGAGTTTAGGATCAGCCTAGATACAAATGTGGGCTCTACTGTGTAATCTCTTTAAAATTACTTGCAAATTCTTCTTGAGTATTAGTTTCCAAACAAAACAAAACAAACAAAAGAATATTTATAATACTAACATGAGTTACATTATTATTTAAGTGAATCAAGATGGTTTATAAAATGTGCTTATCATGAAATCTGGGAATTAGCAAGCACTAAAAATAAATGTTAGCAACCATCATCAAAGATACAAAGAATGGAGCCTGAGAACACAAATAAAATGTCAATTATTTCTGCGTATGAGTACTAGGGATACTTAACAGATGACATACTTTTGAATTGAGCTTGTAAGCAGGATTTGAATACAGAACAATATGGGATGGGGTTGTGAAGTACATTTTTGGCTGACGGACCAAAGACATGAAGAACATAAAAGCTGAGGAAAACTATGGTCATTGTAGTCAAATCATGGAATGAATGTAACTGAAATGAAACCATTAGCCAAGAGGCAAGTGGCAAAACCCAGAGAATGGAGGTGAAATAGCTAAGGATGCATATCACGAATGGAAAAAAAAAAAATTCCCGTTTAAGGAAAAACCCAGGAAGATGCTGAAATTACTTTAAATCTGGAAAATCTTTTGAAAGAATAGGCAAATAAATTGTAAAAATAATCTCCTACTATTTATTTTAATATTTCATTGGCAGGACTATCTTCAACAAAACATGATTAAATTATGGTTTGGAAATCATGATTTGATGGAGATACTAGATATCTGTCTTAAGTGTATTTTAACTGTTACATATCCCTTTCATTCATTTCTTAGAACATTTTTTGGAAAAATTTATCTTTAAAATATGATTTAGAAAAATAATGTGGCTCTTTTTTAGGCTATTTATGATAAATCATCAATAATTCTGTTATGTGAATTTTAAGAGCTAATTTTAAGAGCTTAGATAAATCAATTTTTAACCTAAATTTGCAAACTATAGTCTTTATTTGAAAAGTCATGGACATAATAAAATATTTATCATAACTCTAAGATATACAAAGAATCCTTAAATATGTTGCATATTACTTTTTGTATGGGACTCTGATATAACAATGCTGTTTTTTAAATTCTGGTAAAGCATTGCAATAGTTACCAAAGGACCTACTCACTAACAGCTTATAACATGACTAAAAATATTATAATTATTTAACTATGAAATGAAAAATATCTGTACATGGTACAGCAAAAGGCTTTTTGAACTTGTAAATAATCATTTTAAAAGGAAACGAAATATCTATTTTCACACATTTATTGATTATATAAGAAATGCCTGGCTGGAAAAGGAATGACAGAGATGCAAGAAATGTGGTTAATCCTTGTCCAGGAACTGGTGGTGTATCTGAAACATGTAGCTAGAATGATCTCAAGGACATAACCTAGGGTTGAAGTTTTATGTGGCAATACTCAAGATTTAGACAGTCTGAGTGACATAATCTGTGCTCTTGCTGGTCTAAGTGCCATAAATAATTACACAGGTGCAATTGCAAGAGTGCTATAAATTAGAACTACTCTAACTCCTGTAGGTTGAGAACTTTCTGTAGTTACAGAAGGCTCAAAGTACTCATCTCACATGGATTTGAGATCTGGCCAACTAATCATAACAATTTACTCTGGGGCCAAGATTGTCTCCTGACTCCAAGGTAGATTCAGATAAGATCAGATACAGAGAATGGGCTTCCCTAGTTTTTATTTTCTTTTCTCTTTTTTTAATTTAAGTTTTGGGATAAATGTGCAGGGCGTGCAGGTTTGTTACATAGATATAAACATGTCATGGTGGTTTGCTGTCCCTATTGACTCCTCCTGTAAGTTCCCTCCCCTCATGCCTCACCCTCTAACATGCCCTGGTGTGTGCTGTTCCCCACCCTGGGTCCATGTGTTCTCGTTGTTCAACTACTACTTATGAGTGAGAGCGTGTGGTATTTGGTTTTCTGTTCCTGTGTTAGTTTGTTGAGGATGATGGCTTCCAGCTTCATCCATGTCCCTGCAAAGGACATGATCTCATTTCTTTTCATGGCTGCATAGTATTCCATGGTGTATATGTACCACATTTTCTTTATGCAGTCTACCATTGATGGGCATTTAGGTTAATTCCATGTGTCTGCTATGATGAATAGTGCTGCAATGAACATACACTCACATGTATCTTTATAGTAGAATGATTTATATTCCTTTAGGTATATACCCAGTAATGGGATTCCTGGGTCAAATGGTACTTCTGGTTCTAAATCTTCGAGAATTTGCCACACTGTCTTCCACAATGGTTGAACTAATTTACATTCCCACCAACAGTGTAAAAGCATTCCTATTTCTCTGCAACCTCACCAGCGTCTGTTGTTTCCTGACTTTTTAAAAATCACCATTCTGACTGGCATAAGATTGTTTCTCATTGTGGTTTTGATTGCATTTCTCTGGTGATCAATGATGTTGAGAAAACCCTCCAAAGTATGGTGTATTGTGATGGGAGTATCAGGAGTTCAATTACTTATTTATAGTTGTAGAATATTAATGAAAGAAAAATAAAATGTGATTATAATTTGGGAAATGCAGCTCAAAATGATCCTATTTGAAATGGCAGAAGGTGAAAGGCAGGTCTTACATGGCGGCAGGCAAGAGAGGAAATGAGAACCAAGCAAAAGGGGTTTCCCCCTATAAAGCCATCAAATCTTGTGAGACATATTCCCTATGATGAGAACAGTATGGGGGAAACTGTCCCCATGATTCAATTATCTCCCACCAGTCCCTCCCACGACATGTGGGAATTATGAGAACTACAATTCAAGATGAGATTTGGATGGGGACACAGCCAAACCATATCACAGGCTAACTAGAAGACTGAGACCTAATCTTAAAACTATAGAAAGCTTCTTCTACCCCCACACCTTATCACTACCTGCAGTTTCTTTTACCCAATAAAGTATGTCTCCCTTTCAATGAAAAATTACAAGACATAGTAGAAAAACACACACACACACACACACACATACACAGACAATTTGAGAAGACAGAGCAAGCAAGCATCAGAACCAGAACCAGATGTTTCAGAGATGTTGGAAGTAACAGAGTGTGAATTTAAAACAACTATGATTATATGGTAAAGGCTCTAGTGAAAAAATTAGACAATACACAGGAACAGATGGATAATGTGGGAATACAGCTGGAAATTCTAAGAAGGAACCAAAAATAAATTCTGAAGGTAAAAAACAATAAAGAAAGCTTTTTATGAGTTCCTTAGTAGACAGAACATGGCTGAGAAAAATCTTTGAGCTTGAAAGTATGTCAATAACAGCCTCCCAAATTGAAAAACAAAGAAAAAAAAGACAGAAAAACAAAACAGATATCATAACAGAATATTGAAGACCTGTGGGAAAACTACAAATAGTGTGATGTGCATGTAATAGAAATACCAGAAAGAAGAAAGACAGAAAAGAACAGAAGAAATATTTGAAGTAATAATAACAGAATTCTCTCCAATTAATATCAGACATCAAACCGTAGACTTAGCAAGCTCAGAGAAAACCAACCAGGTTAAACACTGAAAGAACTGCAAGTAGCTATATCATATTTAAACTACACAAAATCAAATGTAAAGAAAATGATCTTGATAGAAGCCAGAGGAAAAAGAAAACACTACTTATACAGAAACAAGCGTAAGAATTACAACAGACTTCTCAGAAACCATAAAAGCAAGAAGAGCATAGAGTGACATATTTTAAATGTTGACAGAAAAAAAAAAACACACACCAAGCTATAACTCTGTATCATGCAAAATTACCCTTCAAATGTGAGGTCCCTCAGACAAACAAATTTTGAGAGAATTTGTTGCCAGTAGACTTGCCTTGAAAGAGATGTTAAAAGCTTTTTTGAGAGAGAAAATGATGAAGTTCAGAAAGTGGGCTTTTTATAAAGAAAAATAGAATGTTAGAGAAGGAATAAGTGAAGGTAACATTTAAAAAGTTTTGTTCTTCTAAATTGTGAAACTGGATCATAGCCAAATTTAATTTAACCTTTAACATTTTGTTCAGAAAATAAAAAAGGAAATACCAATTTTAGTAGGGGAGATTTCTCCTGCTTTTCACAAGGTATTGCTCTTGGAGATAGCATGAGAGAATAGTTACTGATTTGCTCTTCTCTGTTTCAATAACATCTTTTTTTTTTCTTTTTCTTTTTTTTTTTTTTTTTTGAGAGAATCTCATTCTGTCGCCCAGGCTTGGGTGGGGTACAGTGGCGCAATCTTGGCTCACTGCAACCTCTGCCTCCCAGGTTCAAGTGATTCTCGTGCCTCAGCCACATGAGTAGCTGCGATTACAGGCGTGTACCACCATGCTCGGCTAACTTTTTTTTTTTTAGTAGAGACGCGGTTTCACCATGTTGCCCAGGCTGGTCTGTAACTCCTGGCCTCAAGTGATCAACCCACCTCGGCTTTCCAGAGTGTTGGAATTACAGGCAGCTGAACACCATGATGTCTTTGAGAGTGTGAGTATCTGACAATTCTTGATGTGATTCCAAAGTTTAAAGGGTAATCTTTTACAATTCACTTCTCACATTAACTCTAATTTTAGAGCTCAATCTTCAAGCAAGATGCAACTGGACTATATAATTTATAAAATATCAATATTAAGTTTTTCTTTTTTCATAATATCTATTCAATTTTATATAACTTCCAAAAATAGGCTCCTTTTTTTTAAAAAAAAGATATTTAAGTCAAACTCCCTGTGGGCAGAAATGGTTTCTTGTTCACTCTTGCGTAATTATTACTTAGCATAGTGCTTGACACATAGTAGGTGTTCAATAAATATTTGCTGAACAAGTAATACGGCTGCCAGCAGTTGCATTAACTTTGCTTTTTCTTAGGAGATACCTTAAAGTTTACAATATACATTTGCAATTAGTCCACATCCACTTTCAAATAGCATTATAGCATTTCACAACTAGTACCTTATAGTAACAAAATATTCTTAATTTCTTCCTCCTGTTTCTTGTTTCATTGCTTTATTCATTCCACTTATCAATAAACTATGTTGCTGGAATACATTGTTGTTATTATTTTGAACAAATTATTATCTATTAGGTCAACTATGAATAAGAAAAAAAGGTGAAGTAAAAAATGCAAATGAAAATGCATAGAAAAAATGCATAAAAGGAAGTAACAGACATGGTAGTTTTTATTTTTTTTTTTGTGGGGGACGGAGTCTCACTCTGTTGCCCAGGCTGGAGTGCAGTGGCGCCATCTCGGCTCACTACCAGCTCCGCCTCCCGGATTAACGCCATTCTCCTGCCTCAGCCTCCCGAGTAGCTGGGACTACAGGAGCCCGCCACAGCGCCCGGTTAATTTTTTGTATTTTTAGTAGAGACAGGGTTTCACCGTGTTAGCCAGGATGGTCTCGATCTCCTGACCTCGTGATTCGCCTGCCTTGGCCTCCCAAAGTGCTGGGATTACAGGCATGAGCCGCCGTGCCCGGCCCAGACATGGTAGACATTAATCCGACTATACCAATGATTTAATTTGAACGTTTGTCTCCTCGAAATCTCATGTTAAAATTTGATTCCCAGAGTTGGAGGTGGGGTCTAGTGGGAGGTGTTTGGGCAGAGCCTTCATGAATGGCTTGTGTCATTCTCATTCTCATGAGATTGAGTGCGTTCTCATTCTTAGTTCCTGCAATATCTGGTTGTTAAAAAGAGTATGGCACCTCTCTCCCATCTCTCTTTCCTCCTTTCTTACCATGTGAGACCTACTCTCCTTCCCCTTCCACCATAAGTGGAAGCGTCCCGAAGCCCTCACCAGAAGCAAATGTTAGCATACACCATCCTTCTTGTACAGCCTGCACAACCATGATACAAATAAACATCTTTTCTCTATAAATCATCTAGACTAAGGTATTTCTTTAGAGCAATGCAAACAGACTAAGACAATCAATCAATAACTCTTTTAAACATGAATGGTCTAAATATACTAATTAAAAGGCAGAGACTGCCAAGCTAGACTGAAAAAAAAAAAAAACAGAAAAAAAACTCAGGTATGTCTTGTTTATAAGAAACCCACTTTAAATACAAAGAATCATATAAAACAAAAGTAAAGGGATGAGAAAGATATGTTATGCTAACATTAATCAAAATAAAGAGGAGAAACTATATTAATTTCAGACAGAGCAGTCTTCAGAGTAAGGAATATTATCAGCAATAAAGTGGGGCATTTCATAATGATAAAGTGGTCAAATCTCTAAGAAGACATAACAATCCTTAATGTGTTTGCACCTAATAACAGAGCATCAAAATAGATGAAGCGAAAACTGATCAAACTGCAAAGGGAAACAGATGAACTTACTATTACATGTGTATACTTTAATACCCTTCTTTCAGAAGTAGACAGATCTAGCAGGCAGAAAATCAATAAGGACATAGTTGAACTCAACAGTACCGTTAATCAACAGGATATCCATTGACAACATCATCCAATAACAGCAGAACACACATTCTTCTCAAGCTCACATGGAACATTCACTAAGATAGACCACACTTCAGACCGTAAAATTGCACCTGAAAAAATTTGAATAAATAAAAATTTTATAATGACTGCTCTAAGCCCACAATGAAATTAAGCTGGAAATCAATAACAGAATAATAGTTAAAAAATACCACAATACTTGGAGATTTAAAAATATAGTTCTAAAAATACATGGGTCAAAGAAAAAATATTAGATAAATTTTAAAACATTTTAAAGTATACAAGAGTGAAAATACAACTTACCAAATGTGGGAGGCAGTGAAAGCTGTGCTTAGATGAAAATTTATATCATTGAATGCATATATCAGAAAGAAAAAAATCTAAAATCAATAATATAAATGTCCACCTTAGAAAACCAGTAAAAGAAGAGAAAAATTAAATCCAAAGTAAGTATAAGAACAAAAATAATAAAAACAAGACCAGAAATCAATGAACCTGAAAACAAGAAATGAAAAGAGAAAATTAACAAAATCAAGTGGTGGTTTTTTGAAAAGATCAATAAAATTGACCCTTTAGCTATGCTAACAGAAAAAGAGAGAAAACACAAATTCCTAGTATCATCTCTACAGAGTCCATAAAAATTAAAAGAATAATAAATAAATACTATGGAGAACTCTATGCCTACACATTTTATCTTCTCAATAAAATGAACGAATTTCTTGAAAGACATAATCTGCCAAAACTCACAGAAGAAGAAATAGACAATCTGAATAGGCTTATACCTTTTAAATAAATTGAGTTAATAATTAAGCTTCTTAAAACAGGAATAACAGGCCCAGAGGTGTTTAATGATGAATTCTAAAAAATATTTAGGGAGGAAATTATCCCAATTCTTTACTATTTCTTCCAGAAAATGAAAAAATGAGAAAGTATTTTCTCATTTTATGAGTCCAGCATTTCCCTGGTACCAACATCAGGTAAAGACATTACAAGAAAAGAAGGCTACAAACCAGTATCTCTCGTGAGCATAGATGCAAAAATCTTCAACAAATTATGAGTAAATCACATCCAATAATGTATAAAAGAAATTAAAAATCACAGTCAGTGAGATTTGTTCAGGTATGAGGATTGGTTCAGCATTTGGAAATCTATTAATACAATCCATCACAACAACAGGCTAAAGAGGAAAACTACATGATCATATAAATAGATACAGAAAAATCATTTGACAAAATTCAGTACCTATTCATGATAAAAACTCTAAGCAAACTAGGATAGAAGAGAATTTATTTAACTTAATAAAGAGTATTTACAAAAAACCTTGCAACTAACCTCATATTTAATGGCGAGAAACTAAAAGCTTCTCCACTAAGATCAGGAACACTTTATTGGAAGTCCTAGCTAATGCAATAACACAGAAAGGAAAATAAAAAGTATACAGTTTTGTGAGGATGAAATAAAACTGTTTTTCTTTACAGATAACATGATTGTCTATGTAGAAAATCTACAGACAAAGATCTCCTGGAACTAATAAATGACTAACACAAAGTTAAGAAATGCAAGGTTAATATATAAAAGTTAAGCACTTTTTTATGCCAGCAATAAACAAGTGGAATTTGAAATAAAAAACACAGCACCATTTACATTACCACCCAAAACCATAATATATCTAGGTATAAATCTAACAAAATGTATGTAAGGTCTATATTTAAAAAGCTATAAAGTTTTGATGAGTGAAATTTTAAAAGAGAAATAAATAAATAAATAAATAAATAAATAAACAAATGGAGAGATATTACTTGTTCATGGATAGGAAGACTCAATATTGTTAAGTTGTCAGTTCTTCCCAAATTGATATATAAAGTCAATGCAATCCCATCTAAATCTCAAGGAGCTATTTTATATATATATAGTAAAACTATTTCTAAACTTAGCATGGAGAGTCAAAAGACCCAGAATAGCCAACACAATATTGAAAGAGAAAAACAATGTCGGAAGATGGATAATATCCAACATCAAGACTTACTACAAAGCTATGGTAATCAAGGCAGTATTGTATTGGCAAAAGAATAGTCAGATAAAGCAAGCATAATAGACAGCTCAGAAACAGACCCACATAAATATAGTCAACTAATATTTGACAAAGGACAAATGCAGTACTACGGGAAAAGATAGTCTTTTCAACAAATAGTTCTAGAAGAGAACTGGGATAGCTGAAAATAAATAGTTCAACAAAATATATAAGCTTAGACACAGACCTTACATTCTTCACCAAAATTAACTTCAAATGGATCATAAACCTAATTGTCAAATGCAAAATTACAAAACTCCTGGAAGATAACATAGGAGAAAATCTAGATGGCCTTGGATATGGCAATGACTTTTAAAATAAAATCCCAAAGTCATGTTCCATAAAATAAATAACCAATAAGCTGAACTTCACTACAATTAAAAATTTATCTGTGAAAGATACTTTCAAGAAAATAAAAAGACAAGATACAGAATGGGAGAAAATATTTGCCAAAGACATATCTGTTTAAGAGCTGTTATCTAAAATATACAAAGAACTCTTAAAACTTGACAATTAGAAAATGAACAACCTGAAAAATGAGCAAAAGATCTAGGCAGACACCTCACCAAAGAATATATACAGATAGCAAATAAGCATATGAAAAGATGCTCCACATCATGTGTCTTTAGGAAAAGGCAAAATAAAACAATGAGATGCTACTACAGGCTGATTAGGATGGCCAAAATCCAAAACAGTAACATCAAAAGCTGGTGGAGACGTTGACAAAAAAGGAGCTCTCACTGATTGCTGGTGGTAATGTCAAATGATAGGGCCACTTTGGAAGACAATTTGGCAGTTTCTTGCAGAACGAAACATACTTTTACCACATAATACGGCAGTTTGCTTCTTACTATTTATCCAAATGAATTGAAAAATTACATTCATACAAAAACAAATACACTGGTGTTAATAGCAGATTTATTCACAATTGCCAAAACTTGGAAGCAACCAAAATGTCCTTCAGTGGTTGAAAAGATAAATAAACTGTGGTATATCCAGATAATGGGGAATCATTGAATACTAAAAAGAATGAGCTATCAAGCCATGAAAAGAGCGATAGCCATGAAAAGACATAGAGGAAACTTAAATGCATATTACTAGGTGAAAGAAGCCAATATGAAAAGACTATATACTGTATGATTTAAACTATATGACATTCTGGAAAAGGTAAAACTGTGGAGACAACAAGAAGATCAGTGGTTGGCAGAAGTTTAGTGGGAGAAAGGGATGAATAGGGAGAACACAGGATTTTTAGGGCAGTGAAACTATTCTGTATAACACTTTAGTTGTGGATACATATTATACGTTTGTGAAAACCTATAGAATGTACAACACCAAGACTGCACCTTAATGAAAGGTGATATCACTTCGAGTGATAATGAACTATCACAGAAAGCTCATTGCTTTTAATAAACTTATTATTGTGGTATTACGGATAGTGAGGTTAGTTTGTGTGTGTGGAAGTAGGAATATAAGGGAGCTCTGTGTACTTGCTGTTCAATTTTGCTGTGAACCCTAAATTGATCTAAAAATAATGTCTATTCAATCCTGCTGTAAAATGAAAGAAAAACTTTTCTAAAGTGTTTAATAATGGTGGTTCCCATGACAGACCTATTGCAAAAAAGGTCTGGCTAATTTTTCTGCCAGTATACTTTCATAACTCAGCTCCAGACCACACAAAGGCAATAACTTCATTTCCACTGTACTTCTAATTACAGTTTGATTTGAGTTATCTATGTTTTGTATGATATGATATTATTGATCTAGTTTAAAAGAAAACTAATATAGACATGTAAAGTCATGTTAAGTTTTGTGGTCTACATTGTTTATGTGTTAAAATTATAGTTTTAAACATTAACTTACTAATGTTATTTTTATTTTTAAATATTGTCAGTTTGCTTTTTGTATAACATAACTACTGATCTTAAGTATGTGACGATATAGCAACTTGACATTGATCTCTTCACCTTTCTGACACCTCTTTTATGTAAATGCTAAATTTATTATTCAGTTGCAACGAATTTTTAAAATATACATTTATCGTTTTATTATGCCATATAAACACAAACAGAAAATCTTGCTTTAAAGTGTGAAAATTTCTGAAACTTTTGAAATAAAGTTAATGAAAATATATATTGAAAATCAGATTAACAGTCCATGAATCTTTACTCTTGCATTTATTATACAAAAAAAATTACACTGGGTAATTTGGGAATGTACCAGTAAACTTAAGTTTGATTTTTCAAGAATTTCATTAATAGTTCTTCTATTAGTCAGGGTTGTCTTAGAGGGACAGAACTAATAGGAGATATATATCTATATAAACAGAGTTTATTATGTATTAATTTATGTGATCACAAGGTCCCACAATAGGCTGTCTGCAAACTGAGAAGCAAGGAACGCCAGTCTGAGTCCCAAAACCAAAGAACTTGGAGTCCCATGTTTGAGGGCAGGAAGCATCCAGCACTGGAGACAGGTGTAGGCTGGGAGGCTAGGCTCATCTCTCCTTTTCACGTTTTTCTGCCTGCTTTATATTTGCTGAAAGCTGATTAGATTGTGCCTACCAGATTAAGGGTGGATCTGCCTTCCCCAGCCCACTGACTCAAATGTTAATCTCTTTTGGCAACACCCACACAGACACACCCAGGATAAATACTTGGTATCCCTCAATCCAATCAAGTTGACACTCTGTATTAACAATCATGGTTATTCAGTCCTTTCATGTCATAGAATGGTATATCTCAAATAAACACAAGTAAACATATTTTGAAGAAGCATAATCCTCAAAATAGCGCATCAGATCATCTTTCATTTTGAGCAGTTTCATCCTGCGTGAGTGGTTTGCTCATAACACTATTTTACTGTTGGCAGCCATGGAAGTTGCACCAAGAATCTTGAAGACAAGCAATCCAACTATTACAACTCTGAAAGCATCTAAAGTGTACAATAAAACTGGCTCTCAAGCATAAATTAGAAAAACCAAACAAACAAAACTACAGTCTTTGAATTTGGCAATCTTTCAATGTAGAAATGCTTTGACACTTCCAAATTTAGTATGAGTGTCACTGAATGGCAGTGAGTATAAAATGAAACTAGGAGACAATATACCCTAATGCTTAAAATAACACCAAACTTTAAACCATATCTGACTGGTAAAACTAAGCATGTTACAACAAAGAAAGGAAAATTCTTAATAGTGTGTTTTAAAATATAAATCCTGAATTTCTTAGCAGAAGTTCTTTAATTAAGAATTTGCTTAATATTATTCTTTTGTTTTATCAAGTCTCTTTCTCAGATCTTCTATAAATTTCTTTCATTTACTGTTTTCACATTCAGATTTATCTTGTAATTTTATCAGTGAATGAAATATAGTCATGCACTGGGATCCTACTGCTAAAATATATTCTCAATCTTCTGTAAGTCCAGAGAGATGTTTCTAAGCTCTTCAAAGAGAACTTTTATAAGATTTCAAGGTATTATGTGTATATAAAATTATTCTCTTTTTGTTGTGCTTGAGGCACATAGCAATAGTCTGATCCAACTAGCTGTCAAGGTTTGGTTCTATAATACTTAGTGTTGAAAGAATTCTCATCAGAACTTAATTCACAAAAGGAGATTTCCAATCTGGGGAGCAAGATGTAAGTATAGTAGCAACCATGAACAGGAAAGAAAATGGTCTGAGACAGTTGGGGACGGTCCTGAGTAGGGATTGAATAGCTAATTGAAGAACCAATTAATTAAAGTACAAAACTAAGATAATCACTACAGCAGTTCAACCTCAAAATTGACTTGTGAAAATCTTTACACAAATAAATCAAAAGTATCTTTCCTTTATTAGCCAGGTATCTTCCACAGTTTATTAAATATGTAGACACAATCATCTTCACAAGTGAATTTAGTATTTAAGAATACAAATAAGAGCACTATCTTGTTTATGAATAACCTTCCAATGATATGACTTGATGCTCACTTGTGACTCATTTGTCTGATTTGGACTTTGGGCTTGGGAGTGTGCAATAATGAAATCTTTGGATTACACAGTGTTCAATTAAGATTGTATGTACAACACTAAATATCTGTAATTTCTATAACCTGCACATATATGATATAAATACTTGTGTTTATATTATGTTAGTATAATTTTATAAATATTATTTTATCTAATTATATATAAAATATGTATGATATATTTTTATATCAACATATCCATATGATTTTTATATAATTAATCTACAGGCAGTGCTCTAAACATTAAGGTGATGTACATACATGAAAAACAAAGTAAAAGAGAGAATTAAAGCCAGGTCCTGGATAGTGCGGAGTAAAGGGAGTTTATGGAGTAGAAGTGATCTCCAAATAGAAAACTTGATTTCTCAAATTCAGCTTTCTAACAAACATTTTCATCCATAACCCCTATTAAGCAGTTAGATTCCACTGGTAAAATCCTGCCATGTAGTTAATCTTTGAACTTTGTACCAGTGTTTTCAATAAATCTGTTCCTTTGAGTATGTAGAGTAGAAAAATATGCAAAAATCACCTGCATATTAATCACACTTTCAAAATCACTGTGTGATATAAACTTGCCTATTTTTGTGTATCAAAAATAAACCATGGCTGTGTTACAACTTTGTGAGATTCCTCATCATTGTAATGACATACCTATCTTATTATTGTCTTCCTATTCATTACTTCAACTATGTTTTAATTTTGCATGCTTGAAGCAGGAGTAGAAGTTAATAAGCCTTACCAGCTTGAAACCAAGCAGATAAAGAAATATAGTTTTATATTGTAATATAAATTTGAAAACTTAAAATGGTCTCAAAGTTCATGAAAAATAAAACTTTTCATATACAATTCATTTGAAAAAAATCACTATAATAAATTACTGTAAAAATGTTACCACATATTTATAATATTATTAAAGATTTTAGTGTTTTTCTATAGATCTATTTTTTATTATTTTAATTATTATTATTTTTTTTTTTGAGAAGGAGTCTCGCTCTGTCACTCAGGCTGGAGTGCTGTGGTGCGGTCTTGGCTCACTGCAGCCTCCACCTCCTGGGTTCAAGCAATTCTCCTGCCTCAGCCTCCTGAGTAGCTGGGATTACAGGCTTGCACCACCATGCCCGGATAACTTTTGTATTTTTAGTAGAGATGGGGTTTCACCATGTTGCCCAGGCTGGTCTCGAACTCCTGACCTAGTGATCTGCCTCCTTCAGTCTTATCAGACACATGGTTTGTAAATATTTTCTCTCAACCTGTGGGTTGTATCTTCACTCTGTTAATTGTGTTTTGTGTGTGTGTTTTTTTTTTTTTTTTTTTTTTTTTTTTGCTGCGCAAATGCTTTTTAGTTTGATACCATCCTATTTGTCTATTTTTGCTTTTATTGCCTGTGCTTTAGGGTTCTAATCAAGAAATCATTGCCCAGACTAATGTTGTTGAGCTTGCCCGTATGTTTTCCTATCATAGTTTTACAAATTTAAGTCTTACATCTAAGGTTTTAAATCCATTTTTGAGTTGATTTTGTATGTGGTGTAAGAAAAGAGTACAATTTTATTGTTCTGCATGTGGATATCCAGTTTTCTCAACACCATTTATTGAAGATCGTCCTTTCCCCATTGTGTGTTCTTGACATATTTGTTGAAAATCAGTTGACCATAACTGGAATTATTTTTAGGCTTTTTATTCTGTTCCATTGATTGATGTGTATGTTTTTACATTAATATCATACCGTTTTGATTATAATAGCTCTATGATATATCTTGAAATTAGAATATATGATGCCTCTAGCATTGATCTTTTTGTTCAAAATTGTTTGTGCTATTTGGAGTCTTCTCTGACTGTATAAGAATTTGAAGATTTCTTTTCTATTTCTGTGAAAAATGACATTGGAATTTTGAAAGAAATTGCATTTAATCTTTAGATCAGTTTTATGTAGTATGGATATTTAAACAATATTAATTCTTCTAATCCATGAACATGGGATATCTCTTTGTTTATTCATGTCTTCCTCAATTTCTTTCATTAATGTTTTATAATTTTCAAAGTATAGATCTTTCACCTTCTTAGTTAAATTTACTCCTAAGTATTTTATTATTTTTTAATGTTATTGTAAAGGGGATTGTTTTCTTAATTTCCTTTTCAGATAGTTTACTCTTAGTGTAGAGAAACACTAGTAATTTTTGTATGTTAATTTTGTAACCTGCAACTTTGTTGAATTCATTTATCAATTCTAGCAGGTTTTTGGTTAAGTCTTTAGGACTTTCTATATATACGATTATGTTATCAGCAAGGAGAGACAATTTCACTTCTTTTTTCACATAAATTTTTAAATTTCTTTTATTTGCCTAATTTGTCTAGATGTTCAGTAGTAATTAAATAGTAGTGGGGAGAGGTGGCATTTTTGTCTTGTTTCTAATCTTACAGAAAAAGTTTTCAACTTTTTACCATTTAGCATGATGTTAGCTGTGGGCTTTTCATATATGGCTTTTATTGCATTGAGGTACATTCCTTCTATACCTATTTTTTGAGAGTTTTTAACATTAATGGATGCTGAATTTTTTCAATTGCTTTTTCTATATCTACTGAGATGATTATATCACTTTTACACTTCATTTGGTTAATATTTTGATCAAACTTATTGATTTATATATGTTAAATCATCCTTCCATCCCTGGGATAGATACTACTTGATTATGGTGAATAATCTTTTCAATGTGCTATTCAATTTGGTTTGCAATTATCTTGTTGAGGATTTTTGCATCTGTGTTCATCTAAGATTTTGGCATACATACCTACATACATGTATATTGATATACATATATATGTATGTGTGTGCACAGGCCAGTATCCTTGATGAACACAGATGAGTTGTTCATAGCGATGAGTTGTTCATAGCAGTCTCTTATGATACTTTGTGTTTCTGTGATATTAGCTGCAATGTCTCCTCCTTCACTTCTGATTTTGTTTGAGTCCTCTCTTTTTCTCTTTATTAATCTAGGTAACGTTTGCCAATTTTATCTTTAAAAAAACTCTTTTAGTTTTGTTGATCTTTTATGTTGTTTTTCTAGTCTCTGTTTTGTTTATTGCCACTCTGATCTTTGTTATTTCTTTCTTTCTGGTAAATTCAGGCTTACTTTGCTTTTCTTTTTCTAGTTTCTTGAAGTGTAACATTAGATTGTTTATTTGAGATCTTTCTCATTTTGACACAGGTATTTATTGCTATAAACTTCCATGTCAAGACTGCTTTTGCTACATCCTATAAGTTTTAGTAAGTTTTACTTAACTTTGATAAGTTGCACAAACTTTTACTACTTCCCTCCACAATTTGTTTTTGTTGACACATTAAAAAAACTTTTATTTTAGGTTCAGGGGTACATGTACAAGTTTGTTATGCAGGTAACTTACATGTCATGGGGGTTTGGTACAGATTATTTCATCACCCAGCAAATAAATATAGTACTCTATAGGTAGTTTTCTGATCCTTATCATTCTCTCACCCTCCACCCTCAAGTAGGCCCAGTGTCTGTTTTCTCCTTCTTTGTGTCCATGTGTACTTAATGTTTAGTTTCCACTTATAAGTGAGAAAATGTGGTATTTGGTTTTCTGTTGCTGCATTAGCTTGCTTAGGATACTGACCTCCAGCTTCATTCATGCTGATGCAAACGGTGTAATCTTGTTCTTTTTTATGGCTGCATAATGTTCCATGATATGTATGTACTGCATTTTCTTGAACTAATCTATCATTGGCTGACAATTAGGTTGATTCCATATATTTGCAATTGTGAACAGTGCTGTGATGAACATAAACACGCATGTGTCTTTATGTTAGAATGGTTTATATTCCTTTTGGCATATACCCAATATTGGGATTGCTGGGTCAAATGGTAGTCCTTTTTATTTATTTATTTATATTTTATTTTTTTGGTTCTTTTTTGAGAGAGAGTCTCCCTCTGTGGCCAGGCTGGAGTAAAATGGCGTGATCTCGGCTCACTGCAACCTCCACCTCCCAGGTTCAAACGATTCTCCTGCTTCAGCCTCCTGAGTAGCTGGGACTACAGGCGTGCACCACCACACCCAGCTAATTTTTGTACTTTTAGTTGAGATGGGGTTTCACCATGTTGGCCAGGATGGTCTCTATCTCTTGACCTCCTGATCTGCCAGCCTTGGCCTCCCAAAGTGCTGGGATTAAAGGCATGAGTCACCACACCTGGCCTAGTTCTGTTTTAAGTTCTTTGAGAAATTGTCAAACTGCTTTCTTCAATGGCTGAACTAATTTTCTTTCCCACCAGCACTGTATAAGCATTCTGTTTTCTCTGCAACCTTGCCAGCATGTGCTATATTTTGACTTTTTAATAATAGCCATTCTAAATCATGTGAAATGGTATCTAATTGTGGTTTTGATTTGCATTTCTCTAATGATTAGTGATGTTAAGCATTTTCTTCCTATGCCTATTGGCTATGTATCTGTCTTCTTTTGAAAAGTGTCTGTTCATGCTCATTTTTATTTTTATTTTTTATTTTACTTTAAGTTCTGGGATACTTGTGCAGAACGCACAGGTTAGTTCCATAGGTATACTTATGCCATGGTGGTTTGTTGCACCTATCAACCCATCATCTAGGTTTTAAGCCCTGCATCTTTGTCTACTTTTTAATGAGATTGTTTGTTTTTTGCTTGTTGATTTGTTTCTTATAGATTCTGTATACTAAACCTTTGTTGGATGCATAGTTTGCAAATATTTTCTCCTATTCTGTAGGTTGTCTTACTCTGTTGACAGTGTCTTTTGCTGTGCCGAAGCTCTTTAATTTAATTGGCCTCATTTGTCAATTTTTGTTTTTGTTGCAATTGCTTTTAGCATCTTTGTCATGAAATATTTGCCAAAGCCTATGTTGAGAATGGTGTTTCTTAGTTTATCTTCCAGGACTTTTATAGTTTTACATTTAAGTTGTTAATCCATCTTAAATTAATTTTTGTTATGATGTAAGGAAGGGGTCCAGTTTCAATCTTCTACGTATGGCCAGTCAGTATTTCCAATACCTTTTTTTTTTTTTTAAATAAGGAGTCCTTTTTCCATTGCTTGTTTTTGCTGACTGTGACAATGATCAGATGGTTATAGGTAGGAAGCATTATTTCTGGGCTCTCTGTTGTGTTCCATTGCTCTATGTGTCTGTTTTTCTAACTGTATCATGTTGTTTTGGTTACTATAGTCTTATAGTATAGTTTGAAGTCAAGTAATGTACTGCCTCCCGTTTTATTCTTTTTGCTTAGGATTGTGGGGTTAATCCTAACACTCTTTTTGGTTCCATATTAATTTTAGAATAGTCTTTTCTAATTTTATAAAGAACGTCATTGATAGCTTGATAGGAATGACATTGAATCTACAAATTTCTCTGGACAGTATGGGCACTTTAACAATATTGATTCTATCCATGGAATGTTTTTCTATTCATCTGTATCATTTCTGATTTCTTTGAGCAGTGTTTTGTAATGTTTATTGTAGAGATCTTTCACTTTCCTGGTTAGCTGTATTCCTAAGTATTTTATTCTTTTTGCAGCTATTGTGAATGGGATTGAGTTCTTCATTTGGTTCTCAGCTTGGATGTTACTGGTATATAGAAATGCTACTGATTTTGTACATTGATTTTGGATTTCTATCCTAAAACTTTGCTGAAGTTGTTTATCAGATCCAGGAGCTCTGGGGTATAGAGCCTATGAGGTTTTCTAGGTATAGAATCATATTATCTGCAGAGATAGTTTGACTTCTTTCTTATTTGATTGTCTTTTATTTCTTTCTCTTGCCTGATTGCCCTGGCCAGAACAATGTTAAATAGGAGTGGTGAGAGTGGGCATCTATGTCTTGTGCCAGTTTTCAAGGAAAATGCTTTCACCTTTTGCCCATTCAGTATCACACTGGCTCTGGGTTTGTCGTGGATGGCTTTTATTATTTTGAGGAACATTACTTCAATGCCTAGTATACTGAGGGTTTTTTTTTTTTTTTTTTTTGAGACGGAGTCTCGCTCTGTCGCCCAGGCTGGAGTGCAGTGGCAAAATCTCGGCTCATGGCAAGCTCCGCCTCGTGGGTTCACGCCATTCTCCTGCCTCAGCCTCCCAAGTAGCTGGGACTAGAGGCACCCCCACCGCCAGGCCCGGCTAATTTTTTGTATTTTCAGTAGAGACGGGGTTTCACCATGTTAGCCAGGATGGTCTCGATCTCCTGACCTCCTGATCTGCCTGCCTCAGCCTCCCAAAATGCTGGGAATACAGGCGTGAGCCACAGTGCCCCGCCTCCTGAGGGGTTTTAACATTAAGGAATGTTGAATTTTTTCAAAAGCCTTTTCTGACCATGTGGATTTTGTTTTTAGTTCTGTTTATGTTGTTAATCCATTTATTGATTTGTGTGTGTTCAATCAACCTTGCATCCCAGGGATAAAGTCTACTTGATTGTGATGGATTTGCTTTTTGATGTGCTGTTTGACTTGACTTGCTAGTATTTTGTTGAGGATTTTTGCATTTATATTCATCACAGATATTGCCTGAAGTTTCCTGTCTTTTGGTTGTGTTGACACATTTGGTACTTTTATACTTTCTGTCTCTTAACAAATTCCTGTAGTTTTTAATAGTTTTGTCTTTGATTTTCATACTAAAGATATAATTAATTTTTACATGACCATCACAGTATAAAAATGTTTTGAGGTTGACTACATACTTACTTCTATCAGTGAGTTTCATATTTTTATATATTTTTATTTTGCTGCTTAGTGATCTTATTTTTCTGCTTGAAAGACTCCTTTTAGCATTTCTTGTAAGGCAAGTGTGCTGCTGATAAATACCTTCAACTTTTGTTTGTGTCAGAAAGTTTTCTATCTCCATTCAATTTCTGAGGACAGGATTACTGGCTATAGTATTCTTAGTTAGCATTATTTTTTTCTTTCCGCTTTTTGAATATATCATTGCTGTAGCCTGTTGTTTCTGTTGCAAAATCCACTGAAAGTCTTATAGATGTCCCCTTGTATGTGACAACTTGCTTTTCCCATGCAGCTTTCCATATTCTGTCTTTTTAACTTTTGATAATTTGATTGTATTTTTCCTTGACATAGTTCTCATTAGATTAATACTATTAGATGTCTATTGAGCTTCTTGGATCTGATTTCTATTTTCTTTCCCAGACTTGGGAAATTTTCTGCCACTATTTTTTTGGCATAGGTATTGTGTTACTTTCTGTTTTCTCCTTCTGGTACGTCAACAATGTATATGTATTTTTTAAATTTATGGTTTCTCGTAAGTCCTTTAGGCTGTCTTCACTCTTTTTTATTCATTTCTTTTTTGCTCCTCATCTTGAATGATATCCAATAGTCTGTCTTCAAGTTCACTACTTTTTTTCTTCTGCTTGATCTAGTTTTCTGTTGAATGACTCTATTAAATTTCTTAGTCAAGTTATTAAATTCTTCAGCTTGATTTATATTTGGTACTTTTAAATATTTTCTCTTTATTGAAGTTCAATTTGTTTATGTATTGTTCTCATTACCTTGATGAGCATCTTTCTGATGGTCTTTTTGAATTCTCTGCCAGGTAAATAACATGTATCAATCTTATTAGTGCTGGATTCTGGAGATTTATTTTGTTCTGTTATTTGGAACATATTTCCCATTTGTTTATTTATTTTTTACTATCTTGGTAGTTTCTGCACAGTAGAGAGAAGAAACACCTTTCACAATCTTGTCGGACCAGTCTTGTATAGGAGATGTTTCTCCCGATTTATCCCATTCAGAGATGAGTTTAGGTGCCTCTAAGCTCTTTGTGCTTGTCTAATATGTTGTTTTTGTTCTTAGCGGCCCTCAAGAAATTTGAGAGTGTCAAGTCATGCAATTGCTTTGAGAAAGGTAGGAAGCTAGTCCCTTGGGATACAACTGGAAAACTTAGGGTGTTAGATGCATTTTTCAGTTCCTTCTTTCTTTACAGAGAAGCTGAGAGCCAAAGTTTATATCCCACTCATTCTGCCCTACATGAAGGAGAGGGTCCAAGGCAATGCCCATAGTTTTGATAAGACTGTTTACTTTGAAGCTGGAGAAATAGATGCTGAATGTTTGCAAGTTTAAAAGTTATGTATTTGTTCTTTGTGGTCTAGTTGACACAGGAGTACAAAGCTTAATCAGCTCCCAGAGCCAGTTAATTTAGGAGCCAGTCCCTTGGATGAAAGCTATAAAAGTTGAGGTGTTTGGTTCATGCAGATATGCTTCCAGGGAGAGCCTGCAGGTTTGGATTTATTTCTGGAGCCAGTCGTGGAAGATAGTGTCTTCTCTCTTGTTCAAGCAAGGAGAAATCTCAAACCCTTCTATCCCAGGGAGACTTCTTGTCTGGAGTTGTCACTGAGCAAGCAAAAGAGGACAGCATGTAGAGTATCCACTTCCCCTTTCAGGCACAGACAGGTCCCCAGCCTTCCTTTATTGAGAAGTTGCTGAAATTTACCTCAAGGACAAGCCAGGAATGAAGGTTCAGGGATGTGGTCCCTGCTGTTCTTTCAGGCAGAGACCTCCAGCCTTTTATCATGTAGAGGTTGTAGAGGTAGAATTATTGCTACAGCAAGCTGAAGAAGAAGGTGTGGGAATATTGTGATTTCCATTTAAGCTCAAATAAATTTATTTTTTATTTGCTACACAGGCTCTCAGATACTAGCTTGTTAGAAGCCAGGCCACATAAAGCTGCTGGCAAAGCATGCATCCAAACACTTTCCAGGAGGAATTTGGAAGCTGAGCTGTTCCGGGGGGCTACCGCTGCTAGAAATGTTCATATGGTTCAAAGTGCTCCCTTACTCTTTGTGATTGAAGGAAATCCTCTGATGTCCTGTACCTGCTTTTTGTCAAGTATAGTGATTTAAAAATCAAGTTCTCTGGAGGGACTGTAAAATTTGGATGCTATATGTGTGATACAAGCCCTTCACCCCTCAGGAAAAGCTAGGAATTGGAGTTTTCTTCTTGATTATAAGGTATTATGAGTAGGGTGGGATTCATGTAAAAATTTACCTTTGCTTTTCCTCCCCATTTTAATGTGGATATTTTCTCAGTAGTCTGATGTGTAGGAACTTTTCAACTGGATTTTGGCTATACCTTGAAGACAGTTGATCCACGTGTAGATGTTTATTTGATGTGCCTGTGGAAGGAGGGATAGTCAGGAGCCTCCTATTTGCCCATGTTGCTGATGTCACTGTTACGATACTTCTAATGACAAATGAAAACTCTAAAATTCTACTACCATTGATCTAATGTCCCTATACAACACCTAGATCAATTTTGTCTTTCTAGAAGAGAATTAGATTCAACGACCAATTTATAAGAATATTAACCTCATGTGTTTTCTTACTAAAGAAATGTAGTATGTTGACTGAGTATATGATAACATCTTATAAATGTGTTTCAAATGATGCGGTACCTGGAAATCATCCAAAACACGGTCAATGTTAGAAAAAAATGTGAGGTTTCTGCTCCATAGAAATGATATAGTGTAATGTAGTTCTTTGTGGCAGACTGTTATTCTGACTATGAAAGTTAAAAAATCCAGATACATTTTTAAAAGTCATGTTTTTAAAAGCATAGGAAAAGCCAATAAAGCAAAGGAAGTACTAAGTGTTATGATTTTGGAGAGAAAATATTTTGAGAGAAAAGCTGATAATCTATGGCTTCTTTTTCTCTGGGACAATTATCAACTCTAGACACTGGAAAAAGATTAGAAATTCAGATTTGGACCAGACAAAGTTCATTACTGAGGAAGAGATATTTGTAAAGTTTTTGATGGTCTTGCTAGGGTAGAATAGAAGATTTATAGTCTTAAACACCTCCAACACAAAGCCAAATTTGTTTCAAGATATTTGATGAATTTTGAAGTTACGCATGGAAAGTGACTAAAGGCCAACTGGAAAGACTCTGAAAGTAAGAATGGAGTTTCCAGAAATCTTGTGGTACCAAAGAGAAATCTTTGTGAGAGAAGAGTTGTGATGATTAAACCAATTCTTCAGTTGAAGTTGCTCAGTAACCAACTTACCCTTTATATGACTAGGAAATAAATGGAAAAACTCTCTGGAACACTATAATATTATTTAGAGACTCTAAAATTATTTTATCATGCTGTGTAATAAATAATGTGACCAATGACCACGGATATATTAAGGAAATCAAGAAAAATAAGAAGATATAAGTTATGATCTGGATTTTGGAGTTATCAGAGGAAGAGTTTAAAATAATCATGGTTAATATTTAAAGGAAAATATTGGAAAAAAATGGAAAAATATTGACAGATTGTAAAATTTACTATAAAATAGAAATTTTTTTTAAAAATTAGACGAACTTTCTATTACTGATTTTTAGAAATCTGAAATAAAGAACCTTATGAATCAGTTTAAGAAATGTGAGAAATGCTTAAGTCTAACATATGTGAAAGTGGAAGAGGAGGAGCAGAGTAATATTTGAAGAAATAGTGGCTGAGAATTTTCCAAAACCATTAAAACTGTTACCCCAGAGACAACAATCTATGAAAGCTAGAAACAATAAATACAAAACAATACAAAAGGATGGGGCAATACCAGTGACATCTAGGTATATCATAACAAAAGTTTAGAAATGAAAGACAAAAACAAATCTTAAAAGTTCCAAGAGGAAATTAATATATTGCATTCCAAAAGTAAAAATAACACTGCAAACTAATTTTTCAAAAAATTGTGGAAGGTAGATGGTGATAAAATGTTATCTTTAAACACATAAACACACACAAATGCACACACCTGCTAACTCTAAATTTTATACCTAGCAAAAATCCTGCAAATATATCAGCGATGTAAAGATGTTTGGCTGCAAATAAAACTAAAAAATTTTAACGCAAACACATTTGCATTAACACACACACTCAGATATATAATAAGTAGTAATAGAAATACTTTGCATTACACTATAAAATTAATAATGCATTTTTAATATGGGTAACATATGTATAACTAAGTAGTTAATGGAAAAAGAGTACTCAAATTATTTGATTGATCTAAACGAATAAAAGAGGTGTTTATCAAAGAGATGGTATAGTATGAAAACAAATAGTAAAATGATTGCTACAAAACCAAATGTACAAATATGTACACTATATATCGATGGAAAATATCCTCTAATTAAAAGACTAAGGCTTTGAAGCTGGGGAAAAATAACAAAAAACAAAAAAAGCAAACAGACAAAACTATATACTGCTTACAAGAGACACATTTTATGTAAAAGATGTAGAACTGGAAAAAGAATGCATGGCAGATATACTATGCAAATATTAAGGCAAAGACTTCTAGTTTGTTATGGGGCAATTAACCACTTCAAATATGTAAAACAAAATTTGGCAGAATTAATGGATTAAAGAGATGAATCCATCCCAGCACTTTAGAAGGCCAAGGTAGGCAGATCACGAGGTCAGGAGATTGAGACCATCCTGGTCAACATGGTGAAACCTCATCTCTACTAAAATACAAAAAATTAGCCAGGCAGGGTGGCGTTCGCCTGTAGTTTCAGCTACTTGGGAGGCTGTGGCAGGGGAACTGCTTGAACCCAGGAGCTGGAGGTTGCAGTGAGCTAAGATTGAATCACTGCATTCCAGCCTGGTAACAGAGCAAGACTCTGTCTTTAAAAAAAAAAAAAAAAAAGAGATTAATCCACATTCATGCTGGGGGACTTTAGCACTTTTGTGTGAATAGTTTATAGAACAAAGGCAAAAATAATCAGTAAAAAAAAAGAAAGTCTGAGTCCCAAATCTAAAAAAAAACTTATTGATATATAAAGAACAATGAATCCTGCTATAAGACAATAATTTTTTTTTCAAGTTCACATGAAACATTTCGTAAAATATACTCTCTGGGTCACAAAGCTAACTTCAAAAAATTTTAAAAGACTTTAAATGACTCAAAGTATCCCTGAATTCCCTTAGAAATCAATAATCAAAAATATACAGCTGCCTGAAAATTAAGCAACATACTTGTATATAATCATGAGTAAAATAAGAATTTATGTATGAAATTATTTATGATGTTTAATTGAATGGAATTGTATATGTGATCTACCTAAATTTATGGGATGTAGATAAACAGTTCTTGGTAGAAAATTTATATTTTAATGTATATTTGCAAAAAAAGTGGTGGAAAATAAACGACCTATACTTTTACTCCAATAAGTTCAAAAGGAATATGAACCTGAAAAAGTGTAACATGTGGATAATAAGAGCAGAAGTACGTCAGAAAAATACATGAAAGCTGAAGGTTATTTCTTTTAAAAGATTAGTAAAATTGTGCAAACAGTTTAAAAATTCATCCTCACAACTAAACAGAGGGACATCACTACAGACCCTATAGACATTGGAATGAAGACCAAGATACTCATGTTCATGCGTTAGAAATGTTTAATATTGTAAATATATTAATTCAGTGCAATCCAAAGTCAAAATTCCAGTATTTATCTGGTAGAAATTGGTAATCTATTTCTAAAAATTAAAGTCCCCAAAATAGCCAGTGAATTCTTAAATAAGAAAATAAAGATGGAGGAGGTACACTGCCATATAACCAACCTATTTGAAGGTCAAAAATTAAGAGTACATAAATGGTACAAAGATAGAAAATAAAGCAATTGGACAGAATAGTGAGTCTAGAAACAGATACACCCATATATCACAAGATGACACTTCAGCACAGTGGAGAAAAGTTGATATTTCCAGTAAGTTGTGGTGTCAATTAAATATTCATATCTACAAAACAAATAAAGAAATTTACTTCAGCCATGTTAAGAATCAAATTCAGAATGTTAAAAAGCATAGCAACAAAGCTTTTTGGGATTAAAAAATGAGAATATCAATGTTGACTTGGATTAAGCAAACCTTAAAAAAGATACAAAAAAAGGAAGAAAAAATAGGCCAAAATAAAATTTAAAATTTTGTATTAAAATGCTATTGAAATAGTGAAAAAACAGGCCATATAGTAGAAGATATTTTCAACATGAATATCTGATGAATGAGGCTTATCAAAATATATAAGAAATTTCAACAAATTAATGTCAAATACAAAATACATGCCAATATGAAATGTGCAAGACTTATATATTTACCACACAAAGGAGAATATCCACATGTTCAATAAACATGTGAAAATGGTGCTACAGCTAAAGCAGTGTTTAGAGGAAAATTTATAGCACTAAATGCCCACATGAGAAAGCAGGAAAGATCTAAAATTGACTCTCTAACATAACAATTAAAACAAGTAGAAGCAAAAGCAAATGAATTCAAAAGCTAGCAGAAGACAAGAAATAACTAAGATCAGAGAAGAACTGAAGGAAATGGAGACAAAAAATCCCTTCAAAAAATCAATGAATCAAGGAGCTGGTTTTTCAAAATGATTAACAAAATAGATAGACTGCTAGCCAGTTTAATAAAGAAGAAAAGAGAGAAGAACCAAATAGACACAATAAAAAATGATAAAGGGAAGATTACCACTGCTCTCACAGAAATACAAACTACCATCAGAGAATACCATAGACACCTCTACACAAATAAACTAGAAATTCTTGAAGAAGTGGATAAATTCCTGGACACATAAAGCCTCCCAAGACTAAACCAGGAAGAAGTCGAATCCCTGAATAGACCAATAACAAGTTCTGAAATTGAGGCAGTAATTAGTAGCTTACCAAGCAATAAAAACCCAGGACCAGACAGATTCACAGACAAATTCTACCAGAGGTACAAAGAGGAGCTGGTACCATTCCTTCTAAAACTATTCCAAACAATAGAAAAAGAAGGACTCCTCCCTAACTCATTTTATGAGGCCAGCATCATCCTGATAGCAAAACCTGGCAGAGACACAACAAAAAAAAGAAATTTCAGACCAATATCCCTAATGAACATTGTTGGGAAAATCCTCAATAAAATATGGGCAAAGTGAATCCAGCAGCACATCCAAAAGCTTATCTACCATGATCAACTTGGCTTCATCCCTGGGATGCAAGACTGGTTCAACATACGCAAATCAATAAATGTAATCCATCACAGAGATAGAACCAATGACAAAAACCACATGATTATCTCAATAGATGCAGAAAAGGCCTTTGATAAAATTCAACATCAATTCATGCTAAAAACACTCAATAAACTAGGTATTGATGGAACACATCTCAAAATAGTAAGAGCTATTTATGACAAACCCACAGCCAATATCTTACTGAATGGGCAAAAGCTGGAAGCATTCCCTTTGAAAACTGGCACAAGACAAGGATGCCCTCTCTCTCCACTCCTATTCAACATACTATTGGAAGTTTTCGCCAGGGAAATCATGTAAGAGAAAGAAATAAAGGGTATACAAATAGGAAGAGGGGAAGTCAAATTGTCTCTGTTTGCAGATGACTTGATTGTATACTTAGAAAACCCCAATGTCTCAGCCCAAAACTCCTTACTCTGATAAGCAAAGTCAGCAGAGTCTCAGGATACAAAATCAATGTGCAAAAATCACAAGCATTCCTATACACCAATAATAGACAAACAGAGAGCCAAATCATGAGTGAACTCCCATTCACAATTGCTGCAAAGAGAATAATATCCCTAGGAATAAAACTTATAAGGATATGAAAGACCTCTTCAAGGAGAAGTACAAACCACTGCTCAAGGAAATAAGAGAGGACACAAACAAATGGGAAAATATTCCATGCTCATGAACAGGAAAAATCAATATCATAAAAATAGCCATACTGCTCAAAGTAATTTATAGATTCAATGCTATTTCCATCAAGCTACCATTGACTTTCTTCAGAGAATTAGAAAAACTACCTTAAATTTCATATGGAACCTAAGAAGAGCCCTTATAGCCAAGACAATCATAAGCAAAAAGAACAAAGCTGGAGGCATCGCGCTACCTGACTTCAAACTATACAAGTATACAATAACCAAAACAACATGGTACAGGTACCAAAACAGATATATAGACCAATGGAACAGAACAGAGGCCTCAGAAATAACACCACATATCTACAACCATCTGATCTTCAACAAACCTGACAAAAACAAGCAATGGGGAAAGAATTCCCTATTTAATAAATGGTATTGGGAAAACTTTCTGCCATATGCAGAAAACTGAAACTGGACACCTTCCTTACACCTTATATAAAATTAACTCAAGATGGATTAAAGACTTAAATGTAAGACCTAAAACCATAAAAACCCTATAGAAAACCTAGGCAGTACCATTCAGGACATAGGCATGAGCAAAGACTTCATGACTAAAACACAAAAAGCAATTCCAACAAAAGCTGAAATTGACAAATGGGATCTAGTTAAACTAAAGAGATTCTGCACAACAAAAGAAACTATCATTAGAGTGAACAGGAAACTTAAAGAATGGGAGAAAACTTCTGCCATCTATCCATCTGACAAAATGCTAATATTCAGAATCTACAAGGAACTTAAATTTACAAGAAAAAAACAAACAACCCCATCCAAAAGTGGGTGAAGGATATGAACAGACACTTCTCAAAAGAAGACATTTATGTGGCCAACAAATATATGAAAAAAAGCTCATCATCACCGGTCATTAGAGAAATGCAAATCAAAACCACAATGAGATACTATCTCATGCCAGTTAGAATGGCAATCAAAAAATCAGGAAACAACAGATACTGGAGAGGATGTGGAGAAACAGGAACGCTTTTATTTTACATTGTTGGTGGGAGTGTAAATTAGTTCAACCATTGTGGAAGACAGTGTGGCAATTCCTCAAGGATCTAGAACCAGAAATACCATTTGACCCAGCAATCCCATTACTGGGTATATACCCAAAGGATTATAAATCATGCTACTCTAAAGAAACATGCACACATATGTTTGTTGCAGCACTATTTACAATAGCAAAGAGTTGGAACCAACACAAATGCTCATCAATGACAGATTGGATAAATAAAATGTGGCAAATATACACTATGGAATACTATGCAGCCATAAAAAAGAATGAGTTCCTGTCTTTTGCAGGGACATGGATGAAGCTGGAAACCATCATTCTCAGCAAACTGACACAGAAACAGAAAAACAAACACAGCATGTTCTCACTCATAAGTGGGAGTTGAACAATGAGAACACATAGACACGGGGAGGGGTACATCACGTACCCGGGACTGTCAGGGGGTGGGGTGCAAGGGGAGGGTTGGCATTAGGAGAAATACCTAATGTAGATGATGGGTTGATGGGTGCAGCAAACAACCATGGCATATGTATACCTATGTAACAAACCTGCACGTACTGCTCATGTTTCCCAGAACTTAAAGTATAGTTAAAAAAAAAGAAGATGCTAAACTTTAATCATCATCAGGAAAATGGAATTTAACACAACCCTGCAATGCTAACACACATTTACCCAAATATCTAACAATTGAAAAAAACTGAAAATACCTTGTGTTAATGAGGATGTGGATCAAATGGAAATATAATACATTGTTAGCAGACTTATAGAAAAATTACTCTGTATAATTATTTTGCAGTATGAATTTGTTAAATGAACAGGTAACTCAACAATTTAATTTCTAGATATATACCGAGAATATGAATATATGTTTTTGAAGAAGCATTCAGGAATGTTTGTAGGCACACAATTAGTAATAGCTCCCAACTAAAAACTGCTCAATTTTTGTGGTGTATATCTAAAATTGAATAGAGAAGTATATTCTACAACAAGTCATATACAACAACACAGTTAACACAGAAACCTAATGCTGAGCAAAAGAAGTCAGGCCCAATAGAGTGTGAACCATCTATAAAGTTAAAAAACAGGCAAAACTCATTAATGGGATTAGAAGTCAGCACAGTGTTTACAATGGTTAAAGAAAGGGGCATACATGGGGCTTTGGGGTGTTGTTAATATTTTATTTCTTAGTCTGGGTGCTATATACATGAGTTTGTTTCTTTTATGAAAATTAATCTTTGAGTTTATGATTTGTGTACTTTTTTATATGAGGTTATTTATTTATTTATTTAGAGACAGAGTCTCACTCTGTCGCCCAGGCTGGAGTGCAGTGGCACGGTCTCAGCTCACTGCCACCTCCGCCTACCAGGTTGAAGTGATTCTCCTGCTTCAGCCTCCTGAGTACCTGGGATAACAGGTGCAGGCCACCATGCCCAGCTAATTTTTGTATTTTTAGTAGGGATAGGGTTTCGCCACATGGTCAGGCTGGTCTCAAACTCCTGACCTCAGGTGACCTGCCGGCCTTGGCCTCCCAAAGTGCTGGGATTACAGGTGTGAGCCACCATGCTCGGCCATGTAATTCAATTTAAAATTTTCCAATCCAAAAATGAAGGTAGGGATTTCTGCTTCTTTTCATGAGAGTAGATGGGAATGAATTTATTTTCCCATTGTAAATATGTAGAAAACTAAACAAAATATATGAAAATACTCTTTTTAGACATTGGAGAGCAGGAAATGCAAAAGTGGGAAAGTGTTCCTTTCAAGTGCTGTGAGTCCTCAATCACCCCAGCTTTTTGCCTGGAGGATCAGTCCAACCTGGTCACCCACGATGTAGTCAGGGAAATCCATCGCAGAGCAGAGTGGTCTCAATGAGTTGAAGTCAAGAGACAGAGATCAGAGTTCAGGGTGGCTGAGGTGGATGAGATCTGCTGATGTGCCTACCCTATTTTCTTATTCATCTGAGAAAAAAATGTTGATTTATTTTTTAGATTACTTCATCCACTGTACATGTTGGAGTTGAGCACTCAAATTATTCTAGCTCATCTAATGTTTGCAAATTATGTATAATAAACAAAAATTTTGTCAAGAAATATATAAAATAATTTAATATTAAAAACAGAATACATTTGAGACTAAAAAAGAAATGTATTTTAAGTTATCTGAAAGTGGCATTGAGTTTCAATAAGCTTTTTCTCTTTAGTTCTACCAAGCCCATAGACCAAACAGACAATCTCTCCCCATCCCATCTCCCACCTTCACTTCCCCCACATACAGCGGGCATTAGAAAGCAGTGGCTTTTCATTTAGTCTGAAGGGATCAGCGTCCTAGAACATATGAATTAGCAGAGCCTCTGAGAAGCCCTATATTGACCTCAGTCATTTTGTTCAGTAATTCTTCAAAAGCAGGCCAGAGGCTCACTGGTGAACATGCTTGCAATACTAATGTTTGTGAAATGGAAAATTTTAGGAAGGGAATTCTATTTCCCTGAGCAAGTTTCCAAGCACTAAACTCTCTTTCAAATAATAAAAGAGGTTAGAGACTAACTTAGGGAACAGATTCAATTTTTCAATGTGGCATTAATAGGGGCAAAGCAAAGAGACAGATTGCATTGACAGAGAAACAAAAATGGATAATGGATTTAATAGCTTGAGTTCTAATGGAAAAAATAACATTCTCCCAGAGATTGTCATATTTTTTAAAAAATGTGGCTACCAATAATAGTACATACATGAACAAAAAAAGCTTACATGGTGGTATATAAATCATTAAAAAGTTTTCAGCAAAATTAAGTAGACAAGCATTTCTGTTTCCTTCTGTATATTATCTCCTTCATTATTCATATCCTCAATAATTTCTTGTATACTTGCATTGAAGATTAACCTGTAGTTTTCAACTTTTTGCTGGTTATAACAAAAAAACACCAATAAGAAGTAACATGAAGCTATTTGGGATGCTAGAATAATTATCTGTAGGCTTTCTTTTTGTAAGTGTGTATAATGAAAATTATTAGATTCAGTATGTGATTACTTGGCCAATTGAGGGATATTTCAGTTTATAATTTTGTTAACAGTCCCTACCTGTTATGTAAGCTAGTCATAAAAGTTCAACCAACCAAAAGCTTTGAAAATTTCATGAGACTGATGGAACTTATAATAATGCACATATAACCACACCAACATTTTGCATATAATTTAAATGAGTAGAGGAAACTTTAAAATATCATATTAAATCCCTTATTTAAACTATAAGGTAATAATTAAGGAACTACATGAGATAAGAATATAATAAAATGTAGAATTAACATTTTATTTTGGTCAAAATGAAAAGAGAAAAATACCTTGAATATAATAATTGATCCTAATGCACAAAAATTCATGAGGACCCAAAAAGATAAGATCTAATAAAAAGCTGATATTTGGGAAAAAATTCAGTTTTGTCAATGTGTAAACAGTAATTGTGATTATTTTACAAATGAAAAATGTGTGAGAGAGAGAGAAAGACAGAGAGAGACAAAGAAATGTGTGGGAGGGAGAAAATAGCAGATCTTGACAAACAGAAAGGGAAGCAAAAAAGTAATGTTAAAAATACCTAATAAGAAGAGACAATAAAAAATTACAAATTAGCAAATTACTTCCTATCATGCTTCATACATCAGATACTTGATGAGATATGTATCAACTCTTTAGTGTTCTATTAACTGGTTTCAATGACTTTGTCATAGTGTTATTGTTCTTTCAGAAGCAATGAAATAAATTAATGAGCATATCAATAAAAACAGTTAATTATGGCAACAATTCAAGCATAAGAAATAGGACAGAAGAAACATCTCAGGTGTTAGTGATCTCAAATCTCAATGAGTGAATGTTACTGTATCTGATTCTGATTTTCCATTGTTAGAGTTTGTTTGTGTCAGTTCAGTATCATATCTTATTAAACATTCATTAAAGACCTGCACCATGCCAGGCAGTATCCAAAAACATTTTATAAATGATTGGAACTTAACTTTTAGAATACTCTGAGAAACAAAAATTTTTTAAATTACTTAGTCATAGAAGCCTATTATGTTCTAAGGTATCATTTACTTAAGAGTTAAATGTGGGCTACATGAAACCTTAAAGATGCAGCTGTTATGTTTACTAGGTTACAGGAATAGGTGCTTTTCTGTCCATAAATACCTTACAAATGTTTCAAACCTTGGCAAAACAAATGAACAAAATTCTTTTAGTAACTGCGTTTCTGTAGAGGAGTAAATGTACTAAGACTATTAAATAACTTACACCTTAACTAAAACTTTTAGGTGGAAACAAAAGACTGGTTAGAAAAAATGTGAAGCTAATTTGGATGTTAGAATTTTTTTGTGTTATTTTATTGGCAGGGTGTGTATGACTAAAATTATTAGATTCAATGTGTGATCAATTGGCTAACCAAGGGACTTTTCAGAACATAATCATGTTAAATGTCTCTTCCTGGTATGTGAGATATGAATTCATACGATATCAACCAGTTTAAAGGCTTTTTTTTAGTGACCAAATTTATCCCCATCTTTACTATTAAAAATCACCTATCAGGATAATTTTTTCTTTTCTCTGCAGTCTGTGCCAGTCATATTTTAGTACATAACTCTATCAAATACACAGGTAATTACTTGTATATTTTCATTGTGTTCTCTCATTGCTTTAGTTGGGGACATTCCTTCAGTATAGTTTTCTATTACAAATGCTAATTTTTATTAGTCCCACATTCATGTGTGGATGTATATAAACCTCTTAGCTAATTTTTTAAAAAAGTGAATTCTTGATGAATCAGAACTAATGAAAGAAGCTTAGTGTGACATGAAATAAATGCAGGTCATGTTGCTGAATGGAAACTTTCAGGAAGGACAAATGAACTCAATGTTGAGATGGAAGAAGACTGTCAACCATTATACTGGTGGCCTCCTGTGAGTTTCATAGAGGCAGCAGAAGGATTTGAGACAGTAATTTTGATTAAAAACATCAAAAGCTATTGTTTCCACTCAATAGATGACCAACCATGTCAGCTAGGTGCTTCTTTTCCAGCCTCGCTTAGGACATACCATGTAGAGGAAAGTGCTAATAATTGAAACTCCCATGACAAATGGCTTAGTGGGTGCCACAGCTTTTCACTCCATACTGGACATGCTCCCTGTTCCACCTGGTAGCCATGCTGCTGTTTTCTCTAGGCCGATGTGCTGACCTTGGTTGTCAAGCATTTCCTCAAGCACAGTTCCTAAGTGCTGGGAATTCATGTTAATTGTCTTGTAGTCCTTGGCTACTGCCCGAACAGAAAACAGCCCAACTTCAACCCATCTATTCTCTCCTAAAGGATACAAAACTGCCCTGTACCCTCTTACCAATTCCTTTTCTGGATTCCTGCCTATACCACACCAGCAGGTAACTCTGAAGAGAGTTTTCGAATTTTTGCTCCAGTTTTTTATTCTTTATGCTAGATCAACTTCTGCTTCTTTTGGCTTAATATTTTGCACAGCTTCAAAAAGTAAAATTTGTCTTTTCAAGTGAAATAAATGAGAACTGCTGCAGGGCACCCACGCAGTTGAGCAGATTTTAGGTTCTTCCATAACCTATTTAGAAAGCAAACTTCCCAGATACATGTTCATACACCATGTTGGAATTAACAATGGGAGAGTAGTATGAGGAGTTGTATAGTTTTCCACCTAGTCATTTGCAAAAATGAAGTTTGTCTCAAAAGATTAGAGAGCTAAATAATTAGGAGTTATAGACACTGTCAAAGCTATTTTTTATATCTCTATTTAGCTATCTATACATGTGTATGTGTGTATATATGTATATTTATATATATGTAGTTTTACTTTTCAAAACAATACCCATGCTGCTGATCTAAAGTGAGAGAGAGAGAGGGGTGGAGGACTGAGAGCAGGTAGTTATAAAGAACAAAGTGCATTTTACTCAGCAAAGCTCTTTGAAGCCAGTGTGTATTACCTGAGTTTGAGATGCTGAGTATTTTGGATATTTGCTCTATGTGGCAAAAACAACAACAACTCATTTTATAGTGTCACAGTATCCCCTAATAATCTGATAGAATAAACTGATAGGCATTAGGGTATATGCGTCATATGTTATATTTCTATTAATGTAAATGTTGAGCTATATAGCCTGCATATTTCAAATTATGCTGCTGGGCATAGAATAAATATTAAGCAACTATTCTTCCTTTGTTCTGTCTCTTCTATTTCTTTTCTGAGATGATTGGTCAAAAGTAGCCAAAGAGGTTCTGGAGAATTTCTTGAAAGGGCTACTGTTGTCACTAATTCATGCCAAATCATCAGAATATAGCAAAAACTTTTTTATCAATCTAAACAATAACATACACCTCAGCAACTTGTATAAAGGAAAATCATCTTATTCAATTTTCATTTAAAATTGTTATATATTCCATAATGTTTATTTGAACTGACACATTTTACTTAGAATAGTCATATTATCATTCAATATCAAACAAGCTATAGAGTACATCATTCAGGCACCTGAATAAAAATGACAGAAAGTGTTAATATGGTAACCACATAGCACCCCAGATAATTTTTTTTTCTATCACTGCATTTTATTGCCAGTGGCCACAGTGTGAAGTTGTAGAAGTTTGGAGAGACATCTGCATACTTAAAGGAGAGAGGAAGAGTATAAAAGTATAGAGCTCATGATCTTCAAACAAAATGTAGAAGAACTTTAAAGTTGAGAATTAACACAGAAATGATATGAGGGAAGGACTCACATACAGAACAAAAATGAAACTTCCTAAGGACAATTTTTGCCTTCTCTCTTATTTTTCTGCATATATTTGTATGTATGTATTTGCATGTATAGCCACATATGCAAATATATAAAAATAGTAACACTGTCGAACTTCTACCAGCTGGATGTGTATTTGAGATTAAAATAAGGTTACGCCTACCAAAATTCAACTCCCCACTGTTAAAGTATAAAATATTTTCCTTTTCAGTTTTATCTTTTCTACCACATTTACCACCAAAATTACTTAAATGAAAATCATGTTTGAACACTAATTTTTTTTCTACAGTCATTTTTTAATCTTAGAGCAAAAAGTTTCAGATTGGAGATTTGTGTTGAATTGTTGTTCTATTATTTGTGAAACATTTTAAAATTTAGGGAGAGTGTTAGAAAAGTGGTAATTGGTGAGTGATTAACAGAACTCTTCTCTGTTAACTTCATTGTTGTGTACACCAGCTTGGGTTGACAAAGTTGGAATTAATAAATGATTGGGCACTGAGCGCAGTGGCTCATGCCTGTAATCGCAGTACATTGGGAGGCTGAGATGGGTGGATCACTTGAGGCCAGGAGTTTGAGACCAGCCTGCCCAACATGGCAAAACCCTGCCTTTGTTAAAAATGCAAATATTAGCTGGGCATGCTGGTGCGCACCTGTAATTACAGCTACTCAGGAGGCTGAGGCACGAGAAACACTTGAACCTGGAAGGGAGAGGTTGCAGTGGGCCCAGACTGTGCCATTGCACTCCAGCCTGGGCAACAGAGCGAGATGCTGTCTCTAAATAAATAAATAAATGTTTGGTAGCATGAACTAATGGCAAATCATCAGAACTGGGGATCAGGATAATGATGGCTTTGATGCTATAGCTATGACTATGGGTAAGTTAACTACCTTCATTGGTACAGTATCCTCATAGCTGTATAATAAGATAATTATCCTATATATTCTCTAAAATGCACTTTTAGAAGTGCAAATCTACCTGATATCCTGTTTAAAAAAGATTTATTTTTAAGCAAACATTTAGCCACATATATGGCAGCTTGACTTGCTCTGTTTAATTTATATCTAGGATACCTATAAATTACTTGAATTCTAGGGCTATTAGTAATTGGTCATTATAAAAAATTTACATTTGGGACAGAATATAAGAAAACGTATATATATATATACACACACATATATATCCATATATATATCCATAGATATATGTATATGGATATCCATATATATCCATATGTATATATACATATATTCCCTGTGTGTGTATATACACACACGATATATTTGCCAGCAAAATAAAATGTCAAAAATGTGTAAAAGAATTACTATTCTGTGTTTTTAAGAAAAGAATGTATTCCAAAAGATTCCTCTGTTTAGAAAGCTACTACAACTTATTAACATAATCTGTAAAACAATTTGCAATATTCATAGTGATTTGAAACAAAATATTTAAATTTGACATAAAATAAAATTAAAGACCAGGTTTATTTTACCCGTAGTTATTCCACCAAGAACTCTCTAGACATTGATTATTCTGAGCCAAGTGAATATTATGTCCAAATATGACATATACTCCATGTGAGAGGTGAAAATTAGTGAATTGTCATAATTTTGGCTGAGCCATGTTTTCATTGCCATTTTACAAATAAGCTTTTCTTGCTAATAGAGAAGCTTGACAATTCTCAGAAACCCAGACTACTTGACTGAAAATTCAATAAGTAAGTTAAGGATAGCAAATGGTAACCAGGCCTTGGGGAGGCTATACGATTTAAATACAACTTTTTTTTGACAGTTTGTAGTATAGCTCTGGTGGTTGGTTTCAAAATCTGTCAAAAAGATATAACTGGACTTAGGAGTTTAGTTTGATTCTTAAACCAAATAATCGGACAGCAGTGTGGCATTACTGCCTTTGGCCGTTCAGAAAAAAAAATCTGAGTTTTGAAAGAGCAAAAGCATTAACATCATCAGATTGCTGCTGTGTACTGGCAGAAAAACTTTCTAAGTTTCACTGCATGAACATTCGGTCAGGGCAATCAGATAATGAAGGCATCTTCACCGATGTCAATAGGACTCGACAATAAACACATCCCCAAAGAAATGATGTTTAACAATTATGTCATATAATGTGATGGGGGAGTCATCAACTTCCATTTGTTTCAATGGTGATTTTACTTTCATTTTCTCAACATCAGTAAAACAGTTGCACCCACATTTGTTATATTGATACTCAAGTAAAACTAAGGAAATTGACACTAGAGTCTCATTGTTTTCTAGTGCCACCAGGTTGCTGCTAAGAATCTATTTTTTAAAAAGGTAAAATTGAACCCGGCGCGGTGGCTCACGCCTGTAATCCCAGTACTTTGGGAGGCCGAGGCGGGCGGATCACGAAGTCAGGAGATCGAGACCATCCTGGCTAACATGGTGAAACCCCATCTCTACTAAAAATACAAAAAAAAAATTAGCCAGGCGTAGTGGCGGGCGCCTGTAGTCCCAGCTACTCGGGAGGCTGAGGCAGGAGAATGGCATGAACCTGGGAGGTGGAGCTTGCAGTGAGCGGAGCTCGCGCCACTGCACTCCAGCCTGGGCGACAGAGTGAAACTTCGTCTTAAAAAAAAAAAAAAAAAAAAAGTAAAATTGAAAAATATATTAGCATTGTGCTTAGAATTGTTTGTGACTGGATACATATTAAAAAATATAATTTATAATTGTATAACTGAGTCACTAGTCTCCAGAGTTTAAGGATGTAATAGAAGTTACATATTTTTTATTCCGCTGTTTGTATTCTGTAATATTTTAGTACCGAACATGTTAGATTTAGCCACTAAATCAACAGGATCCTAATTATTTTCGTGTTTATTTGGAGCAAATAACATCAATAGTAGGAAATATTTATTTTCCACACACTGTACTAAGTACTGTATGTGCATTTTTCATTTGACTCTAAAAATCCTTGCATAAAATAGGTACTACTAATATCTACATTTTATAGCAAGGAGATAGAGGTTTAGAGAAGCTTCATGACTTTTCCAGAGGACAAAGGCAGTAAATGGCATTCATAGGTGACTCTGAATCATGGCCTACCTGGATTTATATAGAGATCTTTCTGCAGGTATTTGATTTCATTACCTAAATAAATAAATACAAAAATAAATATTTGTAGGCCTCCTACTAGATGTTATGTAAGGGATTTGAGATAGCCATCCCATTGGAAAAAACTTATTATTGGTTCAGTCTAAATTTTATAGCAATTAATTCATTGGTGCAAACAAATTATCAAGGAACTCACCTGCCTCCCATTGTGTCATAATTCATTGCACCCATGGCTATTATTTTGAAGACATATGACCCCAAAATGTCACATTATAAGGGACTAGGTAAGATTGTGGCAAATCTCAGTTGAAGGGATTAACATGTGGAAATCAAGCCAGGAAAAGCAGTTCTGATACAGGGCTTTGGGTGAAAAAAAGAGGAGTACTGAAAGAATGTGTAGGGAATCACTTATATATATCTTCTATTAGTCTCTGTTTTCCAAATGACCATTTGTATATTGAGCAAATGAAGAATTTTTTGAAAGCATCATATGTATAATGCTTACAAGACAAAGAAGTAATCATTTTCTCAGAATTCACACTTAAAAGACTAATGCTGAAAATGTCAGAGCTGGGTTAAGGGGAAGACCAGAATGGAAATTGCTCAATATTCTCTAAGCAGTTAAACACCACCAGAAATGTAAGAAGATTTGAAAAAAAAAAAGTATTCCCTAGAACTCTTCTTGTGGAAAGTTCTGTGAGTAGTTTGAAGATGGAATGTTAAAGGTGAAATTTGGCTCCCAACCCCATCTATTTATATAGACTCTCTTCTGAGGAAATTGCAGTCTTCTTCTGTATTAGTCCATTTTTCATACTGCTATAAAGACATACCTGAGAGTTGGTAATTTGTAAAGAAAAGAGGTTTAATTGACTCACAGTTCTGCATGGCTGGGGAGACCTCAGGAAACTGGCATGGTGGAAGGGGAAGAGGCACATCTTAAATGGTGGAATGGAAGAGATAGAGAGCAAGAGCAGGGAAAACTGCCTTATAATACCATCAGGTCTCCTGAGAACTCACTCACTATCACAAGAACAGCATGGGGGAAAACATCCCCGTGATCCAATCACCTCCCAACTGGTCCCTCCCTCAACACGTGGGCATTATGGGGACTACAATTCAAGATGAGATTTGGGTGGGGACACAGCAAAACCATATCATTTGCTAAGTGGAAAATGCAAGTTTGGAGCTTGGAGTTTGGAGATGGCTTCTTCAAGACAATATAGTATTAACACAGCAATTCTTTATTTTCCTTTCTTCCTCTGGTGCACCCTAGCATCCTCCTTATCAAAATGTGTTTATAAGTAGTTTGATGATATATGTTTGAAGAGGTATCAGTTTATGAGACTTCTTAGGGCGCCCATGTGTCTAGTCTAGCCCTGATTATTGAAGACTGGAGGAGACAAAAATATGCCACAGTTTTACATAATTACTTATAATAAAATGAAGAAAATCACGAAACCCCAAATCAACAATAACAAACCAACAAGAAAAGCTTATAATACATTTCTGTTTCCCTCTTTATATTATTTCATCACTTTCATCCTTTGGTACCAGATAAACATTCACTAAATAAATCGTCACAGTGACTCCACCAGGCTAGATCTAGAAAAAGTTTGTCATCTTCTCATAGTGAACCAGATATCTGAGAGAAGACTGACTGCTGTTTAGTTCATATGTTACTGCTTCTAATATTTTCTGGATAATCGTGGGGATATTTACATAGTCTGGGAAATAAATTATATTTATATTTGTGCTGTGCACTATAAAGAAAATTAAGTTTAATTTATATATTTAGTGTCAAGTAGTTAAAACATAAATCCCCAGGTAATAATTGGACTATTTTCAAGAATCATTATAGCCACTGGGTTGAATGTTGGTGATGCAACACAAAATGTATATCCTCTAAAACTATAGGATATCCAAATTAAAGAAACAAAAACATTTTTCCAGATGGCACCAGTATAAAAGATGTTTATATCCCATCAAGTGACATGGAGGGCTATGAAATTCTGTCACTGTAACAGCAGTTTATAAAAAGGCTTTCCCTGGTCACCTGCATCCCTGGTCACCTGCATCCCTAGTCACCTGCAATAGGCACATTGGAATTTTTGAACTTCTCAAATGTGTACAGTTGCAAGTAGAGACAGAAACAGCCAGAGCTTTGCAAACACTATGGAAACAATATTTTAACAGTAGAAGACAAATGCTCTACTTTTAAACATTTGCAAACTTGAAAAATAATTCTCTGCAAATCCATCTTACTTGTATCATTAATGGGTGACACTGGCAGAAATCAGTTTGTAGATGATTGAGAGCCAGAATAACAGAATACACAAACCTAGCTTAGAATAAGAACATTCTCCAGACCCATAATGGACAGAAGAGTTTATCAATTTTCATGAGAAAGATTTAACAGTTAACATCAGAGCACTGATCGATTCCACAGTTCATATGTTCATATGTGTGTTGTATGCATAAAATTCTTTTCTATATTTATACTCAGATTTTAGTTTTATGTTGCAATTAAATTTTTCATTAAGGACCTAAGTTAAATGAAAAGAATACCTTTACAAGTAAGTAATGGAATATTCAGATATTTAAGGGATTATTTTTAGAAATAGGAAAATGCTTTTCAATGTGGCATAAAGAATAAAGTTGCAAGTTTCATGTGTGAAAAGATAGAAAATGTTAAATATGTTTAACTAAAATATTAAAAGATATGATATTGCTAATTTTTGAAGGATGTTATTATTATTACTTTTTTAAAAACAGTTTTCAGTTTTTTAGATGAAAATGCATTTAAAACTTTGAAAACTTAAAAAAGGTTTTCACTTCTGTGAGGAACTGGTTTAGATATTATATTACTATGAGCGAGTGGACCAGACAACTGTATGAGTCCCTGTTTTAGTGTGGAGAGTGAGAATCTGGGTCAACAGCACCATCTAAAGAATAGTGACAAAATGGAATTTGTTTCATTTTACCATATTTAGTCCTTGATTAAGAAAACTACAGCAACAACATGAAAGTTTTTTTTATATTTAAATATAATGTGCTTTTGTTGTTCTTATTGTTACAGAAAAAAGTTGGCATTGATAGTGATTGTGGGCTAAGTTATAAAATTTCTCTTATCCTTTTCCTTCCATCCTGTTCCATGGGCTTCCAATTATCATTGGCATTGTAAATTTGTACTTGCCAAAGACAGAGACAATCATTTATTTAAGTTAGAGATTGTGTTTATAAAAATCAGTGAGGTATTACGTTGGTTCAACCGGTATTGTCCCAAATAAAAAGCATTGCCCCTAAATTTCTAGATGGGTATAGATGGTATAATCTATTTTTGAAAATAGTGCTTGAAATGGAATTGCTTTTAGGACTACCTGCACTCCCTTAGCAACATTAAGCATATTTGGTAGTTTTTGGAAATCATCCCATTTTACTCTAGTCCAATCAGACCTTATTAAGTTTGTCCAAGAAACTTCCAGAAGAAAAATATATTGCCTTTAATAACTCTCCAGTCTTTATTTTTCTTACCCCCAGTTTTTCTCATCCTACACATTTGTGTGTGCATGCATATGCACACACACACAGTCACGATCACACATTCACATGCATACACACCTAGCAGTAAATTATTTTCATCCATTTATCAGTATTTACACCTCAGTGGGTAATTGACTTATCTTTTTGAAAATGTGCTTTCTACTTCTCTCAATCCTATTCAGCTCATTCTTATTTTTTTCTAAGTTTACCTTCAGTCAATCCCTTACAGCCATTTTTCAGGGTAGAAGGATTCTTTACATACTCCTGTCAATCACTCCTGACCCCTATGAAATGATATGATTGTTTTTTTCTGTCTTTTTATTCCTCAGTTTTAATTTGCATTTCTCCTGAATATATTACTTCCCTTTAGTATTGCAGCCTTTGCTTCTTCAGTCCTCCCTAATCCTCAGGATCAGGAGGAAAACACAACCCACCCTCTACTCCCACTTTCAGACCTTTGGCCGCACCATATCTCAAATGCTTTAACTCTGTTGGTATTTATAAAACATCTGCTTAACACGTATCTTCATAATTGCTTACTCTTAATCTTTAAATGAATTTATTTGGAGACTTCAGAAAAAATATTTGACTACTGATGCAGTTAACTTAATGGTTAGATGTCTATTTAGGATTACTGTATCTTATTAGATCAGTTTTTGAAAGTTATACTTTCATAACTAATTGTCTAATTAACATTGACTAACATAATACAGTTTGATGCCTTCTCAAAAATATTTTACTTTTACTGTTATGTTACTTTTTATATTTTTAATGTTTTTAATTTTATTTGCATAAATGCTTCAGTCTTTTGTCTGTTTAATTAAAGATTAATAATAAAGAACTAGCTTTAGATTTGGATAATCTTTTTGCTTCTTCATTTTATATTTTGTCTTATTTCTTTTTATACTTTCTTCTATTTCATTATTTTAAAAATATTTTGAATAAATGCTTTAACTGTTAATTTTTAATTTTTGTTAGTTTTTAATAAATATTTCAACCTGTAAATTTTTAATTTTAGCTATGTACACATGCATATAATATGTAGTGATATTATTGTCTTTTAGTCATAAATATTTTGTAATTTTCATTATGGTTTTCTTTTACTCAAATGTTAATTAGAACTGTTTTAAAAGTTTAGATTTTTTTAATTAAGCTTTCTAAAATGCTACATTTTAGTTTTAAATCAGTATGATCTGAAAAAAAATTTGGAATAATATTTGGTATTTGTAAAATTTGCTTTGCGGGCTAATCTTAATTTGTGTAATTATCCATATAACTAGAAAAGCATATGTACTCTTTAAGTAGTGTGTTCAGAATTCTCTCTCTCTTTCTTTATATCTGTCTATCTATCTATCTAATGATGCAGGAGTTTTTGCTCCATAGTTCAACTAAAATCCAGGTTCTTGTCACATGACCAGAAAAAATTAGGCACATGGTCATATTGAAAGATGAGGAGAGCAGAATTTATTAAAAGAAAGCTCTCAGTGAATAAAAGAGGTCCTGCCAACAGGCTTCCACCTCACATATTGAATACCAGGCCACCACACACGAGCTGAGAGGCCAGGCTCCTCCCCCCTGCATAAGGCGTGAATTCCCAGTGGCTCCACCTCACTCTATCAATATTGCAGGTGGGCCCCCAGCCTGTTGGGGGCATGCTCAGACACCCTGGACAGGTTTCCTCATCTACACAAAAGTATCTGATGTAAACACTTGTGGGGCATGTTGGAGATTCTCCGCGTAACTTCCGTTATCTGCCTCCTGCATCTAATACACACACATACATATATATATATGCCCACATCCGTGCACAAACACACACATTCAACTGTAATCCCAATTTATTATTCAACTCTGTCATTTATTTCACTTTTACTTCTAGTTCTTTGAATCTTGTTTTTTACTAATTACAGGCAACATGTTAAATGTATATAGATTGAGAATTAGTTATATGTTTATGGTAATTTTTTTACTTTATTATTATGCAACAATCCATAATCCTAACATTGCTTTGACCCTTAAGATACATTCAGTCTGGTGGTAATGTTGCTCACCAGTTAGTCCTTGCTTTCTTTTTACCTCTCTCAGTGTGTGTGTATTGAAAATATTATTAAACTTTTTTTGAATAAATTATGCTTTTTGTGTGTTTCCCCCAATGTGGCAATTGCTGTTGTTTAAGAGAGGTATATATATATTTTTATAGTTATTATGACATTGACTATATTTTAATTATTTTATTAGTTACTCTTATATTTTAATTTTCATCTTACATTTACTAAATTATAAATTATAAATATTGCTACCACCACCCTGAACAATACAAAGCCGCATAATATCTGAAGTCAAAACAACTTCCCAATGAATTCTTTCATTTTATTGTTGTCTAGTACTTTAGTCCTACTTTGATTTTTACTTCTGCTAAAGCAATCATTCCTGTTTTTGTAGTTAGTATTTATTTAGAATTTCCAATAGCCTTTCTTAAGACTTCAATTTCCTTCTTAACAAATATTTAAGAATATTAACATTCATTTCAAGGCATGAAAGTTATGTATTGGCTCTGTTTGAAAATGTCTTTATTTTCTCATTTTTCTATGATAAGCATGTGGCTGGATATTGAATTCTAGGTTGAGAGTTTTTTCCCCAGCATTTGAAATATTAATTTGTCTTTTGAAATCTTTTTGTTTATAAGAATTATGCTTTCATCTAAATTTTAATGAGCCCTAGGCATAAAATTGGGGCTTTTTTTTCTGGTTGTATTTATCTTTAGTGTTACTATAATATACCTAAAGGTACCTTTATTTATATTTATTTCCCTTAGAATTATGTCACTTCTAAGATAGATATCACCAATTCAAAATTAGCTTATTTTCTATACGTTTATGTATTTTCATTTTTGCATTGCCTATTATGCACTTTTTTTTTTAAGATAGAACTTCTTTTAAAAAGTGGTTGCTCTAAGAGCTAGATATATGTCTTCCACTTTCAACAGGCAACATAGTGTTAAACTTGTACCACTTCATGTACAGTGCAATAGCTTTACAACTGTATAGGTAAATTTACATTCCCTGATTGTCCCTGCCCCTGCAACAATTGTTTCTGTTGTAGCTGTTACAGGAAAGGGGTCCTGATCCAGACCCCAAGAGAGAGTTCCTGGATCTCACGCAATAAAGAATTCAGTGCGACTCCACAGTGCAAAGTGAAATCAAGTTTATTAAGAAAGTAAAGGAATAAAAGAATGGCTACTCCATAGACAGAGAAGCCCTGAGGGCTGCTGTTTGCCCACTTTAATGGTTATTTCTTGCTAATATGCTAAACAAGGGGTGGATTATTTATGCCTACCCTTTTTAGACCACATAGGGTAATTTCCTGACATTGCCATGGCATTTGTAAACTGCCGTGGTTCTGGTGGGAGTGTAGCAGTGAGGACGATCAGAGGTCACTCCTGTTGCCATTTTGGTTTTGGTGGGTTTTGGCCGGCTCCTTTACTGTAAACTGTTTAATCAGGAAGCCCTTTATAACCTGTATTTTGTGCTGACCTCATATCTCATCCTGTGACTTAGAATGCCTTAACCATCTGGGAATGCAGCCCAGTAGGCTTCAGCCTCATTTTACCCAGCTCCTATTTAAGATGGAATTGCTTTGGTACACACACTTCTGACATTTCCCCCCTTCCTTTCACAAGAGAACCCTTAATCCTAAGGGTTGCAGAGGGACAAAGACTCATCTTCTGTAACTTCTTCAGGCTGAATAGGGGCAATGATATACCTGCCTAACTATGAGGGTCTCTTGCATTCAGGGTAGAGAGAACCTCAGTCAGAAACCATCAGTATAGTAAGGTCCATTTATAACTCTTGAGTTTTGACAAAGGGTGATATCTGGAAGATTAATAAGCGTTTAAGAAAACATTCAGTAAATTTGTCCTGTATTCCTACACAAAGACTGTAACAGCAATATATTCCACAAGAGTAAAGCAAAATAAATAAAGTTATTCCAAGTAAACTAAATTAGAAAGCTTTCCATGAACTGGGCATCTGTTGTAACCAAACTGATATGGGGTTGCTAGATGACTACAATACATACCCAGGGTTAGCATATTGATTCAGATTTTTACATTACCCAACCCTCTTATTTCTTCTGAGTAGCCAACAGAGTTTACCAGTTGTTTCACAGGAGTAAGCAGGGTTAACCTAAGTTGCAGAAACAAACTTAAAAACAACTAATGAGACAGTAATTTAATGACAAGTATACCATAGTTCTTGAGACATATATTTCTCTCTAGAGTTTCCCATTTTTACTTAAAATAAGTCATGGTAAGACTGATTTTCTTTATTACTGTTGGCCTGATTATTTGTATAAAGTGCAGCAAAAATAATTAGTTTTCATATAGGCTCTGTGTGTGTGTGTGTGTGAGAGAGAGAGAGAGAGAGAAATACTGGTTTTTATTGGTTGGCACAAGATTACAACCTACAGTTTCAATGCCCTTCCCTTCCACACAGCTCAAGTGGAAGGAAACTGATTAACGCATAGAAAGGAACGGCAGGCTCACAGGTTTAAGCATTTGTTTTTACAAAAAGGAGCGAGATATGGGGGTGGTCACGTTTTACAGACAGTAACAATATTCTCTCTAGATTGCAGGGCATAAGTCTGCCTGTCCCCTGTTGCTGGTACGACATAAGGGACACATTAGTAAAGTAGGGAAAGGGGTTATATGTGTGGCTGGCCTGTTCTTAAGAGAGGAAGGTGGGATGGTATCTGGTGTGTACCTGTCTCGGACCAAACCTGGGGCTGGACCAGTGTCCCTTTCTTCTCAGCCCTCCTCCACAACCTGACTGTACTATCAGCCACACCCATGGGAAGGAGGTATGAAGGAAGGCTGAGAACATCCGCCTTGAGAAAAGGAAACAGGAAAACTATTTCCTTCCACCTTCTCTGGACAATATTCCACTCCCCTCAGCTCCAGAAAGCACTGCAAAAATCTTCCTTAGGAACGCTGTGAAGACACAGGGAAGAGGCCCACCCAGACAGGTGGTCCTGAGTGGGCAAGAAGAAAAGCTTGACTTTCCATGCAGTACCAAGCAAGGTTGTTTTGGAAACAAGCAAACAAACAAAAAATGGAAACCAAGACCATATACCCACAGGTTGGGTAGCTCCTAAATCCTGGAGAGCATTTGAATTGGGGGTAAGGGCAATTTTACTCCAGCTCCTTGTTTTATAACCCACACCAGGTGCCAAGAGGTTTAAGGACCACAACTGACCTCTCTTTCCCTACAAGCACCATTTCTTGGATTCCCAGTTTTGTTGAGCTAATTTGGGGTCATCCTTGCCTTCCTCTTCAAAAATGACTCTGCTTGTTGGTTATTCAATTTTCTACCCCTTTCTACAATTTTGAACACTCTGTCTAAACAGGAGATCTATATATGCTGTCATCCTGCAGTCCAAGGGATTAGGTGACCTAATGATGAGAAGGCTAACTTATTTGCTTTCCTGTGTGCTCCTGATGGAAATGAACAGCAGCAGAGTTCTGGTGGGATAGAGCAGTCTAGTCTGAGCCACTGTGTGATTCCCCAGGGGACTGGTCCCTGGGTACATGGGTCCCTGGCTCTCTGTTTCAGTTCCAGAGACATTACTCAACTTGGCATTTAAGCCTCAGCTAAAACATATGAGCATGAGGGGAAAGGGACAAGAAATACTTTTGCCTCTGGAAAAACATTTTTTTTTTTTTTTTAATTTTTTTTAATTTTTTTTAATTTTTTTTTTTTTTATTATACTCTAAGTTTTAGGGTACATGTGCATATTGTGCAGGTTAGTTACATATGTATACATGTGCCATGCTGGTGCGCTGCACCCACTGACGTGTCATCTAGCATTAGGTATATCTCCCAATGCTCTCCCTCCCCCCTCCCCCGACCCCACCACAGTCCCCAGAGTGTGATATTCCCCTTCCTGTGTCCATGTGATCTCATTGTTCAATTCCCACCTATGAGTGAGAATATGCGGTGTTTGGTTTTTTGTTCTTGCGATAGTTTACTGAGAATGATGGTTTCCAATTTCATCCATGTCCCTACAAAGGACATGAACTCATCATTTTTTATGGCTGCATAGTATTCCATGGTGTATATGTGCCACATTTTCTTAATCCAGTCTATCATTGTTGGACATTTGGGTTGGTTCCAAGTCTTTGCTATTGTGAATAGTGCCGCGATAAACATACGTGTGCATGTGTCTTTATAGCAGCATGATTTATAGTCCTTTGGGTATATACCCAGTAATGGGATGGCTGGGTCAAATGGTATTTCTAGTTCTAGATCCCTGAGGATTCGCCACACTGACTTCCACAATGGTTGAACTAGTTTACAGTCCCACCAACAGTGTAAAAGTGTTCCTATTTCTCCACATCCTCTCCAGCACCTGTTGTTTCCTGACTTTTTAATGATTGCCATTCTAACTGGTGTGAGATGATATCTCATAGTGGTTTTGATTTGCATTTCTCTGATGGCCAGTGATGATGAGCATTTCTTCATGTGTTTTTTGGCTGCATAAATGTCTTCTTTTGAGAAGTGTCTGTTCATGTCCTTCGCCCACTTTTTGATGGGGTTGTTTGTTTTTTTCTTGTAAATTTGTTTGAGTTCATTGTAGATTCTGGATATTAGCCCTTTGTCAGATGAGTAGGTTGCAAGAATTTTCTCCCATGTTGTAGGTTGCCTGTTCACTCTGATGGTAGTTTCTTTTGCTGTGCAGAAGCTCTTGAGTTTAATTAGATCCCATTTGTCAATTTTGGCTTTTGTTGCCATTGCTTTTGGTGTTTTGGACATGAAGTCCTTGCCCACGCCTATGTCCTGAATGGTAATGCCTAGGTTTTCTTCTAGGGTTTTTATGGTTTTAGGTCTAACGTTTAAATCTTTAATCCATCTTGAATTGATTTTTGTATAAGGTGTAAGGAAGGGATCCAGTTTCAGCTTTCTACATATGGCTAGCCAGTTTTCCCAGCACCATTTATTAAATAGGGAATCCTTTCCCCATTGCTTGTTTTTCTCAGGTTTGTCAAAGATCAGATAGTTGTAGATATGCGGCATTATTTCTGAGGGCTCTGTTCTGTTCCATTGATCTATATCTCTGTTTTGGTACCAGTACCATGCTGTTTTGGTTACTGTAGCCTTGTAGTATAGTTTGAAGTCAGGTAGTGTGATGCCTCCAGCTTTGTTCTTTTGGCTTAGGATTGACTTGGCGATGCGGGCTCTTTTTTGGTTCCATATGAACTTTAAAGTAGTTTTTTCCAATTCTGTGAAGAAAGTCATTGGTAGCTTGATGGGGATGGCATTGAATCTACAAATTACCTTGGGCAGTATGGCCATTTTCACGATATTGATTCTTCCTACCCATGAGCATGGAATGTTCTTCCATTTGTTTGTGTCCTCTTTTATTTCCTTGAGCAGTGGTTTGTAGTTCTCCTTGAAGAGGTCCTTCACATCCCTTGTAAGTTGGATTCCTAGTTATTTTATTCTCTTTGAAGCAATTGTGAATGGGAGTTCACTCATGATTTGGCTCTCTGTTTGTCTGCTGTTGGTGTATAAGAATGCTTGTGATTTTTGTACATTGATTTTGTATCCTGAGACTTTGCTGAAGTTGCTTATCAGCTTAAGGAGATTTTGGGCTGAGACGATGGGGTTTTCTAGATAAACAATCATGTCGTCTGCAAACAGGGACAATTTGACTTCCTCTTTTCCTAATTGAATACCCTTTATTTCCTTCTCCTGCCTGATTGCCCTGGCCAGAACTTCCAACACTATGTTGAATAGGAGTGGTGAGAGAGGGCATCCCTGTCTTGTGCCAGTTTTCAAAGGGAATGCTTCCAGTTTTTGCCCATTCAGTATGATATTGGCTGTGGGTTTGTCATAGATAGCTCTTATTATTTTGAAATATGTCCCATCAATACCTAATTTATTGAGAGTTTTTAGCATGAAGGGTTGTTGAATTTTGTCAAAGGCTTTTTCTGCATCTATTGAGATAATCATGTGGTTTTTGTCTTTGGCTCTGTTTATATGCTGGATTACATTTATTGATTTGCGTATATTGAACCAGCCTTGCATCCCAGGGATGAAGCCCACTTGATCATGGTGGATAAGCTTTTTGATGTGCTGCTGGATTCGGTTTGCCAGTATTTTATTGAGGATTTTTGCATCAATGTTCATCAAGGATATTGGTCTAAAATTCTCTTTTTTGGTTGGGTCTCTGCCCGGCTTTGGTATCAGAATGATGCTGGCCTCATAAAATGAGTTAGGGAGGATTCCCTCTTTTTCTATTGATTGGAATAGTTTCAGAAGGAATGGTACCAGTTCCTCCTTGTACCTCTGGTAGAATTCGGCTGTGAATCCATCTGGTCCTGGACTCTTTTTGGTTGGTAAACTATTGATTATTGCCACAATTTCAGAGCCTGTTATTGGTCTATTCAGAGATTCAACTTCTTCCTGGTTTAGTCTTGGGAGAGTGTATGTGTCGAGGAATGTATCCATTTCTTCTAGATTTTCTAGATTATTTGCATAGAGGTGTTTGTAGTATTCTCTGATGGTAGTTTGTATTTCTGTGGGATCGGTGGTGATATCCCCTTTATCATTTTTTATTGTGTCTATTTGATTCTTCTCTCTTTTTTTCTTTATTAGTCTTGCTAGTGGTCTATCAATTTTGTTGATCCTTTCAAAAAACCAGCTCCTGGATTCATTGATTTTTTGAAGCGTTTTTTGTGTCTCTATTTCCTTCAGTTCTGCTCTGATTTTAGTTATTTCTTGCCTTCTGCTAGCTTTTGAATGTGTTTGCCCTTGCTTTTCTAGTTCTTTTAATTGTGATGTTAGGGTGTCAATTTTGGATCTTTCCTGCTTTCTCTTGTGGGCATTTAGTGCTATAAATTTCCCTCTACACACTGCTTTGAATGCGTCCCAGAGATTCTGGTATGTTGTGTCTTTGTTCTCGTTGGTTTCAAAGAACATCTTTATTTCTGCCTTCATTTCGTTATGTACCCAGTAGTCATTCAGGAGCAGGTTGTTCAGTTTCCATGTAGTTGAGCGGCTTTGAGTGAGATTCTTAATCCTGAGTTCTAGTTTGATTGCACTGTGGTCTGAGAGATAGTTTGTTATAATTTCTGTTCTTTTACATTTGCTGAGGAGAGCTTTACTTCCAACTATGTGGTCAATTTTGGAATAGGTGTGGTGTGGTGCTGAAAAAAATGTATATTCTGTTGATTTGGGGTGGAGAGTTCTGTAGATGTCTATTAGGTCTGCTTGGTGCAGAGCTGAGTTCAATTCCTGGGTATCCTTGTTGACTTTCTGTCTCATTGATCTGTCTAATGTTGACAGTGGGGTGTTAAAGTCTCCCATTATTAATGTGTGGGAGTCTAAGTCTCTTTGTAGGTCACTCAGGACTTGCTTTATGAATCTGAGTGCTCCTGTATTGGGTGCATAAATATTTAGGATAGTTAGCTCCTCTTGTTGAATTGATCTCTTTACCATTATGTAATGGCCTTCTTTGTCTCTTTTGATCTTTGTTGGTTTAAAGTCTGTTTTATCAGAGACTAGGATTGCAACCCCTGCCTTTTTTTGTTTTCCATTGGCTTGGTAGATCTTCCTCCATCCTTTTATTTTGAGCCTATGTGTGTCTCTGCACGTGAGATGGGTTTCCTGAATACAGCACACTGATGGGTCTTGACTCTTTATCCAACTTGCCAGTCTGTGTCTTTTAATTGCAGAATTTAGTCCATTTATATTTAAAGTTAATATTGTTATGTGTGAATTTGATCCTGTCATTATGATGTTAGCTGGTGATTTTGCTCATTGGTTGATGCAGTTTCTTCCTAGTCTCGATGGTCTTTACATTTTGGCATGATTTTGCAGCGGCTGGTACCAGTTGTTCCTTTCCATGTTTAGCGCTTCCTTCAGGAGCTCTTTTAGGGCAGGCCTGGTGGTGACAAAATCTCTCAGCATTTGCTTGTCTATAAAGGATTTTATTTCTCCTTCGCTTATGAAGCTTAGTTTGGCTGGATATGAAATTCTGGGTTGAAAATTCTTTTCTTTAAGAATGTTGAATATTGGCCCCCACTCTCTTCTGGCTTGTAGGGTTTCTGCCGAGAGATCCGCTGTTAGTCTGATGGGCTTCCCTTTGTGGGTAACCCGACCTTTCTCTCTGGCTGCCCTTAACATTTTTTCCTTCATTTCAACTTTGGTGAATCTGACAATTATGTGTCTTGGAGTTGCTCTTCTCGAGGAGTATCTTTGTGGCGTTCTCTGTATTTCCTGAATCTGAACGTTGGCCTGCCTTGCTAGATTGGGGAAGTTCTCCTGGATAATATCCTGCAGAGTGTTTTCCAACTTGGTTCCATTCTCCACATCACTTTCAGGTACACCAATCAGACGTAGATTTGGTCTTTTCACATAGTCCCATATTTCTTGGAGGCTTTGCTCATTTCTTTTTATTCTTTTTTCTCTAAACTTCCCTTCTGGCTTCATTTCATTCATTTCATCTTCCATTGCTGACACCCTTTCTTCCAGTTGATCGCATCAGCTCCTGAGGCTTCTGCATTCTTCACGTAGTTCTCGAGCCTTGGTTTTCAGCTCCATCAGCTCCTTTAAGCACTTCTCTGTATTGGTTATTCTAGTTATACATTCTTCTAAATTTTTTTCAAAGTTTTCAACTTCTTTGCCTTTGGTTTGAATGTCCTCCCATAGCTCAGAGTAATTTGATCGTCTGAAGCCTTCTTCTCTCAGCTCGTCAAAATCATTCTCCATCCAGCTTTGTTCTGTTGCTGGTGAGGAACTGCGTTCCTTTGGAGGAGGAGAGGCGCTCTGCGTTTTAGAGTTTCCAGTTTTTCTGTTCTGTTTTTTCCCCATCTTTGTGGTTTTATCTACTTTTGGTCTTTGATGATGGTGATGTACAGATGGGTTTTCGGTGTAGATGTCCTTTCTGGTTGTTAGTTTTCCTTCTAACAGACAGGACCCTCAGCTGCAGGTCTGTTGGAATACCCTGCTGTGTGAGGTGTCAGTGTGCCCCTGCTGGGGGGTGCCTCCCAGTTAGGCTGCTCGGGGGTCAGGGGTCAGGGACCCACTTGAGGAGGCAGTCTGCCTGTTCTCAGATCTCCAGCTGCGTGCTGGGAGAACCACTGCTCTCTTCAAAGCTGTCAGACAGGGACACTTAAGTCTGCAGAGGTTACTGCTGTCTTTTTGTTTGTCTGTGCCCTGCCCCCAGAGGTGGAGCCTACAGAGGCAGGCAGGCCTCCTTGAGCTGTGGTGGGCTCCACCCAGTTCGAGCTTCCCGGCTGGTTTGTTTACCTTAGCAAGCCTGGGCAATGGCGGGCGCCCATCCCCCAGCCTCGTTGCCACCTTGCAGTTTGATCTCAGACTGCTGTGCTAGCAATCAGCGCGATTCCGTGGGCGTAAGACCCTCTGAGCCAGGTGTGGGATATAGTCTCGTGGTGCGCCATTTCTTAAGCCGGTCTGAAAAGCGCAATATTCGGGTGGGAGTGACCCGATTTTCCAGGTGCGTCCGTCATCCCTTTCTTTGACTCGGAAAGGGAACTCCCTGACCCCTTGCGCTTCCCAGGTGAGGCAATGCCTTGCCCTGCTTCGGCTCGCGCACGGTGCACACACACACTGGCCTGCGCCCACTGTCTGGCACTCCGTAGTGAGATGAACCCGGTACCTCAGATGGAAATGCAGAAATCACCCGTCTTCTGCGTCGCTCATGCTGGGAGCTGTAGACCGGAGCTGTTCCTATTCGGCCATCTTGGCTCCTCCCCGAAAAACTTAAACTCAATACATCTTGGCTATTTTGCCTCAACCCAGAGGGTTCCCTGGAAACACTTGTTGAACTTGGCCAAGAGGAGACTGTATATGGATGGCACACTTGTAAAAGGGGAGAAAGCACACTAGTTCATCTCTTTTAAAACTGGAATGGTCCCAGGGATGTTAACCTTTCTGATGCTGATGGTAACTGAGTGGAGTGGAGGTGACCATGTGAGAAAACTCCTTAAAAACCCTTAAGCTGTTTGGAGACTACACATCACAGCTGAGAAAACCAAGGCGGAGCCTCACTGCATATAGGCTATTTTTAACTGCCTTTGATGGAACTCTGTTCCATAGAAGGAATCTTAGATTAGACTTTTTAAAGCCAAGCTCAACCATGAGTTTGTACCCTCAAATATCTATGAGTTGAGTAAATTCCTGTCCTCTTGGTGTCCCAAGATAACTTGGGGCTCCTGGACCTGTCAGAAAGTGACATTCTTTACTTATCACAGATCAGAAACCCTGTACAGGGACTGTTGCAGGCAAGGTCTGAGGCCAATTCTCCAAGGATCTTTTATTGGCTTTACAAGTCAAATTTGATTCCTTAAAGGAAAGCACACCATTTCAGTTAAAGCCTTGGTGAGATAATCAATCTCCCCAATTGTGTCTTGTTACAAAGGAAAACAAATTCTTATTGCACTTATGCAATTAACTATATTGTCATTAATTTAAGAATACTTACAAATAGTTTCCAAATGTTGGAGAAATGAGAGAGAGAGAAACAAATATGCTCCAAATTTTGTTCACAGGAGTATACTTTACTCAATTGCTAAAAGCTGTAAATAGCTCAAAAGAAAAGTTTCCTTGACTCTGAAAAACAAAACAAAGGATCAGCAGCATTTTAAGCAAAATTAAAAAGATTACTTCCATTTTCTATTGGTTCAGTTAATTCAGTTAACTCCTGTTCTATTTAATATCCATGAACATTCCAGCTATTCATGAGAACTCTGAAAGTTGTTTCCTCTATTCTAATGTTACAATTTCCGAAGTTATTAGAAACCTGCATTTAAGAACAGCTGCTAGAGTTCTGCAGTTGATTATAAACCACCTTCTAAAGAGGATTTAAAAAAGACAATAATTGTCTGTGGATGATAAAAAGTTTTAGGACAGCTACTATTAAAGCCACAATTGATAAGGAAATTTGGTTACTTCTGTGGCACACAAAATGTTATATAACAATTATAATTATTAATACCATACACTATGTCATGTTACAATTATAGGAGTTTCCCATAACTTTGGAACATATACCAATAATAAGTTTATGCAAATACAGCCCAAAGAAAGCAAAATACCATTTGACATTTGATAATGCTTCCTGTATGATCTTTATACTAAATAAGCCAAATTACATGTTTACATTAATGTATTCTTAATGTTAAATCCAATTTTTAATAAAACCTTATAGACATATTTATCCAATTTTAATGTTTAAACATAAGGTAGGATTTTTATAAATCTTTTACAACCCTTTACATTTTTGTGTGTGAAAGAGCAGATCAATGCTTTAAGAAAAACCTGTTGTGCTTTTATTCCAATGTTTAGTTTATGGAAAAACTGAATAACACCCCTTTAACTTTAGCCAATATGTTCACACACAGAATCTCTTACAATTAATTTTTATAAGCCTTCCACAACTTGTTTAAATCTTTAGCGTTTTCTCTTACTTAAAACAATCCTTTAACACTTTAGGCAGAAAAAATCCACATTCCCATGTCTTCTTATAATCTTTCACAAAAAACACATTTTACTTTCTTTACACACTTTGCATGTAAAATTGTTTCTTTAGTAGTGTCAGTTACATGTTATATTTTATTTTTTATTTTTGGTGAAAACCTTGGTAACTTTGAGATTTTAATTATGTACTAGGTGTGGAGCCTAGCCTAGGACACACCAGGCAGAAGTGCAGATAAGAGCTGACTCTCCAGCATAGTTAGGGGGCATGGCTAACTCCACATGTCCCCAGACCTTGTCTAGCTGTAAAGCAGGCAAGTTGTACAGTAAGTCACAGTGGCATTTTATGAAGCACTTAGGAAACCTAACAACTTTTGAATTGTACAACATTTTTTGCATAAATTCCTATTCACAAATCCTTTCACAGCTTACACAGACCATCTGAGACATTCTTGGACTTTCTGACTTGCCCTAAACATCCCTCCTTTTAAACAACCAGTCATTTTACTTTAGGACAAGAATTTATAGCACAACATCCTTTCTTATATAAAATCTTTTTCTTTATAATTGTCTTTGTATAGCTAGGGGGCATGGCTAATTCCACATGTCTCCAGGCCTTATCTAGAATCTAATGGCTTTAAGGTAGGTAAATTGAACAGTTTTTAAAAGTTAAAAAAGCAGTTTATGACCTTAAAGCATGGGTGAATCTCCATTTCCTTTCCTAGAAGGAGTCTAGAGTAGTTAATTTTGAGCTTGCAAAGGCTTGTATTTAATATGATTTTTAGAGCTAACTATGACATGAACCCTAAAATTCCCATTCCCTGAAAGGTGGAGACCAAGATAAAGTATGCCACCTGGTTAAAAGGTCAAGCTCCCAAGGACATAAAACAAGGTGGAGACTTCATCCAGTTTTTCTGGTTGTTCCAGAGACTTGCAGCCAAGTTTGTTACCGACCAGCTTGCTGGGTCAGCTTGAAAAGTGGGTTTACAGGTGTTCTAAGCCCGTGTTTTATCCTGAAGTATCCCTTGACACAGAAAAACAAATTCATAGCACAAAAGACACCACCTTAAGACTAGCCTTAGGATTCTTTTTTGCATTAATCAAAACTTTACAGAAGAGATAAACACTTTTTTTTCCCCATTCATTCAACCATTTGCACAGAGAGAGAAAAGCCAGAAATCTGACTGGTAAGAAATTCTTACCATTTTGCCAGCATGCCAGGCTTCTGGGTTCCCTTTCCATGAATAGCCCTAGTGATCTGGCTTGTGGCAATATCACCCTGGGGGCCGAGCCACACCATAAAGGAAAATTATTATTTTTTGTTCTGCCCGGGGAAGAATATGTGTGATAAAACATAGACATTAGCCACTCTGCTCAGCACCCAATATCAAACTGGCAAGGCTTATATTTGCCCCCAGATGAACCCCATCATCTTAATCCAACCTCCAACATGGAGTTTCAACCCATGGTCTCTGGGCAAGATGGTTGCCCTGAGTAACCAAAACGATAAGAAAGGAAAAGTAGAGAAGGAAAGTATTGCCTGTGGCAGGGTGGGAAAGGCGAAGAGCTTAGGGAGGCCAGAGAAAAGACCCACTCATTGTAGCCAACAATGAAAAGTTCAAGTCGCTGCTTGTTGTTAGCAAAGGGATCTTTTCCAGCAGTCCCATCAGCTCTCAAGTTTCCACTTTTAGGGAGGAAAAAACTCCCCGTGTCCCATGATCCTGTACATGCCTAACCCTGTCATCCACAGCCATCAGCAAATAGTGCAAGGCAGATTAATCCAAAGAGAATAGTAGTTAACATCCTACATTGTCAAACCTGTTCTTAGCCGAGTGGGACTTTACTGAGAGGGGCCTCTAACCCCGTAAATCTTAGAAGTGACTCTAACCCTCCTAAGTTGGGCCTCTAACCCAAGGTTAGTCAAGTGTCCTTGGCTTTTATTAAGAGGGGTTTCTAACCCACCCTGTCTTAGGAGAGGCTCTAACTCCCCTAAGTTGGGCCTCTAACCTAATCCCACTCTTTACGCAGGTATATGCACCACACTTACCCAAAGTCAGCCAACTGGTGCACACAGATGATTTTCCTTTGGGTTGGGGGTCTCTTCAGTATCATCCCTTCCATGGTCCACCAGAAATATGTTACAGGACAGGGGTCCCGATCCAGACCCCAAGAGAGGGTTTTTGGACCTTGAGCAGTAAAGAATTCAGTGCGACTCTGCAGGGCAAAGTGAAAGCAAGTTTATTAAGAAAGTAAAGGAATAAAAGAATGGCTACTCCAGAGACAGGGAAGCCCCAAGGGGCTGCTGGTTGCCCATTTTTTATGGTTATTTCTTGATGATATGCTAAAAAAATGCATGGATTATTGATACCTCCCCTTTTTAGACCATATAGGGTAAATTCTTGACATTGTCATGGCATTTGTAAACTGTCATGGCATGGTGGGAGTGTAGCAGTGAGGACTACCAGAGGTCACTCTGGTTGCCATTTTGGTTTTGGTGGGTTTAGCCCAGCTCCTTTACTGCAACCTGTTTAATCAGCAAAGTCTTTATCACCTGTATTTTGTGCTGACCTCGTATCTCATCCTGTGACTTAGAATGCACTAACCATCTGGGAATGCAGCCCAGTAGGTTTCAGCCTCATTTTACCCAGTTCCTATGTAAGATGGAGTTGCTGTGGTTCACATGCCTCTGACATAGCTGCCTAGTGTATTATATCCCCATATGTTATAAACCCAAGAAGATGATGCTGTAATTTTTGTTCTAAATAATCACTGGGATACTTTTCCTTTATTCGAGAAGACTTGAGTTGTTTTTCAGCCTGAAAAACTACCTTTTATAGTACAGGTTTGCTGGTGATAGATTCTCTTAGTTTTCTTTATTCTTTTTCTTTTTCTTTTTTTGGAAAGGGTTTTTTTTCATATTATTAGTTGTGAATATTTTATTTTTTGTTAAATTCTTTGTTGGATTTTTTTAAATTTTATTTCTAATTTTTGGCCTTCATAGTTAATGATGAACAGTCCATGATTAATTTAATTGTAGTTTCCTTGTATGTCATCTTTCACTTTTCTCTGGCTGCTTTTGAGATGTATTTTTTCACCTTTGGTTACCAGCAGTTTGACTATAATATGCCTAGGCATGGTTTCTTTCTATTTATGGTGTTAGGGATATCTTGATGTTTTAAAAATTATCAAATTATGTCTTTCACCAAATTTGAGACATTTGAAACCATTATCTATTCAAATATAATTTTCTGTCCCATTATCTCTCTTCTCTTTTGGAAAGTCTAATTTTATTGATCTCTACCTACATATCATCTTTCTATGTATCTATTTATGTATGTATGTATGTCTCTATCTGTCTCTATTGTGAAAGAGAAATATCTTGGGCCCTTTCAAGCTGGGAACCAGTAAAGGCAAATCCATCTCCTATTCTATTCGAGTCATCCCTTTGCTCACAGAGATAGATGCATATTCTGATTGCCTCCTTTGGAAAGACCTATCAGAAAATCAAAAGAATGCAACCATCTGTCTGTCACCTACCTGTGACCTGGAAGCCTCCAGTGGTGGGGACTTGTTTTTAGCTGTCTCCACCTTTCTGGACAGAACTAACGTACTTCTTACATGTCGATAGATGTTTCATGTCTCACTAAGATGTATGAGATCAAGCTGTGCCCGACCACCTTGGCCACATGTGGTCAGGACTTCTTGAGGCTGTGTCATGGGTGCATCCTCAACCTTGGAAAAATAAACTTTCTAAATTAACTGAGACCTGTCTCAAATTTTGGGGGTTCACACTATCTATCTATCGGATGTTTTGATATTGTCCCACAGTCCCTGAGGCTGTTCTTTTTAATTTTCTCTTCCTTATTCTTCAGTTTAGATTATTTCTTGTGATTTCTCTTCAAATATACTAAACTTTTGCTCTATCATCTCCAGTTTGCTATTAAGCCTATACAGTTAATTTAAAAAATGCTCTGTATTGTGTTTTGCAGTTTAAAATTTTCCATTTTATTCTTGTATTAATTTCCTAGGGCTGCTCTGACACAAACTGGCTGGCTTCAAACAACAGAAAGTTATTATTTCCTAGTTTTAGAGGCTAGAAGTATGTCATCATAGATTGGTAGGGCCATGTTCCTTCCAAAGTCTCTAGGGAAGAATGCTTCTTTGCCTCTTGTAGCTTCTGGTGATTGCAGGTGTTCTTTGACTGTGGCAACATAACCACAATCTCTACCTCCATCTTCCCATGACATTCTTCTTTCTGTCTCTTCTGTATCTCCTAGTCTCTTCCTATGAGGACACCAGTGACTGCAGTTAGAGTCCATCCTATTCCAGTCTGACCTTGTGAATGAATCATGGTTTCCTAGTTCTTGGCACATTGAGTAACTTTGGATTGAATTTTTTGGAGTTTGAATATTAGGCTGTGGAGTCCCTGGATTCTGCTGTTTTCTTTTGAAGCATGTGATACTTTTGTTCTAGCAAATAATTAACATGATTAGATTCAAACTGAAAACTCTGTTCTACCTACTGTGGGTGGCAGTTCAGATCTAAGTTTATTTTGAGGTGTTTTTCATTTGCTCGTTTATTTATAGACTGCTTCTTGCATGATAGGTTCAGTGGTAAGCTGGGACTTGGACACTGTTTGTATATAGAATGGGATATCCTCTTTCATCAATCTCTTTTGTCCAAGTTGTTCTCTCACTTTCTTGCTTCTCTGGCTGAACTGCCTTGTTTCTTTTATTATCTTTTTTTATCCCTCCCCCTCTGCTACCCTTACACCCAAGTCCCAAAGTCCACTGTATCATTCTTATGCCTTTGCATCTTCATAGCTTACCTTCCACATGTTTGTTTCATTTTCCATTCTTGAGTTACTTTACTTAGAATAATAGTCTCCAATCTCATCCAAGTCACTGCAAATGCCATTAATTCATTTCTTTTAATGGCTGAGTAGTATTCCATCATATATATATATATGATGATATATGTGATATATATGTATCAATCACATATATATGTGATATATATCAATCATATATATATATATATATATATATATATCTCACAGTTTGTTTATCCACTTGTTGATTAATGAACATTTGGATTGGTTCCACGATTTTGCAATTGCCAATTATGCCGCTATAAACATGCGTGTGTAGTATCTTTTTCATATAATGACGTATTTTCCTCTGGGTAGATACCCAGTAGTGGGATTGCTGAATCAAATGATAGTTCTACTTTTAGTTATTTAAGGAATCTCCACATTGTTTTCCATAGTGGTTATACTAGTTTACATTCCTACCAGCAGTGTAGAAGTGTTCCCTGATCACCGCATCCACACCAACATCTGCTGTTTTTTGATTTTTTGATTATGGCCATTATTATTATTATTATTATTATACTTTAAGTTCTAGGGTACATGGGTACAACGTGCAGGTTTGTTACATATGTATATACGTGCCATGTTGGTGTGCTGCACCCATTAACTCATCATTTACATTAGGTATATCTCCTAATGCTATCCCTCCTGCCTCCCCCCACACCATGACAGGCCCCGGTGTGTGATGTTCCCCTTCCTGTGTCCAAGTGCTCTCATTGTTCAATTCCCATCTATGAGTGAGTACATGCAGTGTTTGGTTTTCTGTCCTTGCGATGGTTTGCTCAGAATGATGGTTTCCAGCTTCATTCATGTCCCTACAAAGGACATGAACTCACCTTTTTTATGGCTGCAGAGTATTCCATGGTGTATATGTGCCACATTTTCTTAATCCAGTCTATCACTGATGGACATTTGGGTTGGTTCCAAGTCTTTGTTATTGTGAATAGTGCCACAATAAACATACGTGTGCACATGTCATTATAGCAGCATGATTTATAATCCTTTGGATATATACTCAGTAATGGGATGGCTGGGTCAAATGGTATTTTTAGTTCTAGATCCTTGAGGACTCTCCACACTGGCTTCCACAATGGTTGAACTAGTTTACAGTCCCACCAACAGTGTAAAAGTGTTCCTATTTCTCCACATCCTCTCCAGCACCTGTTGTTTCCTGACTTTTTAATGATCACCATTCTAACTGGTGTGAGATGGTTTTGATTTGCATTTCTCTGATGGCCAGTGATGATGAGCATTTTTTCATGTGTCTTTTGGCTGTATAAGTGTCTTCTTTTGAGAAGTGTCTGTTCATATCCTTCGCCCACTTTTTGATGCGGTTGTTTGATTTTTTCTTGTAAATTTGTTTAAGTTCTTTGTGGATTCTGGATATTAGCCCTTTGTCAGATGGGTAGATTGCAAAAAATTTCTCCCATTTTGTAGGTTGCCTGTTCACTCTGATGGTAGTTTCTTTTGCTGTGCAGAAGCTCTTTAGTTTAATTAGATCCCATTTGTCAATTTTGGCTTCTGCTGCCATTGCTTTTGGTGTTTTAGACGTAAAGTCCTTGCCCATGCCTATGTCCTGAATGGTAATGCCTAGGTTTTCTTCTAGGGTTTTTATGGTTTTAGGTCTAACATTTAAGTCTTTAGTCCATCTTGAATTAATTTTTATTTAAGGTGTAAGGAAGGGATCCAGTTTCAGCTTTCTGCATATCGCTAGCCAGTTTTCCCAGCACCATTTATAAAACAGGGAATCTTTCCCCATTTCTTGTTTTTGTCAGGTTTGTCAAAGATCAGATGGTTGTAGATGTGTGGTATTACTTCTGAGGGCTCTATTCTGTTCCATTGGTCTATATATCTGTTTTGGTACTAGAACCATGCTATTTTGGTTACTGTAGCCTTGTAGTATAGTTTGAAGTCAGGTAGTGTGATGCCTCCAGCTTTCTTCTTTTGGCTTAGGATTTTCTTGGCAATGCAGGCTCTTTTTTTGGTTCCATATGAACTTTAAACTAGTTTTTTCCAATTCTGTGAAGAAAGTCTTTCATAGCTTGATGGGGATGGCATTGAATCTACAAATTACCTTGGGCAGTGTGGCCATTTTCATGATATTGATTCTTCCTATCCATGAGCATGGAATGTTCTTCCATTTGTTTGTGTCCTCTTTTATTTCATTGAGCAGTGGTTTGTAGTTCTCCTTGAAGAGGTCCTTTACATCTCTTGTAAGTTGGATTCCTAGGTATTTTATTTTCTTTGAAGCAATTGTGAATGGGAGTTCCCTCATGATTTGGCTCTCTGTTTGTCTGTTATTGGTGTATAAGAATGCTTGTGATTTTTGCACATTGATTTTGTATCTTGACACTTTGCTGCAATTGCTTTTCAGCTTAAGGATATTTTGGGCTGAGACGATGGGGTTTTCTAAATATACAATTTTGTCTTCTGCAATCAGGGACAATTTGACTTCCTCTTTTCCTAATTGAATACACTTTATTTCTTTTTCCTGCCTGATTGCCCTGGCCAGAACTTCCAACACTATGTTGAATAGGAGTGGTGAGAGAGGGCATCCCTGTCTTGTGCCAGTTTGCAAAGGGAGTGCTTCCAGTTTTTGCCCATTCAGTATGATATTGGCTATGGGTTTGTCATAACTAGCTCCTATTATTTTGAGATACATCCCATCAATACCTAATTTATTGAGAGTTTTTAGCATGAAGGGCTGTTGAATTTTGTCAAAGGCCTTTTTTGCATCTATTGAGATAATCATGTGGGTTTTGTCTTTGGTTCTGTTTATAAGATGGATTACATTTATCGATTTGTGTATATTGAACCAGCTTGCATCCCAGGGATGAAGCCAACTTGATCGTGGTGGATAAGCTTTTTGATGTGCTGCTGGATTCAGTTTGCCAGTATGTTAATGAAGGTTTTTGCATGGTTGTTCATCAGGGATATTGGTCTAAAATTCTATTTTTTTATTGTGTCTCTGTCAGGCTTTGATATCAGGATAATGCTGGCCTCATAAAATGAGTTAGGGAGGGTTCCCTCTTTTTGTATTGATTGGAAAATTTTCAGAAGGAATGGTACCAGCTCCCCTTTGTACCTCTGGTAGAATTTGGCTATGAATCCTTCTGGTCCTGGACTTTTTTTGGTTGGTAGGCTATTAATTATTGCCTCAATTTCAAAGCCTGTTATTGGTCTATTCAGGGATTCAACTTCTTCCTAGTTTAGTCTTGGGAGAGTGTATGTGTCCAGGAATTTATCCATTTCTTCTAGGTTTCCTAGTTTATTTGCATAAAGGTGTTTATAATATTCTCTGATGGTAGTTTGTATTTCTATGCTATTGGTGGTGATATCACCTTTATCATTTTTTATTGTATCTATTTGATTCTTCTCTCTTTTCTTCTTTATTCATCTTGCTAGTGGTCTATCAATTTTGTGGGTATTTTTCAAACAACCAGCTCCTGGATTCATTGATTTTTTGAAGGGTTTTTATGTGTCTCTATCTCCTTCAGTTCTGCTGTGATCTTAGTTATTTCTTGCCTTCTGCTAGCTTTTGAATGTGTTTGCTCTTGCTTCTATAGTTCTTTTAATTGTGATGTCAGGGTGTCAATTTTAGATCTTTCCTGCTTTCTCTTGTGGGCATTTAGTGCTATAAATTTCCCTCTACACACTGCTTTAAATGTGTCTCAGAGATTCTGCTATGTTGTGTCTTATTTCTCATTGGTTTCAAAGAACATCTTTATTTCTGCCTTCATTTTGTTACATACACAGTAGTCATTCAGGAGCAGGTTGTTCAGTTTCCATGTAGTTGAGTGGTTTTGAGTGAGTTTCTTAATCCTGAGTTCTAGTTTGATTGCACTGTGGTCTGAGAGATAGTTTGTTATAATTTATGTTCTTTCACATTTGCTAAGGAGTGCTTTACTTCCAACTATGTGGTCAATTTTGGAATAAGTGCGATGTGGTGCTGAGAAGAATGTATATTCTGTTGATTTGGCATGGAGAGTTCTGTAGATGTCTATTAGGTCCACTTGGTGCAGAGTTGAGTTCAAAAGCACAGTATTAGGGTGGGAGTGTCCCGATTTTCCAGGTACCGTCTGTCATGGCTTCCCTTGACTAGGAAAGGGAATTTCCTGACCCCTTGCACTTCCTGGGTGAGGCAATGCCCCGCTCTGCTTTGGCTCACACTCCGTGGGCTGCACCCACTGTCCGACAAGCCCCAGTGAGATGAAACTGGTACCTCAGTTGGAAATGCAGAAATCACCCATCTTCTGCATCACTCACGCTGGGAGCTGTAGCTTTGAGCTGTTCCTATTTGGCCATCTTGGAGTCTTTGACTATGGCCATTCTTGCGGGTGTAAGATGATATCAAATTGTGTTTTTTGTTTTTGTTTTTTTTGTATTCCCTTGATTGTTAGTGAAGTTGAGCACTGTTTATATTTTTTTGTCATTTGTATATCTTCTTTTGATAATAATATATTCAGATCCTTAGCCCAGTTTTTGATGGGATTGTTAGTCTTTTTCTTATTGATTTGTTAGAGTTTGTTGTAGATTCTGGATATTAGTCCTTTGTTAGATGTACAGATTGTGAAGATTTTCTCCCACTCTGTGGGTTGTCTGTTTACTCTGCTGATTGTTCCTTTTGTTGTGCAAAAGCTCTTTAGTTTATTTAAGTCCCAACTATTTATTTTTGTTTTTATTGCATTTACTTTTGAGTTCTTGGTCATGAAATCCTTTCCTAAGCCAACGTCTAGAAGGGTTTTTCCAATGTTATCTTCTAGAATTTTTATAGTTTCAAGTGTTAGATTTAAGTCCTTAATCCATCTTGAGCTGATTTTTGTATAAGGTGAGAGAGGAGGATTCAGTTTCATTCTGCTACATGTCACTAGACAATTGTCTTAGTACCATTTGTTGAAAAGGGTGTTCTTTCCCCACTTTATGTTTTTGTTTGCTTTGTCAAAGATCAGTTGGCTGTAAGTATTTGGGTTCATTTCTGGGTTCTCTACTCTATTCTGTTGGTCTATATGCCTATTTTTATACCAGTACCATGCTGTTTTGGTGACTATGGCCTTATAATATAGTTTGAAATTGGGTAATGTGATGCCTTCAGATTTGTTCTTTTTGCTTAGTTTTGCTTTGGCTATGCAGGCTCTTTTTTGGTTCCATATGAATTTTACAATTGTTTTTTCTAATTCTGTGAAGAATGATGGTGGTATTTTGATTGGAATTGCATTGAATTTTTTGATAGCTTTTGGCAGTATGGTCATTTTCACAATATGAATTTTACCCATCCAAAAGAATGGGAGTGTTTCCATTTGTTTGTGTCATCTATGATTTTTTTTTCAGCAGTGTTTTGTAGTTTTCCTTGTAGAGAGGTCTTTCAACTCCTTGGTTAGGTATATTCCTAAGTATTTTTTATTTTTATTTTTGCAGCTATGGTAAAAGGGTTTGATTTCTTCATTTGATTCTTTACTTGGTCACTGTTGGTATATAGAATAGCTGCTGATTTGTGTACATTAATTTTGTATCCAGAAACTTTGCTGAATTCTTTTATCAGATCTAGGAGCTTTCTGAAGGAGTCCTTAGGGTTTTCAAGGTAAATGATCATATTGTCAACAAACAGTGATAGTTTTCCTTTCTCTTTACCAATTTGGATGCCCTTTATTTCTTTCTCTCGTCTAATTGTTCTGGCTAGGATTCCCAGTACTATGTTGAAGAGGAGTGGTGAGAGTAAGCATCCTTGTCTTGTTCCAGTTCTCAGAGAGAATGCTTTCAATTTTTCCCCATTCAGTATTATGTTGGCTGTGGGTTTGTCATAGATGACTTTTATTGCGTTGAAGTGTGTCCCTTGTACACTGATTTTGCTGAGAGTTTTAATCATGTAGGGATGTTGGATTTTGTTGAATGTGTTTTCTGCATTTATTGAATGATTGTGTGATTTTTATTTTAAATTCTGTTTATGTGGTGTATCACATTTATTGACTTGCATATGTCAAGCCATCCCTGTATCCGTGGTATGAAATCCACTTGATCATATAGAACTATCCTTGTGATATGTTGTTGGATTCAGTTAGCTAGTATTTGGGATTTTAGCATTTATATTCATCAGGAATATCAGTCTGTAGTTTTCTTTCTTGGTTGTGTCCTTTCCTGGTTTTGGTATTAGGGTGCTGCTGTCTTCATAAAAAGACTTAGGGAGGGTTCCCTCTTTCTCTATCTTGTGGAATATTATAATAGGATTGGTACCAATTCTTCTTTGAATGTCTGGTAGAATTCTGCTGTGAATCCATCTTGTCCTGGACTTTTTTTGGTGGTAATTTTTAAATTACCATTTCAATCTCATTGTTTGTTATTGTTCTGTTCAGGGTATCTGATTCTTCCTGATTTAAGCTAGGGGGATTGTATCTTTCCAGGCATTTGTCCATCTCTTCTAGGTTTTCTAGTTTATGTATTTAAAGTGTTCATAGTAGCCTTGACTGATCTTTTGTATTTCTGTGGTGTCAGTTGTAATGTCTCCTGTTTCATTTCTTATTGAGCTTATTTGGATTTTCTCTGTTCTTTTCTTGGTTAATCTTGCTAATGGTCTATCAATTTTATTTATCTTTTCAAAGAACCAGCTTTGTGTTTCATTAGCTTTTGTAATTTTTTTTGTTTCATTTTGATTTAGTTCCACTCTGATCTTGGTTATTTCCTTTCTTCTGCTGGGTTTGGGTTTGGTTTTTTCTTGTTTCTCTAATCCTTTGAGGTTGGACCTTAGATTGCCTATTGGTGCTCTTTCAGTCTTATTGATGTAGGTGTTTAGGATTATGAACTTTCCTTTTAGCACTGCCTTTGTTGTATCCCAGATGTTTGGATAGGGTGTGTCACTATTGTTATTCAGTTCATATAATTTTTTAGTTTCCATCTTGATTTCATTTTTGACCCAATGATCATTCAGGAGCATGTTATTTAATTTCCATGTATTTGCATGGTTTTGAATGTTACTTTTGGAGTTGGTTTTCAGTTTTACTCCACTGTGGTCTGAGAGAGTGCTTGATATAATGTCAATTTTCTTAAATTTATTGAGACTCATTTTGTGGTCTATCATATGGTCTGTCCTGGAGAAAGTTCCATGCACTGTTGAATAGAATGTGTATTCTGCAGTTGTTGGATAGAATATTCTATATATATCTGTTAAGTCCATTTGTTCCAAGGTATGGTTTATATCCATCGTTTCTTTGTTGACTTTCTGTCTCGTTGACCTGTCTAGTGCTGTCAGTGGAGTATTGAAGTCCCCCACTATTATTGTGTTGCTATTTATCTTATTCCTTAGGTCTGTTAGTAATTGTTTTATAAATTTGGGAGCTCCAGTGTTAGGTGCATATATGTTTATGATTGTAATATTTTCCTGTTTGACAAGGCCTTTTACCATTATATAATGTTCCTCTTTGTCTTTTTAAACGATAGTTGCTTTAAAATTTGTTTTGTCTGATATAAGAATAGCTACTCCAGCTCCCTTTTGGTGTCCATTTGCATGAGATGCCTTTTTCCACCCCTTTAAGTTTAGGTGGGTCCTTATGTGTTGAGTGAGTCTCTTGAAGGCAGCAGATAGTGGATTGGTGAATTCGTATCCATTCTGCAGTTATGTATCTTTTATTATTATTATTATTTTTTGAGATGGAGTTTCTGTCACTCAGACTGGAGGACAGTGGCACAATCTTGGCTCACCACAACCTCCACCTGGTGGGTTCAAGCATTCTCCTGCCTCAGCCCCCCAAGTAGCTGGGATTATAGATGCCTCCACCAAGGCTGGCTAATTTTTGTATTTTTAGGAGAGACAGGGTTTCACCATGTTGGCCAAGCTGGTCTCAAACTCCTGACTTCAGATGATCCACCTGCCTTGGCCTCCCAAAATGCTGAGATTACAGGTGTGAACCACTGCGCCCAGCCCAGTTATGTATCTTTTAAGTGGAGCATTTAGGTCATTTACATTCAATGTTAGTATTGAGATGTGAGGTACCATTCCATTCATCATGCTATTTGTTGCCTGTGTACCTTGGTTTTTTGGTTCTTGTTTTTGTTTTTTAAATTGTATTTTTGTTTTATAGGTCCTGTGAGATTTATGCTTTAAAGAAGTTCTGTTCTGATGTGTTTCCAGGATTTGTTTCAAGATTTAGAGTTCCTTTTAGCAGTTCTTGTAGTGGGGGCTTTGTAGTGGTGAGTTCTCTCAACATTTGTTTGTCTGAAAAAGACTGTATCTTTCTTTCATATATGAAGCTTAGTTTTGCTGGGTACAGAATTATTGGCTGATAATTGTTTTGTTTGAGGAGGCTACAAATTGGGCCCCAATCCCTTCTAGCTTGTAGGGTTTCCTCTGTGATATTCATTGTTAATCTGATAGGTTTTCCTTTATAGGTTGCCTGGTGTTTTGTCTCACAGCTGTTAAGATTATTACCTTTGTCTTAACTTTAGGTAACCTGACAACAATGTACCTAGGCAATGATCTTTTTATGATGAATTTCTCAGGTGTTCTTTGTGCTTCTTGTATTTGGATGTCTAGGTCTCTAGCAAGGCTGGGGAAGTTTTCCTTGATTATTCCCCCAAATATGTTTTCCAAACTTTTAGATTTCTCTTCTTCCTCAGGAACAACAATTATTCTTAAGTTTAGTCATTTAATATAATCCAGGACTTCTTGGAGGCTTTGTTCATATTTTCTTATTCTTTCTTCTTTGTCTTTGTTGGATTGGGTTAATTCAAAGACCTTTTCTTTGAGCTCTGAATTTCTTTCTTCTACTTGTTAAATTGAATTGCTGAGACTTTCCAGAGCATTTTGCATTTCTGTAAGTGTGTCCAATGTGTCCTAAAGTTTTGATTATTTTTATTTATACTATTTCATTGAATATTTCTCCTTTCACTTCTTGTGCCTTTTTTTTTTTTTTTTTTTTTTTTTGTATTTCCTTGCACTGGGCTTTGCCTTTTTCTGGTGCCTCCCTGATTAGCTTAATAACTACCATCCTGAATTCTTTTTCAGGTAAATCAGGGATCTTTCTTTCTCTCTCTTTTTTTTTTTTTTTTTTTTGGTTAGGATCTATTGTGGTGAGTCATTGTGATTTTTTAGGGGTGTTAAAGAGCCTTGTTGCATCGTATTACCAGAGTAGACTTTCTGGTTCCTTTTCATCTGGGTAGGCTTTGTCAGAGGAAAGGGCTAGAGCTGAAGGCTGTTTTTCAGATTCTTTTGTCCCTCAGGGTATTCCCTTGATGTAGTACTCTTCCCATTTTCCTATGGATGTGGCTTCCTGAGATCTGAGCCGTAGTGATTGTTATCTCTTTTCTGGGTTTAGCTACCCAGCAAGTCTACCAGGCTCCAGGATGGTACTGGGAGCTGTCTTCAGAGAGTCCTGTGATGTGAACCATCTATGGGTCTCTCAGCTGTGTATACCGGTACAGTATTTGGGGGGTCTTCAGGGTTCTGCAGGAACAATCCACTTCCTTCAGACAGTCTGTGGGTCCTCTCAGGTTTCCTGATTTATTCCTGCAGTCATTCTGGAGCTAAAATTTATGATGCGGGCCTCCACACACTGCTCTGTCTGTTGGAGTCAGAGCTGCAATTTAGTCCTGGCTCTCATCCACCATGATGGAATTCAGTCTGCCTTGCTTCTTTCTTATACCAGAAAGATGGAAGGTTTTCTATAGGAGCTTGAGTCACTTTAGCCCATGTTACAATGCCAGCCTGCCCTCAGGCCAAAGCTACCAAGACAGAGGATTCTCCCTTGGAAAGTTTATATTTCCAATTGTCTGCTCCCATCCAAAATAGATGGCTTTCGTGCATACTTCAAACTCCTAAAGTAGTTGTTTTATGGTATTTTGCCAAGAGTTTATAACAATAAATAGGTGCAGGAAGTTCAGCCCACTGAAAACTTATTCCACTGTATCAAAAGCGAAACTTTACAATATCTATTAGGCATATCTAGTACTTTTGCATTCTAGCCTTAATATCTTAAAGTCTTGTTCATATTTCTTAAGTTTATATCTCTCTGTATTGCATTCTGGGTAAATTTATTGAGTCTATCTTCTAAATTTTAATTATCCATTCACTTTGCAAGTTAATTTGAGGTTTCTGCAATGTGGTAGGCTGAGCTAACTTGAGCAACATTTACCTCCCAAACACAGAGATATTCTGGATTATATACCTTAATTTTTAAGGAAGCATATGGCTCAGCATTGTAAAGTTCATTTTGAGTGATTTGGGATAATTTGTGAAGACAATTGTAGAAAATCAAACTCAACTTTATTCTAAAAATAATTTCATTTCTTTTTATCTAAATTCAATTGTGTTTTATAAACTAATTTTTGCCTTTTATTATTTGATTAATAACTTGTTAGTATTTATTTTTAGAGATAAATTATGGTTTCACTTCCCATTTATGTTAGCTAGTAGAAAATACATGATAAATTTATAAAAAATAATAACTAAGGAAATTAATGAAGAGGTAATACCTCTTTTAAGGACAGCAATAATGAGTTTGTTTATATTTTGCTTTATTTCATTAACTGTACCTCTTTGGGAAATATTCTTTTTTTCTCTAAGTGGATTTCTTTTATTATTTGTGGACTCTATTCTTGACTTTCTATATCCATACCCATATCCAAAATGGCATAGGATAGCATAATTTATCTTTGTAAATTACTTTCAAAAATCATGATCATCTTACTAATTATATTGTCTGAAAAATTTGCATTGACTCTAGTCACATTTACACAGTAACATTTACCACAGATATAATAACTCCATTTCCTGTATCCCTGGCCAAACACCAGTTTCAGCCAAAGTCGTCTGCATCTGCCCATATAAATCATTTCATAAATTAGAGTCAGCATTCCTCGCAGAACATGAATTTATTTTTGAATCCAGACAAAATAAATCATAAGGAGCCATGAGGTTGGGACTGCAGCCTAATTTTTACTAAGTCCCTTCAATAATGCAGTTTAAAGTTTCACATTCATAATAAAAATACTGTAAAATTATGCCCATCTTAATTGTTTTTTTCTCTTCTCATATTATGCAAATATACTACTTATCTAGAAGGTCTCCCCCTTTTCTTCTCAAGATCTTTGTGCTTTTATGTGCTGCTTAATTTTATTTATGACTTTCAGGTTTCTTTAGAAGGCCTTGTGGCACGTTAACAAGTGTTTTCGATATTTTGGTGTTAAAGAAGATGGACTTTGGATTTAGTAACAACATGTCACCCATCACATATATTCATTCTTTTAATATTTATTAATCCATTAAATATTCATTGAGTGCCTACCATGAGTCAAGTATTTGATAGCGACAAATGTTATGTTTTCTGCTCTTAATTGCACAGTCAAATGAGTGAGACAAATACTGATATATTTGAGATAAGTGCTGAAAACGGGGTATGTGCATGGAAATTACATCTTCACTGGCTATTGCTAGCTAATAGTCTAGTGGAAACCTATATCAGATGAAAGGCTGTCAGCAATCCCTGTTCACGTTACTAAAGTTATCACTTTTGTAGCTGCTCAAATTCTTTTTTTTTATTGGCTAGAAATTATGTAAATTGTTTCCTCCATATGTCTGAAATGTAAGGATGATTGTTTTTAACATAAATTTTTAAACTTGTCCAAGCAGTGTAAACAGCATAAAAGGTGAAAAGTGGGAATGTCACATGTCACACTGTATCAGGGTAATGAGATGTCTAACGTAGACCCATAGGCACACAACCTGGAAAGCACTTATTCATATTCATGTTCTTGATAATTTCCCATTTATAATATAGTATAAGCAAGGAAAACTATTTCTTTCAATAGAATCATGGGTCAACTCAAGGTAAGCCATTATTCTATAAAAACATGGTTCAGAAATAACCTAATTAGGGCTTATAACCACATTTCTAAGGGCTACTGTTCTGTTATTATGTGTAAAATATAGGAACACTTTCCAATAATGTGAAAATAAGGAAAACTGATATGAAATCTACAGGAGTAAGCTAACAATTTTCCAGACAATGGAATTATATATTTTGCATTATTTTTCTGAAGAACTATAGGCTTTGGTTACTTGGGACAGCTTTTTTTTTTTTTTCTTGCCTTTCCTAGCAGAGCTGCAGATTTAATTTTATCGGTATGAGAAATATGAAGCTAGGGAATTTAATAATTGTTTCACTAGGTAAGAGATGAAGTAAATTCCATTGCCTTTCATTTGATTACAATCTTCCCTGCTGGTTTAATTAAAAACATCCATGTGAGGAAGAAGAAACATGGTACAGGATCTAATTGTTTTATTGTATTGAATGTAGAGTAGGAACAATGAAACCAAAAGGTTTATAGTTGTAAAACTTAAATGTTTCATGTAAATCTAAATTGCAGACACAGGTCAGCTATAGACAAATGTCAGTAGACTAGATTCAAAATGCACTGCAGGCAGAAAAGATGACATTTATCAGTCATCCATACATCAGTAACTAAAACAATTTTAGGGTTGTCTAGACAGGCATTTATTATTTCTTAAATTTAAATCTTTAGTAGAAGGACAACAGGAGGCATGGTATCTATATTTAGTTTCACAAGAAATGAGGAAAAGGCCTAGAAAAAAATCCAAATACATTTGCAGGAATATAAGTGTAGAAAAAGAGTCTCATTGCTGTTAGTCTATACTGGAAGCAACTATATGACTAAATCAGCTTTCTCAGTTACTGTGACACAGGCCTGAAAAATTACAATAAATACTGTTAAACATATTTAATTTTATGCGTTTTGGATAATTTGCCAATAACAATATTTTTAAAATCTTTGCTAGTGTTTTTACAAGTTTTTATTCTTTTAAAAAATTGCTGTAAAATTAGAAAATTGGGTTTAAATGTAAATTTTGAAAATCGTAGACTTAGGCAGCAGAATATTAAATATGCCAACATTATGAAAATGTCATTCAACATCTTTTCCAAATTCAAGGACAGCAAAAGATTGTGATAAATAATAAAAAATATACAAGAAGATTATAAATTAACTTTCAGTCTTCCAAGAGAAAACAAAATTGGGTAGAAAATTTTATTTCCTTTACATTTGAAATTATCAATATAAGTTGTTGAGACAAGCTTATCTATAAAACAACAATATATCACAAAATTTCGAAATGAAAAGAATGGCAAAATATCATATTTTAGAAGTCTGAGGAATTAAAAAAAAAGAAATAAAAACAAACCATAAAAGTACAAGCAAAATAAATCTCAGCATATCAGTTCCTGGACCATTTTAAAATTGTATTTCTTTTATTTTTCGGCTGCCATTTTATTTTATTGTTTAAATGCAACTACAGTCTTTAGTAGAACGATTTTCTTATTGCTGAATATTTTTTGCTAGAATTAATATACCTTTTTGATATGTAGATATCTAGTTAATAAATTATAAATTTTCATTCCTGTTTGTCATAGGGAATCTATCAATTCTATTACTTTTTACTATACTCATTTAAAAATTTCTTTCTTTTCTTTTTTCTTTGTTTTTAATTTATGATTTTAAAGTTATCCTTAGTTTTGGGCTCAATAATTTTTAAAAACTTAGACATGGCTTAAGTTTTCATGCAATAATTCAAAGTACTTTTTTGTGTTGAGAAATCATGGTATTTTCATGCAGTCTGTTCTTTGGCTCTCCAGGAAGTGCATTTTTCACCCTTGCCCAACACACACCCCATATATACATCTTTGTGATGAACGTTATTGTGCTACACATATTACATAGTGCAGATTACTTCAGTCCACTGCTTCCAGATCTTATAGCTGTAAATCACAGCTGTTAAATATTTATAACATTCCCTTGAACACTTAAGGGAGAAAGCCAAAATAAAATTTTTCATTTGCTCCTAATGTTAAAATGTTTGTAGTGGATAAAAAATACTACAGTTTTCTTCAAGTTATTAAATTATAACCAATAATCGGTACCTAACTATTGGTATTGAATGAGTTTGCTTAAGTGTCCAGATTTTCCCTCCGACGCATCCAAATAATTAAGAGACGGTCCTTAATGCAACCCAAGGATCTCTTTTTCTCTTCTTTCTATTTCTATTTTATCTGGAATTCTCTTTGGCCCTGGTGATAATTGCGAAGCTCCCTAATTTTGTTTAAAATTCATATTTTTCCATCAAAGATCAACTGCATCGCACAATCCAAATGTGTAGGTATAAAGTTAGCATTTACTACTACTCAGTGAAAACGTCTTGCCGACAAAAGGGGCAAGGATCATGTTTGTAGCAAAGAATAAGCTGGTGTTAGATAAACAATTGGAACTAGGGGTACCTTAGCATTTCTTAGAATCCCTTCAGACATCATAAACCAATTTGGGGTTCATTTCCGAGATTTTTATGTCAAGCCTGATTTGTTGCTTTTTATTACCTGGTGGGAATGTGTTAGCTTTTACTTCTTAATGCCTGCTTTGTCATCAGTATCCACTAGGTGGAGATATAATTTTATTTTTTCTTTGGTTTAGGACAACTTGAACATTTATGATGCTATGAAAGGAATACTCATCTTCACAGTTTGAACATATACCTTTTAATTGGTGTTTAATAAATATTTTGATGTCAAGCTATATTTTTTCTGAATATTACTCATATCTATCTACATTTCCTTTATTGTTTGTTTGTTTTTGTGTTTTAGTATAGATTCTAAAATACAGACCACTGATTTAGTTTCATTTTTATAATTTCCTTCCGAGTGTTGGAATATACAAATGAGTGAGTATTCTCAATTCCAGAGTATAGTGAAATGCAATCCCCAGCATTATGTAAAGATGCTTTGAGACTAAGTACAGGTTGTTGGCAGGGATTTAATTGGAGAGGTTAGAAAAGAGGTAAGAGATTTTCCTTTTTTCTCTAAGCCAGGTGAGAATGCTCCTCTTAGCCCTATAGCTGCTAGGAAAAAAAGGATATGAAAGCAAATGAAGTGGTTTCCAGATTCTGAAAGATACTCTCTTCACAAAATCTCTCTCTTCTCTCTTCTTTTCTTCTCTTTTTTCTCTGTCTCCTTCCCTTCTCTTCTCTTTTAGAAATATGCCTTGTTCTCCATCTGTGTCTCTTGCTCATTTCTCTCTATAACTACCTATTTATCTGAGATGTACATATATACATACATTTACATTAGATTTTTAAATGTAATGCAATATATACATATACATGTTATATAAACATGCACAGTTTAGGACTCTGTAAAAAAGCAAGAAATGAAGTCTCCACTTTTAAGAGGACTCTTTATTTTTTCTGTCTTTCATGTGGGTACTTGTTTTATAAAAAAGTATTTTCTAATTACATATTTCTAGAAATCTAAGCATCATATTTCTCCTTTCCTGCTTTTTTAAAGAGGACAAAATGTTTCCTGTGACTCTTGTTTCAAGTGTCATCCTGGAAACCAGTGACTTTAAACTCTGCAGACAATTGTAAGGCAGAGATGCTCTTCCCTACTTAAGTACAGACTGAATTTAAAACAAAGGACTTGGAGGAACTGTCTTAAACCCAAGGGTGGCAAAATTTCAAGAGAAAGTTTAGTGTGCAGTTTTGAGTTAACAAGCACAGAATCTAACACTTGGTAGACAACATCTCTCACTCTCTTCCGAAGAAACACAATCCTAATGTTCGAGGCTAAATAAAATGGTGATATCTCTGATAATACCACTTATCATCTACTGATACATGTACAAACAAGGTGTATTTGTAAATTACAGTGCCTATACCAAAGACATTTCATAAAACAAGCAAATAAAGCAAAGGAAAGTCTGGATCTCTTGGCTTTGGCAAACTGTTTAGGCCTCTTAATTACATTTGATCATATGTAAATGAACTCAGGGTCTTTGAGTTTTAAGAAAACTATTCTCTTTCCATTCTCTGTGGTTGTCCGTGCCTGTGGTCCTTTATTTCTATATAAACATGCTCACAGTGACTTTTGCCATATTTCAAGCAGCCTGCCTTTATTAAAAATAAAATAACATTTTGTATATGAAGAGTAAATGCTTTACGCTCAATGAAACACCCTCTTTTCTAATGTAGGTATTTAACCAATTCCTGTTGCTAAAATCCTCGATATCATCGCCTTTAGATTCTAAGACTTCTTAAACCTAAAGATTCAAGGCAAGTTAAAGTTTCTCAAAATTTCCAGTTGCTTCCCACTGATATCATTATTGCAATGATAATGCTTGATAGTTTTAGGTTTTTCATTTATTTCCTCATTGGAATAGAGATAAATGTCACTAATTATGGAAATGTTACATTCTATAAACAAACAGAATAAATTATATAAAAGACAAATAATGCCAACCTTCATGAAGAAATACATGACAAGATAACATTGTACTACTGCTGTTTTCAAGGGCAGGTGCATGTGCTTAATTATAAGCATTTCTTTACCTATTTTTTTCATCAATTTTGGTGCAATGTTTTTAAGACATAAAAATAATCAAAGAAAAAAGTAAACTAACTGGGCAATGCACTTTTCCTTATAATTTGGATGCTCAGTAACATCTTTTATGTACCAATGCTAACTAATGTCCTGATACTGATTCCACTACTGGTATTATTGTTACTGGCTGCAACATTTCCATTGCCATCAGTGTTCATCTGTCTCAGAAATGATAAGCTCAAAGGAATAGCCCTTTCATTTACCTTATGGGGACAAAACTCATAATGAACTTTCACATATCTTTTTCTCAACTCTTCCTTCTGCTACACGCTGACTTCCCATCTCACAGTATCTCTCTCTCTCTCTCCATATTTAAAAAGATGAGATTAATAAAAAGTTTCAGTATTAAATTTTCTCTTTGTAACTGTTGCAGATATCATAGCCTGGAGTAACTATTATAATTACATTATGTTTTTTGTTATTCAACACCTATTGTAAGCTAGGTAGTTTATATTTGTCATCTCTGATTATGAACTGAAAATGTGAATTGAAATGATGGCTAAATTACTAACTAATGTGACTTTGAACAAATTATTTAACCTTTTTCTCAATTCACCTCATCTCTAAAATTCAAAAGATATATACCTGATTTCAGTATTAATTGAGTCAATGTATGTAGTCCTTACAAAAATATCCGAAAGTCAAATGTAAAATGTTACATATTGCTATTATAGTTATTAGAAATACATGAAGTTTAGTAATGTTTAAGCATTTCTTTTTATTATTTCTTGGTATTTATTTAAAAATATTTCTGAATAGTATTTGGCACTTTTATATTGGCATTTATTCCTTTCTCTAAGAAACAAAGATTTTTTTGTTTGTTTCCTAGAGATAGTGAAAGCTATGGCTAAAAGAGATAATGTCAGTCACCTTCCCAAAGTTTTAATGCTATGCATAAAATAGAGCTTAGATTATGGAAACCAATGTGTCACACACCAGGGCTCTTCACCACATATTCTACCTAAAAATCGCTGTACAATGAGAATGAGAATTGTCTCTATTAATAATTTTTTAAAAAATAAGAATACTATTATAATCATTACTATCTGTGTGGAGTGACTCTAAATTTACAAATTTTTTTACTTAACTTTGTTTCATTTGAACCCACAATAACTGTGTAAAGAAGGCATCATTAGTCTCAAAAAAAAATAAGGCAATGGAGGCTCAGAGACTTAAATAACTTGCCAAGACTCACTTAGCACGAAATAGTGGAACTATATCTAGGAGGCAGGTTTTCTATCTCCAGAGCTCTCTCTCCTAAATAGATCATTAGAACTCAAATGGACCTTCAAATTTTCTAGTCTAAATCGTTATTTATTCAATGAGAAGATGGAGGACAGGGAAGAAAAGGACCTGGACAATGTGACATAGAGACAGATTTAAGACTAAGGCTCTTTTTTTGTGATTTCTAATTCATTGATCTTTTTCCTATACCACAATATCCTGTAATCAGCATTTTAAATAGTTTTTTTCCTACAGTTTGAGAATGTCTGAAATTTTTTAAAAATTCCAATATTTATAGTAATTATTTCACAGTTTACCCAACCCTGGGATTCAGAGACAAAAAAATGGTTTTTATAGGCTGCCCTATTGAGAAGACAGAGCTTTATCACACAAGATCGTCAATTCTATTATCTGTACAGTGGGGGCAGTAAACATGGTTAATATCACCTATGATAGCAGTTCTCTCAATTGTGTATCTCTCCCAGAACCAGTCAGAGGTCATGCATTCCGCTTTACATGAAGACTAGCTTTCTGTTTGTTTGCTTGTTTGTTTTTCCAAACTCCAGGGGAATCTGGGCTCTAAAAGAAAACAGTAGAGGGAATACAAAAGAAGTCAAAACTTCCTTAAGCTGTGATGAAGATAAGGCATTCCATGGCAATGCCTGCGTTCCCAATTACTACTACCTAGGAATTAATTTCTAGGCCCTCTATATATGAGCAGAGTAGAATAACATTGTCTTAGCAGCATCTTCATTTGTGTGCCAAATTTATATGGGCAGCACTGAATTTGAAAGTACTACAATTTATCTCTACTTTCTGAAGTACCATAAGATTTTATTTAAAAAAAGATTTTAAAGACAAAAAATGTCAAGTAGATACAAAGAGAAAAGTCCCAGAGAATGAACACAGTCCTCTATGACTGAATTCAGGTGGTCTTCTGCAAAACTTAGATTTCATTCATTCACTCATTCATTTGTATTCATTTATCTAACAATACACTACTGCAACAAATACTTATTAAGAGTCTAATAAATGTCCAGTCTGTGCTAAGTGCAATTATGGAGCAATCAAACAAACCAAGCAAAAAGATATAGTCTGTCCTCAAAGCGCCTAGGAGGAAATTAAGTTTTAATACAAATAATGACATTACCAAGTTGAGACCAGTAAGGGTCATAAGTGTTTATTATAGACATGATGCATTAGAGATGTTAAGAAACAGGTATGTCCTCATGGAATGAATAATTAGAGAATGATTCATGAAGGAGAAAGATTTTAGTTAACTGAAAAGAGGGAAACTTGAGTTTGTGGAGGTGGTGGTGGCAGCAAGGGCATTTGAAAAGAAGGGCACAAAATGAATGTTAGCAGAAAGGGAAATAGAGGGTAGTGCGGATTAGTGAGTCAGTTATTTGGCTGGAGCATAGAGTCATTCAGTAACACACTGAAAGAAAAGATTAGAAAGAAGCTTTGTGTGTTCTGTTTTCAAACAAGCAGTTTTATGCCTAGAAATTTATCTCACATATATATGCTCAGGTGAGCAATGACATGTATACAGAACAACCATTAGGGTATTATTATAATATCAAATATTTGAGACACCTGAGTCTTCAAGAGGTAAATAAATTATGGCATCCCCATGCCGTGCCTACTGGGCAAGTATGAAAACAAACAAGCAAACCAACAAATGAAAGAAACAACAAAAGTAGAGCTGGGATGTCTCATATGTATTGATATTCTCCAGCCTCCAAGATATACTGTCAGGTGGAAAAATTAACACATGGAACAGTGTGCATCGTATATAATCAATTGTATAAGCAGGATATAAACATATATGCTTAAACATGCTTAGGCTGTCTGGAAGAACATACAGTAATAAAAACGATTGCATCTGGGAAAGGGGAGCTGGGCTTCTGATGGAAGCCAGGAAGGAAGAGGCATTTTTCACTGAGTACCATTTAATGCACTTCAAATTTTATATATAATCAAGTACTTAGAGCATACATTACTTAAAGTTTATCTAAAGACAGATTGTGAAAAATTCAAATTTAAAAAATGTAATGGGAGGAAAAATAAAATACATACTACTTGGAAGCTGCAGTGTTGAATTTTTGATATTTTTTTCTTTTAATAGTAAATGTCCTGGCTATGCTCGAAGGCAGGAATGAGGAGATGGATGAATGGAGGGGAAATGAAATAGAAGGTAAGTGAAAATTATAGGATTTAGGGCAGAAGTGGAAAGGCTGGTATCTCAGAAGACAAATGTTCGTTCTATGAGGTGTCTAAACAAAGCCACTGAATCACATATTTTGGGCAAAAGCTGATGGGTTATTCTTTTGTTTGTGTTTGTATCAATAAGAACTATTGGGAGACATGTAATATGAGCTGAGTAATTTAACAGTTACACAGGTCAGAGCAGAGTCTCACCACAGGGGTCCTGAGCAATGCAGGTTGCTTTAGGGTAATGGTTGGATGGTTGAGATTTATAATTTAACAACTGTTTCCCTAGCTACTACTTCCTTACTGTAAGACTGGTCTGTGGCAAACTAGGAGATGGGACATGTAACCAAGGTGGGAGAGACTGAGATGAAGATTTAGAAATAAGCATGTTTGTCATTCTTAAGGGCTGCAAGCTTCTTCTCATAACTCATTGATAAATTGGGTGCAAAGACAAAATCTACCCAGTTGATCTGTTTGTTGTGAAGATAAAGTTAGGTAACATATAGATAATATTTTGGAAAAAATAGTATAAAATGTTATTCAAAGACAAAAAGAAACATAGATGAAATTTGCTTAGCTATTTTAATCTCTTCTTTGAAATAAATTATACCGATGGCAAAGTTTGAAGTTGGGCTGTGGTCTATTGAGTCAATGCAAGATAAATATTTATATATTTAGTATAAATGCTAATGTCTTACTGCATTCACTCCAAAGAGAGACAAATAAAAAACAATATTCAATTTTGTTCTACACCAAGATTCATTTTGTTTTTATCTATGTGAATCATAGCAGAATGTTTGATGCATATTCATTGAATAAATGAATCACTCTGCTAATGTTCAGAGGCATTCAGAAGGGTTGTTTGAACCTTCACCCTGTCCTTTCCTAAATTTTGGAACCAGCTGAAGCACAACTGACAAACTATCCAAAAACCATTAAATAATAAAATTCCAGTATAGTGTCATGAAAAGTCAGTTTTAGTCATGATTTCTGCAATTTGGGGGCCAGGAAATAAGAATCTTGGATTAAAAAACTAAGGAAAAGTAAAAAGAATGTCTCTTTGAGGAAGTGCTTAGCCTAAGATTTGTTATGCTCTTAATTTCAAATTTACAGTAGTCAACAGAAGCTGACTTACTGTAGAAGAGCATAGAAGATGCATTTTGAAAGTGGGAATATTGAAGACAATGCATCAAAACAGTACTGAAGTTGAAGGTGTCACTCTCTCTCTATCTAGCCCTATACCTCTATCTATTATCTATCTATCTATCTATCTATCTATCTATCTATCTATCTATCATCATCTATGTCAGTCAGTCTGTCTTCTGTCTGTCTGCCTGCCTATATATCTGTCTGCCTGTTTATCTACCTACCTACCTACTTATCTATCTACTTACCTGCCTACCTACCTACTTACCAATCTATGTGTGTGCACATATACATGAAGTATTAAATAAGAAAAAAATAACTAGGGCAATAGAACTTTCCCCAATAGAGTCAGTATTAAACTTTGAACAGTTAGTGAAATGGAGAGCCACAATTAACTGAAATTAGTATATCAGCTCTGATAAAAGAAACTTAACAGTCCAACTGGCAGTAGCATATATTTTCAAGAAATTTATAAAAGTTTGAGATAAATAAAACAGGCCCTGGATTATAATAAATGTTCTCTGAGACATTTTTTAAATTAAATACTTCACCCTTACCCTAGGGAAATATTTCAAAAGTTTCATTCAATCCATCAAATACCATCTTCATAATTCCTGCCATTTCCGTTGGCCATCTGTATTACTGACTTCTTAATGTGTATATATATAAAAATATATATATTATAATTTGTATATAATTTGTATATATATATATATATATACACACACACACACACACATATATATATATTTGACTTTGACACAGGGTCTTGCTCCATCACCCAGGCTGGAGTAGAGTGGTGCGATCTTGACTCACTACAGCCTTCACCTCCCAGGCTTAAGTGATCCTCCCACCTCAGCCTCCTGAGTAGCTAGGACTACAGGTGCACACTACCACATCTGGCTATTTTGCTGTATGTTTATTAGAGATGGGGTTTCAGCAAGTTGCCGACACTCCTGAACTCAAGTGATGCTCCTGCTTTGGCTTCCCAAAGTGCTGGGATTACAGGAGTGAGCCACCACACCTGCACATTCTTTATACTATTTCTATTTATATCAACTTTAATTTCAATCAGAATTCCTTAGTCTCTTTTTACACAACTTCTTTAAAACTTTGAATTTAATGTTATAGTTATGTTGCTTCTCCTACAGATAAACTAACTTTATAACCAATTAAATAATATTCACCTTCCAGTCATCATTCTCAGCAAACTATCGCAAGGACAAAAAACCAAACACTGCATGTTCTCACTCATAGGTGGGAATTGAACAATGAGAACACATGGACACAGGAAGGGGAACATCACACTCTGGGGACTGTTGTGGCATGAGGGGAGGGGGGAGGGATAGCATTAGGAGATATACCTAATGCTAAATGATGAGTTAATGGGTGCAGTACACCAACATGGCACATGTATACATATGTAACAAACCTGCACATTGTGCACATGTACCCTAAAACTTAAAGTATAATAATAATAAAATAAAAAAGTTAACCTATCTCATAATTTTGTGTTGAATGCCATAAAGCAACCACATCTATTTACTCTGGCATGGTGAGAATAACTAATTGCAAATAAAATTAATATGGTAGTTACTAATCTATTTAGATAAATAAACAGTACACAGTATATGCAAGGTAAATGGTATATGTCTATGTAACAAAATGGCAACAGAATTTTTCTTAACCTGAGAAGAAAATACCTTGCATTCCCTTTAGGGGAGATAATGAAACTCTGAGGGTCCAAGCAACAAGTAATTTGTTTTTCAAAGAGGGGGAGTAAAGAGAGGAGAGATAAAGATGGATTGGAGCATGAGAAACAGCTTACTTCAGGGGATGGATTTAAGGTAAGGCCAGGGTAGAATCTACTATAGTGGAGAGAATGTTTTATAATGCATAGAATATAGTGGCCAGATAATATTTTGACAATGGATTGGCTAATGCTTTATCGCAGAAGAATGGCTCTCCTTTCTGTTACTATACAAACTACTTCTGGCTTTCCAACCTCCCCAGTTTTCAGTAAAGTCAGTTACACTTACTGCTAATTAGTGTGAGTGGGAATTGTGTTTAAGTTAAAGAGGCATGCCTAGTAGCATGGTCCTGGAAGCAAAGGTGACGATGAGAATTCACATTCTTCCCTGAAAATTTCAGGACATTTGATAAGGACTTTGAACTGTTTCAGCGTGGAATCCAGAGACATAAGATGACTTGAAACTCAAGTGTCAGTCATATTATTAGTGTCTCTTTTATATATAGTGTGGATTCAGTTTTCATCTAGTTCATTTTTTTAATATTTTCATAATGTTGCCAAAAAAGAAATCTTTAAGATTTTTAGGAAAGGGTGATGAAGGCAAGTGGAACTCATACAACTGCAGTTCAAAACCTGGACTTTAAAAGTAGCTTGATCAAGACAATAGCATCCCTGAGGAAACTCCATGTGTGTGCATGACAATCTACACAGGCTTTCTCCTGCCCACTCTAATGAGTTGCAAGTGTCTTAGGCTGGTTTCTCCCAGAAGCAGACTTTGAGAAAAAGCTTCAAGCTCAAGTAGTTTGTTTGGAAAGTACAGGGACACCACAAGGAAAGTAAGGAAGGGAGCTTAATCCCTCAAGGAAATTCTGAGAAATGTCCTTATCTCAGAATTATCCTACCGAAGGGCAAGTGAACTGGGGGATTTATACCCAACTCTCAAGGGTAATTTCTTGAAGGATCCTGGGGGTGATATAGATTCCACCAGCACTTCCAGCCTGCTGCACATGGACCAAGTGGCTAGATAAAAAGCCCCTCAGGCATACTTAGCCCACACACAGCTGGCTGGCAACTGCAAGTTGGCAGGAGTACACTGAATCAGTAAGGTCTGCAGGATGCGAGCAGGGAAATTGACAGTATCTGCCACAGTAACTAAATGGGCAAGGTTTTATTTCTCAATCTGCCATAAGGCTAAACACGAAAGGGATCAGAAACCCAGTGGACTTGTTTACTGAGGCTGCTTTCTATGCTAAAGTGCTTCAAAGTTGTTGTGGTATTATTATAGCATGCAAATGAATATTGATAACGGTCTAATTAGTTGGTCTGGTTTTTAGGTTTCCTTTAATGATGATCATAATAATTTCCTGCCACACACACTAAAAGGCTACCATCTAGAGGTACTGTTCTAAACTTTTTATGTAAGATAACTTATTTCATTTTTGCATCACTTCAGCAACGTAATGTCACTATTCTCAACTTTAGATGAGAAGGCTAATGCTCAGGAAAGTATAAAAATTACTCCAGGAAGCACAGTAGCAGAACCTGGATGTGATGACAGATAGCAAGGCCACAATTCTTTCCACTTTTAAAAGGCCTCTAACTTTAAAAGACTGAAATCCATGTCCCTATGTGGTCTAAAGACAGAAGAAACTTTAGTGACCTAAGGATGTAGTATACATAAAATGTAAGTTAAGAATAAGTAAAGCAATGTAAGAAGCAATTTGCAAAAATATATTCTGCAGAATGTTAGTAGATATTATCTGCAGTGGGGATCAACTTTGGAAGCCAAATAAGTTAGGAATATTTGAGATTAAACAGTTATTTTGGTTAATACATATATTTTAACCTTTCAATTTGCTTTACTTCAGGACATTTTAGAATTTTTAATATGTTAAATTATATGGTGACTACCCAAGAATTATATTTCACCATATAATTTAGTCACCAAGAATAGAGATAAAGTATATATGTTTTCCCAAATTATTTGATGTGGACTTGTACTTTTCATGCGACAGATTCTGGGTAGAGAGAATGGATTCTGTGATGTTTTATACTAGACATCTTCCTCACAATTAAATACCATTCAAGTTAATATATTAATAAATTTGACATTTTAAAGTTCCTAAACTAAGTAGTGCTAGGTTAAGCATTCGAAATATTTATGTTTTCTTTTGTAGAAATTATGTCAGGGGAACACACTGTGAAAGATAACTGTAAATGTCAGAGATGGGCTCATCTGAGGATCTAGTTAGTGATCAAGGCCCCAAACTGCCCCCTATCATTTTTCACACTTAAAATTACTCAAAATTTTAGACTTGTCTTAACAAGATCAATTAAATCTCCTTTGAAAAATGGAGGAGGAAACCTGCCTCACTCAGTTACAGTTCAGAAGAAAATCCCTGTTTTTAAAACTCACATGACTATCTCCTTTTAGGTCCACACCTTATTACACCTTATTTATTTTTTTGGTAGATCAACTTCTACTGTCCCTTATTTTTATTTCAAATTAATAAAGTTCTGGAGTGAATTCTTTTTCAGTTCCTTCAGAATTCCCTTGAATGGGAATTTTTCAAAATCACAATAAAATATTTTTAAGGCCTTTATTCTCTCTCTAAGACTTCCGTGACACTCTGAAGTTTCACATAATTTCTAGTCTGCATCTCATCAAATACTGGCAAAATTTATTCAATTCAAATTAAGTAGATGTAGCACAGCGTAATCTTTCTCTATTAAATATGTCACTTTTTGCAATTGTTTCTTAATATCCCTCACAGCTTCCATCTAAGATTAGCACTTTCTTTGCTGCCAGAGTTTCACTAACCTACTGAATTATTCACTGAAGCATAACCTTCAGATATCAGGTTAGAAAGACCTTGATTATGGCAGGAAGTGAACTGTATAAACCATTTTTCTTTAAAAGAAAATTTCTCAGTATAGCAAAGTCTGAAATGAGATAAGCATTAAATGTGTATAAAAATTAAGTTCATAATTGATAGGAATTTAGCCAACTGTGACATTCCTGCATTTTGTTTATTATAATGTATAATACCTTCCTAAGTATTACAAAGCAGCATAAAAACATGTGCATTGCTATAGCACTTATTTAACCTAAGAAGACAGCTGCCTGGCTGCATATTTAACAAACAAAATTGTTGAATGCTAAATTATACAATGTTTTACACAAGCTTCTGAATATTCAGATTTTTAACATAATTGTACTTTCTCTTTATTTTCTATTCACATTTGCTTCCTTTACTATAGCTTTGTTTCAGTGTCACATAGCACTGGAGTTCATGGTAAAGTCAGCAATTCACCATGGGCCTCCCTGCAGCAAATTCTATTAGTAGCATCCATTGCTTTATCTCAATTCAGTGTTGAAAGGTCATTAGAATACCAACTGAGGAGACAACACTCTTGAAACACCTTTGCTAGTGTTGAAATCAGAAAACTCACCACTCACAAATCAGTCCCTTCATGACCAACCCACTGGATACCCAATAGCTAAAGTGCAGCCTTAATACACAGCAGGATGTATGTCTTATTCTTCTACCAGATGAGAAGAGAATGCACAGAGACAAATACCATCCATACTGATCCACATTCATTCCATAAACTGTTGGCAGATATTTTTTTTAACATATATTTGACCTCAGACACCATTCAAATGACTTTCCACATACTCAAGTGGAGAATATATATTTTAAATATCAGTCCACTTACGAATGTTAGCCTTCTCCTACCTTACAATCAGTGTTGTAAAAGTCAACACAACTTAAAAATGTCAATAATGAGAGATGATGCATTATTAAAGAGTGTTCTTTGATCAGATTTTCTACATAGATTTGCTGTTCAGATGAAGGCAATAAACTGAGAAATATTTTTCACCATGAGTCACTGTAAGTGATATAGCTAATATTAATAATTTTCTTTAAATATTGCCCACCCTACCCCCAGCAAAAGTACAAATTGTATTCTCTTCTAAAATTTTCATCTGGTTGAATAATTATTTGAAAGGCTTTTTATAAGCACTTAGGGAAGTGCCAAATAAGCATGTGAAATGACAAGGTGCTCAGAACAAACAGGGCACTGGGGAGGAAGACCCAGAAAATGTGCTAGTAAAGAGAAAACTGAAAAAATGCCTTTTCCTTAAGAAACAAAGAAAAATCTTATTAGAATAAACATCGCAACAATTTGTTCAGGTGAAAAATTCAATGATCGTATGCTCATATCAATAAAATATTTTTATTTCTGAGAGAAGTATAAGAATTTGGGGAGGTTGGCTGGGCGTGGTGGCTCACGTCTGTAATCCCAGCACTTTGGGAGGCTGAGGTGGGTGGATCACCTGAGGTCAGGAGTTCGAGACCAGCCTGGCCAATATGGTGAAACCCCCATCTCTACTAAAAATACAAAAACTAGCCGGATGCAGTGGCACATGCCTATAGTCCCAGCTACTTGGGAGGCTGAGGCAGGAGAATCATTTGAACCTGGGAGGCAGAGGTTGCAGTGAGCCAAGATCACGCCACTGCACACCAGCCTGGGTGATAGAGCTAGATTCTGTCTTAAAAAAAAAAAAAAAGAATTTGGGGGTTTTATAATGAGTTGCACATGGTTTATTAGAGTACTAGTGTATATATTTTTTCTTATTTCTCTTTATTCCATGAATTTTTATCATACAAGTACTTGGATTGTTGAGACCATGTCACCAAAAAAGTAGAAGAAAAAATGTCCCCCTTTTATTACATGTTTGTCATATCTTGCCAATTTGGTCTACTGTAATTTTCTTGTATTTAGCACTGCCATCTTTCCTGGGTGGAGTATAAATTTAGACGATAATAGTATCAAAATACCAATGCAACTAAAGACATCATATAAACTAGAAAGGCACAATTTGATCATGTGGTAATGAAGAGTGGGGTGATATGTCTCATTTTCTAAGAAAATTCCCAACAATTCCTTTTTCATTTATTCAAAAAATGTGGGATAGATTTTAATCACAAAGATTTTTCCTAGTGACAATTCTCAGTGGAGGGAGTCCATATAAAATTTTTCTCTCATGTACAATTATTAGCCTCTAAATAAGTGCCAGAAATGAATAGGACAACGTTTAGCTCTCAGGAAACTCACAGCCTTGTAGTGGAGTTCTCAGTCTCGCCACAGAGGATGTGCTCCAGCTGGCACAGGAATGACAAATAGGAATGAGTCCTCCCCTTCTTATTTTCAGGTCAGATATTGTCATGGGTCCTTTTTCTTCCTGATCTCAGATGTGACTTCAGAATCTTTCTCAACAAAGTGTAGTTTGGCATTTGTGTTGAAACTACTACATCCCTGATTTAGTGGACAGTTCTAGGCTATGGTTTTTTGGTTTTTTTGTTTGTTTGTTTTTACTGTGGCTGGGTTACGCTTTGAGGATTTACATGAATGGGAACAAAGAGTGCAAGTGTTGGGCACAACAGGGAAATGCCTAAGCAGATTGTCTTGAAGAAAAAGATTAATCATACTAATTTATCTGAAAGTCAGGAAATAAGGTGAATCAGAATTCAAGAGATGATCTGGGATTAGTTTTCCCAGAGGTCTTCTACACATTAAAATAGACCATGACTTGTTTGATATTTCTGAGGGTAGCTATAATAAGCTCCAGAATCATTCTGTGCACTGTAACTGCCATCAAATTGCATTGCAATTTTTTAGTATAATGCCTGCTTCCACATTAGACTATGCATTGTCTGCGGGAATAGAACATGTCTGTCTTCCTGACTACTCCAAATCTAGTATATCATAAGGGGATCCCTGATATAGCACACATGTTCAGTAAAATATTTAATAAATTAATTGATTTTCTGAGGGTTTTTGATATATGAAAGTGCAGGCAGCCTGGGCAACATGGCAAAACCCCAGCTATACAAAAATAAAAATAAAAATAAAAAAATAGCCAGGCGTGGTGGCCTGTGTCTATAGTTCCAGCTACTAAGGAGGCTGAAGTGGGAAGATTGCTTGAGCCTGAGAGGTCAAAGCTGCAATGAGCCATGATCATGCCATTGCACTCCAGCCTGGGCTACAGAGCAAGACATTATATTAAAAAAAAAAAAAAAGAAGGAAGAAAAAGCAAAGCAAGAAAGGAAGGAAGGAGGGAAGGGAGAGAGGGAGGGAGGAAGGGAAGGAAGGAGAAAGAAAGAGGAAAGAGAAAGAAAGAAAGAGAGAGAGAGAAAGAAAAAGAAAGAAAGAAAGAGAAAGAAAGGAAAAGAAAAAGGAAAGAAAGAAGGAAGGAAAGAGAAAGGAAGGAAGAGAGAAAGAAAAGAAAGAGAAAGAAAGAAAGAGTACAGGCAAAATTTAGTAAAAGGCCAAATATATATGTGAGATAAGAGAGTGGATGTACTATATTTCTCAGGATAAGCCTGGGTATTACCTTGCCTTTTCAAATATCCCACATCTAATAATACACACTCGGCTGTACTTAAAATCATCCAATGTTTCACTTTACTTCATGCTAGAAAAACAAAAAGGAATAGAGATTGCCAAGGGTAGATGTCTAACTGGAAAATAAAAAAGGATATGATAGAGCTCATGGAGAGTTAATAATTAAGTAAATTAGATATGTATTTCTTCAAGTTTGGGATGGGAGAAGCTTTGAAGAAGCAGCAATGAATACCACGATTGTAAATTTCTTGTGGGCCTGAGCACTGCTGAAGTACTGGAGCTAAGGCTTCACCTAAGATAGAGATTCATTGTTTCTTTGTACTCTTTCACCTTCTGCCTCTCTTAAATTCCTCCTCAAACTTATAATAGCAACATTATTTCTCACAACAGTCCAATGGTAGTGGCACTCATTCTGTGGCACTAAGATAGCTCATGATGAATTAAACAATGCATGTCCAGCCTATTAGCTGACTTTTGCTAACTATATCTACAAGAGTTACTAGTGATGTGTAGGACATTACCAACACAAATTGAGTGAATAATTTTTCTCCTCTTCAGACAATTGCTTCTTATTAACATCCTTCCGGAGGTTGCTAATTAAGACTGTTACAGGCATTTTATTTCACATTTTTCTCTAATTTCTCTGAATATAGTGTTTTCTGTGCTGTAGAAAGAAGCTGTGGCTGACATTCTGGAATTCATTACGAGTTTTTCAACAGCTGAACATCATTATTTCATTGAGATATCTTCTGCCCCTGTCCTTGATGTCTATAAAAACTATACCTATGTTACCTGGTGAGCAATGGGTGCAGTTTGCCTGTGAGTATAGGCCACAAAGATGTCAACTGGAACTTCTGCTACTGGTCATTTCAAAGCACTTGCTTCGAAACACACACAGAAAATTTAAGTGATGTCCCCAAGCCATATAACAAACTAGGTCAGATCACTCTTAGTACATTACTCATTTCTGTGGCCCTCTTATTACTTCTTTGACTAACTAAGTGACTATTTTGCTAGTGGGCTATTCATAGAAACCCAGTGAAGATTTGTGGGAGGGTGATATGGTTAGGCTTTGTGTCCCTACCCAAATCTCATCTTCAATTGTAATCCCCAGGTGGTGAGAGAGCAACCCAGTGGGAAGTGACCGAATCATAGGGGTGGTTTTCTCCATGCTGTTTTCACGATAGTGAGTGAGTTCTCCCAAGATCCGATGGTTTTATAAGCTCCTGGCATTTCCCCTGCTTGCACTTCTCTCTCCTGCCACTGTGTCCGGAATTCGTGGGTTCTTGGTCTCACTGACTTCAAGAATAAAGCCGTGGACCCTCGCGGTGAGTGTTACAGCTCTTAAGGTGGCGCGTCTGGAGTTTGTTCCTTCTGATGTTCGGATGTGTTTGGAGTTTCTTCCTTCTGGTGGGTTCGTGGTCTCGCTGGCTCAGGAGTGAAGCTGCAGACCTTCGAGGTAAGTGTTACAGCTCATAAAAGCAGTGTGGACCCAAAGAGTGAGCAGTAGCAAGATTTATTGCAAAGAGCGAAAGAGCAAAGCTTCCCCAGTGTGGAAGGGGACCCGAGCAGGTTGCCACTGCTGGCTCGGGCAGCCTGCTTTTATTCTCTTATCTGGCCCCACCCACGTCCTGCTGACTGGTAGAGCCGAGTGGTCTGTTTTGACAGGGTGCTGATTGGTGCCTTTACAATCCCTGAGCTAGACATAAAGGTTCTCCACATCCCCATCAGATTAGTTAGATACAGAGTATGGACACAAAGGTTCTCCAAGGCCCCACCAGAGCAGCTAGATACAGAATGTCGACTGGTGCATTCACAAACCCTGAGCTAGACACAGGGTGCTGATTGGTGTGTTTACACACCTTGAGCTAGATACAGAGTGCCAACTGGTGTATTTACAATCCCTGAGCTAGACACAAAGGTTCTCCAAGGCCCCACCAGATTAGCTAGATACAGAGTGTCCACTGGTGCACTCACAAACCCTGAGCTAGACACAGGGTGCTGATTGGTGTGTTTACAAACCTTGAGCTAGATACAGAGTGCCGATTGGAGCATTTACAATCCCTGAGCTAGACATAAAGGTTCTCCAAGGCCCCACCAGAGTAGCTAGATACAGAGTGTCGATTGGTGCATTCACAAACCCTGAGCTAGACGCAGGGTGCTGATTGGTGTGTTTACAAACCTTGAGCTAGATACAGAGGGCTGATTGGTGTATTTACAATCCCAGGGCTAGACATAAAGGTTCTCCACGTCCCCACCAGACTCAAGAGCCCAGCTGGCTTCACCCAGTGGATCCCGCACCGGGGCCGCAGGTGGAGCTGCCTGCCAGTCCCACGCCCTGCACCCGCAGTCCTCAGCCCTTGGGTGGTCGATGGGACTGGGCGCCGTGGAGCAGGGAGCGGCGTCATCGGGTAGGCTTGGGCCGCAGGGTAGCCCATAGAGGGCGTGGGAGGCCCAGGCATGGCGGGCTGCAGGTCCCGAGCCCTGCCCCGCGGGAAGGCAGCTAAGGCCCGGTAAGAAATCGAGCACAGCGCCGGTGGGCTGGCACTGCTGGGGGACCCAGTACACCCTCCGCAGCCGCTGGCCTGGGTGCTAAGCCCCTCATTGCCCAGGGCCGGCAGGGCCGGCCGGCTGCTCCGAGTGCGGGGCCCGCCAAGTCCACGCCCACCTGGAACTCCAGCTGGCCCGCAAGCGCCGCGCGCAGCCCCGGTTCCCTCTCGCGCCTCTCCCTCCACACCTCGCTGCAAGCTGAGGGAGCCGGCTCTGGCCTTGGCCAGCCCAGAAAGGGACTCCCACAGTGCAGCGGTGGGCTGAAGGGTTCCTCAAGTGCCGCCAAAGTGGGAGCCCAAGCAGAGACGGCGCCGAGCGCGAGCGAGGGCTGTGAGGACTGCCAGCACGCTGTCACCTCTCACCACCATGTGAAGAAGGTACCTTGCTTCCCCTTTGCCTTCCGCCATGATTGTATGTTTTCCGAGGACTCCCAGCCATGTGGAACTGTGAGTCAATTAAACCTCTTTCCTTTATAAATTACTGATTCTTGGGTATTTATAGCAGTGAGAAAATGGACACAGGGTAAAAATTTATTTCAAATTTATAGTTGTATTCTCAGTACTATGCCTGTGCCAAGCCATTTGATGAGGATTATCTGTGTTTGGTGACTGGTGCATAATTAGGTTAAGACTGCAGATATACAGAGTAATCAACCACCTAAGCAGTGTGGTTTATGGATTTTCCAAAAGTATTCTCTTACTGATTTCGTCTCTCCCAACAGCTTACCATCATACCTCAAATTTTCACTAGAATCATTCCTTATAGGTCCCCTCAAGACAAAGTTTTTGGCTGCTTAGAGCAATCTGCTTTGAGGGGGAGTGAGAGATTGAATAATTAAGACTGAATTGCCAGATGCTGGATGATCTCAGAAGTGTATTCTCAGACCACTCCTCTTATCTGTTTAAGCTCTCTAAGTAACCTTACTCAATTCAATGCCATTAAATAACATTTTTATAAATAGATTTCCAAATTTTATTGTTACTATAACTTTTACACTGTGATCGGGTATTTTTTTTCTAATTTCCTATTAAATGATGCCACTTGGATGTCCAATCAACATCACAAACCCCATCGAAAAGCAATTCTTCTCCCAGCCTTCTCCATTTTAGCAAAAAGTACACCACACACTCAATGGTGCAGGCCTGAATAGAGGAGTTATTTTTGGTTTCTTTGTTCACCTTGCACATCTAATTTATTAGTGAATCTGGTCAGTTCTGCATTAAAAATATATCCATTCTCTGCACCATGCCCAGAATGAGCTTATGAAAATGTAAATGGGGTTAAGACATTTTCCTATTTAAATTTCTCTAATATTTCCTCATAGAATTTAGAATAAAATTGCAAATCCTTATCATGGACTCAAGATGCTGCATATTGCTCTCTGGACTCATCTAGTACCAGTCTTCCCAGGTTCACCATGCTTTGATGTTCAATCACCTTGGACTTCTTTCTATTCCTTAAAGCAGTAAAATATTTATAATCAAAGACCTCTCTCTGTAAAACTTAGGGTAGCTCCTTTGTTTCATTCCTGTCCTAACTCCAAGGCAAGGAAGCCTTTCTTAACTAAATAGTCTCCTCAGTCACCCCTCTCATGTAATAATGGCATTGCTGTTACAGCACTTACCAACTCTGAATTACCTAACTTATTTATTTGTTTACTTCTTTTTCTCTGACCCCTTCCTGGGGGATCTTATCTGGCTTGTTCATCATTCCCAGTGCATATCTGAAACAATTATTAAAATACTGTAGCCACTCCATACATATTATTAGAAGAAATGTAGAAGGGATAGCAGCAAAATCCTGGTCTCCTAATGTATAGCCTGTGTTTTCTTTCCACTTAATTGGTACATTTGTAGTAAGTACCATTGTATACATTAGTGTAAAATATATCTTAATGTATAAAATAGATTATGCTATAGGAACAAATTAACCTCAGAATCTCAGTAGGTTAATACATAACTTTTGGTAATTATTCATGGGAAGTCTGGTGTCAGTTGATGAAGCTGTTATTCCACCTGGTGACTCAGGGATCCAGATTCCCTACATGATATAATGTTGCCTTCTCCCCAGGGAGGTAGCACACCAGCTGTTAAGCATTTAGCCTAGAAGTGAAACAAGTAATTTCTGGTAAATTAGTATTGACTGGAACTAGTCTCACAGCCTAATGTAATCACAAGGGAGGATGGATTATTTAGGAGAACACCTGGTATATTTGGTAAGCAGTGCTACATCTAACCTACATTAATGGTATGGAATAGAAATAAGATGGGGAAGGGAATAGGAGAAAAGAGGTTGGGAGATTAAAACAATTTTTAAAAATAGCAAAGAGAAAGGGGGAAAAACTAAACTGAAATATACTGACATTGCTCTCTGGGCTATATGCACTGCTAATGGAAGCTAATGGAGGGCTAGTTATAATCTCCACATTGGTGAATATATACACGTGTATAAATGTATATGTGTGTGTATGTGTGTGTGTGTATGTATATAGGCTCCCATTTGGTTTGCAGCTGTAGCTAACATTACTTCCAGCTCCTAGTACTGTTGGAAAGTTTGTCTCTTAAAGCTTAAAGTCATGTTCTTCTTGATCCCTTTGCTCTAAAGTATCTTCCCATTCTCAGATGACTCCACCTCAGGCTTGCCTTTATGTTCCACTTCACAGCTAATCATCTTAGATTAATACCAGGGGCACTTTTGCCTAATGGAGTTTCAGCAAGAAAGAGAGAGAGAGCCGGGAAGAAAGCCCCTGCTAAGTGAATATGTCTACTCATTTTCTCCTGTGTTTTACATGCTCTCTGGTATAAAAGAAATCACGGAAGTCAATGGATTAAATATAAATGTGAAGTAAGGAAATATGTGATAAAAGAGAGATGGATAAAAATGTACTTGAGCCCAATGGGCGGACCATGTGGTGAGCTGATATAATACTTTAATTCTGGCATCCCTGTGGCTAGCCCAGGTTGACAACATTTCAAAGATGACAATTATTTGGAATAAATCCAAGATTATACTTTAAATAAAAATGTTCATAAATCATAGCTCTTCCACTATGAATAGGACAACCACATAAGCAATTACTTATAGAAGCAGTATTATCTTGCAATTCAAGCTGTTTCTTAAGTTGATTTTACTAAAAGCTTATTTTTTCCACCAAAGTGAAAAATGAAAACATTCAACTTATCTTGCTTTGTCCTGTATATGAAGTCCAAATAAATGAATCATTTATTCTCTCCAAAAGTGATATGAATAAAAATATGAATTCAAAATCAAAGAGAAAAAGCCATTATGCCTAGAGTGAAGAGAGCTGGGGCAACTGCTGCAAAATGAGGCTGTCAGGGTGGGAAAGAGTCAGGATCCACTTCACCCAATGAGAACATTGAGCACCATAAGGGACTCTGGACTCAAAATAAAGCACCTCTTTTCTGCCCATTGGGCAGCATGTATAGTGCTTAGAATCAGCATCCCCAACATCCAGTATTGGATGTGTTAGTACCAGCTTTGTGTCCTTGGGTGAGTTTTTTTACTCACGTGTGTCAGTTACATCCTTTGTGCAATGAAGATTTAAACCTCTTGGAATGGATTTAAATAAGATAATGCGTGTAGAGCTCATAGCACAGTCCTGGTCACATCTTAAATGCTGCTGATATGGTTTGGCTGTGTCCCGACCCAAATCTCATCTTAAATTATATCTCCCACAATTTCCAGGTGTTGTAGAAGAACATAGTGGGAGGTAATTGAATCATGGGGGTGGGTCTTTCCCGTGGTGTCCTGGTGATAGTGAATAAGTCTCATGATATCTGATGGTTTTAAAAGTGGGAGTTTCCCTGCACAAGCTCTCTCTCTTTGCCTGCTGCCATCCACATAAGATGTGACTTGCTTCTCCTTGCCTTCCACCATGATTGTGAGGCTTCCCCAGCCATGTGGAACTGTAAGTCCAGTAAATCTCTTTCTTTTGTAAATTGCCCAGTCTCCCAGTCTACATCTTTATCCTGAGGGCTTCCTGCCCTTGAACTTCAGACTCCAAGTTCTTCAGTTTTGTGACTCAGACTGGCTTCCTTGCTCCTCAGCTTGCAGATGGCCTATGATGGGTGTGAGTTAATACTACTTAATAAATTCCCCTTTATATATATACATCTATCCTATTAGTTCTGTCCCTCTAGAGAACCCTGGCTAATACAGCTGCTCTGAAGCTTTGATGTTGGCAGGAGTAGTATCAAGAATGATATACTATATATACATATATACATATATATATATATATATATATATATATATAAAAAACACACACAGACACACACATATATACATACACACACATACATACATATATATATTTAACTCAGGCAATTTATAAATGCTATTTTACTTTATAATATATTTTAATATCATTGCTGTTTTCCTATCACAAATTTCTATAAAAGCCAGGCAACATATAAAAACCATACTCCTTCAATTTCTTAGTGTGGACAAAATATTTTTCAGTATTTCTGTGTTTAGTTCAGTTCGGTGATATTCCAGTTGCTTTTTAAACTCTAGGAGAAAAAAATGTATCAGGGTAGATTATGGTACCCATTTGACATGGGAAATGGCTGTCACCCACATGCCAATGTGAAAGGTGTTTCTTGATACAAAAGGAAGCTGTAAATTCAATTTCAGTAAATGTTACTTTACCAAATACTGAATAAAATTCAGAGAGATGCAGAGAAAAAAATTACAGAAGACAAATTCATATTAGTTCCAAATTAGATTTCTTTAACACATTGAAAAATACTAAAATGTCACAGGAATGGATTCAGTCTGCAGACTACTTTGGACAAAATTGCCTTTTAAAATGGAAAGTCAAGATGGTGATGCTTAGTATCATGCCAGTGAAAATCCTAGTAGAAAAATCTTGGTAAGGGGACTGATTGAAACTTAAAAAAATTATTTTAGTATTATTGGGAAGCATTTATATTATAGCAGTGGCTTTAAATGTTTTTGGATTGTGACCTATAGTATGAGGCATATTTAGAATTGTGATCCAGTTTATACAAACATATAATACACATATACAAACAAAAGAAAATGAATTTTCATAAATAATATTTACCTGGAATGCATCCAATAAAGTCTACTATTTTTATTTTATTATCTTTAAAATATTTGTTAAATTTTAAGAAATTGATTCCCAGAACCTTAAAAGGGTTATGGCCTACCTACATTTAAATTATGCTGTTTTACAAAATAGTTAATTACGTTGTTAAAAATAAGAGTTAAAAGGAATTTTTACCTTATTATATATTCATATATATTAGAAAGCTACAGGCATATGGTTGCAACAATAGGAAGTCCTAAGTTATACCTATATTTACATAAACAATTTCATATACAATAGAAACGCTATTTTAGTCAGCAATATGATCATATATTATACAAAATGTATCTTAGTGTAGGCCTTTGTTATTTTGGGGAAATGATATTTAGATTGTTTACTTCACAACTTACATCTAAACAAACTGCAGAAGTATTAAAAATATAGGTGCCAAAAATGAAATGATCTAAGTACTAGAAGATTATGAAGATTATTTGTGTAATTTTGGGTTGCGGAAGGTCAAGAATGATGACAAAGTCAGAAATCATTTAAAAATGATAGAATCAACAGCCCATAGTGTGAAAATGTTTATATGTTAAAACCATTACAAACACAATTAAAATCCAAATGATAACCTGAGAATAATTTTTAAAATATATAATACACAAAGTATTTCTAATGTGGAGATGTCTTCCTTGATAATTAAAATAAATGCCACTAAAATATAAATAGTATGTACAAAGCATAAACCTAAATAATTAGTAAGAAAATTTAAAAAATCAAGTTGATTATTTTAAAAAGTTCAAGTTAAAACAATGATAAACTTTTGTACTTATGAAATTGAAAAATTTGTATTTTTAAGGTTATAAAACCCACTGTTATTTAGCTGACATTTATTGAGTGCTTTCTCTATGCTAGACACTATTTTAAACATTCAGTATCCTGCTTAATATTTCTAGAAAACCTATAAGTAGATACCATAACTACCATCTCTATTTACAGGACATTGAGGCTAAGACAGGTTAAGTCATATGTCTAATAAGTAGTGGAGTCACGTTTTGATTCCAGGAAATCTGAAATCCGAGCCCTCACTTTTAATCAAGATTTACTTGTGCTTCCAATACTGGCTAGAGTGTAAAAAAAGTATTGTTAGAAGTAGTGTAGGTAGTACCCTCTTTCTAGAGAGGACTTTATAAAATATCCCCCAAGCACTAAAAATGTGCATGCTGTTTGGAATATCAACTGTATTTTTACAAACCTATTCAACACATAGCTACAAACTCATGCAAATAATTCGTTGTGCAGATTTCCACACAAATTTTTCAACAGCAGAAAACTAACAGGAAATAAAGAGATTAAATATTTACTAATTGAATACATTGTGGCATATTCATGTCATGGAATACCTTTTAGCAATTGAAATATCGCCTTTGATGAATAGTTATTGACAAATATATAAGTATAAAAAACAGATTATAAAACAATATGTATAACATGACTTTAACCAGATACTTTTAGTTTTATATTTAGATCAATTCTGCATTTTTTCCCTACTCTACTTTCTGACCTGGAGGCTGATCCGTCTGGATTTTATCAACAGAGTTCCTATCCCTATGAACTTGGAATTGATAGGTTTGGAAATCCCAGTACCCAATGGAAGAAAGTTTCTTCTAGAGAAAATAATAATAATTTTAGTGAAATATCTCCTTCATTTGAACCCTTAAAAATAAAAAGAAATAACAGAAGCCTGAGAAAGATGTCAGTCACTGTACTGAGCATGGTAATTGATTTCAATTACAATGAAAAGGAATTGACCTACAGCTATGAAATGGGAGCTAAGAAGAATCCTTTTGGGATCTGGTGATTCTGTTGAGACATCTCTGACTACTCATTTCCTCAATATTGTTGTCCAGTAGAAGGCCATTCAACCAAATAAATACAGAAACAAGAACTCAATAATTGTAGGAAAGAAGTTTGAATTTATCCTACAAGGTAAAGTACCCCATTCAGACAAAGTACTGGCATAGGTTAAAGGAGAAAAAAAGTGTTATAGAAAGAAGCATTTCTGAGATATGTCTGTATGGTAGGTTGTATGTCCAAACTGTTATGACTCCATGGTATAACATGTGATGGGATTTTGTGCATCCTCTGTGTTGGAGATGTAAACTTTTCACATGGTAGAAGGATGATATATGGTTTGGCTGTATCCCCACCCAAATTTCATCTTGAACTGTAGTTCCCATAGTCTTCATATGTCGTGAGAGGGACCCGGTGGGAGGAAACTGAATCAAGGGGGAAGTTTTCCCCATGCTATTCTTGTGGTAGTTAGTAAGTTCTCATGAGATATTATGGTTTTATAAGGGGCTTCCCCCTTCACTTGGCTCTCATTCTTCTCCTTCCTTCCGCCATGTGAAGAAGGATGTGTTAGCTTCTCCGTCCACCATGATTGGAAATTTCCTGAGGCCTCTCCAACCATGCTGAACTGAGTCAATTAAACCTCCTTCCTTTATAAATTACCCAGTCTCAGGTATGTCTTTATTAGCAGTGTGAGAACAGACTAATACAAAGGACACAGGCAAATTCTGAGGATCAAATAGAGTTGATAGTACAAATATCTTCCATTTGTATGTATAGATTTGCCCTCTCTCCTGTAGACTACATCAGCAGGGTTCCTACTCCATCTGATTTTATTTGAATTTATCCAGTGCAAAGCCCTAAAAAGAGATCAGAAGGAGGGATGAGAGTAAGATCAGAGTAAGTACTAATTTCCCTGGCTCACTCTCTGCAGCTTTCCCATAGACTGGCTGGGTCCCTTGACCATGCTCATGTTTCCTGACAAGGTGACTGACTCTATACAACTCTTTATCCTTCTAGGTTCCAGTGACTGTGTCTCCATTCTCATTTATTTGTCCTTAGGGTTGAAAATAGCTCACAAGGAACAAGCTCTGTGTTATTGTACTAACTTTTGTGGTTCCTCTATATCCAAACTTTTGTAACTTCTCCCCTTTTAATATAAACCTTCTTAAATATCCATTAGAGTGTCTTATATATTCAGTCTGGAGAAAACATATAAGAGAGGTTAAGCAAATGCCCTACAGTCCTGACTCAAAATTTAAGTACAACCTCAAAAATATTTTTAAAATGTTTATCTATTTATTAGTTTTGTTCACTGAAAAGCCTTGGAGACAATGACTAACCCAGTAGCAATGAGCATCCCTAGCATCCAGATTGTGCTTCTGCAGTAATAGCTGATACCATGTGTGATGGTTAATTTTACGTGTCAACTTGACTGGGTCAAGAGATACCTAGATAGCTAGTAAAGAATTATTTCTCAGTGTGTCTGTGATGGTGTTTCTGCAGGAAACTGGCGTGTGTGAGTAAGTGGACTGAGTGGCAAACATCACCCTCAAGGTGGATGGGAACATTCAATGAACTGGGGGCCCACATAGAACAAAAAGGCAGGGGAAGGATGAATTCTTGCTCTTTTTCCAGAGCCAGGGTCCCCTTCTTTTCCCGGCATTTTGGAGGTAAGAACTCCAAGTTCCCTGGCTTTTGAACTCCAGGACTAACACTGGACATTGGGCTTTTGGGCCTTTGGCCTCAAACTGAGAACTACACCATTAGCTTTCTTGGTTCTGAGGCTTCTGGACTTGAACTGGGCCACACTTCCAGCTTCAGTGGTTCTCCAGCTTGCAGTTGGCCTATCATGGGACTTCTTAGCCTTTATAATTGTGTAAGCCAATTCCCCTAATAAATTCCCTCTCATATATCCATTTCTACATATCTACATCTGTCTATCTATCTATAGATAGACAGATGTAGATACTAATACTGCATATATATATATATATATATATATATATATATATATATATATATGTAGTATTATATTCTGTTTCTCTGGAGAACCCTTACAAATACACCAAGTCAGCGGCAGGAAATGCAAAAGATGACTCTGGCATCTTGGCATACCAGAGAGCATAGAATCTCTCTAAGACTGCGGGGATAAATGGGACAATTTGAGATTTAATAAAAGTAAACATTGAAATTGATCTACACTTGTTTAATATGTTTAAACCAATAAGTTTAATATATATGTGTGTGTGTGTGTTTGTGTGCGCGTGTATATATATATAGATTATAATTGGTTATCTACTGAGGGAACGAATTCATTATCTTGAAAACTGGCTAAATCAGAGAAAATAAATATTTGACATGCCTTTCTATATGAACACTGCATCATAGAATAAAAAACTAATAGGTTTGTGTGGGGTATCTCTGGAAATATTTCTTAATTTTGGCTACTTGAAAAGACTCATAAGATTCCATGGAGTATACTCATTTAAGACTATTATTTAAAGTCAAAGGGGATGGTACATCAAAAGAAAGAGTTCAGACAGACATTTGGGGATCCATGAGACTTTCAGATGCAACCTCTATGTGGTTCTTATTCAAACACAGATATACATCTCTTATTCAAGCATCAAGATCTGTGCAAATAATTTTGGCTTTAGAAGAGCTCGAGGCAGAAGTTTCTAGAACATCTTTTATGGCCCTCTGGTCACACAATCATCCAGGCTGTGTAACCCATTGTGTTAGTTGAAAATCGTCAGTAAACAAACCAGCCCTGGTGCTTTGGGGTCACCCACGGGAGTTTTGGAGTTTAAATCGGACATCGTAACTGCCACTGTACTTGTCTTGGTCAGGAGTTAAAGGCAGACATCCAGGCTTCCCTAGAGAAAAAAAGACAGTTTTCTGAGGCTAGCTGTAGGTAAACTCCACTCTATAAAACCTATTTATAAAATTATTTCAGCTAATTAATGAAAAGAAAATGATAGAATTAGGAAATCACTATTTCACAATCAGCAATGAATGAATGGATTTAAGCATTTTTCATTCCAGCTGCGAATATCAATAAAAAAGACATTTTATGCCTATTAATAAAGAAGACATTTTGTAAGGGATCATTTCTGAGACTGATGAAGTCTCTGGATACAAATTCTAATTTTTAGGAAATATAGGAGACAGAAGAACACATTAAATTGCACCATGGGTATGCTATCAGTAAATCTAGACTGACAAACTCAAGTCAAATGTTTGTAGTTTCTTTAAAAGACTGTGAGTTGTATATTCTTTACCTGAAAAATTGTATGGAAAAGAAATGGAGCAGGGGAATCTAAATTTTTGTTTTTTAAGATTTAAACGATGCATCAAGTTAAAACTGTGATAAGTCTATATCATGGTGACTAGGGCTGCATGCACAGTTAGATGATCAAAGCATAAGCAAAATGCGAGGAGAGTGGGCATCCATTGGGATGGAGCACATGGAGGGGCTTCTGACATGGTTTTACAAATCTGTGTTTTATTTTATAATAAAAAGTTTTAAGAGATTAGAGAGAGTGGAATGTTGAGTGGTAAGATGAGGAGTTGGAATTACATTTGATAATATGCAATTATGTATTGATTATCTTTAGTAGAATCAGGTTTTGGAAATTTAAGCTTAAGACTGAATCCCACAGGGTAATTTGAGAATAGCTGAATGAATAGAAACACCATTATTATGGACATCTAGCAGTAGTACTTGGCTATTCTTAAGGGCTCTAGATCATATTTAAATAATAAGCTTTTTTAGGCATCATAAACACTGTGGTGTAACATCTGTGATGGCTTCACAAAAAGAGCCAACTGGCTTAGGAAAGAGGGAGAATCTATGCATACCAGGTCTGTTGTAATTTAATGCCAGTGTATCTTTTGGGTTCTTGTATTTGCATAATGCAACGGCAGATAGTAGATAACGAAATCTTTACCCCAACAGTATGTTTAATTCTTAAAAGAATTTCTGATCTTATTTCTGTTTACTGCTACTCTCATCTAATAGGTAAAGACCTTGATTTCAAGTGGGAGGTTTGCTGTCATTAAAATGGTTGAATTAGCAGGAAAGCAAAATTACTATAGCCTTCAATGAATTTTTTGAGAAAGAAACTTAGACTTGAATACTAAAGTATAAAGTTTATAATAGGTCATCAAAGGTTTTTCTGTGGTTTTAAATGGAAAGAGTAAGCTGAGGGTAAGGAGCAACAGAGTTGAGAAGCAACCATTATTATAGAGATAAAAATAGATTTTCTTTGAATACTGGAGGGAGGGTAGATATTTGAGATAATATGATATATGAATATCTTAACTTTTTACCCAGGAAAAGAAGAAAAATGTGGTGTGATGGTAATATTTATTCATGTGAGAATATTGGGGAGAAAGTATGAAGGGAAGGAAGGAGGGGGAAAAGGTAGATTTTGTGTGAAGATAAAGTGTCCTTAACTTTCCAATTCTGAGTTTTTGATAATGACAGTTCTTCTACTCAAAATAATCTACAGATAATTTAAGCACTAGCATTCTTAAAATGGGGAGTGCTGTGTACACTTAGTAACTCTCATTCTGTATTTTTGATATAGCAGAACATATTGTTTCTTTTTCTTGAAATGATGTCTAATTTCTAAAGTAATAAGAGAAGCAAATAAACCGTAGTAAGCCATATGTTGCAAAGGTCTACAATATTTCTGCACCATAACAGGAAGACACACACACACAGAGTTCTGTGTGAGTGGTAAAATTTTAGTAACTTGCATTATTACATTTTGGTAATATCTCAGGCTGGAGTAAAGATGGTGATATCCAGCACAGATGAAAATGAAAAAAAACCCCTAAATACCAGCCAAGATATGCTTGTGATATGCTAAAAATGAATTTCAACTACTGAAAGCACCACATAAGAGGAAACTATCAAAAAACTGCCAGGTTTGAGATTTAGAAATGTCACTCACTGGTGCTGTTTCCAAACAAAAAGCTTTTATTCTTGTGGCAGGTTTTCACAGCTTAACAGATAAGCTTGTGTTAGGTGTTTGCATGTTGCTTTTTAGAGAGGTATTTTATAAAACAAGGACGACAGCGTGTCTGAGAAAAGAAGGAGTTAATGGGTTAAAAACTGTGTAAATTTTACTCCAGTAAAATTACAGCTTGTTGTTCAGATGAATACTCTCCACTTCTCATATAGCTTTAAATTATGGACAAATGCTTGCAATTGTGAACTCCCTACATTGTGGCTGCCTGTTCCCAGGCTTCATCAACCAGGGTTGTCCAATGGGATTACTGTAAGCCTTCACGGCAGTCTGCCAGCCACTGATGAGAAACTCATATCCCTGGATGTTAGATTGCTCTCTTTATTCTATCCTTGTGACGGCTGTGATTGCTGTCATGGTGTTAGGTTAGAAATTAGCATTTTGTGGCCCTAATTTTGCCATCCAGAACATACTCAGAAAAGGAAAGACTCAAAGAATAGTAATTTCTTCTGTCAAAAAAGGAACACAGAGCCACCATGATACAGATGTCTACAAAACTTAGGTCAGGAAATAGTGTATGATCCTGGTTGGCGAAGTGCATGCGGTGGGAGTTTTACTCTGATCACAGACCTCTGCTTAGAAAATAATGGTTTTCATTTTATAAAACTAAGACTGAATGAAGAAACTAGGAATGAGTCCCTAAAAATGTTCCATTTTTTTTTTTTTTGCTAGGCCAAAAGCCCAATTTTTAGCATCATTTCAGTTCTTATATCTAGAAACAATGACAATATATATGTATTTTCTTGTAATAGTCTCTTTCCGATAGATAGGTCTAAGAATACTATGAAAAAATGCAAGATAAAGATGTTGTGAAAAATAAAGTGGTAAATATCATTGGGTTTTTTTTGTGTGTGTTTTCCCTAAATCATTATGGAGAAAAGGTTACAGCAGTACTATTACGACAATCAATGTTTTGTGACATCAATGATTCTGTAAATGTCCTTGCATTACTTTTTTCTCTCTATCCTATATTCGCTGATGCCTGTGTACTTACTATACAATTATTAAATAACTACTGACTTTTAAAATTTTATATGACCTACACTGTGGTTAGAACTTACATAAATTTAATTTCTACTCTCTATGCTGGAGATTAATTACAGTAAAAAAATGAAAGCGATTTAAATTTTGGTAAAAAGAATGATATAGTTTCCTTATCTTCTGATTCTTCCTAGGCTATCCACAGACATGCTAATTTTTCCTGTCATTAACAGTGAGCAAGCTAGAAGGATTCTGACATGTGAGGTGCACAGATTCTGTTTAGGAGCCTTGATTTTTATCCACCCAAGCTTATCCGTCATCTTTAATCATGCAAAAGGCAGAATTACTTAATCATTTCATTTTATTGAAAAGAAAAAGAAAGATCTACATTAAAATGATGACACACAAGAAAAAAATAAATTGAAAATGATTATGAGGAGAGGGTAATGTGGAGACGAAAGCTCCATTGGTTTCGTGATGCTCATTTAAAGCAATGATCTAGTGAAGCCGAGACATTAAAGCACTGATGATGTTGGCTGTTGGGGTATATCTTATCTTTGCATTTTAACTTGCATTCCTAGACTGCATTCTTAGCAAATTTTGTGGGGGATGCGATGTCAGGCCAAATAATTAAATATTAGACCTAATTGTGCACCTCTCTCTACCTTTACTCCAGGTTGGATTATACTCTTATGATAATCTTATATAGATGACCATGACTCCAAAATTTAAATTTTCAAGTCCTTGAAGATCTTTACAAAAAATACTTGTTTTTAAATTCCACAGTGCAAAATAAGCCAAATTACTCAGACTCTAATAATTATCAAGTTCAGCTATATAGACTAATGTTGCTTGAGAAAAATAGCTTATTTTTCTCAAGCAAACGAGTTATTTTTCTTTTGATATATATTATTAGTGTTCTTTACTTTTATTGACAATAATACATGTTTCATATAAGCAGTGGCTTTTATGCACTGCTTCATATTAGAGAGTTGGATTAGGGTATTATAAATAGTTGTCTGGAACATTTTCAAGGCTCTTTGCCCATACTTTCTATTTATTTTATTTGTTTCTATTTTTAGTTGAAATATAATGTTACTTTCCAAAAATGAGGCATTTTTAAAAGTTTGTGAAGATATCAATTGACAATAATTTTTAATTTTTTTTGTGTTACGTAAAACAAGGATTTTTGAAACTATAGTCAGGTCTTTTACGATTTTTTTTTCTTTACCTCAAAATACATATTGTCTTCTAAGAGTCAACATATTTCTGAAAATTGTGTTTAAAATAATCAGTTGCACCAAATGAGTAATTATACATGAGGAAAATTAAGAAAAAATGTTTTTGATCTTTCTAAGGCCAACTTTTAATCATATTTATTCTTTTCCTCTTATAAATAATAGTTTAACATGTATTATGTGCCAAGAACTGTGCTAAATAGTGTGGATATAGCTGTGAACAAAATTCCTGGTCTCTAAGATACTTTGTTACATTTTTCCCACAGCACAAATAATTTAAAGATCCAGGAATAAAAAAACAATGTATTTTCTGCTCTCCTAAATATGTAATTGGCCATATTTTCACTGAACTTGAATATCTTCATATGCACAACTATACAAGCATTTAGTCACTCAGTGATATTAAACTACTTCAATATTGGTCAACATACTTAGACTTTACATGGCACTCATAATGCTTATTTTGAATTTAAATAGCACAATTTGAGATGATCTTAAGATATTACTATTTCTAATATAAACAAATGCAATCAACAAAACAGTTCAGTGTGATTTAACATAAAAATTAAAAGATATAATTGAAAGGTTGAAATGACTTTTGTGTTTAAGTTACAATGATTTTATATAACCTACAGTAATTGTAATTTGAAAAACCATATAATCTATATAATTAGGTTTTAGAAATTCATGATTTTTGATATCATCCCTAAGGACAGAGAGGCATATGTTAAAAATCAACTCTTCTTTTGCTAACCTAAAGTATCTTTAAATTCCAGACTCTACAATTGTTAATTTCTATCACAATCCTTTTAAGGAGATAAAGAAAATTCTGCTTTTCTTGTACTTCGTTGGAGACTTTGCTGCTGGATAATTCAAGAACTTTCCTTTACATTTTTAGACAGCCTCATCACTTACAAAGCCATATGCAGTTATTTTTACATACAATAAAGAATCAAAAATATCACAATATAAAATTAATATAAAATTAAGAACTGTAATCTTATATAACTAAATTATCCAGTAGTCTTTCAAAATTAGTTAAGTAAATTAACATATTTTATACATATTAGAAACTTGGTTACATTAAAAATTCATATATAATATTTTATTGAAAACATGTTTGATATTAATTTATATGAATATTTGCTTATAGCGAATTTTGAACTCTATTATTACAAAATGGAAATGAAATATGCAACTATTGCAATTTAAAGACAGCACTGTTATGTAAAACCAAGTTAATATTATAATCAATTTTTTAAAAGAAATTCACAATTTTCATCACAGAAAAAAATTGGATTTTCTTTTTCTAATAATCTATTTTAAAATATTTTAGTATAATTTTTCAAAGGTGAAATAAAACATTCTTTATGCTAGATAATAATATGAAATTTAATTAAAACTATAAATTTCCGGCATGCTTTACTGTAATGCTGGTTTTCAAAAACAAACGAAAAAGCAGATCTAAATTATTTTATATTTATATTGCTTCTTCAAACATAGTATGTTTAAACTTTTCAATAAAATTTCTTTTTAAATGTAGTTTTTATTAATGCATTCATATATTTAAAGCACTTGAAATTATCTATTTCTTTGCAATTAAAATGAAAACTTAGAAACAGAAGGAGTCAGAAAAATAAGAATTATAGGATCAAACAAGAGGGGAATGATAACATATTGGGCTACTTTAATTTTATAGCAATAGGTGGCACTGTTACCTAAATACTCTTTGATTTGAATTGAAGAACTGGAAAAGAGTTGTCTCTGTGTATAATTTCATATATGTAAACAAATGAGAACCCAGACAAAAACTTGAAGAATTCCAGGGATATTTTGTTATCATTATCATTTACTTAGTATTATATTTATTTATACAGCCAGCAGTATGTCAAATAGTGGAAATGCAGATTAAAATTTATGGCAGTAAATGTGATTAAATGTGAACACATTTAGTATAATTCATGAAAGTGTTTACTTTTTAATATGAATAGAAATAATATTAATGTTTTCCTGCAAAATTTTACTTTATGAATTCTTAATTTTATGGATTTCAGTATTGGAAATTTTAAGGTGTTCTAAAAACCAAACAATAATTCAGAGTGCTTAAGTTGATTAATATATTTATTTTCACTATCATATTTCTTCTAGTTTGTTTTGTGTAGTGGCACAAATAAGTCCATTATGTGATTCATATATATATATGTTAAATATAGTGATTCTTTACAATATGCAACCCATTAGGCTGATAGCACAGAAATGGAATTCTTTCACCACTGCCAACATGATCATTGTTAGCATCTGAAAGAGAAAAGAAGAGGAATTAAATGGGGTATACATGTGTTCAGTGTTCAGATGAAAGTGAAAATAAGCAATAAGGACCAAGCCCTTGCTAGAATACACAGCACCTTTGTACAAGCTAGAAAATGCTGCCTCTGTAGCAGCCAGATTGCAGTAAGACAACCCCTTCTGCTGTGCAGACACAGATTGTCACCAGGACAAGTCTTGCTAAGTTGAACATAGGCTCAAATTTGGTCCTTACTCCTCCCTGCCCCTTTGTAATGTGGCCTGATGCAAGCCACAGTTTGCACTAAGACTAGCAAATTGATTGTTACACTATTTAATGGCTGATGTTACTTTTTTCTCAGAATTCTCAGAAATTATGGCTGAAAATATGATTTGATGGTCTTTTGACTATGCTGTCTTGTGCTTAGACAATCCCTAAGAGAGAACAACAGCAATGATAGAGTGATCTCGGTTAAGAGATTGGCTATCAAAGTGCCAGCCACTGTCCTAATAAGCTTGAGGTCACTACAAAGTGAGATCTAGCTCTGCATATTGACTCACTATGGTAGATGCTGTGATGCATGCCCCTAGCTCCTTCACGTTTTTCCTTTCCTGCTGCAAATGCTGCCTGGGACAGGCTTCAGTGCCAGCTCACGAAGGAGATTGCTTGTGCTAAAAAGAGGCTCCTGGCCCAAGGCCACATTTCCTTTCTGGGGAGATAGAGGTCTAATAAGTAACATGGGGGAAACTTGGCCCCCATCTAAGACAACTCAAGTTTTATCTCTGCTCCGGAACTTCTCATACAACTAGTTGAGACCTCCACTGAGACTGCATCACAGTTCATATTCTCCCTCTCCCAGAGCTGCTTCCTTCCTTCCTTTCTTTCTAATTTTTTAATTTTTTAAATTTCAATAGCTTTAGGGCTATAAGTGGTTTTTGGTTACATGGATGAATTGTATAGTGGTGAAGTCTGGGCTTTCACTATGCCCATCACTCAAATATAGCGTATATTGCATCCAATAGGTAATTTTTTATCTCTCTCCCTCTCCAAACCTCCCCGCTTCTGACTCTCCAATACTTTTTCTGCATCTCTAATACTTTTTGAAGGTCTACAAAGAAGCTAATTTATTTATATAATCCCACAGTAGTAAAAACAGGACATGTGGGCCATTACTGCTTCCACTTTCTTGCATGGCATCCGTCTCCCTAGAGCCAGATGGAGAGGGAGTCTAATAACAAGTCTTAGAGCAGGGCTCCAGGAAGCTACCATTAATTGCTTAGGGCTGGCATTGGGCCTGATGTGGTTTGGCTCTGTGTCCCCAACCAAATCTCATGTCGAATTGTAATCCCCAGGAGTCAAGGGAGAGGTCTGGTGGGAGGTGATTGGATCATGGGGGAGGATGTCCCTTCTTGCTGTTCTCATGACAGTGAGTGAGTTCTCATGAAATCTGATCGTTCATTATTCCACTCTATATGTATTTGCATACCCATAGCTTAGCTCCCACTTATAAGTGAGAATGTGCAGTAGTTTTTCATTCTTGAATTACTTCACTTAGGATAATGGCTTCCAGTTCCACCCAAGTTGCTGCAAAAGATATTATTTTGTTCCTTTTTATGGCTGAGTAGTATTCCATGGTGTGTGTGTGTGTGTGTGTGTGTTTGTGTGTGTCTGTGTGTGTGTATGTATGTATGTATATATGTATACCACATTTTCTTTATCCATTCATCAGGTGATGGGCACTTAGGTTGATTCCAAATCTTTGCAATTGTAAATCGTGCTGCAATAAACATGCACATGCAGGTATCTTTTTGATATAAAGACTTCCTTTGGGCAGAGACCCAGGAGTGGGATTGCTGTTTGCTTTCTCTTTCACAGAGATGAACACTAGGGCATTTGCTGATAAACCTCTCGCACACTAATCTCCATCTTCAAGCCTGCATCTTGGGGAATCCAGTCTGTACTCTCCACTAAAATAGGGTGCAAATTGAGCTACAGGCCAGATGGCCTTGTAACGTAAGATTCACTCCATTGTGTCCTACAGCCAACAACTAGATCACAACATGGGCAAGATATTTTATAAATAAATTTTTAACTATAAGAATGACTTTAAGAGGTAAATAACTGAATGAAGAAAACCAAATCAAAACTTTTATGTGAGCATCCAACACTGCTGAATAAATGAGTATTCAATGAATGTTTGAACTGAATAATGTACTGAATGGATACAGTAAGACAGGATAATTTTGTCCATGTTTATTAAATACCATTTATGTGTCAGGCTCCAGGAAGGGACCCAAAGTTAAGACATGGCCTCTCTTCTCAAGAAGCTACTAAGACAGCAGCATTTCTAGTCTATCCATAACCCACATTAATTTATGCTCTGTTATTTATGGAGAAACAGATGTCAATTTGTGAAGCAAACAATTTTCTAAGCATAAAACATTTATTTCTTATGTGATATAAACCAAGTCATATTGGATAATATGGATTTTTTATGTGTAAAAAGAGATTGTGTTTTAAAAAACTGAATTATATTGTACTTATTCCTTTATCAGGTCAAATACATTTCAGGTGAATGCCAAATTTATTTATTAAAAAAATGAGTTTCAGAAAAAGATATACCAGAAAGTATTGTTATAAGTTACTTTAATGGGAACCATAAGAGATTAATACTTTTTTAAGATGTACAAAGAAGCTTATTTATTTATATAATTCCACAGTAGTAAAAACAAGACATGTGGGCTACTACTGCTTCCACTTTCTTCTCTGGCATCCTCCTCCCTAGAGCCAGATGGAGAGGGAGTCTAATAACAAGTCTTAGAGCAGGGCTCCAGGAAGTTACCATTAATTGCTTAGGGTTGGCACTGGGCCTGATATGGTTTGGCTCTGTGTCCCCAACCAAATCTCATGTCGAATTGTAATCCCCAGGAGTCAAGGGAGAGACCTGGTGGGAGGCGATTGGATCATTGGGGAGGATTTCCCTTCTCTCTGTTCTCATGATAGTGAGTGAGTTCTCATGAAATCTGATTATTTAAAAGTGTATGGCACCTCCCCCTTCTCTCACCTGCGTCACCATGGGAAGATGTGCCTTGCTTCCCATTCGCCCTCTGCCACGATTGTAAGTTTCCTGAGGCCTCCCCAGCCATGCAGAACTGTGAGTCAATTAAACCTCTTTTCTTCATAAATTACCCAGTCTCAGATAGTTCTTTACAGCAGTGTGAAAACGGACTAATACAGGGCCCTATTTGCTATCCAAGCCTAGCCAAATCACCTTGTTTTATGATAGAAAGCGTTAAGTTGAGATTTAGAAAAATGAATTTCTTGCCAAGAAAAATAAGATATGACTGGTTATACTATTCTAATCTTCCAGTATAGTTCCCTCTTTATACCACTTTTTGGGAAAATATATGTGCTCCTATGCTATAAACCATGGCATTTCCAATTTTTTTTAATGAAAATTAAAGCTAGTTTATAGATTGGTTTTTATTGCACCATGTTCCTAGTTTATTCTTTGAGCCAAATTGTTTGGCACTAGAATAATTGTATTCCATATTGTGCTAATCAATCATATGAAATCTACAACAAAATTCAAGGCAGCATTTTTTTGAAGTTTTTATAATAGTAAGTCAATTACCAAAAGCCAGTAGCCAATTTCAAGCTATCATCAAATGATTGCATAAGGCATTATTAACATTTCTAATGACTTAAATTCAAGAATCAGTTAAAGAAAACTTAAACATCACAGTTTTCTGGCTGAGAGTGTCTTTCTTGTTTTGATATAAAGCATATATCTATTTTTTGGGGAAAACGTAGGCATATGACCTGCAATTCATCTTACCACATTTTGTAGTTGAATATTGTCTTATAGTAATGCTAATTATTAGTATCATTATATCAAGTTCATGTTCCCTTCATGGTGGCATAATACTTGGCAAAACAAACAAATCCCTGTTCACTCCACTCACTACAAGTGGAACTTTTAATAATCTATAAATTAAAGCAATAATATGCAATAAAATACAAAAAAGGAAATCCAGAAGATGAACAGAAAGAAGACACAGAGCAGCAGTTATATCAATACCTTAAAACACAGACACTGCAAATAGTAATAGCATCTCATCATTGATGTTTGTAAGTTCCAGGCTTGGTTTTAAGTGTTTTATGAGTATTTCTTTATGCTTAACATGCTTATGATTGGTATTATTCATGGCTGGAAGACACGATACTGAGGCACTGACAAGTGAAGTGACTTACCAATTAACCTAGTAACTGGGAGAGATGAGATCCAAATCCAGGTAGTCTAACTTCTAAGTTGGGGCTCTGTGTCATTGTACCATAGCTGTCTCTTTATAGTTTCAAATAAATATTAATGATGAGTACTTTATTTATTTACATAGGGCAATTCTACATTTTCTTTTAAAAAGTAACAATGGCATCTAAAACAAATCTACAAAGACAATAAGGTCACTGAATCACAGCATTGCTGCCCTTAGTACCTAAAACTGTGTCCTGTGTGTGACTGATACTGATAATAAGGTATGCCTGGAATCAAAAGCAGTGAATTTTGAGATATATTATTTAACTTAGCCTTCAAAAATGGAAAACTTCAATTCTAAAAATTAGATTATAGTTAAAAAATTGGAAGGGGTATTGGATTTAATATTTTGAAGGCAGCAGCTGCAGAGTTTTGTGATTAGACTCCAGAGCCATATTGAGTCCCTGCAATGACATGCAAAATCCTGCATGTGTGTGCAGATGGGCTTACTTGTGGGGAGTGAATTTGAAGAATTCATGACATTCTCAAAGAGTTCAGACTGTGATACAAAACTTTCACAATGACTTTCTTAGAACATTATTTCACTTTAGTCACAAACATATACATGTATATATAATAGCCGAGTCTGCATATCAATATACACAAACACACATACAGATCTCTAATAAATGTTACTTTGCACATTTCGTAGGAGTCAACAATGTTTTATGCTTTGAGTAGCTCTTTAACTTACCTTTCATCCAAAGTACTTTTATCACAAGGGAGAACAGGCTTACCTCAAAAGGTTGTGTCAGTACACATCATTTTACAAGAAATGTTTTATGTTTTTATTTTTTTTTATTTATTTTTTTTGAGAAACAGGGTCTCACTCTGCTCACTCTGTCACCCAGCAGGCTGGAATGCAGTGGCGTGATCTCGGCTAACTGCAAACTCCTCCTTCCGGGCTTAAGTGATTCTTGTGCCTCAGCCTCCAGAGTAGCTTGGATTACAGGTACACACCATCATGCCTGGCTAATTTTTTTGTAGTTTTAGTAGAGACAGGGTTTCACCATGTTGGCCAGGCTGAACTCAAACTCCTGACCTCTAGTGATCCACCCTCCTTGGCCTCTCAAAGTGATGGGATTATAGGCATGAACCAACTTGCCTGGTCTGTTTTTATTTACTTTAATTTAAAGACTTTGCTTTAAAAGGGGTTGGAAAATTGTGATCACCTGTTGATTATGTAAAAGTCTACTGAGGCAAAGGCTAAGAGGCATTTGTGTGTATGTGTGGTGTGGTTAATACTTACTGTATACGTAAGTAATAAGGACAAGCTTTGAAAATTTTGGATCTAAATGTCAAAAACCAAAAAGAACTCTATCTTATGTGTTATTAATATGTTTCACTATCTAAAAGAATATTCCATCATGTAGTAGGAATGTCACATTACCATAATTTTCTTATATTGAATGCATGCATTTAGCAAGTACATTATGATAGTGTCTGCCCTGAAAGAAGAAAATCCGTTTTGTACTGAGCTTCATGATGGTGAGCTGTCTAATTTACTTTAAAAATAGATCAATATTTTAGAAGCAGTTTTTGTGTTCTTTGTTTAGCATTTTAATACATTTAAATAAACTGGCCTTGTTTCCACAAAGTGTAAAGTAAAAGAGAGTTTGGTAATTATCTTATTAATAGGATCAATGTAGACACAATGTTAAGTGGACAAAGTTGTATTTCTTTGTTTTTCTACTTGTTAAATTGTGTAGTTTGACAAAATTGTCAGATAATTATTACATTTTCATCTTATTTTGTTCTATAATACAATAACTATTGTATGACTTTTTCACATGCTTATAAATAAATATAATTTATTTTGCAGAAAATTCTATTTTCTTCAGATTTAAGTACCAGTTGCAAAAAGAGTATCTGTAAATCAAATCAAATAAAACCAGGAAGTTTCCACTGGCTTATTTTAATATTTTAATTTGAATTTTAAAATGTAGAAATCTGTAAGGATATATATTTAAATTATAGGGGGAGCCATGTAAAATTGCCAATATTTGACTATTTCGGGTCTTCAAATTTTCACCTGATTCAACCTAACATTTCAGGAGATAATGGTGCCATTGCTATCACATGACATACTTATAAAAGTAAAGAATTTTTGGAAATCAATATAGTATTTATTTCAGTTACATATTTTACAATGATGGTTACAATATTAGGTTATCTGCCTCATGTAGAAAACCATATATTATACATTTGAATTTGATAATTTCTCATGTTTTCATTAGAAGCTCCAAGTTCCATAGCTAGAATGCAATATACCACACTAACTTTGCAAAATCATGTATACTACAGTAAATCATCTGTTATCTTCCTAGGTAGGCATCTCTGTGCTAGCAGAGACCAGGAGCTTGTCAGAGTTTCTACTGTAAACTATTTGTTCAGAGGTTTGTTTGTTCAGCATGTGGCATCATGATCATCACAAAACACATATTGAGTATTGCCTTGCACTGATTGTGACACATCTTCTCATTTCTCTATACGTCCTCTCCCTTAGAGTTTCCAACTTGTCATCTTGTAGTTTCAAATAGCACCCTGTGCTGTCACTCCAAAACACGTACCTACAGACCCTGCGTGTCTCCTAAACTCTGGACCTGCATTTCTAAACTTTTCACATATTACATTTCACACTGAATATCTATATTTACTTAAGACTCTATTCATGTTTTTCCTCCAAATGGCTTTGCAAAACCAGCCCCAAAGACCCTATCATTCTCCCAACTCAAAAGTCTTAGGATCATTTTTGACTCCCATGTTTCCTCTTCTTTCGGGATGAATAAATTAAATTGTAATTGATTATTACTTGAAAATAGCTCATTTTTCTCTTCCCACTGCTGCTATGTTGGTCCTAGAAGTTATCATTGCACCCTAGAATTCAATGCATGCAGTAGCCTCCCAGCTTGCCTCCCTGCTAGTTTTACGCTGTTCTTTATACCATCACTAGATTAATAATCATAGTACTATCTATTTCTAAGAGGTTCCATGGCTTTTAATTGCCTGTAAGATGAAGGTAAGATGGCTTGTTATTTAAGGTCCTGAATAATTTGAACCTTGTATTCATTCCAGCCTCACTCCAGCTTTTTTCTTCACCAAGTGATTTTTTTTCAGTAAAGATGTGACTCACATGGTGGTCCCTCTGCTCATCTCTCTCATGACTTGCACTTGTAATATTACATGTACCAGAATATTCTTTTCCCTGCCTACCTACCATCTATGCTTATCTAAACAATCAAAACAGTTATTCTCTAATTCATTGAAGAGATTACTTTGTAGAGCCTTTTGATAATTTCTAGTATTATCTTAAATACAAATGAAAAATTTATTGTTATTTATTTTCGTGTTTTCTTTCCTCAATTAGATTATTAACTTTTTTTTTTTTTTTTTGAGACAGAGTTGCTCTCTGTCAGCCAGGCTGGAGTGCAATGGTGCAATCTCAGCTCACTGCAACCTCTGCCTCCCAGGTTCAAGTGATTCTCCTGCCTCAGCCTCCCAAGTAGCTGAGATTACAGGTACCCACCACCATGCCCAGCTAATTTTTTGTATTTTTAGTAGAGACGGGTTTTCGCCATGTTGGCCAGGCTGGTCTCAACTTCCTGACCTCAGGTAATCCACCCGCTGTGGCTTCCCAAAGGGCTGGGATTATAGGCATGAGCCACCCCGCCTGGCCAGATTATGAGCTTCTTGAAGACAGATTATGACCTAATGTTTTTCACCTTTCCATTGCAACTCAGTGATTAGCATAATTTCTAGTGCTTAATGTGTGTTCCAAAAACATTTTTAAAATTTTACAGAGTATGAAATATTAAAAAAACAGTTGCCAATTCTTATTTGTGGAAAAAATAAAAAATATTTCTGGAAATAGTAAGAACTCCCTGCACGGAGCAGAGGGTAGATGTGAACAAAGGCTCCATAATTCAGTGGGGTCAAGGGAAGGGAGATGCAGAGAGCAGAGCACAGATCGTGCATTAGATGCCAGTGGAGGTGAATGGGAGGGAGGTGATTTATGATAACAAGCATTAAAACAGCTTAAAAGAGAACCCATATGAAAGTTCCTGAATGTCTGGTTTTACAATCATATTCTCAATTCATTTAAAGACTGTTCCTATATCAGTTATGGTATCTGATTTTTCAAACGTTTTTTCCCTCCAAGTTTTATTTTAGGTTCAGGGAGTGATGTGTGGGTTTGTTTCATTGATAAACTGCATGTTGCTGCAGTTTGGTGTACAAATGACTTCGTCACCCAAGCAGGGAGCATAGTACCTGATAAGTAGTTTTTTGGTCCTTACCCTCCTCCATCTCTGTACTCTCAAATTGGCTCCGTGTCTATTGTTCCCTTCTCAGTGTCCATGTGTACTCTTTGTTTAGTTCCCACTTGTAAGTGAGAAATGTAATGTTTGTTTTTCTGTTTTTGCATTAATTTGCTTAGGACAATGGCCTCCAGCTCCATCCATGTTGTTGCAAAGGACATGATTTCATTCTTTTTTATAACTGCATAGTATTCCTGGGTGTATATGCACTTCATTTTGTTTATCCATTCCACCTTTGAAGGGCATTTAGGTTGATTCCATGTCTTTGCTATTATGAAAAGTGCTGTGATGAACATACACAAGCATGTGTCTTTATGATAAAATGATTTATACTCCTTCAGGTATATACCTAGTAATGGGATTGCTAGGTCAAATGGTAATTCTGTTTTAAGTTCTTTGAGAAATCACCAAACCGCTTTCCACAGTGGCTGAACTAATTTACATTCCCACCAGCAGTGTATTAAGTGTTCCCTTTTCTCTGCAACATCACCAGCATCTGCTATTTTTTGACTTTTTAGTAATAGCAATTCTGACTGGTATGAGATGATATCACATTGTGGTTTTGATTTGTATCTCTCTAATAATTAGTGACGAGCATTTTTTCGTATGCTTGTTGGCCGCATGTATGTCTTCTTTTGAGAAATGTCTTCTCATGGCTTTTGCTCATTTTTTAATGGGGATATTTGTTTTTTTTTCTTTTTGATTTAAGTTTCTTATAGATTCTGGATAATAAGACCTTTGTCAGATGCATAGTTTGTGAATATTTTCTCTCATTCTATAGGTTGTCTGTTTCCTCTGTTGAGCTTCTCTTGCTGTGCAGAAGAGTTTTTGTTCAATTAGGTCCCATTTGTCAATTTTTGTTTTTGTTGCAATTGTTTTTGTAGTCTTCATCATGAAAACTTTATCAGGGCCTATGTCCAGAATGGTATTTCCTAGATTTTCTCCTGGGGTTTTTATAGTTTTAGGTTTTATATTTAAGTGTTTAATCAATCTTAAGTTGATTTTTGTATATTGTAAAAGGAAGGAGTCCAGTTTTAATGTTCCACATATGGCTGGCCAGTTATCCCACCACCATTTATTCAGTAAGTCCTCTCTCCATTTCTTGTTATTGTTGATTCTGTCAAAGGTCAGATGATTATAGGTGCATGGCTTTATTTCTGGGTTCGCTAACCTGTTCCATTGATCTGTGTGTCTGTTTCTGTACCAGCAGCTTGCTGTTTTGATTACTGTAGCCTTGTAGTATAGTCTGAAATCAGGTAGTGTGATATCTCCAGCTTTGTTCTTTTTGCTTAAGATTGCCTTGGTTATTTGAGTTCTTTTTTGATTCCACATAAATATAGATTTTTTTTCCCACTTTTTTTGCATTTATAAACACTATCAAGTCTGATATAGTGCTTAATGTTTTCATAATTTGAACAAGACAAGTTGGGAACTATGATGCAGAGGGAAGCCAAAATCACGCAGAAAATGGTACTGGGGAAATGGCCCTAATCACTGAGTCTTCATCAACCAGCAGTTAAATGCACTCAGCCCATTTTTTTTTTTTTTTTTTTTTTGTCAAATTTCTACAGAATAGAGGGCATAACACCCTCAGGAGGCAGTCCTGAGCAAGGCATGAAAGAGGGATATCTAAGCTGAAATTTGGTACTAGTGATGGCAATAATGACTAAAATATGGAAAATAGCATGAGAGTAGTGTTGACAAGAATGTTGGTGTTGTAGCTCCAGATGATGTTACCTTGTCAAATGTTATACATATAAGGAATTCAAGGTAGAATGCCAGTTTTTCAAGACTGGACTGAACAGTAGGGGGCAAGAACTGCTGCACTGTGGGCGCTGTTGGCTCAGCCTTCATGGGAATAATAAATCTCGCAGCCCCAAATCATCTCAAAAATAATGTGTATTATAAATAAATTACTGGTGTGATGGCTCACACCTGTAATCTCAGCAATTTGGGAGGCCAACGTGGGCAGATTGCTTGAGTCCAAGAGTTTGAGACCAGCCAGGACAACATGGAAACACGCTATCTCTACAAAAAACACAAAAATTAGCCATGCTTGGTGGCATGTGCCTGTAGTCTCAGTTACTAGGGAGGCTGAGGTGGGAGAATCACTTGAGCCTGGGAAGGTCAAGGCCTCGGTAAGCAGAGATCGCATCTCTGCACTCTAGCCTGGGCAACAGAGCAAGACTCTGTCTCAAAATAAATAAACATATTAATTAATTAAAATGAATATACTATACAGTTTCTGATCTGTGCTAGTCAATGCTGCTTCTAGACTAAAGTGTTACATACTCCAAGGTCATTATTTTGTTCAGTATAGTGCCCCTTTATTGAAGTTATGTAATATTATATCCCTTGCTGGGCCTTGTTTATCCATACATGTAGGTATTGGTCCAGCAGAGATTTTGATTATCAGTTTACTATCTCATTTGATCAAGATCAAATTGCTCAGATGAATTTTGTTTGCTTTTTTAGGTTCCAGGAATTCAAACTTTTGAAAATTAAAATTTATGAAAATATTTATTATTAAAAATGTGTCAAGAACTGGCATGGTGGCTCATGCCTGTAATCCCAGCACTTTGAGGGGCCAAGGAGGATGGATCGTTTGAACCCAGGAGTTCAAGATCAGCTTGGGCAACATGGTGAAACCCTGTATCTACAAAAAAATATAAAAGAAAGAAAACAAAAAAATTAGCTGAGCCTGGTGGCATACACCTCTGGTCCCAGCTCCTTTGGGGGCTAAGCCAGGAGGTTTGCTTGAGCCCAGGGGGTGTAGGTTGCAGTAAGTCAAAATCGTGCCACTGTGCTCCAGCCTGGGCAACAGAGCAATACTTTGTCTCAGAAAAAAAATGTCAAAGAGCACACGTCTGTATTTTCCCAACTAAGCAAATTGAGACAAACGATAACATGAAATGAAACCAACAAACACAGGAAATGCAGTGCTTGTCAAAAGATCAATGATTTATTTAGAGTTTTATTATATTGGCAACTTAATAATCCCAGTTGATCATACATATAAATTTGATTTGTATATGTCAGATGGCAACTCTTTAAAATCATCATAATGAGGAAAAAGTTATGATGCTTTCTAGGAAATGCTATTTCTAATGAAAGAAAATATATTTCCATCTGAGAGCTCATTTTAATGCTAGGCTAAAATAATCTAGATTGTTTGAAATATTTTCTCTCTCTTTTTTTTTTTAAGTAATGAGACTTCCATGTGATCTTTTGGGTTTTCTAAAAGTTATGAAAAAAGTATCCTAGAAGCTGCAATAAACTGGACCATTATGTCAATAAGAGAACCTACAGAATAAAAAGCCTCTTGTTGCTTATATACCCATACATTCTGTGAGTTTGATAGCTTACAGAAAAAAATTCCAAGGAGGTAGAAAAAACAAACAAAGCGTGTTTAAATGTGGATAACAGAACCAGAATTTTATGTTAACATTTACTTGACACTGTTGAAAGATAATTTATTGACAAATGCAGACATCTTTCTCTTGCAACTATAAGTTAGTCTCTACCTGTAAGAGGTCCTCAAGTGACAAATAATGTCTTTTTTCATTGACGTGTCATAGAAAAATAGCACAGGGTCTAGTTCAAACTGAATGTTGATGACATGGCTAGTGAATAGATGAGTGAATGATATTACAAATGAAAACTGAAAGAGAAAATATGAATAATATAAACCATGTAAACAATATGAGTATAGTATGTAAAACCTTTGCCCTGCATCTGGTACATAATACACCCTCAGTAGGCATAACTTTTGCTGTCTTCCAGGAGTTACATCAGTGTGTTTGAGTGTAAATGATGGACTCATTGATGACCTGTTGTCTGTCAAGTGGTGACAAAGTTGTGCTTCCTTCTACTAATTCCATCTATAGATCATTTTTCATCTTCCTCGTTGTTTTGTTTTCAACACCAGATGTTCAGTATTTACTTTCATTTTTATATTCACCCCTCAAAGTTAAAATTAGGAAAATTTTAAAATTCTTTGCTCAACAATGCAACAATTTTGCATATATCTTTATGAAAGAAAACTGGATGTCAGAAAAGAAAGTGGATTGGCCTAATCTCCAAAACTACTAAGTGGCAGAGTCAGCATTTGCTACCATCTGCTCTATTGTATATTAGAACTCACATTCATCAAGAAGTGGTATTGGGCCAGGCACTGTGGCTCACACCTGTAATCCTAGCACTTTGGAAGACCGAGGTGGGTAGATTGCCTGAGCTCAGGAGTTCAAGACAAGTCTGGACAACATGGTGAAACCCTGTCTCTAAAATTATCTGGGTGTAATGGCATGTGCCTGTAATCCCAGCTACTCGGGGGCTGAGGCACAAGAATCACCAAGAATCACTTGATCCCGGGAAGTGGAGGCTGCAGTGAGCTGAGATGGTGCCACTGCACTCCAGCCCAAGTGGCAGAGCTAGACTTAGTCTCAAACAAACAAGCAAAAAAAAACAGAAGTGATATTGTGCTGGTGATTCTGTCTCCCCTTCTTGGACCTCTAAGTTCTGTCTTCACTCTTCCCTAGTGTGTGTTGTTCCCTGGGAGTATGACACCTTTTTTACATCACCAGTTTTTATTACCTCCTGGATTGTGGTTATTTTCAGCTAACAGGAGGTACCAGCAAGAGATGAGAGCGGGAGAGGGTCTAGGGAGAGGCCGAGTACTTTTCCTCTGCCCCCTCCTGCCTGGGCTGCAGATTCTGGTATTGACTCTCCCTCCGTGACTGCAGGGCTGCAGCGCCTCCTAAGTAGCCTGTCCTCCATGCCTCCCATTCCCATGGGGCTCCAGTAACTCTTTCCTCCCCTTGCTTTTTCAGGTCTAGGCTGGCTTAACAGCTCTTCTTTGTTCTCCTACACTCAACCACATCTCTGTTAATAGGTCCTTCTTTAAAGTCTCTTTGATTGTCTGATTTGGATTCTCTTTTCTACCAGGATGCTGGTAATCCCTGTGCACCGTGACCATAAATGGACCAAGAAATGAACAATAGATAAAACAATCATTTTAAAAATAAGTAGTCATTTTGATTCAGGTTGAAAATTTATATTCCATTGTTTAAGTCTATTTTTCATTCATGTTTGTTAATTTTATTGTGTATTTTCCTAAATATAAATTAAACTGAAATGCACACTTCTACTTACTCTTTTAAGATGGAAGGAAGGGGTGTGTTTTTTAAAAATTATTTTCCATGAATTAAACAAAAAACATTCCTGGAATTATTATTTCTTTTGAAACATTGAAGTACTTCTGGTACATAGTAACTTTTGCCCTATTTATTTAAATATCAGTGAGGTTGTTGAAAAGTCTTGGGGCAATGATAAGATATTTGAATTAAATATAGATTTGGGGTTCTGAATCTGCCGAGTTGTGTGCTAAAAACACGAACGGACCGATCTCAACAAACTGGAATGATGGTCATTTCATTGAGTTGGTTGCCACTTGTTTATTTTGTAGACAAATGATTTGACTTTTTTTAAACCCAAGTCTAAATAAGTGACTTTAATCTTATCAGGATTGGATGACTTAGTCAGTATTTGCTTCAAATGCAATAAAAAATTTTTGCCGTTGCTACTTGCTTTTCTTCTGGGTTTTGTAGCACAACAAACCAAGCTGTATTCTAAGTGTATTTTTAGTGCTGTCTTCGCCAAGTCCCAAACAAATGTTGTCAGTCCATACAACTACTTCCAGTCTTTAAAGTTGCCCATCAAAACTTTATGGTTTGCCTGGACTGTGTGTTTAGAGACTCTGGTCTTATATATCTCGAGGACACATTGAGTTTTGTCACATCTAAACAGCTATAAATTTTTGGCAGAATAATCTAGCCCATGTGTGTCAACACTCTCAAATTTAAAGCACTTTTTTTCTTATAGCTCTTCTTTGTCAATCATTGATACCTCACAAAGCCATACTTTTATCTAGCACTTCATAAAATTTAAATAGGTAAATAGTTAAAAAAGAGATATAGTCTTGTCTATGATTCATTTATTTTACAATAGGAAGTTAAGAAGTATGCCACAAAAAAACTATGACACAAGGCATGAATTTAGATAGGAAAGTACAAATAAAGTGTACGTATATGCAGTATGTGTAGTATATGTTCCTTTACATTCTAAAATATTTTTTATCTCTGTTTCTTTTTATTTTTCTACATTATGGGAATTTCTTCGACTTTATCTTGAAAATTAGTAACTTGGTTCTTAGTCAGATAGCATTGTATTATTAAGCCCATATATTTGGGTTTTTTATTTTCATAATTTTGACAGTCTTATTTTTCTTTTTCAAAGCCTAAGTTTTGTCCTCTATTTGGTCCTTTTACATAGCAGTTCATCATTATTGTTTTATAAAAAAAATTTTATTGAATTTCTCTGAGGACATGGATTACAATTCATCTTTGTTTCCTGAGTAATCTCTTTTTTTCTGGAATCAAGTATTTTGTGTGTTTATTCAGTACTACTATTTTATAAGACATATTTTCCTCAATTGTCTATACATATATGTGTGTGTCATTCTTATCTATGGGCGTTGTATGTAGTTAGCAGGATTTCAGCATGCTGAGATGCTGAACAGAGAACCTAGCTAAACAGTACTCACAGAAACTATGAGATAATACATTTGTGTTGTGTTAAGCTACTCAATTTGTAGTAATTTGTTACGCAGAAGTTAAAAACTAATACAATGGCTTTCGCCTTACTGTGCCTTACAAATAGGTATGTATGCATGTATTTGGTAGAATCATAGTTTAAGGAAGTCTTGATACAGTCCTTGGCTCTCTAGTCCTTGTGGTATTAGAAAATATATAAAAAGAAGAGAGAATAGAGTCCAAGTAACAATAGACAATTATCCACAGATAATATCTGATTATTTCAAAGGAAATATTGTTTTTTAGAGAAGAAATGTGTGGTTATATTCTACTGACTCAAAAGCATATAATAATCCAAAATCAGTATACTCTGTATATCTAGCTTTGTAGTTAAAATAATGTAATTTATAAGACAGCAATAGTGCTGAGTGCAGTGTTATCCAACCTAGTACAGGCCTTTTTATACTCCCTCCTCCAAAGTGAAGATAATAACAGGTGTGTATACCCCTGTTGAATTATTTGAGGTCTAAAGGTTTGATTAAAACACACCCACGCATGTATAGGATAAATATTGGTTTGTATCCACGTGTAGTCAGAATTCGTATTTAGAAAGTAAATTAATCTATATGTTTTACATAATCAAGTTTTGTATTTTCCAAAGAAGAGTATTTTCAGCTCCTTAGAGTTGTGGGTCCTCAACTTATTTTGTTATTGTTTTTGATTGTGGTCTCTGGTTTTCCTTTGCAAAACTAGGATTCATTTTGTGAAATCTCTGGAAAATTTGAAAATGTTATCTCAATATGTGAGAGTTAGGAATGTGGGTGCAGCTTAGCTAGTGGCTCTGGCTCAGAGTGTCTCATGAGGTTGCAGTCTCTGGAGACTTGGCTGGGGCTGGGGAATCTGTTTCTAAGCTTACTCATACAGCTGTTGGCAGGAAGCATCAGTTACTCACCATGAAGCCTCTCCATTGGTGCTGTTCATGGCGGGGATTTCTAAGAATGAATGATGAGAGACCTAGAGAGCGAGCAAAAGAACAACCAAACCAGAAGCTTCTGTGCTTTTGTTCTTACCTAATCTTAGAAGTGATATAGCATCACTTCTGCCATTCTTTATTGGCCATAAATGAGTCGTGATTCCACGTCCAGCCTTCACTCAATGGGAGGAGAATACACAAGAGTGTAAATATCACAAGGTGGGGACCACTGAGGCTCATTTTGGAGGCTGCTTACCAATATATGATATTCTTCATAAAAATTTATCAGGAGATTAAAAGAGAAGAGGAAGCCTAGACTTGTATTTCAAGGCTGATGAAGCCGGTTGCATTATAGTGAAATCTGATGTGTATTAGGTCCTTCTTTCAAGTTTATTAAATATGTGCCAGGACTGCAATTTGTCCACACCTTTCATTCTCTCCTTCTTAGATAGTAATTGAACCTTAGGTTTTTAGCCTTGTATAATGGCTATTCAGAAAGCAGATAATATTTTTCAATCTCTCCTGGAACTAAGTACATAGCATTTGACATGGGCAAAGAGCTATGGACAATTTCTGAGTCACGCCCTTTTATTTGCAGCTTTTTACTTGAGAAAGTGTCTTGTTCTGTTGCCCAGGCTGGAGTCCAGTGGCGTCATCATGATTAACTGCAGCCTCGAACTTCCAGGCTCAAGTGATCCTCCTACCTCACCTGCCTGAGTAGTTGGGACCACAGGTGTGTGCCGACACACCTGGCAAATTAAATTTATTTATTTATTTATTTATTTTTAGAGATAGGGTTTCACTATGCTGCCGAGGCTGGCTTTTTCTTCTCTTTCAATTATTAAAATGTGGGACATGGAAGTAAGCCTTCTTGGATCACATGGATGAGGGGACTCTTCTAGGACAACAAGGCAGGAGGAGCACAGGCACTGATCCCATGGAGATGCCAGCCTAGTCGATTTATATCAGGATCTCTAGATGAGAGAGAAATCATCTAAATGATAAATTTTGTCTAAACCAAAATTAGTTTTAGAGTCTGGTGGAGTAGCCAGACTCATATTCCAACTGTGTTTTTTCAAGGTTTTTTGACCAATACTCTCAGTTAAAAATACAATTTAAGGCTGGGTGTGGTGGCTCACGCCTGTAATCCCAGCACTTTGGGAGGCCGAGGCAGGCTGATCATGAGGTCAGGAGATCAAGACTATCCTGGCTAACACGGTGAAACCCCATCTCTACTAAAAATACAAAAAATTAGCCGGGTATGGTGGCGGGCCCCTGTAGTCCCAGCTACTAGGGAGGCTGAGGCAGGAGAATGGCATGAACCCGGGAGGTGGAGCTTGCAGTGAGCTGAGATCGTGCCACTTGCACTCCAGTCTGGGAGACAGAGTGACACTCCGTCTCAAAAAAAAAAAAAAAAGCATTTTAAATTGCAACACAGTATATACACAAATATATAGTTAATTACAAGTTTTTTATAAAATAATTATTTTGACTACATATACTCTAATTATTATTCTATTCATTTCTATCCTGTTTTATTCCGTTTCAATCCATTTTATTAAGACAAATAATGCTCTTCAGTGCTGACTTAATCATTTTCATGACCTACTAATTGCTCACAAACCGTAGGTTGAGAAACATTGTCCAAACTATTACAATATGGTAGAAGTGATTTGCCTGTATTATGTATTCTATGACAGAGCTTTCTTTTCCCCTTCTTACATAGAATCCTGTGAATCTTAGAAGTGGCAAACTTAAAATTGTTATTACCTCTCATATGTTAAGTTTGCCAGAAGTTTGTCATGCCTTCAATTTAAATTCAAATTTCCTTTTTTTCATTTTATTCATTCTAGAGAGTATACTGAGTACCTTGTATTGAATAAGGTCTGTACTAGATGAATAAGAAATTAGTTCCCTCAAAAAGCTATAGTCTATCAGAACAGATAGGGATGTAAACAGATAGATTAAAATAGAATGTGATTGCTACTACTGTAACTCAAACATAGTGGTCTTGAGATGATCAAGCAGCAAAACCTTAGGTGTTTGCAGCCAGGATGTTGAGAGTAAAACACATGAGGTACCATAAAAACAAAAGTGAAAGGATATTCACCACTACAGGTCAAGTATAACTTATGAGAAAGTTTGGGGCCAGAAGTGATTGAGAATTCAAATTTTTTAGGATTTTGGATATTTTGATTATATACTTACCAGTTGAATGCCCCTAACCTTAAAATCAGAAATCTGAAATGCTCCCATGGTCATGTTCTTTTAAGTGTCATTTAAGCACTCAAAAAGTTTTGGAGTTTGGAGTATTTTGGATTTCAGGTTTCCAAATTTGGGATACTCAACCTGTATCTGGAATTTGTTTCTTTTCCACTGCATAGACTGGAATAGTACTCTTCTGGATTTTGGGACTGAAAAAAGGTCATTTCAAATTCTCACCCTTCTTCAAGTACATGGAATGTGGGTTTTATATGAAACAACAGTGTGTACATGGAGGACTAGGTGACATACCTTCTAAAACCTGTTTCAGTAGCAATTTTGCCCATGTTTATTGACACTTATTACAATGAGAAAACATTTATAGCTTTAATATTCAAAATCCTTTTGTCACTTTCAGTTCCTTTGACATTTTAAAGTGACTGATTTATCATGTTTTCAAACTAAAATCTTAGAAACGTATTTAGTTGTCTACTTTGAGTTAACCTGACTGTAGCTGGGGAGAATTTCCTTATCTCAAAAGTGGCAGGAATGTGCCCTTGCTACAGATATTCTAGAGGTAGGACAGTTCAGAGAGTATGAAACTATTTCTTATTTGGGTGGAGAGTGTTTGATGATTTGTGAGTGATTTGATGCCAGTGTAAGATCCAGAGTTGTGAATTACAGCAATTATTCGATGAGTTTAAGCTAAAGAAATAAAGAGACATCAGTATGTTGTAAAGAGAAAAGGGAAAGGGGAAAGTATAAAACTTGGAATTCCTTTGTGTTCTATATTAATTACAGTTCCTTTTAGTATGTATCTCCTTGGAAATGGAACCACAACACATTTGGAATATCTTATACAGGATGGCAGCGAACAAGCTACTTAAGTAGTGGCCAAGAACAACCTGATGTTCTGAGCTACAAATTGAAAGTGAAGGTTACTTTCTTGTAGACTTTATCTTAAAGCAGTAAAACGGGTAACTGCAGCTACAACTGAAAGTATTGATTTTGTAATTTCAGCAAATTAAGAACAAGACAGAAAACCTATTAAACCTTTCCACTGATTGCCAGGGTACTTTTTGGTGATTCTGAGGGTGACATTAAAGTTACATACACCTGTCCCTTTAAAGTAAAACATATACATTATATAGAATATGCTAAATGTAATTTTGGTAATTATGTGTGTTTTCACATTTTAAATGTGAAACTTGTAAAACCAGATACTATGAATGTCAAGCAGCATATCTAGTTTTCATAAAGTGGGGTTTAAGTTGGGTGTACATTTATTACATTTTAAAAAGTTAAATTTTTCACAGACCCAGAAGATTTTGTAATAAAAATGGAGAAACTCCAACAATATAGTATGTCAGAACATTTTGAGTAATGATTACCTAAAAATTTATTGCAAAGATAGCTGAAAAAATCATCAAATGATGTTCTTTGTGCACAAGAGTAAGACAAACCAATTTTATAGTTTTATGGAACACCTCAAACTTTTAAAAATGTAATTTTAAAAATTTTAAGTGAATATATTAAAATTTACATTCATCACAATGTCAAAGAGGAAACTGGTGATAAAAAATGATAATAAGACTGATAGTCTACAGTCAAAATAAATTTAGGAAATTTATCTTTTCTTTTCATACTAAACCCAACCCCCAGATATCATATTTTTAGTAGATAAAAAAAATTAGAGAAAATAAAATTTGAAAAAAAATTGGGATGGCAATTTTTGCAATTGAAGAAAAACTGCAACAAAAATCTCATAAATTATAAGAAAAATTGGAGTAATTTCAGGGTTAATTGACTCGTTGATTCAACCATACATGGCTTTATTTACTTATTATTTATTTATTTATTTATTTATTTATTTATTTTTATCTTTTAACTTTGCCTATTCACTGTATCAGTTTTGTCTTAATGCTTGTGATACAGTGCTAATATTTACATATAGACACAAAGATCTTCATCAGAAGAAAAGAATGATTTCTGCCTGTGCACCTCTTTTTAAGAACAAGAAAACCTTTCCCAGAATCACTCTAGAGTGATTTTCTTCCTGACTCATTGAGCAAGATTTCATCAAATTCTTACAACATCACTATTCTCTGGTAAGGTGAATGGAATAATCACAATTAACTTAGAATCCAATCATGATTAACACAGGTTTAGGATGAGGACATTCCCTAGGGATATATGATTCTAGGAATGGAGTGTCTTCCTAAACCAAATCCAGGCTCTTCAGACTCCAGAGAGAAAAACATTGATTTGGCATAGTCAACCCCAGAGTCTGCCAAAATGTTCATCATACATTAAGCCTGACTCATTTACAATAATATGCAATACTTTGGGAAGTTATCTATAGTTGCAGTAGTTCATCATACATTAAGCCTGACTCATTTACAATAATATGCAATACTTTGGGAAGTTATCTATAGTTGCGGTAGTGTAATCTAGACTTTACATTCATACACTAAAAGCTATATGAAAATTATCTAAAGTATCTGAAGAAACAGATAAAATTCTACCCATCTTTCAAAGAATAAATGTAAATAATATAGTATACCAATAGTTTATATAATTATTTGAATACTTTTGAAGCATAATAAAAATGGTATTCTAAAAATTTTACATAACTTATAAGAAGATCTAAATAAATCGCTTGGGCATGTGTTTTGCAGTTTTTAAAAAACTCAAACACTTGACTTTTATTTACTCTTCTTATTTTTAGTCTACTATATTGACACTTTCTCAAAAGTTTGTGAACCTACTGCTAGCTGCAGAATATGAGAATGTGCAGTTTTACTGATACACTGAAAAATATAATAAAGTTTCTGTAAATGGCAAGAGAGATTCTTTAGCGTTGAACTATTTTTGAAAAGGGAATGGTATAATCAATGATGTTTTCCTCCCAATTAAGAAGGTCAAATAGCACTAGACAGTATATTTGCAAATAAACTCATGCATGATACTGAAACATAATGTTTTTAAAACTTCCCTAACACCCATAAATCTAGTAGTTTTTTTTTTTTTTTTTTTTTTTTTCCAGAAGGGGAGTGAATTGGGAGGACTTAGAATTTTAGCCAGTACGTTACTTTGATCTATGACAGTCATGATTGGGATCCATTAGAATCAGCATTTTTGATAAGGCATGAGCTTTATCTCACTTTGATTCATTTATTTGTTACTTCATGAGTAAATATTTATCTACTGGTTATTATGTGTCCAGTACTGAAATAAGCATTTCAAAAGACACAAAGATGAATAAAATAACTTTTCCTGCCTTTATAGATATTAGTGTCTACTAAACAAGATGAGATATAAATAAAGTAAATAGTATGTAGTTCCCAGGAAGAGGAATGGTTAAGAAGAGTTATGGAAAGAGAGGTTTGTATCACAGTGGAGGATGAGAAATTGCCTTGTGGAAATAGGCCTGTTACTTCCATAACTGACTTACAATCAGTGTTTCTCTGCTCCCTCATTCCCTTTAAACAATTGTCTACAATATGAGGCAATAAAACATATAATTTAAGAACATGATGTGAAGTAAAGTTTTTTTTCATCATGTGGGGGAATTTTATAAATTTAAGTAAAATACAAATTTTACTTAAATATATAAAAGAGTATCAAAGAATACGTGTGCAAAAAGACAGACAAATGTCCATTCCTCAAAAATATAAAGAGTGGCCTTAGAATAGTAAAAATAGTTTCCAAAAATTGTTTTACTATATCTCAAGGAATTATTTGTAAATGTTAGATTCGACAGTTAGGTGATTTTTATCTGAGAGATCATTTCCTTATCAAATAACGGTCCCAGAATTTCCTTGTTATAAATGATATGCTAAACGTTATTAAATCATCAAAACAAAAAAAGGAGGTTTTGGTGTCAAAATATTATCTAAATAGAATTGTTTTTAGTTATGGATTTTTGTGAAATAGTAGTGTGAACCTTTCTGGTGGGTCTTATGTAATTATCATTTGATAAATTCTACCTGAAAATAACCCTTAGCTATCTGATGGGAGAAAACATTTTGTTAAGTGCCCTTGATAAGATTGTGATAAAAGGCAGGTTGTTAATTCTTGTAGATTCTTATACTGAATAATATCACCTCTGATCTACTCAAGTTAAATATTAATTGGTACAAAGATACACAATATATTCTAAATAAATGATGTAAAATATCATGTACAGACATAGAAAATAGAAAAAAAATTAAAATATGATCTCAATAAACTATTTCTGAAACATTCATATCAAAAGACTTCTAATCTGTAGACACAAATACAACCCAGATGGCACCTGATGTCAATATATTTAGCAAGTTATTTAATTTAAAGACACATGTTTGAGACAGTCAGATAGGACTAAATTCATTTTGGGATTTGTAAATGCAAAATAAGTCTCCATTTTTCATGAGACAATAGGAGAAACTAGATCATTGGCTAGTAGAAAAGGTTTTGACAGCCTAACTAACTAGCATTTCATTTATATTACTAAACATAACATTTTCAAGGCACCACAGAATGTAAATTGTGATCATTGACCCAAAAGGGAAAAAGTGCTCAATTCAAGCCCTCTGCATTGGTCTATGTCAGATCATTGCTAGTATGACAAGAAACTTGTGTCATATTTTTCTAAACTTTCAGCATTGCATGGATGCTACTTAAACTGCATACAGTCAAGGAAGACGAGAGAAAAAAGAAGAAAGAAAAAATCAAACTCTGATTTTTATGTCTTCAGATTATTTGATGTATTCTGGTGCATTTTAGTATAAAAATATTTCTAATTAACAGCAACAACAACAACAAAATCCTCTTCTAGTTCTAGACAGAACAGCATGTACAATAATTATTTAAGGTTTTATCACAAAATGGAAAGTTCTCCCAGTAGACTCATTAAGATCAAGTTGTCAAATATGTGAATATCGGAAATAGCACTGTTACCAATGTTCTTGATAGATATCATTTAAAAAAAAATCAGAGACGAGGTCCAACTAAGTAATCAGAGGAGTGTTTCTAGTTGAAGCCCAATATGTCTCCAGAATTGTTTTCAACACAATACTTCAAACATTCATTACAATTCTATTACATTATTTAAAATTTATCATCCTAAAATTATGGCAAATATTAGTCCTGCAAGTGTTTAAAATATTGTTTTAGTGAATCTGTTGCTGTTTGTTATGTTTTGAATATTTAAAAACTTCCCATGTACATTTGCAAGTTAATTTTAGTAGGCTGTTGCGAAGAGTAAGAAGAATTAAAACTTGCAAAAAAATTAAAAAGCCTATTTGGAAGACAGACTATTAAAATAACTGTTAATTATATCATTATATAAATTGTACTTAAAAGTAATGTTTATTGGAAAACATTTAAAAATAAGAATGAACCAACAAAATATTAATTATTTGGTATAGTATGAGAACAGGTTAATCATTCCTTTTGGGTGTGAGGGTTGTAATGTTAAATCATGGGTCTGAATTAACAAAGCTGTCTGATTGACTTAAAAAAGCCACTGTGATTTGCTAGACAGCATGAAGTCTGGCAATTTAGAACCTTGGCAATTTTTTTTCTTACTAGAGTTTAGTAGGTCTGTAGAGCCATCTTTTGATTAATTCCCTAGTTCCTGAACGTACAAATGGAATAGACATAATTGGCAACTGGTAACATCTCCACAATGGTCCCCTGACTCAGGAAATGAGGGTGGTTATGGGAGAAAGGACTAACCTGGAAGCTCCTTTAAATCCTACCCTTTTTCTCCTACTACCTGTTTGCTTTCCTCTCCTTCTACGCTATATAATAGTAAACCAAAAGTAATTTCTTGAGAAAATCATTGAGAATAATACCACCATTAAAAACCAAAGATGCCAAACATGATGATACCTATCACATGTCCACTTAACTCTCCTTTTGGTCAGTGCAAAATCCAGATGAATATTGGCAATGATTGCAGATTACCATTAACTTTAATAAGGACAATCAGAAGAACATGGTTGGTGGGATACTATTGTATTATCCTATTTTAAATTATTTATATCAACTCTTCTTTTTGTCATAATATAATTGGTAGGAACCTTGAACCTCTTGATATTCCACAAAACTTCATAGTGGTCCCTTTCTTTTATGACAATATGCTAATTGGACTTGAGAAGCAAGAACTAATAAGTATACTAGTTACTTAGAAATGTATCAGCATGCTGGAGAGTGGGATAGTAAGCCAGCTGAATGTGCAAGATCCTGCCATGTCCCTAAAACGGGATTCACTTTTCTGGGGCTTGTTGGAATAGACTTTCCAAAGGTAAAGGCAGTTGATGCAGTTTATGCTGCTCACCACAAAGAGTAAGACACAATGCTTGGTGAGAATTTTAACTTTGGAAGCAATATGTACTACACTTAGGTATACTGTTCTGACCCTTGTTTCGAGTAACTTACGAAGCTTCCATTTTGAAGTGAGACACAGAAAAAAGAGAGAGCTCTTTAAATCCAGGCTGTTGTGTAGGCTCTAGGCTGTGTGAGACTTGGGGCTTAGGACCGATGATACTTCAAGTGTCTTTTGCATAGAGGGATGCTTCATAGAGACTCTGATAACTCCAATAGGAGAAACATTGGGAAGATCCATATTTTGGAGCAAAGCCTTGTCATCCTCTGTCAGTAACAATTTTCTGTTTGTACAATGGTTATTTAAGGTTTTATCACAAAATGGATAAGCAGCTCCTGGCTAATGGTCCCTGTTAAAGACTGAACGTATGACCATAGGGCAAATGAATATAAAATCTAAGTTGCCTATCAAAATCTTGATGTTTTCTATTCCAATGAATTATTAAGTTGGCATGCAGCACTACTAAATTGGAATGGCATGTGAGGGACGGGGTCCACATCTCTCCAGAAGACACATGTAAGTTACACAAGCAGTTGACTCAGACATTCATGATACTTTCCCTTATTGCTTCATTACTTCATTGTCTGACTTCTTTTTTGACATTTGGACAATTTTTATGACAAGGTAGCAAAAAAGGAACATTTGAAGGCCTGGTTTACAGATGTGTCTGCATGAAACATTGGCACTAGTCAGAATCTGATGTCTATTCTCCATGTTGCCCAATAGCTCCACCCCAGGGTAACCCTGAAAGATAGTTATGAAGGTAAATCTTCCTGGGGGCAGAGTTTTAAATAGTACATGTGAAGTGGGGTTTTCCCACAGGATGTGGTATATGCTTCATACCAGAAACCAATGGTGGTGCCATTTCCACCATAGCCATACTCCACAAGGCTGGAAATTAAGGAATGGAGGTGGGAGTGGAATTGGAACTGGTAGCAACAGAGGCCTTTGTTTCCAAAGGAGGAAGTTTCCATGAAGGAACACAGCCATAGTGCCACTAAACTGGTGTTTGAGGCTGTTTTCTGTCCATTTGTGGTTCCTCATGCCTATAAATCAGTAGAGAACAGGGTTACTAAGTTGGCCAGTATAATGAAACATGATTATTTTCTTATTAACATTAACATAAAATGTGCCACCTCAATAATGAATGAATGACTGAAGATCTAGATTCTTTGGAAATAAATATTTGAGTCTCTCTACCAGGTAAAAAAACACATATGAATCAAGGTGTTGGCAGAGGTTAAGGGAAACGTAAGATGTAAGGAAGCTGTAATTATCACCTCCACCCTTGACACCAGCTATTGAAGGAAATACTAGTAGTTATGTCAAAATGTATGTTAAGAGTATTTTTTATGTTAAAAGATACATTATTTTTAAACTCAGAGGAATTTTAACACATTAATTTAAAAATACAGGAACTGAAGCTAAGTAATATAAAGTAACCAATTTGTGGTCATACAACCAGTTTATGCCAGAACCAACATTTGCTGCCCTTTTGGCCCCTTTGTACCATATTATGCTGCTGCACTGAGAGTGATTGTTGAAGGAAGGTGAAAGAGGGGCCCTTTATGGCATGGGGCCACCAGCAAGGACACTGGTTGCCTGGTCTAGAGACAATAATGCATTCAGAATCTTTCTCCAGTGTGAGCTGCCAAGGTTAGTTTGACCATCTCTCCTGATGTGCTTGACTTAAGGTCAAGCCTAGGAAAGAAGCATGTTGAATATGTTAAGAAGCAGGACAAACTTACATCTCATCTGAATTTCTGTATTCAAGTTAATAAGGACTTTATTATTCACCCCAAAGATAATCGTTGGTTATTTGCTTACCATTTTTATAACTTGAGAGCCTATTCTAGTGATTTTTATTCTCTACAAGGGAAACGATGTCTTTAGTAACAGTGTCTGAATAACACTTCTTTGGCTTAAAAAGTAATGTTTTCATCACCCAGTCCCCTCCCCTTTTTAATACAGAATGGTAGAACATGCTAAGTCAGACCATAATGTTCAAACATAAGAAATTATTATCCATTTCTTTTTGTGTTGTTATATTCATTTTAATGGCTGCAAAATACTATAGAGATTTGTCATATATTAACCAATTTCTTATTAATAGATATTTAATTTATTTTTGATAATTTCACTATTATAAGATTCACAATAGGTGGACTGAGCATGGTGGCTCACACAAGTAATCCCAGACCTTTGGGAGACAGAGGCAGGAGTTCGAGACCAACCTGGGCAGCAAACCAAGACCCCCATCTTTACAAAAAAAAAAATATCAGTCAGGTGGGCAGTGCATGCTTGTAGTTCCAGCTACATGGGAGGCAGAGGTGGGAGAATCACTTGAGCCCAGGAAGTCAAGGCTTCAGTGAGCTGTGATCATACTGCTGTGCTTCAGCCTGGCTTACAGAGCAAGATCCTGTCCCCCTCACCACCAAAAACATCACAATAAGCGTATTTGCATCTGCATCTTTATGCAAATTAATAAGTAGCACCTAAGAATAAAAATTTCAAAGTAAATTGTTAAGTAAAGAAATAATATTTTAAATGCTCGCATTAAATATGTATTAATATTGATAAATGATATCTTTACAATAAGAAATATACCTATTCAATGATGTAACTTGTCTTTCTATTTATTCAGTTCTTCTTTTATATCCTCTGTAATGCCCTCTAATTCTTTTTTATGTAAATTCTGTATATCTCCTGTTAAGTTTATTCCTAAAAATGTCACATTTTTGTTGCTATCCTGAATGGAGTTTCTGTTTTATTATATGTTCAAATTAGTTATTGCTGGCATAAAGAAAAGCTACTGATTTTACATATTTATTTGAAAACACACACCTTATTAAGCTATCTTACTATAATATTAGACTTTTATTTAAGTAAAGGTATAAAGGTGTACAAGTTGTATTTTGAATCTCAGGAGATTTTGGTATATAATTTTTTTAAGAAAATAAAATATATGAAAAATAACTTGCCAGGTCACAAAATTTTCCTCAGAATCTGGTTTAATTGGATTTAGGTCACATATTATTTTCAGGTCTACTCTTTAAAGACAGTTTAATTTTCACATGTCCTATACAGTTTTCTTATTTGAATGGATTTCATTTAGCACTCCTTTGCCTTCTTGTGATAACTTTCTCTCCTGCCCTAACAGTCTGATTTTTTTTGCTCATTGTAACTTCTGAAGTTCACTGTGAACTTCAATTCACAGCATACCCTGCTTTCAGGGAATTCTGTGTATGGAGTCCACCCTAGGGATATATACACCCCTGAACTCACCATGCCCTTACAATGGCTGCCTGTTCTACATGCTTAATTCTTTTTTAGGAAAATGCTTTTCCTAAGTGTCAAAACAGGTAACCAGAGCATATGGAAACATAACTCTGGTTAATTCACAGATTTGTACCTGCAGCATTAAGGTAAAATATTCCAGTTTCTGTTACAGACATAGGCTGCTAGGTACCTGGGTCTTCAGACAGAAAGGAAGGTGAAAGACCATTTCCAACTTTATGACCTAATCTATTTTATGGATGTTGCATGAGGTAGAATTTTAACAGATTTTTTTTCCATTGAATGAAGGAATCCCCATTTCACTACAAGGCAGATGGAAATTTCCAACATTCTGGTACATGGTTGTCTGACAGTGAGATTTCTTCTTTTTCAGTCTATTCCTACGGATTTTCATGAAAAATAAAAGAAACAGTATTTAAGATTGCTCTGCAGATGTCAGTTTTTTTTTTTTCTTGGGACAGAGTTTTGCTCTCTCGCCCAGGCTGGAGTGCAGTGGCGCTATCTCGGCTCACTGCAAGCTCTGCCCCCTGGGTTCACGCCATTCTCCTGCCTCAGCCTCCCCAGCAGCTGGGACTACAGGTGCCCACCACCATTCCCGGCCAATTTTCTGTATTTTTAGTAGAGACAGGGTTTCACCGTGTTAGCCAGGATGGTCTCGATCTCCTAACCTCGTGATCCGCCCGCCTTGCCTCCCCAAAGTGCTGGGATTACAGGCGTGAGCCACCGCGCCCGGCCAGATGTCAGTTTTAAACTGTTGGTAGTAATGTAAATTAGTATAAACACTATGGAAAACAGTATGGAAGTTCCTCAAAAAACTGAAAATAGACCTGCCATAAAATCTAGCAATTCCATTTCTACGTACATAGCCATTGGAATTGAAATCTGCATGTCGAAGATACATCTGCACTTCCATGTTCATTGCAGCATTATTCAAAACAGTCAAGATACGAATTCAACTTAAGTGTCTATGAATGGATGCATAAATAAAGAAAATGTGGTATATATACACAATTGAATACTAATCAGCCTTTAAAAAGAAGAGAATCCTGTTATTTGCAACAACATGAACGAACTTGGAGAGCATTATGCTAAATGAGATTAGCCAAATACAAAAAGAAAAATGCCTTTCTTATTTAAAGTAATTCCATTTTAAGTAGTAAATAGTTGCAGAATTATATAATTTTGTGTTTCAAAAAAAATGCTGAAATGCCTTAAAATTGAATTAATGACTGGAATAAAAATGTCAGAATTATTACAAATATGCCCTAGAAATTACAATGCAAAATGTCATGGTTTATAAGAAATTTTATCCTCTTTAGTAATCACTGTTTCTAATTTTTTTTCTCAGTTCTTTAGAAACTCAGCATTTGAAACTTTTTTCATTTACAAACTTTCTCTTCTTTCCACTTTTTTCATTTTCTTGTTTTCCTTCCTACTTGGTCAAATGATTATCTGTGTTCTCTAGCATATAACATATAATACTTAGGCAGAAATTTGCATTTTAGTGGCTTTTCTTTTGTTTTACATATTTGCTATATTTTACCTGTTTTTCTTGACTCTTCTAAACTATACACCTCCTTGGTTAGTTCTTAGATAATATAATTGGTCTTGCTGAGTCTGTCAGAGAAAAAAAAATGCCGAAGTGTGTGTGTGTGTGTGTGTGTGTGTGTGTGTGTGTAACTCTCAGTCTTTGACAAAAGGTTACATTGCTATGCTACATGAAAAGTATTAGGCTGTTGTTTCCCCTCTTGCATCTATTATCTGGATAAATATTGGAACTAGAACTTTTAACCTGATAGCAGAACATACATTAGAAGCTAAATAAAAAGGTAAATCACAAAAACAAGTTTCACAACTATATATTGATCCCTACTCCTTAAATTTATTGTAATGCATTGAGCATATGTGTGATTGGACAATAAAAAGGATAAATAATTAAACAAACTTAACAACTGAAAATATTTTTACAAGTAAGTGAGAGAGGTATGCTACATTTCTCTCGGTGGAGTTCCATGACTTACTAAATTCAAGTCAAATTGAGAAAAATATATTCATTTGGCAAATTCATTTTTCATTAAATATATACATTTCTTGAATTTCTTTGCATTTTATATTTAAAAGGAGTTTGTTTGGTTTCTAATTTTTTTTTCTTTTTACCTAGTTCTACTTTTCGTTACTGCTTAAAACAAACATTCTATTTCAAAGGCAACAGTGGAAGTTCTCTAGGGATTGGTGTTGCTCTATTGAGTGATCTTTGATCAGATTGTAATGGAAAACTCCCTGCAGGTGATATAAAATGTGTACATATATTTGAATACATAAAATATGTGTTTTTTCATTTCTCCCATTCTTGACACTTCTGAGTATGGGCTTATTTAGTATGCTGGCTTCAAAATGATAGGATCATCTTGGAGGTAGATTTCAAAGGAGTGACAGTTTTAGAACTTGATGATGAAAATAATTGGATTTATAAACTCTTTGGTAACCAGGAAGTAAATCTCAACAATAACAGTAAAACCTGCTAGAATATAGAGTATATAGAAATGTAGAAGAATTTGGAAACCTAATCCCAAAGATATACAATATACATTTTCCATTAAATGCGTTTTTAATATTACTAAGCATGATGACATTCACAAGCTTGGGTGGCTTAAAATATTGAAGACAGTCCTAGTAATACTCCTTTATTGAGGAAACAGATAATTTGTTTGTAAAATAAATATGTAATATTACCTTTACTGACATTTGTAAGTTCAAAGATCCTGGATTTTATGTATATATTACATAAAATTAGCTTTTAGACTCACATTAGGTTTTCAAAGAAAAACAAGGAAACTAAAAATTAGGGTTATCTATTCAAATATCATTAATTAAATTATCTTTTTATTTTTCTGAGGCTACATTTACCCTTAGATTGCGTTACATTGTTAGACAGGAAGTGCTGAGAAACCATCTCTAGTATTTGGTACAATTGCAAGTAGTCATACTGCAGCAAAAAATTAAAAAATTAGAAAGAATGAACTGCTTCAGAGTAATTTCCCTCTATTTATTTGTGAAAACAGAAATTAAGAGCTTAAAACACCCTCTTTCACTTATTTTACATTAATAAATATGTAAAATATATTTTGAATTATATCCTAGACTCTCAATATTTATTGAGCATCATGTAAGACATTGAGTAGATATGAAGGTATGTAAGGACTTGATCTGACCCTTAAAGTTATTATTAAAATAAATACACAATAAAAAAGAGTGCCAAATATTGTATCTCACTTCACATGAATGTCCAGTTTTCTGCTTTAGGAGGCTAGAAAGTCGTGGATATTTGACAAATATATCTCTCCTTAGTTAGAAATCTACCATATTCATAATAAACACTTGAGACATGATGCTATTTTTAACATATTTTGAAACAGATGACTTAAATGTTTGTCAAGTTTTTCCTTGCATTTTCTTAGAAACTACTGCTATCTTTGACTCAGTAATAGTATATATCCCTTTGCCCCATCTTCTAAATTTACTTTATCACTATTCTCTTAAGTCTGAAAAATGCCCAAAGTCATTTATCAAATTTTCTTGTCTGCTTTGAATATGTTCTAATATTTTATCACTCAGATAAAAGCAACATAAAAAGATAGTTTTTAAGTAGATAAAAAGATAGTTTTAGAATATTGGTAATAAATCTTCTTATTAATATGTAACATCCAATAAAATATTATTAAATTAAAAGAGAAACATTAAAATGAGTATAAAAATCTCTTTTCCTACTAGCAGAGATACTAACTTCATTTTGAAATTATTATTTTTTAATGTAAATGGTATTTTACAATGCATGCGTACACATTTCAAATTTTATTCTCGAGGAAACTGATTTCAATTTACTTCTTTATGCTATTTTTATTTTTATAATTGTGAGATTACGCTAAGAAAATGGTTTTGGTAGTGTTGTTTTTATGTGCATTTATCCATGGCATTAAATTTGTTAATCCTCACTTTTAATGCCTAGATTACATGAATATATCATCATTTATGTAACTATTGCAATAGTCTAGAATATATGATTCCAACATTTTACTGTTAAAAATACATTTGGCATGAAAATTCTTATATGTAAATCTTATCTGATTATTTGTTTTGATTGGGTTACAAGAGCTAAAATTTCTGCATCAGTGGTGTGAATGTTACTAAAACCTTGATGCATACTGCCAACATACTTTTCAGAAAATTTTAGCAACTTGTAATTTCACCAAAAGCTCAGAATATGCTCTTTTTAATGTCATCTTTATCAATACAACTATTACCCTTGTATTAATTCTTTGTCAATTGTGTAAAAATACATTCTTTGCTTTAATATGCACTTTTGTTGTTATTTAGACATGAGAACACTTTCATATACCTATCAATCACCTTATTTTTCTTCCATGTTCTTCTTTTTTCCACTTACTGTCATGATAATGTTTGGAAGCATACTAGAAAGGGAATTTGAGGAATGTGGTTTATCCCAGCCAAGTTGTCACACAACAAAGCCATCAAAGTCAGTAACACAGTGTTCATACATAATTTTCCTAATACAGTTGGATATATGAGAGAGCACTTCTCCTCTCATTTATCTCCCTTTTCCCAAATTTCATAACTATTTTGACTTGTTTTTTTTTCCAGAGATATTCATGAAATTTACTCCCTCAAAAAATCTCATTAAAATTTTTTTAAGATTGCTATAATATGTAACTTGTTGAAGTAAGATATGTTATCTTCACAGTATTCACTAACTTATTTCCAAAACATAGTATTGATAAAGACAGGAAACAGACAAATCCTAGGCAGATAGGGGTCAGTCCTCAGTGAAACCCCATCTGTAAGCTAAAAACAGCCTGAAACCCGTGGCCCAGAATGAGAACTCCTATTCCTGTTTGCCCACTCTTTCCTGATGGGTTCTTTCTGAATAATGCTTTTTAACCAGTCACATGTTACCTTTTCTAATACTACCTACTGCCTGCCCCTCCCCATTCTGTACCCATAAACGCCCCAGATCCAGCCATACTGGGAGATAAACCACCTGAATTTGGGTGGTTGACCACCTGCGTGTCTCCTCTCCACTGAGAGCTGTTTCATTGATCAATAGCATTCTTCTCCTCCTTCCTCACTCTTCGAATGTCAGCATATCCTCATTCTTCTTGCATATGGGACAGGAGCTTGGGACCCACTGAATGTGGGTACAGAGAAGGCTGTAACGTCGTGGCCCTCTGCCCTCCGCTGGCAGAGGGCAGCTGCCTCATGCCACAGCAGCAGTAGTGGGGCTGAGCTAGCCCCAGAGCCCTGTGCTGGAGCAGGACAAGGGGCTGACAGAGCTGTTAACATGCCCCCATTCATTGGGCTGCAGAGGGCAGGACAAAGAATGCTAATTAACATGCTGTTACATCCCCTCTGGAGCTTGAGTTTGCGAGCACCCCTGCCTGGGCATCACCACATCCCTGTCATCTGGATGCCAGAGTCTGCCACAGGAGTGACATGTGACATACCTGTTCCAGCCACAAGCACCGCACAGGGCCTACTTCTGTGCTGGCACTTGGAACAGTGGGCCAGGCACCACATTCATTCGCTTGCATGCCCGCTCCAGCCAGGGGCTGAGTACGCAGTCACGGTGGCTGCAGGATCTGTGCTGGATTGCCACCAGGTGCAGCCTGGTGGACCGAGTGGACAGGGCATCTCCTCTGGCAAACCCAGGCCCAAGTAAGGCCTGGTCAAGGACATTTCCAGCCAGGGGTCACCAGCTGGCAAGTGACTGAGAAAAACCCTGTGTTAGTGTTTTTTCTCATTTATTATTTTCTCAGTTCTACTGGCAATTCTGTGATAAAATTGTTGTGCAAGTGGCTGTGATCCACCCGAGGCCTCAGGAGCATTGATATTAGGTGGCATGATTAGGCAGAAAAGGGGTATATTTTGCATTCACTAACCTCCACTCAATACTTTTGTGTGGCATGGATATCCAATTGAAAGCCAATAAATTTGACTCAGGGATCACTGAGGTAGAGAGAAATGTCCCACCACAGAGACTGAATTGGCCCCTGTGATCACAAAGCTGATTAGAATGTGTTAGAGACTCAAGAGACCTCGACAGTAATCAGAAGCTCTGTGGAGATGTTTTTAGAAAGTAGGTGCTGCCAAGCCTTCCTCAAGCTAAGGAAGAGGAGAACTCAAAGGAAAATAATGAAAGACTCCATCAGTGGATACCAGCAGAATGCAAGAGATGACATGCAGTAGGCACTAATGTAATTTGTAAGTATCTGAGATGAGTGAGGATTTTTGAAGAAACCAGGTGAATCAGAATACCCCTTCATTGCACTGCTGTGAAGTTTGCTAAACTGCTTCTAACACAAGCCCAGATGTAATTTTGAATAGGATAAGGAAAAGGAGTATCTGTAGTTAGAGCAATTACCTATTTGATAACTAAAGAGGTAACTTGATTTATCTGTGTTAGGCTCAGTACTATTAACCAGAATTGACTATATTATATTAGAGTGACTATAGCTTGGGCTTTGAAATCATACCATCTAGGATTAAAATCTGGGTCTGTCACTTACTAATCGGTGACATTGAACCATACACTTAATATTAGGAGCTCATAATTTTCATCTTGCAGATGAAAACAATAATACATATCTCATAGTGTTTTGTGAGACTTAAAGTAGGGTAGTACATATAAACATTTTAGAAAAGTATATAGTACAGAGTAAATTATCTTTTATTATCATTATCACCACCACGTTAATGGCAGTTCATTAAAAAAGTCAGAACACTTAAAAACAAAATTTAAAAGTAGTTCAATTTTCCTTATACATCTAAGTGTTAAAGTGAGTAAATTTGGACTACACTGCCTTATACTCCAACTTTATTTATGTTACATGATGACATCCCTTGCTTATTTTCAAATTAAGACATTGGCAACAGTGGTAGACATTTAAGAAGCATGATCCAATCAAGTAGTGTATTCATCTGTTCTCACACTGCTAATAAAGACATACCTGAGACTGTGTAATTTATAAATTTAAAATTTTAATTGACTCACAGTTTTACATGTCTGGAGAGGCCTCAAAATCATGGCAAAAGGTGAGGGAGGAGCAAAGTCACATCTTACATGGCGGCAGGCAAGAGAACATGTGCAGGGGAACTCCCCTTTATAAAACCATCAGATCTTGTGAGACTTATTCACTATCACAAGAACAGCATGGGAAAGACCCACCCCCATGATTCAATTACCTCCCACTGAGTCCCTCCCATGACGTGGGAATTATGGGAGCTACAATTCAAGATGAGGTTTGGGTGGGGACACAGCAAAACCATATCAAGTAGGTTTTAGATAAGATGTACATAGGACATGTGTTACTTTTTCATGCCTCATAACTAATCAAGTCACACCAAAAATAGGCAAATAAAAAACCACCACCAATAATACAATGTGAATAAAAATACTTGAAATTACATTTCAGAGCTTGAACCTAGGGCAATCTGAAAAAATGAGGAAGCAGTGTTACTCCATAAATGACACAGTGTGTTGGGAATTCCCGACCACCTTCAGGTTCAGTGATTCACTAGATAGATTCACATAACTAAGAAAAGCTGTTGTACTCATGGTTAAGGTTTATTACCATGAAATTGTACCAATCAAGTTAGCAAAAAAAGAGTTTAGAGAGCAGACACAAGCTTCCAGTTGTCTTCTCCCAATATAGTCACATGGATCACACTTGTGCAACTAGCAGCAATGCATGACGACACATGTGAAGTATTGCCAACTGGGGAAATACACACAAACCTTGGTGTCCAGAATTTTTATTAGGGGCAGACATGGAGTAACCACATGGCTGATCTTAGTTACTGAGTCTCCAGCTGCTCCAGAGGACAAACTGATTTTGTGTGGCCCAAGGCCCTCACCATAAATTACATTGTTAACATAAACTCTATGGTGTGTCCCGAGGCCCTAGGTAAACAAAGATGTTGTTATCAAGTGGAATATTCCAAGGGCTTAAAGGTATCTCCTAGGAATAGGTCAAGGGCCAAATCTTTCCTTGGAATGTGTAGGACTGCAATATCCCAGAACTGCTAGTCAACTCTTTACTGCACAGTGTATAGAATTGTTTAAAAAAGGAATAGTTTTAAGATCTATAAGATATTTTCTCATATTAGTTTATTTCAATCCATGTTCACATGCTCTGTATCCAACACTGCTTGATATAGAAACTTAGAAAATGTGATACCTAACCAGAAACAATTGTCCTAAAGAAAAGGACACATATTTACTGATTGCTGCAATGGTACAGACACACTGCAGCATCATTTGTATGTCATTTTATGTAACCTTCAGAACAACCCTGTAATATATGTGTTGATTTTTTGTTTCTTACAAATGAGAAAACCAAGGCTCAAAGTGATAAACTCATTTTCTCTAGGTTGTTCATTCATTCACCCTTTCAATATCAAATATTTGCCATGTCCCGGTTAGTAGATGATACTAGAAACATAATAAAATCAAAATAGACATGCTCTAGATTGTCACAGTGCTCATAGTCTAGGAGGACATAGAGAGGTAAACAAACAACCATCACCTGTTTGAAGTAATACAAAGTTTATACTTGGGTCCTCTTTCCATTATATACTCTCTTCTGTAAATGATCTTGTTTGTACTCAGAGTTTCATGGATATTTTCAACTCAGACATTTTCTCAGTATTCCAGACACATATGCTGAGTTGTCACCTTTTCTTAGCTTTCTCAAGGACACATCAAACTTAGTTGAAACCTAAACACATGATCTTTGCCTGAAAACAGCCTCCCCTGACACATATAACTGGTCTACTTTTGCATCTCAGAGATTGGCACTTTCTATCCTGTTGTGAAATCTGAGCATCATTCCTGACATTTGTGTTTCCTTCACCACATCAAGCCCCACTGGTGGTTTCTGTTAGGATGCTTTCAAATCTATTTACTTCTTCATCTCTCTACCCCATCTCCATAGCACAAGATACCATCAACTCACCTGTAATATTGACATCACCTCCTTACTGATCTATCTGCATCTACATTGATTTCCTGCCAGCCATTTCCCACAATGCAGTCAGGGTGTTACATTGAAATGGCAAGTCTGATCATGTTACTGCTTCTGCTTAACACTCTTCCATTATTTCCTATTGCTATTAGAATAAAGAACAAAATACTCCACACATTCACACATTCCTGAATGGCCTGGCTCTAAAACTTGGTTCTCCTGATCCCTGTTACCCACTTTCTCTGTATGCTCCACTGCCTTTAACTTTTCATAGCTAAAGTACTGTGCACTTTCCCTCACAAGACAATAGAGCAATTCCTGCATGTGGGGGTAACGCCTACTCATCCTTCAGATTTTACCCCAGTTGCCACAACCCCAGAGAAGCCTTCCTTGACCATCTTAAGTTATATTTCTGCTATTTATACACTTTTACTTGAATACAGATGGTCCTGACTTACTATGGTTCAAATTATGCTCTTTTTACTTTACAATGGTGCAAAAGTGATACACATTCAGTAGAAATAGTACTGCAATTACCTATCCACCCATTCTGTTTTTCTCTCTTGAATATTTAATAAGTTATATGAAATATTTAACATTTGATTATAAAACAGGCTATGTGCTAGATGATTTTGTCGAACTGAAGGAGAAGTGTTCTGAGCACACAGGGTAGGCTAGTCTAAGCTATGATGTTCAGTATGTTAGGTGTATTAATGATACAGACAAGAGGCAGGGAAATCCTGGGTAGATGAGGGTGATCCCCAGTGAGGGCCACGCTTTGAGGCCTGGACCTGTGGCCCAAAGTGAGAACATTCATTCCTGTTTTCCCACTCGAATGTTGCCTTTTCCAAAACCACCCTGGCCTGCTCTGCCCCCCATTTTGTGCCCATAAAAACCCCAGGCCCCACTGGTGGAACAGCAGAGCAGCAGAGAAAGAAGAGAAGTAGCCAGACGTCGGAGAGAAGCAGCCTGACTTCATAGGGATGGTTTGACGGTGGGACCTCACAGAAGAGTTCGGCCAGAGACAGCCAAACTCGAGGGAAGACCACCTTCCCACTCCGTGTCCTTTCTAGCTCCCCGTCCCGCTGAGAGCCACCTTCACTGGCAATAAAATCCTCCGCATGTACCGCCTTCTATTCATTAATGCAGCCTGATTTCTCCTGGATGCCAGACAAAGGCCCAGGTGCGGGTGCAAGAGGCTGTCCTGGCCTCTGTGCCCACTCACCAGCACTTCCCCTCCCGTGAGGGATTGAGAGGTGTAGGCTGAGTAAAGGAGACAACCCCTTCATGAGTCTCACAAAGGGGTCAAGGGAACTATCCCGTTTCATTAAGGGAATGTTGAACTTACAATATTTTCAGTTTATAATGGGTTTATCTAGATATAACCTGGTCGTAAGTTGAGGAGCATCTGTACTCATTTTATAAGGAACTTGTGAGAGTTGCACTTCCGCGTTAGTTTTGGGAGTTACATGATTAATATGACTCCCTTGGGAAAGCTAAGCTCCAGGTTTGCAGGACTTCTTGCTTTTCTTATCCCCGGCACCTATCACAGTACCCATCATTACATGGTAGTTATGTACCACACATTTGTTGAGTGAGTAAATAAATAAAAGAATGAATGAATGGCAGGGTCAGTATCTGAAGCCCAGCTAATCTGATTCTTTCCACTATGCAATGCCAAATTTCACAGTCTAGAGATTCAAATGTTACTCATTTAATTATACTCAATATACACAGATATGTATTGAATGCCTGCTTTTTCAATATGTAGTGTTCTAGATCCAGAAGACAGTAGTAAAAAAGGTAGATGAGATCCTTTTTTACTAATGGTATTTATGTTATATGGGGGGAAGGCACTAAATAAATAAGTAAATAAATAAACAAGATGGTTTCAGATTTTTAAATGAAATTAAAATAAACAAAAATATATAATGAAACTAGTAGGGACTTTGGCCAGAAAAATATTTAGCCCAGTCAGATTAGATAAGCTGTCTTTGAAGGTGATATTTGAGCTGAGATATATAAATCAATTACTCTACATTGATATAAAAGTAAGAGAAAACACTGAAAGACAATGTTTTCACTGTGATATACATTTATTAAAAGTACTGTTAAGTGTTTTAGAAAAAAACATAGAAGCTTAAAGCAGTGAGGCTAGACTTTGTGGGGCCTGTGAGTATTGAGAATGTGCTGGATTTGAATTGAGAATGTGTTGGATTTAAATAGAAACAGAGGAAAGTGGGATAACAAAATTAAAGCATAGATGTAGGCATGTCTGTGGATATACAACAAAACTATTTTGTAAAATCAAAAACAAAAACTACAAAATTAAAGAATTGCTGTACATCATTGGCAATCCCAAGAAATTTTTTGTGTGAGTGGGTTTGTTAAAGAAAGTTCCACAAAGGGATATTGTGCTTTTATTCTTCATTCAAAATGTCCAAGCCATCGAATGCTGCCCACTTACATTTAAGAAAAAGAAAAAGAAGAATGTTTATATATGAGAGCATTAAGGAGTGGTGAAAAAGAAATAGATAATAGAGATTTAAAGCCAGGTTAGGGGGTACCTTCAAAGCCAGTAATGAGGATTTCTTGGACGTTTATTCTCATGTAGGACTAAAGAGGTATTTTTGGCGGTCTTTCTGTTACCACTTAGGAGTTAATGGTGGTAAAGAATGAATGGGTCAGAGAGGCAGGAGGCTAACTCCCCAAATTCTTTATAAAATGTATTAATTATTGCTAAATATGACATTAATGACCAAAATAATGACATTACTAACAGTGTGGTAGCATAATGTGGTATAAAGGGCATAGGCCGGACAGGTCAGTAAATCTCTATCTGCCATTAACTGGTTGTGTAACCATAAATAGGTCACTTTATGTCATTTAGTTTCAGTTTTTTTATTTTTAAATTAACCTTTTAAAGTCTCCCTGAGATTAAAAATTCTAAAATTTTATGATGGGTGCCATATAACAAGATTTTGTCATAATCTGTATTAAATGTTGGTCAAAGAAAGATGGTCTGACAGTGAAAAGGTTTGCATGTCAAAGTATTCAGGATTGTATTCTTTGAGTCTTTTACAATTATCTGTACCCTAATATATTTTTTCGTTAGTAATCATTGTAAACAGATACTGGAATGGGGAATTTTCTTCTGCTGTTGATCAGTCTGTAGTTTTATTTCTGTCTCCTCTCCACCTTTAAAAGTGGTAACACTGAGCTTGCGATTTGTATGTACCTCACACAGATTTTAAGACACCATTGAATAACATGAAATGTTTATTTGTGATCTTACCATCTTGAAATTAATATTAAACATACTATTTAGAGTAGTGTGTGCTTCATTAATGAATAAAATGAGTCATAGATTGGTCAATCTCATGGCTGAATCTTTTAAAGGAAGAAGAATCCAATTGTGGAACTGCAGAGCTGCCTATGGGTGTTGAGTTGGAGTTTAGCTGTTGCTGTATTATTAATCTTTTCCTTTAATTAAAATTATTCCTAATTTTAATAAGGGATATACTTCAAGGGGCAAAATATTTGTGGGTGTACATAGCAACAATAAAGGCAAAAGCAAAGTGTTAGCAAATTGAATAAGAATACCAAACAAATAGATGGTTACACACCATATACATGTCTTATTTTTACTTTTTGGAGAGTAGTAAATTTTTTCAGAAGTTTGTGTGTACCATCTCTTATTTAGGTGAAAATATTTTTGCGTGTTAATATAGAGTTGACCCTTGAACAACATGAGTTTGAGCCATGTGGGCCCACTTATACATAAATTTTCTTCTCCTCTGCCACCCGTGAGAAAACAAGACCAACCCCTCCTCTTCTGCCTCCTCCCCAGCCTACTCGATGTGAAGACAATAAGGATGAAGACCTTCGTGATGATCCACTTCTACTTAATGAATAATAAATATATTTGGTCTTTCTTATGATTTTCTTAACGTTTTCTTTGCTCTAGCTTACTTTATTGTAAATCTACAGTATATAATACACAATCAAAATATGTGTGAATCGACAGTTTATGTTATTGGTAAGGCTTCTGGTTGCCTGTAGGCTATGAGTAGTTATGTTTTAGGGGAGTCAAAAGCGATTTTCAGATTTATTTTTATTTTTATTTTATTTTATTTTATTTTTGAGACAGAGTCTCGCTCTGTCAGAGTGCAGTGGCATGATCTCAGCTCACTGCAACCTCCGCCTCCCGGGTTCAAGCAATTCTCTGCCTTAGCCTCCCGAATAGCTGGGATTACAGGCGCCTGCCACCATTCCTGGCTAATTTTTGTATTTTTAGTAGAGATGGGGTTTCACCGTCTTGGCCAGGCTGGTCTCTGAACTCCTGACCTCATGATCCACCTGCCTCAGCCTCCCACAGTGCTGGGGTTACAGGTGTGACCCACCACGCCTGGCCCAGATTTTTGACTGCTCATGAGTTTGGCACCCGCAGCCCCAGTGTTGTTCAAGGGTCAACTGTACAGCTTCCTGGAAACACAATTTTTATCTTTATTTCAAGTGATAATAATCAACTACAATGTGTACATATTTAGCATAAAATGTGTCAAAACATTTATGTATTTGACACCAAGAATAATATGGGGTTAAAAGAAGATAGTATGTTATTGACTCAAATATTCTCTATCTTTTAATATATAAAATATCGATAACTAATTAACTCTTGCTTTAAGGAAGCTCCTCCACTCAAATGATTTCAATTGTGTATATATGCACATAGCCAACTTCCATGTGAGTATGGATATGCCGCATCTACTGAAACCCAGAAATATGATTTAAAACTCTCCATGCTCTAGTGCACGTGCACACACCCTCATAAGTTGTAAATAGCTGTTATCACTTGTTAGGATAACTTAATTAAACTTGCTTATTAAAAACCTTTAATTCGTTAGTGATAAAATCCTGATTAGTACATTTTCCTGCTAGGTGACCTCCTAATTTAATAGAAGATGAATTTTTAAATGGGGAAAAATGCCTGTGGCAGAGATTTTGTGCAAGTGAATAGAGTTTGCAATACACATAGGGATATATTCTAGCCTAATTAGTAAGGGTGCAAATGAATTTTTATTCCATACACCAGAAGTCTCACTGATGAACCACGATGAGGAGTTTGAAATGCATTCAGATTGGCAGTGTGGGACTGAAATCTGTGGGAAAATCACAAGCTAATTCATTGATTGCCCCTTGGAAATTACTGCTGTTAATTGTTAGGTAATTAACATGGAGCTACAATTATATTGGCCTAAGGGGGTGATTAATGTTTCAACATGTCACATTAGCAGCGGCTGGATTTTCAAAGCTTTTCTTTTCACATGGTTTAGGAGACAGATGGTATATTGTCTATGGATTTTTTTTTTTTTTACTAAAGTTTATGCTGAGAGCAAGTGTTTGAATTTTCTGTTCTTGAGCCTCCTTTTAATAGATACAAATTTTAACACAAGAATTTGATAACTTTTATGAAATAATGTAATATTTGCTAATAATATTCTTTCACCTAAAATATATATTGCTAAACAGGAAAGTTACTTTAATTTTATGTATTGGTGTAGAATCAAAGCTGTCTTAAATTTGAGGAGTTCGCATTTTTCTTTATGACAGGTCTTAAATTATTTAATGATAGAGAAAAAATTTGTATGATATTATATTTGTAATGATCAATATAATTTAAGCAGAAGCCAATAAACCATGTTGAATAAATGCATTTAGTAACAGTGATATAGAGTACATTTATGTTTCTATTTTTTCGCATCTCACTGTCTCTGTTACCCTTTCTTTTTCTGAAAGCTGTGTACATCCCAATATCTCAAATCCTAATTTAGCCCAGTTCATTGTGGCATGGATTTTTCAGAACTCTCCTCTCCTCTGAAGAAGCCACATTGATCTCTAAATATGAAGGCTAAAAATAGAGACAGAATGCATCAAATCAACTGCTTATTTACTTAGGGGGTACATTTGCAGAAGCCAACACTACTCATTACCAGATTAGCCTGAGATATTACATTATATGTTTAAGATTTGCCTATACCAATCCATTTCATCTAAATTTCAGAGTTTGTTAAACTGCTTCCAAAGTTTGGGGCACATCTATCTTATAATAAAAATAATTACAAAAAAATCATATCCAAACTATAGTTACTTGAAAAATTGAAAAAAATCATTCTTGCAAATTAATTTTATTTACAGATAAATCAACCCTCTATTCATCCCAGATATTCAGTCATAGATTTCTAGAGCAATATTTTTAATATGTAGCCCATCTGTTTTTATTTGAAATGCATTTTGGTTGAAATGGTTTTTAAAAATTTAAGTATTTTTAATAGAAGTCAACGTGGTACCTTTCTTCTTTAAAAAGACACTTTCAATACTAAAACCTAAGTGAGTTCCAGAAAATTCTTAAGGTCTCCAAAGGTGGATTTTTTTAAGTCCAATTAAGGCACATTATCTAAAAAAGTGGAATAGATTTCTAGCAGTTCAAAGAGCAGCTTCTTTTATAATTTTTTTTCATGAAAATTTGAGATGTCATTTTTCTTGGTAGCCCCATACTGAGGTCTTTGTTGTGACTGCAGTCTGTAGCTTTTATATTGATTTGTACTGCTTCAACAAATGACAGAAATCTTTATTATCTACAGTCAAGCCAGCTATTAACTTTTACTGTCCATTAAAACTGGAAAATTGTGAAAGGAAGTCAGTACTTCTAAGCCTTTAAAATAGAGAATTACTGAAATCTTGATTTTAGGCAATTCTGTTTTCAGATCTTTCTGCATTTCTTTTACATTGAAAACCAATTGCAGTTGTTCAAATGTCTGTTTTACTGTCAAGTTGACATTTCACCTCAGTTCCTCTTTTCTTTGCTTATTATAATTTTACCAAAAAAAATTCTTGTCATGCTAGAAATAGCAGAATATGCAGTAAGACCAAATTAGGTACATGCATTTTTATTGGAGAGCTTTCATCAAATGTCTTTTTTTATCCTGTTTTAGTAATGAGTTTAAAGTGAAGCAAGGGATTCTGACTTTGATTATAGATTGTAAGCAGTAAGTTAAAATTTGCATTTGAAAGTTCCCTAGGGAATGTGAAAGCTATATCTACTTATCAACTTGGACAGTAGGGGTCACTATGATTCTTTTAAGATAAACTGATAGGAAGATTATTAGCCACAGCTAAGATTATTCTTAAAGATACTTTAGGGGAGCGGAGAAAGTCTTTTCTAAAATAGAAAGATTAATTAGTGCAGCTAAAAATTTGATATACATACTACACCCCCCCATACACACACATACACACACACCTATATATACAGTTAAATACTATTTAAAAAGAGTAGGGTTGTCTTGCTTTAGGCTTTGTTGACATTTTAAGACTACTGTGGTTCTAATTCCTGAGTTGTGGTTTGCCATATATCAAAGGCTTCAAGAAATTCCATGACTGACTCACTTGATAAATGTTATTTGCATATTGCTATTGGTTCTTTCTATTTCATCCTAATTATAGCAATCTTCATGCCTTTTTAAAATCATGGGTAAATAGTAGTCAGAAAAAATTGTTTAAGTTAATGTTAGACACACAAAAAATGGGAATTTTATTATGAATATCAATGTTGGTTTCTTAGTGATGACTTTAGTTGAAAATGTAGATGAAATGCAGCAGTCATCAAGGTTGGCATGTTGCAGTAACATTTGTCCTTTTCAAGTCCGTTATTTTATGATTCCAGTCAGTGAGGATCTCAAATTTTGGATGGGAGGGCCAAACATGAAAATATCTATTACAATGTTATAAAGTCATGGGTATACTTGAAATGAAGGCAAAGTTCTGGAGTAGAGGAGAAAAATCCCTAGGTCTGTCGGTGTGAATTACTGGCAGTTTTCTAGGCAAAGGAGGGCTGGGTGCTTCCGGGGTAGGGACATGAAAGGCTCTAAGAATGAAGGGCCAATGGGGTGGTCAAGGAACTGAGCTGACTGAGGGCAATGGAAGGCCACAGCTCATGATTGTGCTGTTGTTTGGTGGGAAGGATCATGACAAAGGATGGAAATAAAGCTCATCAAGGACTTTGTACCCTTGTTTAGTAATTTTTACTTAGTTCCATAGGAATTAAAAATCTGACAGGATAAGATTAGTCTTTTTTTTTTTTTGAGACGGAGTCTCGCTCTTTCTCCCAGGCCAGACTGCAGTGATTCTATCTCGGCTCACTGCAAGCTCCGCCTCCCGGGTTCATGCCATTCTCCTGCCTCAGCCTCCCGAGTAGCTGGGATTACAGGCGCCCGCCACCGCGCTGGGCTAAGTTTTTGTATTTTTAGTAGAGACGGGGATTCACCGTGTTAGTCAAGATGGTCTCGATCTGCTGACCTCGTGATCCTCCCGCCTCGGCCTCCCAAAATGCAGTCTTTTTTTTAATGTTACAAAATTATCAGTTTAGCTACTATTCAAAAATGATTAAAAGATCAAGGTTGGAAAATTCTTGTTCATGAATCAGCACAAATTTAAAGTGCCTACTACACACAAGTCATGATTTTAAAACCTGGGTTTACAGGGATCAACAATATGGATGAGAAGACTGCTCTTACACAGTTTACATTCTAGAGGAAGAAGACCGAGTACAGGGAAGTAAACAAATAAAAAAAATGTTACTGTAAGAAGAAAGTGCTCTGAGGGGAGAAACGGTGCTATAGGACAGCAAGTGAGTGGGACAGGAAACCCACGTGCACAGATCAGATTCAAAAAGGCTATCAGAGAAGGGGACAAAAGAATTGTCACCTGGATGATGAAGATGAATGAGCTAAGTGAGGATTTGGAGGACTGTAACTCTGAAAATAAAGAACAGAAAGCATAAAAGCCTGAAAGCATTTTAACATAAAACATTTTGAGAATTGGAATAATGGTTTATCTCCTGACCGTAGACGCAGACAACACAGTGGAACAATTATGAGTATAGAATTTGGTGTCCAATTAATCTGGATTCAAATTCTAGTCAATCCCTCATAGGAATTTAGGCAGGTTATTTAAGTATTCTGATCCTCAGCTTTCTCTTTTCTAAAATGTAGTGATATCATAAATACCCAAAGTTCCCAAAACATAGGTGGGCAGTTAATCAACAGGGCTTATTTTACTCTCTTTGGATTCATTTCCTCTTCTGCAATGTAGAACTGTGTTACTTACCAACTTAACATATTTTTGTTTGTAAATCCTCAAATAACATGTGTGTTTATCTTTGCTATTAACTCTTTTTTAGTTCTTAATTCAAAATTAAATTAAAAAGATTAAGAGACTAAAAGCTGGTAAACTGGAAGGAAATATGTTGCTTGCTCTCAGTTATTCTTAATAAACTCTGAATTATCCTTAATATGATTCTTAATTTATAAGAAAAAATCCAAAATAGTTCAAGTTTGTGTAAGAAATCATCATATTTTGGAATAAATAATATTGCAGATTTGTCAACTTTTTTTAAAATTTAAAATTGCCCAAATAAGCTATTTGTGTAGTCCTCCCAACTTTGAGTGAGTCTTTTAAAATCACTTAGCTGGTCCCTGTTGTTATTGCTCTACCTCTGATTTATTTGGAGACATTGCTTCTAAATAAGACTTTTCTTATCCCATAAGTAAAACACTTCTTTTTGGCTCTAGCATTTCCAACAATCCTGTCCTTAACTTTTCTTTCCTACTTCTTTTGTTGACAATATATCTCTTACTATTGAGCTTCATTGCCAATTCCCTAAACCTCTTCTTCAGAATAAATCCTTTGACCTTCTTTTTCTAAAGCCTAATGACCAAAACAGACTCCCCACCAGTCCTCCAAGTAATCTTATCTTTTCTGTCACTGACTGTATAAATTTCCTCCTGCCACAGGCAAACTGACTTCAGTCATGTTTTGTAAATACTTACCACAGAACCTCCTTGTATAATGGCATCCAATTTACTCTTCTTTTCTATTGCCCCATAACTTTATCCTGCTTCTTTTTATGATACACTGTACAGTATATTTCTGGAGTGTTCCAAGGGCTAAAGAGTAAACATTCTCATTTTATGTCCTAAGCCTCAATGTCATACATTTTTCTTGCATATAATAAAGAGGTAAGTTGTTATAGAAGAAAGGAACCTTACAAAATAATGTAATCCAATATTTATGTTATATAAGAAAATTAAAATATAAGGAGTTTGGATTATATTTAAGACCCAGATATTCAGAACTTTTACTCTATGTTCTTTGTAATTCACAGGAAATTGTAACATTGTGGTTCAGGGGCTAGTTACAACCAGCAATGTACTTTCTTTGGCCCTAATAGGTATTTTAAAATATTTTTAGTTGTTCCTGAACTTTAACATTTTGAGATTTTATATAAAAGTCTGGATTTGCAGATTCTCTTACATTAGGTGATTTGACAATTCTGGGCACGTGAGACCACATGGCAGTACCTGGCTGAAGCTTAGTAGCAGCCTTCATGTTAGGGAAATCATAGTATCCAATTGGCCAGTTTTCATTATTATCTAATATACTATACTCTTCATTAATTTATGCATTCATTATGTATGTAAATATATATTATTTGCCTGTGCCCTATGGGAATTTGACTTTTGCCATTCTTTGGCTATAATCAAAGGCTTTTCATGTGAGCTGATGAAAACCTGAACCCATAACTTCAATGAAGCACTAGGGATACAGCTCATGGATGTATGGGTGTCCTAAAAGTTGTACAAAAACATTTCAATGATGTCAGTATAATTCCACAAAAGTGTTCTTAGCATTGACTCTGTCTAAAGCATTGAACTAAGCACTGAGATATCAATCACAAATGAACCCATCCTTGGGGAGTTTTACTGATTATAAAATGAGACACAATATCCTCTGGGAGAACGATACCATGTCTTATTTGCGTGAAATGATAGAACAACTAATACAAGATATATTTATTACTGTCATCAATATAACATAATCATAAGGGTAGGGTTTTTGGATGAAAGATAGTATATAAAGCAAATAATATTATTATATTATTATATTTCTTATACATATTATTATTGGGCCATTTGACCATTATTATCAATTCCAGATGAGTACTCCTATTGGTCATAATTAACAGAAGTGTTTTCTCATTTAAAGGCATGTAAACATTTCATATTGAAAACTTGCCATACCAAACAATTTTTTTAATAGTGATGATAGATTTTGTAGATCTATTTACATTCTGTTGCTCACTTAACCTTTGACTAAGGTGTGTGTTAGGCATCTGCATACTTTGTGGGTAGAGCCAACACTTTAGGAAAAGCAAAACAATTGTTCAGGACAATTTTCCTGAACAATTGTTTTGCCTTTATGACCACTATGAGTGAAAAAAGATAAATTGGTATTATTTTTAATGTTCATGATCATTTACCCTCTAGAGTGTATTTCATACATGATATGAGATGACAGAGTATGGAAAATACAATGTTTTCTATGCACTCTTTCCAAACTCAGTGAAATCATTCAAACAAATAATAGCAATGGAATGAATTCTGGTAAATACTAAGGAAGAAAAGAATGTAAAAGGTCAAGGTCTTCATTATTCCTGTTTGTTGAGTGCTGGGTGAGCCCAGCACTTCATAAACCATATTGAAGGGTTTGGTCCTTGCTCCGGAGGTTCACAGATCAAATTAAACAGGCAAGGACAATTGTATTAACCAAGCAGGTGGTTAGTTCTAAAAATAAGGATTTCTAAACCTTATAAAAAGTTTGCTTATTTTTTTTTCATTCTACCCCTTTGTTTCTCATACTATGGTCATTTCAAAATAACAAAAAAAGAGGTTAGGCCTTGCCTGAGAAGAATCACAGAAAATTGATATTGTGAAGAGGCTTTCTTTTTTAAAGTGGGTATAAAAATAGACTAAATATAGAAAAAGGAAGATGGATTGTTATGAACATGACTAAAAAAATAGAAAGCAATGCAGTTGGGTTAGAGAGATGAAGCGTACTGTACAATGAATGAGTCTACATAGGTAAAAGGAGTGTTGAGAATTAAGGAGTCCAGAGCTGATTTAGCCATATATACGAGGCTGGTTTACTCTAAAATGAAAACTATTGTTTGCCAAACTAAATTTACTTTGTTGCAGAGTTTATCAGCCTTGTTTATTCAACTATGCTTCTTTTTTTTTTTTTTGAGACAGAGTCTGGCTCTGTTGCCCAGGTTGGAGTGCAGTGGCGCGATCCCGGCTCACTGCAAGCTCCACTTCCCGGGTTCATGCCATTCTCCTGCCTCAGCCTCCCGAGTAGCTGGGACTACAGGAGCCCGCCACCGCACCCAGCTAATTTTTTGTATTTTTAGTAGAGACGAAGTTTCACTGTGGTCTCGATCTCCTGACCTCGTGATCTGCCCGCCTTGGCCTCTCAAAGTGCTGGGATTACAGTTGTGAGCCACCACGCCTGGCCTCAACTATGCTTCTTTAACAAATAACAATGGTGACTTTTTGAAAAGTATTTTTAAAAATATATTTCTTGAATATTTTGATTACCCCAGTATTTTCTGAAATTTTGTTTGCATGAAAAAAGCTTGCCCTACTAATGAGACAGTTTATTATTATTATTAATTATGGTTTATAAAAGTTTTATATTAAAATGAAGAGGTTATATATCAAAATGGAAAAGAAATCTTCTGGTTGAATAATGTTTTGAAATTATGATTTTTATGGATTAGTGACTGTAAAATACATGAGCATTTCTCTATTATACATGACATCTGGCTTTTGCTAAAAATTATATACTTTTTTGCAATTTCTCTTACATTTAAAATATTTTATTTTGCCTTAATCACTTTAGTTTTTGAAAGGCTTGTTCCTCATTTCACTTCTCAAATTATGACAAATCACAATATGTAACAAGGATTAAACTAAATGTGCATTAGATGAGTAAAGAATTCACTGAGGCAAGACTAATCATCATTTAGATTATCAGTAGAAGATGATGAATGAACAAAGGATTGCATGACAAGTTGTGTTGATGCTATGAGCCAAATGTTTTAGCTTTTACAAATGAAAAAAATCCCTAAGCAGATTATAGCAGAAAGTAATCATTTAAATTACAAACTTAAGAATTTCAAATTACATACTTCATCAAGTTGAGTCTATTTTAACTTACTGAGTAGATCTGGTATAACAGAATGAAATAATTACTTAGTGTTTCAAGTAAATGGAATATAGTCTTCCTATGCTTATAATTTATTTTCTATACAATTTCTGCAGTAGGTAACTGAGGAAAATTTCTGTGAATGTAGCCTTAGTTAAAATATTCAAAAATATGTTCAAGAATAAGCATTCTACAGATTTTTTTTTTCCGCAGGAATTTCACTTGCACTTGTCAAGATAAATTTTTTGAAATACTTCTACTTTTTAGAAATTGATTCTTTAGAAACAAATTTGAAGAGGTGATAAAGAAGATGTAAGGAAGATTTTACTTTTTCCCCTACTGGGTTCTCCGAATTGAAGATAAAAATCTGTTTCAATAGAGCTTTTCAATAAATGGTGTGTATGTATATTTGAACTAATATCCTAAAATTATATCATATATATATGTAGTATATATGCTAATTCCCTATTAATTTCTCAAGGATATTTAAGAGTAAGAATTCTGGGGTTGGACAGTGTGGCTTCAAATCCTAGCTTGCCAGTTTAACAATGATTCTGGACAAATTATTAAAGTTTCTAAGCCACAGATGTTTTGTCTGTAAAATAGTGCTAATACCTACCTCATTATTACTATAGTTGTACCAATGAAGAAATGGATGTAAAACCTTTAATGATGGTGTTTAAGGTACTTAATGCAGCTAGCTCAAAGCAAATGTAACCTCATTATTATCATTATTATTAGACCATTTTTTCAGTTGTTAATGTGTGGTAATTTTAAGTCCTGTTCAACTATTTTAGACCTTCAAACAAGTGTAGACACTGTCCTGGTACATTTTTTTTTTAAATTCTGTAGAGCAAAGCTAGAGGCATCAACACTACTATGAGACCCACAAATATTTCTAAATGAGTGTGCCCTAGATGTGCTTTCTCAGTTTCTACCAGTACTTTGCTAAACTATAGGCCTGAAAGTATTTTTTCATGGAGATTGGACCAAGTCAGTGGGTTCTGTTATTCTAAAATTTCAATCTTAGCCTCACTGTCATTATGCTCTTTCTGTGGCTCTGGGAGACTACTGAATTTTTCATCGTTCTTTATGCTGTACACTAATGTGAAACATTATTGAGATTTCTATGGTTATTGAAAGTTATTGAAAGAAATTAAGAAATAATTATCTCCCAAGTCTAGACTTTGAAATGAATGACATATTGTCAGTCATCCTTATCTTTCACAGACTCATTGTGACTTGAATTTTACTTTTGTGATAATGTTAATAATATTGCCCCAGCACTAACCAGCTACTGGAGGATACATATTGCTAATGTGTCAGATGTAAAATCTTGCTTTCTGGGAGGAGGTAGCTGGCCCCAGCATTAAAATATTAGTTCCTCAAATTGTAGTGGGCACTAAATAGTAACTAGGAGCTATTACTGATTTTAATGTTGAATCTATGAAATTAAATGAAAGTAAACTCCTTCCAATTAAGAATGGCTGATTCTGAGCTCTGTAGCTATGTTAGACAAAATGAATTGCAGATTAACCTGGACAGCTTATTTTCTTTGAATATTTTGAAGTTTATATCATATTATCTTCCAATACACTCTCTTCAAGTTGATTATTATGGTCTCAAATACTTTTTTTATGTAAATAGTTGCTTTGCTTTACCAGAAAGAGAAATTACTATTCAAACTTTTGCTTTAACTGTGTCTGTGTAGGGGAGAGTGAGGACCAATTCCTACCTGTATTCTTTTGACAGTATTCTTGGCTGACAGCTCATAAAGAAATGTTGGTAGATTAGAAGCGATAGTCTAGAAGAGTTTTCTGATTTGATACTGCCATATTTTACCTGAAATTTATAGCACAAAACTTTTTAATAGATACAGTTTTGTAAATATCTTCCACTATCTGTAGCAGATATATTTTGCCACTCTGCAACTTGTGAAAACTTATTAACTAATAATTCATGAATTTTTTTGAACAAGATACTTCTATATAAACAGAGGAAAAAACAAGTTAGAATGAGTGATTTAAAAGCCTATAAGATAATACATAGTGATATGGTTTGGCTATGTCACCTTGAATTGTAATAATCCCCACATGTCAAGGATAGGACCAGGTGGAGATAACGGAATCATGGGTGCAGTTTTTCCCGTGCTGGTCTCGTGATAACGAGTGAGTTTTCATGAGATCTGATGGTTTTATAAGGGGCTTCCCCCTTTGCTTGGCGCTCATTCTCTCTCCTGCTGCCCTGTGAAGAGGTGTCTTCTACCATGACTGTAAGTTTCCTGAGGCCTCCCTAATCATGCTGAACTGTGAGCCAGTTAAACCTCTGTTCTTTATAAATTACCCAGTCTCAGGTATTTCTTCATAGCAGCATGAGAACAGACTGATATACACAGTATGAATAGGTATGCACAGTGTAATTATTCAAATCTTGGAGTTGACCTCTTTGAGATGCTCATAACTTTCCAAAGAAACATGAATTTCACATTACTATTTAACTACTCTTTGATAGTCTTTAGTATTCACCAATTCTACAGTTGTATCAGGGAAGTATTACGTGCAATAGGCCCTGACACATAGAAGACATTTCATAAATATGTTTAATAAGTATTGCTGAAGAAATTGCTTGTGGGGAATCATAATTTATTCATTTAAAATATTTATGTAATTCTAATGCTATTCTAGGCACTAAAATATTAAGATGAATAATAACCAAGAAAAGTGTTGATAATTTAAGTTACTTGATATTAATATCCTAATTAAGTGGTTAGTTGCTACTATATGCTGAGTTACAGTACCTTTAGCAAACATGTAATTGAAAATTTTATAACATTTCATTATTTTACCCAGGCTCACGGACTGAGTACATGGTATGGTCAGAATTTGAAGCTATGGCAGTCTGTCATCAAGTCCATGCTCTTTACAATAATTCTAAACTATATCCTACATGAATGACCCACTATATTATTTAATGTTTTTAATTTGTTGACCCCCATATATGTTATTTAATTTTCCCCAAATTTTTGAAGTAGTATTATTAACTCTATCTTAGGTATTATGAGATAGAAGATGAGAAATGTCTAAAGATGCCAGAGAGGTTTTTATCCTATTCCTCCCTTCCTCTCTACATTGATTTTCCCAAGAGTTGTGGGAATTCATGCCTCAGTCCTAAGAGGGAGGTCTAGGCAGGACCCTAGTGCATCCATTACACTATTTAACACTGACATGTCCTCCACAAGCAGCTCAATTATTTTCATTTAAAAATCTTCTCTTGTCTCATTAACTAGATCAAATCCTCCTTTACATGTTCTCAAGGCACTGTACACCTTCACTTTGTAGCCTTTATTATAGTTGAAGTTTCATTTTATTTATGAGTTAATTAATTTTGATCTTCTACACTAGGTCTCATGATCCATAAGAGCTTGGACAGTGACTGCTTTTTTTTTTTTTTCCCAACATTAGATCCCAGAGGCAAGCACAACACCACATACGCAGTAAATGGAAAATGCGTAGCGAGGAAGTAAAAGAGCTCAACAGGGTCCGAGACAAACATTGCAGGGTGTGTTTTACTCAGGACCACTGGTGATAACTACATGAAGAATCAGGACTTTATCCCTGCTTTTCTGACTTGATTGAGATGGAAGAGTGACAGAATAAGGAAAACTGCAATGAGGAACTTAGGAGTGGGGTACCCAGAATCCTATTTTACCTTTGTTGGAAGTGATTTAAGAACTGGGTCCCAGTAACGGATCCAGTGGTACAGGAGAACAGAGGCAGGGTCTCCTGATTGGGTTGGCTCCCTGTGTATAGGCCCAGAAGTACAGAAACTTGTGTTGGCAATGGCTCCACATGGGGGTTACCATCAGCTCTTAGCAGCTTCTGGAGCAACATCTCAGATTACTTACCTCTACAAGTAAGTCCCTGTCATTAGAAAATCCCGAAGAGGCTTTTTCTTGCTCTCTTTTTTTCAGCCTCAATAAATGAACTGTGGCTCTCCCCAAATTTCCTAGATATTTCTGAGGTTTGCAACTCAAGATTATTGTCAACATCAAAACTAGAGGACAATCTTTCCAGTGACAACTCCAGGCTGTGCCATTTTTATTTCTGATAACACATTTGGGACTCCCTAGAGTTGTGTTACTATGTCATAGTTGTGTTATTACATTATTAATACAGTGTATTAATAGCATAGTGTCACATAACCAGCTACTCATTTGATTCATTTACCTTCGTCCTCAGGTAGGGAAACATCTGTGCATACCCTACTAGTTAAGACTAAGTTACCCTATTATCGGAGGATGCTATTGCAGGAGTTTATAAAGAACCCCTCCATTCCTGTCTCTTCAGACACCAACTCACTCCTGTTTGAGCAAAAGGCAAATGGGTGTCTGGACAAGGATGGGCTCTGAGCATCCATATTTTGATGAAACAAATGTAAATTATCTGGATCAGACAAACCTGAGAAGCTTTGTTAATTATAAAACTATAATTGGAAATAATGCCATTTGCTCTAGAACAGTGGTTTCAGCCTAACATTTCATTTTTATAATTACTTCATAATAACTCCTATTATTCTGAAATAAAATTCATACATATTTTCACTTACCAATACACATGATTAAACAAAAAATAATGTATTAACTGTACAGGAGGCATGCAATAGAAAATAATATTTAATTAACAAATATATTTTAATTTGCAAAAGCTTGGTCATAACTAGAATGGAAGACATAACTAAGTAGTTGTAAGCTAGCACCTATATGTCTAAATACCATGAATATGGCAGTTACAGATGATGACTGATACATGTATGTTTATTATTATGCACAACTTTGCCTTTAATCACCTGTTATTCAAAAGATAAACTGTTGGTAAAAAGCATTGGTGAGCTCTTGGTAATATTTAAAATAAAACAAAATACAATCTTCCTTTTTTTTTACATGATGATACATTTTTGGAAACTTCAGCATATATTAAGAACTTGCCCTAAATACTTTGAATTTATATATTAAATGGACTCAATATCTCAGAATGAGATCAATTTAAACAGGTCATTTACATACAAGAGTGCCTGGTAAAAATAAAAATTGTGTGAAACTGTCTATTAATGTTCAGGGCATCTGACATCTCATACTCCAACAGCCTAAGTGGCATAGCACCTCTGTCTTGTTCACAACCCAACCTATGTTCACCGATTTCCAAACTGCTTCTAGAGAAAAGTAGATGAGAGACATTATTTTAGATTCTCTGAGATTCTTGTTGTTTAAATGCACACACCCAAACTGTCAAGTGAGGACCTAGAGGTGAGGAGCTCTCTTAGTTGCAAAAGACCTTTGAACCCATTGTCTTGACAAAGAGCCTTTATATATACAGATGTTCATGTGTGAATGTGTGTTGTACAACATGATGACCTTTTAACAGATAGCTTTCAAATGTGTATGGTAGATACTGTTATGATTTATAATGTTAAATTCAAAATAATCTTAAAATCTGTGGTAAACATTTTGGATTACCTATCTTAACTCAAGGATAATCAAAGCTACCCATAATCCATGAGAGATCATGCAATTTCTTGAACTAAAAAGTGGTCTTCAAAACAAAAATTGTAATTCTGATGTGCAAGTAATAATTATGAAGAAAAATCAGATTTATTATCAGCACTATAATAAAGACAACAACATCCAGCTAAGGGTCAGAATGAAAGGTTAGGAATCATGCTATAACTGTCTCTGTAGCAGAGAAATAGAGGCCCTGCAGTAGCAGCTGACAAGTTAGTTAGGAGGTAGATCAGGTGTTGAAGTGCCCTAAGGCTGTCAGAAATGCTATTGATTAGTCAATGATCGATTTTATCAATGTTGGTAGGGTGAGGAGGGCAAATTGCCGTCTTCTCTCTCTTTTGTAATGTCACATTGCCCTCACAGCTTATGGATGTACTTAAGCTTTTTATAAAATACTTTAAACAACTTTCAGTTCAAATAAAATCGGTACATTTACTACCCAGTATATGAGGCTGTTTATATGAAGCTGATGCATCCAAAAAGTTGATTAATGGAATGTTTACTTATTAACTGTTTTTAGTTACTATATTAAACACTTACTTTGTAGCAGGTATTGTTCTATATCTTGCTGTATTTCACTACAAATTATACTTTCATGGAAGTCTTAACATGCCCATTTTACAGATAAGAAAACCAGAGACTCAAAGAGCTTGTGTCTTACTCAAGGTGTATTACAGGAATTACATTGATCTTCACACTCAATGAGGTCAGCTTGATTTGGGGCAGCTTCAAACAGTGAGTGGTCATTTCAGAGGTGTCTCATCTACAAAAGAAGGGCCTCTGTTCTCTCATGGAAGCCTGTCTTACAAGCTGATCAAGTTTTTGGATTGCTGAGAACAATTAAGACTCTGTTTGTTTTAAATGTTTTCTATTTCTTTCTTCCACTTTTCAGGTGCACCTCAAAAGAGAGTGCTGAATGCACAAAAGATGAACCACACACATCTTTCATATTAGACATTTTGTAGTGATAATTTTAAATTTATATTACATAATAAGAGGCAAAAGTAAAATAAAAAAACAATGGAAGTTGTCAGAGTTGATGTCAACTAAATCATGCCAAATCAAATAAATGGTGAATTCTACATTACTGAATGGTCATTTTTAAAGGTGATGATCATTTCTGTAAATTGACACCAGTTGAGTCAGCATAAAAGTAAGATGAAGATCAGGTTTACTTTATAGACATGCTGAATGCTGAATCCTGCTAAAGCAATTTCTTAGAATTTATTTCTGTAGAAAACAGTTGATCCAATTTTCAGTCCTCTCAGCTTCCTAAATTGACAAATGCAAGCACTTCTACAGCCAGAATCACACCAAGAAAACATTTATACTCTGTGCTGAAGTCTTTCAAAGATTTTTGGATGTTTGGTTCAGAAAACAAATAGAGATATGAGAGGTTGGGTCAGAGTTGAGAAGGAAGTAATTTTTTTCCAAGGCAATTACATTTGAACTTGAGTGTATGTGTCAATAGTAGTGGATTTTAAATTATATCTGGATAGTTTCAAGATTCACATTATTTTTGTGAATATTAGATTGAAACGAATATCTATATCACATTTATTCACTTCAATTTTAGAGTATTTTTTGTAAATGTTTTGAACTTTGCCCCCTTTTCCCCCTCAAAGAATTTGTTCTTAATCCCTCAACCAGTTTCTGTAGCTAGAAAGTTATTTAATAGTCAATATTTTAAAGTTATGGTTATTTTTATAATTTAAAGGATCATTACTTTGGTTGGTGTTGAGTAAAAATAGCTGTTGGACAGTTATTGTCAGTAATATAACAGTATAAAAGAATATACATTTCTCCTTGTTAAATTTGATCATCACCTCAAATTCAACAGTTTCAAATAAGGCTTCTTATTCTCCTGTCCCTATTCCTAATAATCTTATTTGTATGAATGACATCACTGTATTTCCAGGTAATCGTCAACTCCCCATCCAGTTGATCCTTACCTTTTATACACTTACTTCCCATGTCCTGTGCCTTCTTCCTTCACAATGACTTTGCAGCCAGCCAATCTCTCCTCATTACTGATTACACCACCAGAATTTGGCCCTAAAATAGCTTCACCAATCTGCACATCATGCTCAGTTAATTTTCCTAGAACATTGTATTAGTCCGTTTTCACACTGCTGATAAAGACATACATGAGACTGGGCAATTTACAAAAGAAAGAGATTTAATTGGACTTACAGTTCCACATGGCTGGGGAAGCCTCACAATCATGGCAGGTGGCAAGGAGGAGCAAGTCACATCTTACGTGGATGGCGGCAGGTAAAGAGAGCTTGTGCAGGGCATCTCTCATTTTTAAAACCATCAGATCTCCTGAGACCCATTCACTATCATGAAAACAGCATGAGAAAGACTCACCCCCATAATTCAATAATCTCCCACCGGGTCCCTCCCATAACACATGGGAATTATGGAAGCTACAAGGTGAGATTTGGGTGGAGACACAGAGTCAAACCATATCAAACATAGTATCTTTTTGCTCAAAATACAATGTCTAATAATTTCCTATCAAATAAGTGCTAAATAATTTTAACCTGGCATGCAATTTCCACTAAAAGTTATCCTCCAATTACTTTTCAAGCCTCCTCAACACTTGTCTTTAGTTCTTGTAGTTCAGTAGTCTGTCCAGAACATCTGGAGCATTCCCAAAATCTGTGACTTAATTTATGTTCTTTGATCTATCAAGAATATCATCTGGCTTTCCGCCTCTATATCAAAGTTGATTTATCCTTAAATCCCATCAACAATGCCAACAATTTCCTGATTATCTGAGCCAGATATGAATTCTCTTTTTTCAAAAATTCTATAATATTTATTGTATTTTCTATATCCCTTTTGGGACACTTGCCTCTGGAAACATTCAAGAAATTTCTCTAATGTTGTTTGGCTACTTTGTGGTAGAATAAAGAAGCTAGGTCTTCTGGGTCCTACCCTACTGCTCATGTCATTTACATTGCATTTACGCCCTCAGAGTCATGATAATTTACTTCTTTAATTACTTGAACATTCATTATCTAGATAAACACAGGCTTAGTTTCTTGTGCCTTTCAGAGAAGTCAAATTCATATTGCATAAGAAACAAGATCTTCACAGCTGTGGAGATCCAGCTGAGATGTCCATCAGAAACTGCTGAAGCAAGCATTCAATGAAGTAAGTTCCCAGGAAGCCTTGCATTCTCCTGTGAAGTCAAACTCATCAATGCTGAGATCAGTTCCATCTTTAGTACTTTATGAGATCCTCAGAGGTAGAGATTTTAGCAGGATTATGTGTGATCAAATCATGCAAAATTTTAGCAAATGTAAGAGCAGTTATTTTAGTGGAGGTAGATGATGTTTTGATTTTATGCTCATTAATGAATCACTTAGCTGTACACTGCTTAGGATGGGGAAAGTGTGCTTTTTATGAGTATTCCCCATCAGGATATAGATAAGTATGAAACTCTGGCTGGGATAATTTGATGTGAGGCTTTTGGCTTCTTCAAGCTGCTAGGCAGCATGAGGCAGTGATGGCTACAGCATGCTCTGTACTCCATTGCCTGTCTCTGTGTGTGTTTTCATCATTCACACAGCAGTGGGTGTGTGAATGACTGCCTCAAGGACGTCCATGAGTGCTTCTACTCTGTGGAGGCAAAAAAGCTTCCTGGAAGATAAAAATTCCTCCTTCTCATAGCAGAGTAAAATGGATCTAAATTAATGCATGTATGTGCGTGTATATTCACACCAAAATTCTATCAGAGAAAGCTAATCAAGCTTTCTGTGATTGACTAAGTTTATATACATAGTTGCCAGAATATTATGTTTTCAAGAATTATTTCACACAGTAGGTATGAAAATAAGTGAGTCTAGAAATCTTGGCTCTTTTTTCAGTTCCTGGGAAGTCTATGAAGCTTTACAAGGCACCTGATAAAAGTCTTATTTATTGATGCTACTTTCTGAAATCTAGATTGATTTTTGTTTTTTTCTGTAGTTTTCCAGAAATAACAGTTTAATAATTTAATCATTGCCCTAGCTTTATATTTGTTTCATCCTCTTTCCCTGAGATATGCAAATATATGTCTCTTTGCTAATATCTTTTCTCCATTCTCTAGTCTGAAAGCTGATGCAAAGAAGTCATTAAAATTGATAGCAATATCCCCCACTTCAGTGAATAAATTACACTTTCCATTTCATGGAGGTCCCATTATCTCTGGCCCTGACCCCTTCTTACTTTTCTACTTGAAAGGATCCTGATTTATCTCAAACTCTTGTGCAATCTTTCTTTCATTTTCTACCCTTAATTTTCTTATCGTATTTTTTACACTTTCAACTTCATTCAGTCATCTCAGTGCTTCTCTCTACCTCATGTTTTATAGTGTATATTTTCTTCTTTCTTTGCTTTGATTAGTTTTTGGATTCTTCTCATTCTCCACATTGACTTTTTATTCTAACTAAAATCATATTTATTTCTGGATTATATGCACAGCCCTTGAACATACTTTAATTTACCCTTCAGCCTATTTCATTTACTCTTTCCTTTTACTTTTCCCCCTTTGTTCTTTATTTGGTTGGCTTGTATGCTTCTACTCAAAATTTGCTTTTCTTTCTGCCTATTAAAAATCGTACTTTTGCCCTTTTTGTATTCCTTTGGTTGATCTGGTAGAACCAACCCCAAATCCATTTTACTATCTGATTTTACTATCATATTTTTTATCTGTAATAATATCTCCTGTTACTTAGACTAATTTTGGAATTACAAAGAAAGCACATTTTCTTGGCCTTTGAAAAATGTTGTAAGAAAGTATTGTAAGCAGTAAAGTGGTAAGTGCAGGAAACACTGTGTTGGTGGAATCTTTGTTGAAGCTTTCAGCTTTGAACTTCACACACAGAAAACCATTAAATGCTGGGATAATAGAACCAGTTTCATTGTATCCCCTTTGTTTGGCTATCTCTATGGTTTATCAGTCCCCATAGAATATAGGACTGGAGGGGGTCTTGAGAGGTCATTTAATCTATTGCTCTATGGCCTGAAGGTCCTAAGGCCTCATATGCTCTACAAGATACCTTTTCACTTTAGTTCTTATCAGTTTAAATGGTGTTTGGAATTCTTGGTAAATATTTGGGAAGGTTGCAAATGTCATAGGGAAGAAAGAACTTGTATACAAAAAAATTGTAGAAAAGTCACCTACTATAAAAATTTGAACAAGAAATTGTCAGAACAATGAAAGCATTTATCAATTGGAAAGTATAAGTCTCTGGCTCATTGCAGAAATTTATATACAGAAAGTATAAAAGATTTTAATGTTTTGGCCTAATGTTTCATGAGGATGAATATTCACAGAAACAACAATAACATGGGCTTTTATATCATATGGGCAGTAACGAGTCAAATATACTGAGAATAATATGACTATTTTCTACACATCACTGTGATCCATCTGTGATGACCTATTCTCTCCAAGAGATTAATATTCTTAGAAGAAACAGGAATGACATTGGAAGTCATTGCAAGAATATAAATACTGAGTTATTATAGATTCAACTAAACAATGATTATTTAAAATGAGTCATTTTTTACTACATTTTATAGTAACAATACTTCTGACTCAGTCTCTGACTCATATTATTAAAATTCCATGGGTTTCCAAGACCAATTTTTCAATTGATATTTAGAGAGGTAGGATGGGGTAGATTGAGTAGCATCTAGTTGTTTTTATGGATGAAAAACTGTCAAATTCAGATCTCTCAATATTAGATAGTTCTAATTTTAGGGTGACTTAGTCAGCCCTTAGTGATTACATAAGGCTACAAGCTCATTGACAAAATAACAATAAATAAATAAAAAATAGACCAAACAACAATGACTATTGATTTCAACCAAAATATCTAATTAATCTTCATACTCTTCACTTAATATCCTTGGAACATTTAAACTTCAGAGTTTTTTTAAAGTCATTATCACTTCAAGAGTGACTAAGAATTTCAAAGATGATATGAAAATAATTTGCAATGAATAAATGCACATCAGTACACATGTCAAACAGATAACTTACTGTGACAGGTTGTTCACTTAAAAGAGATAAAATTATTGAAATTCAAGAAAACAAGCATTAATGTCCTATAGTTGAGACTGATTAACAAACAGAAGTTAACAAAAACTGAAGAAAACAGTAAGCACTGATGTGGAGGCAGTATCGAATCATTTCAATATAAAATCAAAATTCAGGAATTTAGTGTGTGTTTGATATCGATGTTAACACTCTTTTTGCTTTATGGAGTATTCGAATATAGTCTGAAGGCATTACTGTGCAAAAACATGTTGGTAACAAAATATATTTATTGCAAGAGAGTTGCAAGCTAAATAATAATTCAACCTAACAAGAAAAAGGGGGGGAAAGTTCATGGCAATATGGAATAGATCCTATGCTCCATGAAATAACAAAACTATCAATACAAAAATTGTTTTTCAGCATTAACATTCAGAGACGTTAAGGATAAAAACAGATAATTGATATCTGGCATGGTAACATATGCCAACTTTGGCAGCAAGTGTCGTGTTCAACTTTGAAACTTCCAAAATACTTACGTTGAGTGCCCTTCATTACTAGTAGTTTAGATCCAGCTGTCACTTTTCTCAGCATGTAACTGTTGAAATCTCACTTCAATTTTCTGATTCTTAGTTGGTCTTTATGTCAGATAATGATGTTCACCTTGAAAACTCTTCATGAGAATCAGCTGGGATAATGTTTATATATAAATTATGCAGAACAGTAGCTGGCGCATATTAGATGAACAATAAATTACAGGTCTTTGCCACATTGTCTTATCATTTATCCCCTAAACTATTGCAATTTCTTCGTTGCTAGACAACTTTCTTCAGCTTCTCCAGTCTTCTCAAGACCATTCTACATGCAACTTTCAAATTACTGTTTTCCAAACAACATGCCAATTGCAACATATGCCTAGTCAAAATTGTCTTCTCAATAAATTAAATTTTAATAACTTAGCCAGGTCCCCATATTTCCCAGTGTTGTCTCATTTCTCTACTTCTCCAGCCTAATTTTCCAAATGATTTATATGCAACAGCCAAACTGTACTGCTTGTTACTCCAGAACATATTTCTTACTTTCTCACCTGTATGTCTTTGTTTATACCACCCACTGTATAGTGCTTATGTAGCCTCATGGAATCTGTGCTGGAATTTGCCTGTTTACTCTCAAATCAATTTCCTGTTCTTCTCCTCTTTTGCATTGAGTCATGGCATTGAGTACATTTCCCAGGTTTTTTTTAGCAATTGATTTCTGAGTAAAATTAACCAATGTGAGGCACTGACAGAAAACTAGAAGGTAGAAAAGTAAAAGTATTTCTACTGTTCTTTTTCTTTCTCTCCCTCAGACAGAGTCTGTAGCAACCCCTGAATGTCCTCCATGTTCTCTGGTCCAACCAGCTACCCTTTCCTCTATGGTTTCAGCTTCCAATGGGGACTCTGTATCTTGGGGTTTGGTTAAGCTGTGTACTCTTATTTTCCTTCAGCCTTGAGGTGGAGTGAGCCTTCAGAGATAGGTATCTTCAGAAACAGCTACTTCTGAATTGCCTGTGTGGCTCCTGAGCATTTCCATCCCTTGTGTATCAATTTCCCTGTATTAAGTTTCCTTAGGTTGAAGAATATACAGTGGTTTCTGCTTCCTTGTTAGACTAGACTATGCCTACTACAGAGTGACATAGTTTTGGATTTAAAAACTGGCTCCAATATGTCAGAAAAGCTACTTAGCTGAGTTTCAGTTTATTCACCAATATTCGAATAATGTTCTGTAAGGTTTAAATAAAAAGCACATATGAAAATACATATATAATATCTTGAATACATTAGTTAATTAATACTTGGGTTTTCACTCATTTTCTATGCTACAAGCCCTTTAAATAAATATGAGCTGAAATTAATTGATTATTTGAATGTAAGGGAATAAAAATCTTAGGTAATGTTTACCTTTTAGGTGCATCTAATTATTTATATCATTCATGCTCTAAAAGTGTGCCTTGTTATTAATTTGAATCTTAAGGGGTTTTAGTTGTAAGCATATATTAGATAGATTTAGTAGATAGCAACTATTTTATATCAAATATCATTTTCTAAGTATACGTGGAAGGTCCTATTTTAAGAAAATATTATGTGGCTCAGGGGATGTGTGCCAGGTGAATATGGATGAACTGAGGGTAGAGCAATCCCAAAAGTCCTGAGGGAAGCAAGTAACAGGAAGAGTAAGGGATTTGTTGGATAAACATTAAGGTCAGGGGATTAGACTAAGGAATCAGAAGGAACTTTCCAATTACAGGGGATTTTCTCTTTTTGCCTTCAGTATGAACAAGAAATGAAAACAATCTAGGACTGTTTCCCACCTATGGAGGCCAATAAGTTGGGGATCTGAAACGCACTTTCTTCTCCTATGATAGCTCATGAAGGTGGGGCCCTTCTATTTTGATTATTCATGACTTTTCTGGAAACACCTCTTTAGACCTCAAACCATTTATCTATTGTTTCTGCCAGAACCATGACTACAGTGGTTTAGTGATGCCTGTAGCCAGGCATTCATATTTTGTCCTGGGAAAAGCACTAGCCAATATATTTTTTGTCTTCTGCATTTCGGGTATAAGAGGCTTGCTGTGATCTTTCTGTACAAAGTATCCAACTCCAGAACTGAAGTCTGCAGCAGAGAACAAAGGTTAATTTCATGTCTCCCCAAATCCCAAATAAACAGATTTCTACTTTAAGAACTTGGGCATCTAGATAACTTCATCTAACTAAGTTGCAAAGGATTAAAATAAGCTCTATTTAAAGCTGGAGGCATATTACCTGACTTCAAATTATACTCCAAGGCTCTAGTAACCAAAACAGCATAGTACTGGTATAAAATAGGCACAAAAATAAATGGAACAGAATAGAGAACCCAGAAATAAAGCTGCAAATCTACAGCAACTGATCTTTAACAAAGTTAGCAAAAATATAAACTGGGGAAAACTACCATTTTCAATAAATAGTACTGGGAAAATTGGATTGCCATATGCAAGAAAATATAATTGGGCCTGTATTATTCGCTATATTTAAAAAATCAACCCATGATGAACTAAAGGCTTAAATGTAAGAACTGAAACTATAAAAATACTAGAAGAAAACCTAGTAAAAACTCTTCTGGACATTGATCTAGGCAAAGATATCATGGCTAATAACTCAAAAGCACAAGCAACAGAAACAAAAGTGGACAAATGGGAATTAATTAAACTAAAAAGCTTCCGCACAGCAAAAGAAATAATCAAAACAGTGCACAAGTAGCCTGCAGAGTGAAAAAACATATTTGCAAACTATGCAACCAACAGAGGACTATATCCAGAATTTAAAAGGAGCTCAAACAATTCAACAAAACAACAAAAAACAAATAACCTCATTAAAAATTGGAAAATGACTTGAATAAACATTTTTTAAAGAAGACATACAAATGGCCAAGAAGCATATGAAAAACTCCTCAGCATCACTGAGCATCAGAGAAATGCAAATTAAAACCACAATGGGATACTATCTTACGTAAGTCAGAATGTGGCTATTATTGAAAATAAAAAAATCACAGATGTTGGCAAGGTTGTAGAGAGAAGGAAACACTTATACATTGTTGGTGGAAATTAGTACAACCTTTATGGAAAACAGTATGGAAATTACACAAAGAACTAAAAATAGATCTCCCATTCAATCTAGCAATCCCACTACTGGATATTTACCCAAAGGAAAAGAAATTATATCAAAAAATACTGGCTCTAACATATTTATCACAGCAGCATTCACAATAGCAAAGATATGGAATGGACCTGTGTCTGTCAACAGATAATTGGATTAAGAAATGTGGTAGACATACACAATAGAATACTATTCAGCCATACAAAATGAAATCATATCTTGTGCAAAAGGATGTATGGAACTAGAGGCCATTATCTTAAGTCAACTCAGAAACAGAAAGTCGAATACCACATGCTCTCACTTACAAATGGAAGCTAAATAATACGTGGACATAGAGTGTGGATTGATAAACTATGGAGGCTCAGAAAGGTGGGAGGGTGGGAGGGGGTGATGGATAAGAAATTACATAATGGGTACAATGTCCATTATTTGGGTGATGGCTACACTAAAAGCCAACTTTACTACTAAGTAATATATCCATGTGACAAAACTATATGTTAAATATATATTTATAATATATATTACATTAAATTTATATATAATTTGTATATTAAGAAAATATATTTTAAAACAATGACACTTGGACTCTACTACAGATCATTGTCTGCATCTGGGATAAATTCTGGTTAGATACGTTAAGAGAGAAAAGAATTCAGCCAGTGTTAAAGATTGTGGCTGTAGGAGTAATCCAGTTTCCCCAAAGACTTTTTCATCTCTGGATTAGAGATAATGGCCAATATAGGATGACATCTGGAATAAGAAAAAGCTCCTCTCAATTTTTTGTGTCTCATAAGCTCTGTCCCTCAAGAAAAACTTAATTCCTTGGAGCCAGGAACTCATTGGCCCAATCACCTTCAACTTTTAACTACAAAATCCATGGAACATTCTGGAATATTGAACAAAGCTATATCAAATTTTGATTGCAACAACATAAGTTCTTATGAGAGATGGTCTTAAATTATCTCTATCAAACATATTCTTACTTACCTAAATACAGAGGTAGCTAAGCAATTTTAAAAATGCTCATTGGTCCTTCAAAATACATAGGATTTTGAGGGGTTTTTTCCCCCTAATTGTAGCTGTTACCCTGGTAATACAGGTTAATTTAGATTCTTGATATGAGATTGAATCAGGTTACCTTAAACCATGGAAATAGTTTTTTTGAATACGTCTACTCAATCTGTTGTGTTCTTACTGGGAATAATGAAAGATAAGGGCATTATTCACAAAGACTGACATGCATAATGAACTAAGCATAATATAATGTAGAATAAAATGTGTGCTAGAAGAGAGGTGCTATGAGAGTAGAACAGAAGGAACATTTACTTCTGATTAAAGCATTGGAGAAGATTTAATTACAGTTGTATTTAAGCCAAGATTAAAACATGGGTAATATTTAGCTTAGTTGGAAATCATAGAAAGAGTATACCTGGTTAAAAAAAAATAAGCAAAGTTACAGAAGAACTCAAGAGTGCGTGGAGAGGAGGTTTGGAGAACCACGAGCACTTGGACTGGAGTTTATAATTCTGGTTAGAATAAATTGAGAGGTGTGTGGGGGAAGATAATTTAAGTCACAAATTATAGATTTTTGATCTGGAGGCCTCAGAACTTTTCATTTTGGTAAAGACACCCCATCTCAGGATATTGAATAGGGATACTATGTGAGTCAGCCTCTATTTTGATAAAGTAAACCTTAAGGATCTTGCGAGGTGCATTAGAAGACAGAGAGGCTAGAAACAGACCAATTTAGGAGTCTATGGAATAGACCAGACAAGGGATTCTGAGTGCTTGGATTTGGTCATTGGCGGTGAAAATGAAAAGTCTGGATGAACATGAAAAACATTCTCAAAGGTGAATCAAGAAGACCCTAGTAACTAATTAAAATTGTAAGGTGGACAGGTGGACATAGACAACAAATTGTTTCAGAAGTTCATAACTGAAAACATAATAGCAACATTAACAGACATACAGAGCACAATGAGTCAAATAGACTTTGGCAGAAGGGCAGGTAGTTTAAGACATTGAATTAGGAACATATGTGGGTACTCGTATGTATAATGGTTCTGTGAGTCAGCAGTTCAGAAGATAAATTGAAATTGTGACTGAGTCTTGCAAATATGCAATTTTTAATTTTTTTTCCAATCCTTTTATCTGACACAATCTGCCAAAGGGACTTCCATTTCCGCCTACAGCATTGACTCCCCAGTATGTATCTGCTGAGTTTCAGCCCCACATTTTAAATTACCTCTTTATTGCCCCACCCAGACATTTTAAAAACATGCCAAACTCAACATATGCAAAACTGATGTCATCATTTCTAATCCTCCAATCAAACCCGCTCTGAAGCCTGAAGAAATTACAGTGCTGGTGAATGCCATTACTATTATCAACCTGGATACTAACAACTTACCCCACAGCAACACAAAACAAAACATATACACAAGCTTGTGAGTCATCCTAAACTCCTCTCCGTTCTGATATCACTAGTCTAGATCCTAATCCTTTTTTTTTTAAGAATTACTGAAATAAATTTCTACCAGAGGCTCTTTTCTGTGGACTGCCAAATCCACTCCCTGTACAGCTACCTGAGTGCCACATAAAGTGGCGATATCATTATTTCACCTTTAATCACATTATACTCTTTTTGTTCATGTGGCTTACTTTGTTCCTAAAGAAAAGAACAACTACACTGTTTTTTTTTTTTTTTTTAATGATTACTTTCTGGAATAGCGATCCTCAAAAGTTTCTGAATAAACAAAAATATTTGTGTTTAGAATAACTAATATGAAATGGTAGTTGAAGGTATGGCAGTGGGGAATGACCAAATGTAAAGAAAAAAGAGGATAAGCAATACACTTTCAAAGAAGGAGATCAAAAGATAAAGCTGTGGAGGATTTTAAGAAATGAATCATCATAAAAGAACCAAAGGGAAATAACATTTAAGAGAGGAACATTTTAAGAAGGAAGACTTATTTACTTACCTAATCTCTGTAAGCAGTAAACTATTACGACTCTCGTAACTCTTTGCTGCTTCCTCCGTTTGTCAGCTTGATGTTTTCTCTTCCACATTTTCTACCAGCCACACACATATGGCTGTTGTCCACAGTTCCATCCTTCGCCTGCTTCTCCTTCCACTCTGTACCATCTCCCTGGGAAATCATTTTCATTTCTGGGTATAAACTATCACTGAGGCACAATGACTTCCAAATCCGTATTCCCAGCCCTCTTTGTTTCTACTGACAATTTCTGCAAGATGCATGTGTCCACACTTCCAAAATGAAGTCAGCTTCTTTCCCGAATATGCTTATCTTATTCCACCTATGTTCTATAAATCTTGTTTACTGTAAGCATTTCTTTTATTCTACAAGCATAAAATATGCTTTATTCTTGATTGTGTTCTTTCTTATACTCCAATCCATATCAGTCACCAAATTTCATCAACTCTCTCTTCTAAATGTGTCTTACATCTTCTTCCCTACCATCTCCACTTTTACTATGTTCATTCAGTTCTTCAGCATGATTTATGTAGATTATTACAGAGGCTCAAAACAGGTACGTTCACCACAATCTCTCCCAATCCAAAGTATCCTTCATATGGTTATCAGAGATAGTTTTCTAAAGTGGAATGTGAAATAGGCTCATCTGTTTTTTTTTTTTTAAACAAACAAATAGAACCATCTTAACTCTATAATGATCAGAGAAAAATTTCCAATCTATTAATATCTTATAAAGGGACTTCTAAAATATGACTGCAACTATATTTTTTAGAAACATCTCTAAATGCTTTGTCTACATCACAAAACAAATAGAAAAGTTCTCAAATTGTCATACTCAACATGTTTTGTTACATTTTCATGTCTTTGTAGAATATGTATACTTATCTGGGAATTCTTCCCCTGTCCATTAATATGTAGCTTCTTTTTAGAAAATATCTGCTTATTCATGATGAATTGTTTCAAATGCCATCCTTTTTTTAAAAAAATATTTAGATTTAATGTGTTTGTGTGTGTGTTTGTTTGTTTGTTTTTGAGATGGAGTCTCATTCTGTCACCCAGGCCGGAGGGCAGTGGCATGATCTCAGCTCACTGAAACCTTGTGTCCCAAGGTTCAAGCAATTCTCCTGCCTCAAATTCCCAAGTAGCTGGGATTACAGATGCCCACCACCACACCCAGCTAATTTTTGTATTTTTAGAAAGAGATGGGGTTTCGCCATGTTAGCCAGGCTGGTCTCGAACTCCTGACCTCAGGTGATCCACCCACCTTGGGCTCCCAAAGTGCTGGGATTACAGGTGTGAACCACCGCACCCAGCTAGACTTAATGTGCTAAATCCAACTTTCCAAAGAGAAAAGCCTCTAGTTTGTAGTTAGAAGCTATGCCTTCTTAACAAATTTATATCTGTGATAGCCATTTAAATTGTGATCATAATAAAAGGTATCTGTTCAAAAGAAAATTACCTCTACTTTTTCTATTCTCTGAATTATCTCACTGGTATAGTGTGAACCTCTAATTTCATGTGCTTTTCAGTGAATGTTTGCTTTTGTTTCACTGCTAAGAGGAAATGAAAGCCCATAGTTTTGTATCTAATGTATATTTTTGTACCAAAATGCATTGCTCAGAGCTAATTTGTATCAGATGTTCAGCCATTAGATAAACTAGCATTTCTTCACTGCAGTGAAAACTACGCAAGTGTAGCCAAGAAGTTGATCCCATTTTTTTTACTTTATTTTGTCTTGCTAAGAAAATTAAAAAGAATAAGCTTTGCCTTATATTACTGTTGTGCTTATACTTCTTTTCCCATCTGAAAGCTATGATACATGTTTAACAATAAGCAAATGGTCAAGAAACACACCACGCAGGGACAAATTTAGTCTGCAGATGACAATCACTGCCAAAATGCCATCTGAACCATGATAGTTCAAATTTTGGCCCGAGTACCCAAAAAGAAAGAAAACTGTGTAATGCAGAGGGGGAGACCAAGTGAAACTCAATCATGCTAAGCATCACAATTGTAAAGTCAAGATGAATAAGAAGAAATGAAAAGCTATTCATCGAAGCTGCCTCCACATGGGACAAATGATTCTTATGCTTGAAATAGATTTAAGTGTCCCCAAACAGCAATCTCACTCTCGCACAGGAAATGAAAATAAAAGCAAGCAAGCAGCCAGTCAGAAACAGTCACCACCTTCTGGGAACAGCCACTTGAGAGCTGGCAGAATGTGCAGCTCTGTCAGATCCATGCAATTATAAAAACATTTGAATAGGAATACTTGAAAATGATCTTTAACTCTAGTGGGATGCTGAAATGACTTTTTTGAACTTTTCTCATTTTTCTCAGTTTTTTTTCTGACTCTGTAAGGTAAATTATGACCTAAATGTTTCATGCGTGGCGTTCTGGTTGGATTTGGGGGCTTATCATAATTTTATTTGTATATGTTGAGAGGTTTTAATAAATTGTGTCAACTAGAAAAACAGTGGGAAGCATTGTTTCAGATGTGGAGTGGCAGCCTACAGGCTTGAGCTGTTATTTGAAATTCCATTGAATTCTAATTTTTTAAAAGAGGTAGCTGTTCATACTTTATTAATGTTTACTAATTATAGACTGTAATTCTTGACATCCAAGCATTATATAGCTGTTAAAGACATGGAAAAATGATTGTATTTGAACTCAGACAACTGGGCCTATTTATTATATTATGTTTGTCTGTTTTCATGTGCGTGTGTGTGTGTGTGTGTGTGTGTGTCTGTCTGTGTACGTGTGTATGTTTAGTTTTAGATATGTCACTTAGCAGCTATGGTAACGTGTAAATCCTGAGATTCTGTCTTTTTGAACTTTTAAAATAGTTGTCTATTAGCAGTAAACCTTGGCCTACTCATATCACAGATTATTTTGGGGGGGAAATCATGACAGATCATGTGTTAGGTCACTTTGTAAAAGCTAAATTAATAGACACATGAAATGCTTTGCTATTTAGAAGGCAGCATTAGGAGTCATGTGACTTATATTCTAGTTTCTATTCTACCACTTACTTGCTTTATGGCCAAGGTGAATCAGTTAACCTTTATGTGACTCTGTAAAAGGAAACTGATTTTTGTAGTTGATGATTACTTCAAAGAAGCATATTTATTTCCTTTTTCTCTTATAATTCTTGGGTAGTAGTGACAGTAATAACAAAAATAACTGTCACTTATTGAACGCAGACTTCAAGATTATATTATCAAAAGGTTAAGATTAGAATTAATGAAGACCAACCATGATCTATTTGTGGATCAAATAATTATACCCATTTAATATCTTGATACAGAGTTGACTCTTACTCCTAGCTTTTGTTCATAGTTCCTGCAGTCTAAGATATTTTCACATATTACAGATGAATATGCTGATTTAATCATGGCCCCCTTAGGCTCCATGCCACCAAGGGCACAAATTTGAAATTTGTGACAGAATTTAGATTTGTGATTTGGTGAGAGAACAGAGCAGCTCTAACTGATAATATTAATAGTATTAATTAATATTTAAGAGAGCACATACTCTATTCCAAGTAGTCTTCTAAATAGTTTACATGACTACATGGTTTCATCTTCACAATACGCCTAGGAGACAAACACTATTATTTTACATTTTACAGATGAGAAAACTGAAGAACTGAGAGCTTTAATTCACATAAATAATAAGAGACACAACCTAGACATGATCTAAGGCCATTGGACTCCAGTTGAGCCACTGGGCTCTACCATCAGCAAGCTATGATCTAACTGCTTAATTTTACTTAAAGATATTTGTTAGTCTTACTAGTTTATGCCTAAGATAATAATAATAATAATAACTTAGTCTAACTCTCCTACAGGTGAATTTTTAATATTCCAGGGGTACTTGAAAAAGAATATTTCAGTTATTATATACATCTCTGTCTTTGATGATTTGATGGAAATATAATTTCAAATAGTATATTCCAGTAGCGCATATGATCCAGGGAGGGAGGCAGAGCAAGATGGCTAAATAGAAGATTCCACAAATTGTCCTCCCCTGAGAAACAAAAATTTAACAACTATCTACACATAAAAGCACCTTTATAAGAACCAAACCTTGGGTGAGTGATTACAGTACCTGATTTTAACTTCATATTGCTGAAAAAGACACTGAAGAGGGTAGGAATGACAGTCTTGACTTGCCAATGCCACTCATCTCCCTAGTCTGATGGCAGGGAGATAATCCATGCTTTTGTGGGAGGGAGAGTGCAGTGACTATGGGACCCAGCATTGGAACTGGGTGCTGCCAACACCAGGCAGAACTCAGGTGGTGCCCATGGAGGGAATATTTAGACCAGCCGTAGTCAGTGGGAAATTGCCCATCCCAGTGATCAGAACCTGAGTTCTGGCAACCCTTGTCACTGTGGCCTTAAAAGCTCTGGGGTTCTAAATAAACTTGAAAGGTAGTCTAGGCCACAAGGACTGCAACTCCTAGGAAAGTCCTAGTGCTGTGCTGGGTGTGGAGCCAATGTCCTTAGAGGACATGTAATCTTGTGATACATCAGCTGGGGTGGATAAGGGAGTGCTTGCATTACCCCTTCCCCAACCACAGGTAGTGCAGCTCGCAGCTCCAAAAGAGACCTCTTCCTTCTGCTTGAGGAGAGGAGAGGGAAGAGTAAAGAGGACTTCACTCTGCAACTTGGATACCTGTTTAGCCACAGTAGGATGGAGCATTCGGCAGAATTGTGGGGTCCACATTCCAGGCCATAGCTCCCAGATGACATTTCCAGACACATTCTGGGCCAGAAGAAAACCTGCTGCCTTGAAGGGAAGTACTCAATCCTGGCAGGATTCATCATATGCTGACTAAAGAACCCTTGGGCGCTGATCAGCAACAGTAGCCAGGGAGTATATCCCATGAGCCTTGAGTGAGACTGTGAAATGTATTGGCTTCCAGTGTGACCCAGAACATTCACAGCTATAGTGGCCACGAGGAGAGACACCTTCTGATTGAGAAAAGCAGAGAGAAGAGTAAAGGGGACTTTGTCTTGAGCTTAGGTCTCAGCTTGGCCACAGTGGGAAAAAGCACCAAGTGGGCTCTTGAGGCTCCCAATTCCAGCACATGGCTCTTAGATTGCATCTCTGGGCCTGCTCTGGGCCAGAGGGGAGCTCACTGCCCTGAAGGGTGAGTCCCAGCCCTGGCAGCATTTACCGCAAGGATACTGAAGAGCTCTTGGGCCTTAAGTAACATTGGTAGTACCTTAGCAGTACTCCCTGTGGGCCTGTGGTGATTGTGGATACTGGGAGAGTCCTCTGCCTGAGGAAAGGGGAGGGAAGAGTGGGAAGGACTTTGGTGGTTTGAGTGCTGGATCAGCTAAAGTAGAATAGAGCACCTGATAGATTTCTAGGGTTTCTGACTCCAGGCACTGACTCCCAGACAGCATGTCTGGATTCACCTGGGGAACTCATTACAGTTAAGTGAAGGACATAAGTCTGGTTGGCTTCACCACCTGTTGACTGTAGAGCCCTAGGGCCTTGAGCAAACGTAGGCAGTATCCAGGTAGTAGTTATAGTGGACCTTGGTCAAGACCCAGTGCTGTGTGGGTTTCAGGTCTGCCCCAGTGCAATCCCAATGGTGGTGGGCAAAATGATGCTTGTGTCACCCCTCCCCCAGCTCCAAGCAGCTAAGCTGATACAAGCAGCTAAGGTGATACAACTTTACCTTTTTACTTTTACAACCAATCAGCAGTTATTGTTTGTTTGTTTTTGTTCTTGTTTTTGTTTTTATTTTTGGTAGGATCTGGCTTTGTTGCCCATGCTGGAGTGCAGTGCAAAACTCTGCCTCCCAGGCTCAATCAATCCTCCCACCTCAGCCTCCCAAGTAGCTGGGACTACAGGTGCGTGCCACAACACCTGGCTAATTTTTGTATTTTTAGTAGAGATGGGGTGAAACCCCCATTACCGAGGTTGGTCTTGAACTCTTGAGCTCAAGCAATCTGCCTGTCTAGGCCTCCCAAAGTGCTGGGATTACAGGCATGAGTTACTGTGCCCAGACCACTCAGCAGTTTTTAAATTAATTATTACTGACTTCTTGCCAAAATTTTCCTCATGATTTTTCCAAACTTTTTTTACTTTTCATAAGTATTTAACTCTTGGCAGACTTATTTATCTCCTTCTTAAGACAACTGAAGTTATTTGATACCCAATCCACTAATTTCTCTGAACTCCAAATGTAAAACTGGCAAACTCTCCTCTATATTTATTCTCTCAGTGTGCCAAGACCATCCACTCTACACTTTACTGGACATCTATTTAGCAACTTTTACTGCTGCTAGGAAAAGTTTGGGCAAAACCCAGCAGGAGAGATAATTATTTTTAGATTTTTAAATATGAAGAAGTTGAGATTAAAAGTAGCTAAATTTTTTTTCTGAAATCATAGAGTGCATAAAGGAGAACTAGGATTAAAACCAAGGATTTTCTCATTTTCAAGACTTCCCTTCCTTTACCATTACCTCTTTTTCAGACTACCCATAACTCAGTCTTATTTCAGTTTTTCATTCTCTGCTATGCCTATTTTTACATGCTTACAGCATGATTGAACCTTTTCTGCACACACACACACACACGCGAAAATATTCTTAGCCCTTTTCTTTTTAAAAAGTACCCCCAAGATTTTGTGACTGTCTCTTGCTTGGCTTTGTATGGTATTTCCTAATAATCGGGGTAAAATTATGCACTTTGGGCAGAAATACTATGTAAGTTAATGTGTTGCTTAATAAATTATATCAGGAGGTACATGCTATTGGTTTGCCCAATTTAGTGACACTAGATCTGATTGCATAAAGAAGTGCCCATCAGATTTCTCCACTAAAAAATTGGTAATTTCTCTTTCTAATTAATAAGTAATCTGTGAGCATTACTTGGAAGCTATCATGTTCCTCATCAATCTTTTACCCAATAATTTTAGGGTATAAGGAAGACTCTTGCCTAAAGCAATGATTATTATAGTTTTTGCAAAATGGTGAGAAATACATTTTAAAAATAAATGTTTAGAACATTAAGACTTTCAAATGACAGCTAAATTTTTGTCCTATTTTAAATATATTAAATAAGAATAATGTTTAAATCTGTATTCAGGCCTTGCCTCATTCATTAAAATTTTTTAATTTTTGTAAAAATTTATACATTTAGGCAACAATATATACTGTTTTAACAAATAACTTTAGGTATATTAACAGAATACTCTCAAAAACATTTTATTCACTGGAGTCCCCAATCTTGGGAGACTTCTATCCTAGGTCACAAGAAAAGCACGTGGAAAATTCTATTATTGGTTTTATAGTGTTATTTTTCACCAGTACTGAGTGGCTTTTACCAAACTTTAATTACATCATATTCTGGCACAAAATTAAGTCACTCATTCAAATTGAGACAAACTTAAGTAATCTCAAAATGTTTAAATGCTGCATTTCCTGAATAATTAACTTGATGGCTAGATTGAATTAAAAAAAAAATTCTACTCAAAGACCGACTAGCTTATCCTGCAACTTTCTAGATAGGAGAACTGCTGGTTTCTCATCCACCTCAGCTCCCTGGTTACTACTGTCACTTGGTCTAGAAAGAAACATCATTAAGATGAATCAGGACCACTGTCCATAACCAGCATAGCTAGTCATGGCTCCTTGAATCAAATTTGAATTGATTAGTACTTTGAATACTGTACACAGGAAGGACTTGTTCCTTTTATTAGGATAATATTCTGTGGCGAAAGATAGTTTATATTAGCCCTGCCCTACACTCTACTCAGTTCCAACTCCCTTTTAAAAGAAGTTTCTTGGCCTGGTGTGGTGGCTCATGCCTGTAATCCCAGCACTTTGGGAGGCCAAGGCAGGCGGATCATGAGGTCAGGAGATGGAGACCATCCTGGCCAATGTGGTGAAACCCCGTCTCTACTAAAACACAAAAGATTAGCCAGGCGTAGTGGCGAGTGCCTCTAGTCCCAGCTACTTGGGAGACTATGGCAGGGGAATTGTTTGAACCTGGGAGGCAGAGGTTGCAGTAAGCCAAGATCTCACCATTGCACTCCAGCCTGGGCAACAAGAGTGAAATGCCATCTAAAAAAAAAAAAAAAAAAAAAAAGTATCTCAAGCTTTCATAGAATAATGTACATCTATTATTATATAATAATTTGTGATTGTCAATAAATGCCTCCAAATCATATATGATGCTGGATATCCTCAACAAAAATGCCAGCCCTTATTGAAAGTCTTCATCTTGTGGTTTTTGTTAATAATGCCTAGACATCTTTACCTCCCTTTCCTTTCTGCATCATAAAACAACAGTGACAGTGTTGTGAGATATGTTGAGTAGAATATTCTGTCTTTATGAAATAAAAGCAAGCTCAATACCAAATCAAAAATCTTTAAAGTATGTCTACCTAGAAAATGATATAGATGTGATGTGTTGTCTGGCAGGATCTGGAAATGTAATGTGAACAAAGCTTAAATAGTCTCCGCTTTAAGGAAACCTACCTTTTGGTGAAGCAGTAAGCTGAAAAAAATCTAAAGATTTATTGTAAAATTGCTACAAAAAATAAAAATGTTTAGAAAGAATATCACAGGAATTATTCAGTATATTTATGAAAAAGAAATTTAAAAATTTTACTGAGGAATATAAAGAAATATGTCAATAAATGGGCATGTTTTTACCTGGATTTAGAGATAAGTATTGGAAACTGGTCAATTTTCCCAAAATAGTATATAAATTTAATATCATTACAACAAAAACATATATACATATAGGCATCCCTATATGTTTACATAGTGTGCTTATGTGTATGTTTGTATGTATGAATACACAATGAAATATAGGAAAATGGCCAAGAAAATTCTACAAAAGGAAAGTTGAGGGAATTGAAGGAAATAGCCGTATGATATATTTTTATTTTTTTAATTTATTGTAATTAAAATCCTCTTAAGAAACTAATATGGTTTGGCTCTGTGTCCCCACCCAAATCTTATCTTTTAGGTCCCACAATTCCCACGTGTTGTGGGAAGTGCCTGGTAAGAGATGATTGAAACAGGGGGGCAGGTTTTTCCCATGCTCTTCTCATGGTAGTGAATGGGTCTCAGAAGATCTGATGGTTTTAAAAATGGGAGTTTCTATGCACAAGCTCTTTTTTTTGCCTGCCGCCATCCATGTAAGATGTGACTTGCTCCTCCTTGCCTTTTGTTATGGCTGTGAGCTCTCCCCAGCCATGTGGAACTGTGAGTCCAATTAAACCTCCTTCTTTTGTAAATTGTCCAGTCTGGAGTATGTCTTTATCAGCAGCGTGACAACAGACTAATACAGTAAATTGGTACCAGTGGAGTGGAACGTTGCTGAAAAAATACCTGAAAATGTGGAAGCAACTTTGTAACTGGGTAACAGGAAGAAGTTGGAACAGTTTGGAGGGCCCAGAAGAAGACAGGAAAATATGGGAAAGTTTGGAACTTCCTACAGACTTGTTGAATGGCTTTGACAAAAATGCTCATAGTGATGTGAACAATAAGGTCCACGCTGATGTGGTCTCAGATGATGAGGAACTTTTTGGGAACTGGAACAAATGTGACTCTTGTTATGTTTTAGCAAAGAGACTGGCAGCATTTTGCCCATGCCTTAGAGGTTTGTGGAACTTTAAACTTGAGAGATGATTTATGGTATCTGGCAGAATAAATTTTTAAGCAGCAAAGCATTCAAGAGGTGACTTGGGTGCTGTTAAAGACATTCAGTTTTATAAGGGAAACAGAGAATAAAAGTTTGGAAAATTTGCAGCCTGACAATGCAATAGAAATGAAAATCCCATTTTTCTGAGGAGAAATTAAAGCTGGCTGCAGAAATTTGCACAAGTAACGAGGAGCCAAACATTAATCACCAAGACAATGGAGAAAATGTCTCCAGGGAATGTCAGAGGTCTTCACAGCAGCCACTCCTGTCATGGGCCTGGAGGCCTAGGAGGAAAAATTGTTTTTCTGGGCAGGGCCCAGGGTCCTCATGCTGTGTGCAGCCTAGGAACTTGGTGCCCTGTGTCCCAGCTGCTCCAGCTGTTGCTGAAAGGGGTCAACATGGTGCTTGGGCTGTGGCTTCAGAGGTTGCAAGCCTCCAGCTTTGGCAGCTTCCATGTGGTATTGAGCCTGTGATACACAGAAGTCAAGAATTGAGGATTGGGAACCTGAACCTAGATTTCAGAAGGTGTATGGAAATGCCTGGATGCCCAAGCAGAAATTTGCCATAGGGACAGTGTCCTCATGGAGAACCTCTGCTGGGGCAGTGCAGAAGAAAAATGTGGAATGGGATCCCCCACACAGAGTTCCTACTGGGGCACTGCCTAGTGGACTTGTGAGAAGAGGGTCACTGTCCTATAGACCCCCAGAATGGTAGATCCACCGATAGCTTGCAACATGTGTCTGGAAAAGCTGCAGGTATTCAATGCCAGCCCATGAAGGCAGCCAGGAGGGAGGCTGTACCCTCCAAAGCCACAGGGATGGAGCTGCCCAAGACTACAGGAACCCACCTCTTGCATAAGTGTGACCTGGATGTGAGATATGGAGTCAAAGGAGATCATTTTGGAACTTCAAGATTTGACTGCCCCACTGGATTTTGGACTTGCATGGGGCCTGTAGCCCCTTTTTTTGGGCCAACTTCTTCCATTTGGAATGGCAGTATTTATTCAATGCCTGTACCCCCATTGTATCTAGAATGTAACTAACTTGCTTTTGATTTTACAGGCTCATAGGCAGAAGGGACTTTCCTTGTCTTGGGAAGGCCTGGAAGGCATGGTTGGTTTTGAAATGTGAAGACATGAGATTTGAGAGGGGCCAGGGGTGCAATGATACAGTTTGGCTCTGTGTTCCCACCCAAATCTCATCTTATAGCTCTCATAATTGCCACGTATTGTGGGAGGGACCCAGTGAGAGAAAACTGAATCATGGAGGCAGGTCTTTCCCACACTGTTCTCGTAAAAGTGAATGGGTTTCGTGAGATCCGATGGTTTTAAAAAAGGGAGTTTCTCCACACAAGCTCTGTTTTTGCCTGCTGTCATCCACGTAAGATATGACTTGTTTCTCCTTGCCTTCTGCTATGACTGTGAGGCCTCCCCAGCCACGTGGAACCGTGAGTTCAATTAAACCTCTTTTGTAAATTGCTTGATAAAGACCTCGTATATGTCTTTATCAGCAGTATGAAAATGAACTAATACAGTAATCTTAATTTTTTATTTTAAAAAATAGAACATACAGTCAAAGGTTTTAATATAAAAAGACTATTACCAGTTCTGTCTATAAGAAAACTTTGTAATTTGTTCCTTGACATAAAATCACCAATTTTTCATATTTGTGTGTATAAATATATACAAATTATATAAACAAAATTAAAGCATTGAGTTGTTTAAAATTTTAAATACATTACATTTATTTAAATAAAATAATGGTTATGTAGTATTAAGAAATAGGCAAAATTGCAAGGAGAGAGTATTCTTTGTTTCTTAGAGACAGAGTCTCACTGTTTTGGCCAGGCTGGTCTCAAACTCCTGTCTTGAAGAAATCCTCCCACTTCAGGCTCCCAAAGTGCTGAGTTTATAGGTGTGAGCCACCACACCTGGCCTAGGGAGGAAGTATTCTTTATCCTTTTAACAAAATTTATTCATAGTATATTTTTTTCTTAATATATAAGACAAAAAATATGCTTGAATTCTTCCTACACAATATTTTTTTTTCACAAAGTAAAAACATAAAACAGTAATGTTCGCAGTAGTTAACAAGCTGACTCCAAAGCTATGTGAAAATATAAAAGAACAATAATAGTCAAAATGACTGAAAAAGAACAAAAAGGAATGACCTCACAACTGGATATCAAGGTTTACTATAAACCTACAGTAATAAAGATAGTAGTGACACAGGTATAAGGGTAGATATACAAACCAGTGGGAAAGAATAGAGTCCAGAAATTAACCTATACTTAGTCAAATAATTTTCCACAAATATGCCAAAGTAATTCAATGAAGGCTAGTCTTTTCAACAAACTGGATATCTATATGTAAAAAAAAAAAGATTTTCTAAACTTACTTCACAAAACATTAATTATAAGTAGATCTTAAGCTTACGTATAAGATCCAAAGAGAAAATTACAATGGAAATTAGAAAACATTCTAATTGCATAGTAATAAAAACACAATATGTTAAAATTCAATTACAGCAGAAAAAAATTATAGTTTCAAATACATTTTTACCTTACGAAATCCGGAAAAAAGGAGAAAATTAAACACAAAGTAATTAGAAAAAAAGAAAATAATAAAAATAGTGGAAATAAACAATAAACAAATAGAAAACAATAGTGAAAATCAACAAATCCAAAATGAGTCCATCGAAGGGATTAATACAACAGATAAAATAGATTAAAATAAAATAAAAATTAGGGATTCCTGGGCAAGATGGCCAAATAGGAACAGCTCTGGTCTGCAGCTCCCAGCAAGACCAAGGCAAAAGATGGTGATTTCTGCATTTTCAACTGAGGTACCCAGTTAATTTCACTGGGACTGGTTAGAGAGTGGGTGTCGCCCGTGGAGGGTGAGCAAAAGCAGAGTGGGGTGTTGCCTCACCCAGGAAGCATAAGGAGTCAGAGAACTCCCTCCCCTAGACAAGGGAAGCTGTGAGGGAGAGTGCCATGAGGGATGGAGCTATCCAGCCCAGATACTTCTTTTTTTCCATGGTCTTCACAACCCATAGACCAGGAGTTTCCCTCAGGTGGATCACCATTCCTCACCACCAAGGGAACAAAACTGGATGGAGAATGAGTTTGACAAATTGACAGAAGTAAGCTTCAGAAGGTGGGTAGTAACAAACTCCTCTGAGTTAAAGGAGCATGTTCTATCCCAATGCAAGGAACTTAAGAACCTTGATGAAAGGTTAGAGGAATTGCTAACTAGAATAATATGTTTAGAGAAGAACATAAATGACGTAATGGAGCTGGAAAACATAGCATGAGAACTTCATGAAGCATACACAAGTATCAATAGCTGAATCGATCAAGGTGAAGAAAGGATATCAGAGATTGAAAATCAACTTAATGAAATAAAGCCTGAAGACAAGATTAGAGAAAAAAGAATGAAAAGGAAGGAACAAATCCCTCCATGAAATATGGGACTAGATGAAAAGACCAAACATACGTTTGATTGGTGTACCTGAAAGTGACTGGGAAAATGGAACCAAGTAGGAAAACACTCTTCAGGATATTATCCAGGAGAACTTCTCCAACCTAGCAAGACAGGCCAACATTCAAATTCAGAAAATACAGAGAACACCACAAAGATATTCCTTGAGAAAAGCAACCCCAAGACATATAATCGTCAGATTCACCAAGGTTGAAATGAAGAAAAAAATGTTAAGGGCAGTCAGAGAGAAAGATTGGGTTACCTACAAAGGGAAGTCCATCACACTAACAGTGGATCTCTCTGCAAAAACCCTACAAGCCAAAAGAGAGTGGGGGCCAATATTTAACATTCTTAAAGAAAAGAATTTTCAACCCAGAATTTCATATCCAGCCAAACTAAGCTTTATAAGCGAAGGAGAAATAAAATCCATTACAGATAAGGAAGTACTGAGGGAATTTGTCACCACCAGGCCTCCCTTACAAGAGCTCCTGAAGGAAGCACTAAACATAGAAAGGAAAAACCGGTACAAGCCACTGCAAAAGCAAACCAAAATGTAAAAACCATAAACACTATGAAGAAACTGCATCAACTAATGGGCAAAATAACCAGCTAGCATAATGACAGGATCAAATTCACACATAACAATATTAACCTTTAATGTAAATGGACTAAATGCCCCAATCAAAAGACACAGACTGGCAAATTAGATAAACAGTCAAGACCCATTGGTGCTGTATTCAGGAGACCCATCTCACGTGCAAAGACACACATAGGCTCAAAATAAAAGGATAGAGGGAGAATTACCAAGCAAATGGAAAGCAAAAAAAAAAAAAAAAAAAAAAAAGCAGGGGTTGCAATCCTAGTCTCCAATAAAACAGATTTTAAACCAACAAAGATCAAAAGAGACAAAGAAGATCATTACAAAATGGTAAAAGAATCAAAGCAACAAGAAGAGCTAACTATCCTAAATATATATACACCCAATACAGGAGCACCCAGATTCGGAAAGCAAGTTCTTAGAGACCTACAAAGAGACTTGACTTAGACTCCCACACAATAATAGTGGGAGAATTTAACACCCCACTGTCAATATTAGATAGATCAATGAGACAGAAAATTAGCAAGGATGTTCAGGACTTGAACTCAGCTCTGGATCAAGCAGACCTAATAGACATCTACAGACCTCTCCACCTCAAATCACAGAATATACATTCTTCTCAGCACCATATCACACTAATTCTAAAACTGACCACATAATTGTAAGTAAAACACTCCTCAGCAAATATAAAAAAATGGAAATTATAACAAACAGTATTTCAGGCCACAGTGCAATCAAATTAGAGCTCAGTATTAAGAAACTCACTCAAAACCTCACAAATACATGGAAACGGAACAACTTGCTTCTGAATGAGTACTGGGTAAATAATGAAATGAAGGCAGAAATAAATATTTAGTCTTTGAAACCAATGAGAACAAAGTTACAACATATCAGAATCCGTGGGACACAGCTGAAGCAGTGTTTGAGGGAAATTTATAGCACTAAATGACCACATCAGATAATGGGAAAGATCTAAAATTGACACCCTAACATAACAATTTAAAGAACTAGAGAAGCAAGAGCAAACAAATTCAAAAGTTAGCAGAAGACAAGAAATAACTAAGATCAGAAGGAGACAGAGACACGAAAAACCCTTCAAAAATTAATGAATTCAGAAGCTGTTTTTTTGAAAAGATTAACAAAATTGATAGACTGCTAGACAGACTAATAAAGAAGAAAAGAGAAAAGAATCAAATAGACACAATAAAAATGATAAAGGAGAGATCACCACTGATCCCACAGAAATACTAACTACCATCAGAGAATAGTATACAAACCACTATAAAGACATATGCACACGTATGTTTATTGTGGTGCTATTCACAATAGCAAAGACTTGGAGCCAACCCAAATGTCCATCAACGATAGACTGGATTAAGAAAATGTGGCACTTATACACCATGGAATACTATGCAGCCATAAAAAAGGATGAGTTCATGTCCTTTGCAGGGACATGGATGAAGCTGGAAATCATCATTCTCAGCAAACTATCACAAAGACGGAAAACCAAACACTGCATTTTCTCACTCATAGGTGGGAAATGTACAATGAGAACACTTGGACACAGGGCGGGGAACATCACACACCAGGGCCTGTTGGGGGGTCGGGGGCTCAGGGAGGGATAACATTAGGAGAAATGCCTAATGTAAATGATGAGTTGATGGATGCAGCAAACCAACATGGCACATGTATACCTATATATCAAACCTGCACGATATGTACGTATACCCTAGAACTTAAAGTATAATTTAAAAAACAACAAAAGAAAACAACAAAAAAATTTAAAACCAATGATAAACTTTTGAAATGAAAATATCCCAATTGCTTATAGTTCTTTAAGTGTTTTCAATGGGACAAAAATTTTGGAAGATGGCATCATTTATTTATTTATTTTTAAAAGTGAAAGTAAGTTTATTAAGAAAGTAAAGGAATAAAGAATGGCTACTCCATAGGCAGAGCAGCCCTGAGGGCTCTTGGTTGCCCAGTTTTATGGGTATTTCTTGATTATATGCCAACAAGGGGTAGATTATTCATGCCTCCCCTTTTTAGAGCATATAGGGTGACTTCCTGACATTGACATGATGTTTGTAAACTGTCATGGCGCTGGTAGTACTATAGCAGTGAGGATGACCAAACGTCACTCTCATTGCCATCTTTATTTCAGTGGGTTTTAGCTTGTTGCTTCTTCTTCTTCTTTTTTTTTTTTTTTCATTATAGTTTAAGTTCTCAGATACAGATGCAGAATGTGCACGTTTGTTACATAGGTATATATGTGCCATGGTGGTTTGCTGCACACATCAACCCGTCATCTATATTAGGTATTTCTCCTAAGTCTATCCCTCCCCTTGCCCCCACCCGCTGACAGGCCCTGGTGTGTGATGTATCCCTTCTCTGTGCCCATATGTTCTCTTGTTCAACTCCCACTTATGAGTGAGAACATGCAGTGTTTGGATTTCTGTTCCTGTGTTAGTTTGCTGAGAATGATGATTTCCAGCTTCATCCATGTCCCTGCAAAAGACATGAACTCATTCTTTTTTATGGCTGCATAGTATTCTGTGGTGTATAAGTGCCACATTTTCTTTATCCAGTCTAACATCGATGGGCATTTGGGTTGGTTCCAAGCCTTTGCTATTGTGAATAGTGCTGCAATAAACATACATGTGCATGTGTCTTTGTAGTAGAATGATTTATAATCCTTTGGGTATATGCCCAGTAATGGGATTGCTGGATCAAATGGTATTTCTAGCTCTAGATCCTTGAGGAATCTCCACACTGTCTTCCATAATGGTTGAACTAATTTACACTCCCACCAACAGTGTAAAAGAGTTTTTATTTCTCCACATCCTGTCCAGCATCTGTTGTTTCCTGACCTTTTAATGATTGCCATTCTAACTGGCATGAGATGGTATCTAATTGTGGTTTTGATTTGCATTTCTCTGATGACCAGTGATGATTAGCTTTAGCTTTTTTCACATGTTTGTTGGCCGCATAAATATCTTCTTTTGAAAAGTTTCTGTTCATATACTTCACAAATTTTTGATGGGGTTGTTTGTTTTTTTCTTGTAAATTTATTTAAGTTCCTTGTAGATTCTGGATATTAGCCCTTTGTCAGATTGATAAATGGCAAAAATTTTCTCCCTTTCTGTAAGTTGCCTGTTCACTCTGATGATAGTTTCTTTTGCTGTGCAGAAGCTCCTTAGTTTAATTAGATCCCATTTGTCAATTTTGGTTTTTGTTGTGATTGCTTTTGGTGTTTTAGTCATGAAGTCTTTGTGTATGCCTGTGTTCTGAATGGTATTGCCTAAGGTTTTCTTCTAGGGTTTTTATGGTATTAGATCTTACGATTAAGTCTTTAATTCAACTTGAGTTAATTTTTGTATAAGGTATAAGGAAGGGGTCCAGTTTCAGTTTTCTGCATATGGCTAGCCAGTTTTCCCAACACCATTTATTAAATAGGGAATCCTTTCTCCTGCTTGTTTTTTTCAGGTTTGTTGAAGATAAGGTGGTTGTAGATGTGTGGTGTTATTTCTGAGGCCTCTCTTCTGTTCCATTGGTCTAGATATCTGTTTTGGTACCAGTGCCAAGCTGTTTTGATTATTGTAGCCTTGTAGTATAGTTTCAAGTCAGGTAGCATGATGCATCCAGCTTTGTTCTTTTTGCTTAGGATTGTCTTGGCTATAGGGGCTCTTTTTTGGCTCCATATGAAATTTAAAGTAGTTTTTCTAATTCTGTGAAGAAAGTCAATGGTAGCTTGATGGGAATAGCATTGAATCTATAAATTACTTTGGGCAGAATGGCCATTTTCACGATATTGATTCTTCCTATCCATGAGCATGGAATGTTCTTCCATTTGTTTGTGTCCTCTTTTATTTCATTGAGCAGTGGTTTGTAGTTCTCCTTGAAGAGTTCCTTCACATCCCTTGTAAGTTGGATTCCTAGGTATTTTATTCTCTTTGAAGCAATTGTGAGTGGGAGTTCACTCATGATTTGGCTCTCTGTTTATCTGTTATTGGTGTAGAGCAATGCTTATGATTTTTGCACATTGATTTTGTATCCTGAGACTTTGCTGAAGTTGCTTATCAGCTTAAGGAGATTTTGGGCTGAGACGATGGGGTTTTCTAAATATACAATCATGTCATCTGCAAAAGAGATAACTCGACTTCCTCTCTTCCTATTTGAATACCATTAATTTCTTTCTCTTGCCTGATTGCCCTGGCCAGAACTTCCAATACTATGTTGATTTGGAGTGGTGAGAGAGGGCATCCTTGTCTTGTACCAGTTTTCAAAGGGAATGCTTCTAGCTTTTACCAATCCATTATGATATTGGCTGTGGGTTTGTCATAAATAGCTCTTATTATTTTGAGATACGTTCCATTAATACCTAGTTTATTGAGAGTTTTTAGCATGAAGAGGTGTTGAATTTTATCTAAGGCCTTTTCTGCATCTATTGAGATAATCATGTGGTTTCTGTCATTGATTCTGTTTATGTGATGGATGATGTTTATTGATTTGTGTATGTTGAACCAGCCTTGCATCCCAGTGATGAAGCCGACTTGATCGTGGTGGATAAGCTTTTTGATGCGCTGCTGGATTCAGTTTGCTAGTATTTTATTGAGCCTTTTTGCATCGATGTTAATCAGGGATATTGGTCTAAAATTCTCTTTTTTTGTTGTGTCTCTGTCAGGCTTTGGTATCAGGATGATTTTGGCCTCATAAAGTGAGTTAGAGAGGATTCCCTCTTTTTCTATTGATTGGAATAGTTTCAGAAGGAATGGTACCAGCTCCTCTTTGTACCTCTGGTAGAATTTGGCTGTGAATCTGTCTGGCCCTGGACTTTTTTTGGTTGCTAGGCTATTAATTATTGTCTCAGTTTCAGAGCCTGTTATCGGTCTATTCGGAGATTCAACTTCTTCCTGGTTTAGTCTTGGGAGGGTGTATGTGTCCAGGAATTTATCCATTTCTTCTAGATTTTCTAGTTTATTTGCATAGAGGTGTTTATAGTGTTCTCTGATGGTAGTTTGTATTTCTGTGGGATCGGTGGTGATATTCTCTTTATCATTTTTTATTGCATCTATTTGAAACTTCTCTCTTTTCTTCTTTATTAGTCTTGCTAGTGGTTTATCAATTTTGTTGATCTTTTCAAAAAACTAGCTCCCAGATTCATTGATTTTTTTGAAGGGATTTTTGTGTTTCTACCTCTTTCAGTTCTGCTCTGATCTTAGTTATTTCTTGCCTTCTTCTAACTTTTGAATTTGTTTGCTCTTGCTTCTCTAGTTCTTTTAATTGTGTTGCTAGGATTTTGATTTTAGATCTTTCCAGCTTTCTCTTGTGGGCATTTAGTGTTATAAATTTCCCTCTGCACACTGTTTTAAATGTGTCCCAGAAATTCTGGTACGTTGTGTCTTTGTTCTCTTTGGTTTCAAAGAACATCTTTATTTCTGCCATCATTTTGTTATTTACCCAGTAGTCATTCAGGAGCAAGTTGTTCTGTTTCCATGTAGTTGTGCGGTTTTGAGTGAGTTTCTTAATCCTGAGTTCTAATTTGATTGCACTGTGGTCTGAGAGACAGTTTGATGGGATTTATGTTCTTTTACATTTGCTGAGGAGTGCTTTATTAAGAATTTTCAACCCAGAATTTCATATCCAGCCAAACTAAGCTTCATAAGTGAAGGAGAAATAAAATCCTTTACAGACGAGCAAATGCTGAGAGATTTTGTCACCACCAGACCTGCCTTACAAGAGCTCCTAAAGGAAGTACTAAACATGGAAAGAAACAACCGGCATCAACCACTGCAAAAACAGGCCAAATTGTAAAGACCATCAATGCTAGGAAGACACTGCATCAATTAATGGGCAAATAACCAGCAAACATCATAATGACAGGATCAAATTCACACATAACAATATTAGCCTTAAATGTAAATGGACTAAATGCCCCAATTAAAAGACACAGATTGGCAAATTGGATAAAGAATCAAGACCCATCAGTGTGCTATATTCAGGAGACCCATCTCACGTGCAAAGATGCACATAGACTCAAAAAAAAAGGGATGCAGGGAGAATTACCAAGCAAATGGAAAGAAAAAAAAAGCAGGGGTTGCAATCCTAGTCTCTGAAAAAGCAGGGGTTGCAATCCTAGTCTCTGATAAAACAGACTTTAAACCAACAAAAATCAAAAGAGGCAAAGAGAGCCATTACATAATGGTAAAGGGATCAATTAAACAAGAAGAGCTAACTATCCTAAATATATATGTACCCAATACAGGAGCTCCCAGATTCAGAAAGCAAGTCCTTAGAGACCTACAAAGAGACTTAGATTCCCATACAGTAATAAGGGGAGAGTTTAACACCCCACTGTCAATATTAGACAGATCAATGAGACAGAATGTTAACAAGGATATCCAGGACCAGAACTCAGCTCTGCAACATGCAGACCTAATAGACATCTACAGAACTCTCCACCACAAATCAACAGAATATACATTCTTCTCAGCACCACATTGTACTTATTCTAAAATTGACCACATAATTGGTTTAAGTTTCTTCAAAGCATGTTTCCCCTATTGTTTCTGCTTGAATTTGAATATGCCAGAATTCCTTAGAGAATTATATAGTTAAGAAAATCCATTAGTGCTCTAAACTTAAAAACAAAAGATGAAAATATAATGTATGCTGGCCATATATCCACATATATATATATATATATATATATACACACACACACACACACATATATATATACACACACATATATATATGTTTCACCTTATCTGTGATTTTTATTATTTTTGCCTTAATAAAAGACATTGGCATAATATCAATTAATTAGAAATCTTTTCTCCCCATAGGTACTGGATATTTAATCTTCATAAGTTTAGTTTTCTCCCAGGAATGAAAATAGTGTCTGCTGTGTTTGGTCTTCATGAGGACTAAGTAGATAATGCATCTGATAAGCTTTGTACAATGCTGGAGTTATAGTAAACACTTAATGCTCATTTCCTATAAAAAAAATGAAAAAGAATGTGTGTTTGAGACAGAGAGAGGGAGAAAGAGAGAATAGTTTTACTTCTAGATATGTATTCATTTATTCAATATGTCCACAAAAATATTTGTACAATAATTTATATAATATCACTATTCATAGGAGTCAAAAAATTAAAAACACGCAAATATGCAAGTGAAAAATGTATTAAGAAGTTATAGTTTATTCAAATAATGAAATATTGCTCAGCAATAACATAGAATTTAAAAATACACAAAAGCATGGAAAAACTTCAAAAACATATTGAACAGAAGAAGATAGACACACAATCTATATATTTTATGATTCTAGCTATATAAAGTTCAAAAACAGACAAAATTAATAGATGGTGATAAAAATTGGAAAGTAGTTGCCTTCTGAGTTGAGGATATTGACTGGAAATATTCAAAAGAAGAGTTTCTGGAATGATGGAAATTGTTTTTACCTGGTTTGGGATGACAGTCATGTAAGTTGTACAAAACTGTCCAAATTCATCGATCTAAACATTTCAGTGTATGTTAAATTATGCAAATTGAACCAAAATACATAAATAAATGAACTGTAAAAATCAATAATAAACAAGCCAAGAATGTATGGGCTATTACAGATATATTTTAAGGTTTCTTTTAAACAGATATGAGAAATCTTGATAGCTAGAACCTATGGTTACAGGGGCAGTATTGAAACTGTTAGAATAACCCCCACATGGAAATCTTATTGCACACTTTCTTAAGTTAAGAAGAAAAGTGGCATATGATTAAGTAAAAGACAAAAACACAAGAGCTAAATTATTTAATTAATATTAAGTGATCTTTTATATTTTCTATCTTATATGTGATTATTTTTCTATGCTTTTTTTTTTTTTTTTTGAGACGGAGCTTGTCATACAGGCTGGAGTGTAACAGCATGATCTCAGCTCACCACAACCTCTGCCTCCTGGGTTCAAGTGATTCTCCTGCCTCAGCCTCCTGAGTAGCTGGGATTACAGGCATGTGCCACCACACCTGGCTAATTTTTTGTGTTTTTGGTAGAGACGGGGTTTCTCGGTGTTGATCAGGCTGGTCTCCAACTCCTGACCTCAGGTGATCCGCCTGCCTCAGCCTCCCAAAGTGCTAGGATTAGAAGTGTGAGCCACCATGTCCAGCCCTATATATGCATTTATACATTTATTTTAATTTATCAAACTTAAGAGAAAGTAAAAAACACAAATCTAAGCTTTAATTTAGGTTGTTATGAAAAGCATAATTTGAGTCATCTTAGACCATGTTGTAGTATCATAATGGTTTGAATATTTATAAGTTAGGAAAATGTGTGGTCCTCTCTTTTACACATGATCTTAGCCAAAAGGGCATGAAATGATAATTATATACTTTAAAGAGATCTTGAAAAAAACTTTAAGACAATTACAACATATTCTTTTCAAATATGTCCTTGCATATTTCTAAAAATCTTTAGTCTGCAAGAGCAAGCTCCAGAAAATAAGTAGAAGCTTTTGTGGGGAATGTTAACATAGCTACAATTAGGAGACATCAAAATTGCAGGCATACTCTACTTTTAATAAATTCATCATTTTTTCTTATTGCTTGAAGCTGCATTACATGCACATTTTAATTTCACTGTGAATGGAATCTTTGCATAGTCTTGACAACAGAGAGACAGTCTAGGCTGTCAAGAAAAAAAAACACACAAAAGCTGTTGCTGAGTGTGCAGCAAGCTGTCGTGAGTTTTACATGAAGAGGTCAGGATTTTCTTGGAGAGTCACTTTCCAAGTATGGCACGCTTACAATAATTAGTATCCTGACTACTCAGAAGATGGTTGTAGACACAGCTGTTGTTTAAGGTAGCAGGCACATCAATGGCAAGGCACTAGGTATTGATTTGTGCAGTGACATCCTTCTAACTATGTCATCTGAGTGAAAGAAGCCCCAAATTAACCAATAATAAAGTGTTAGAAGTTGTAGTAGCTGCTCTCTTGGGACTTGTTCTAGAAGAGTATAGATGCCATTCCTTCATCTAGGTCATCAATCCTGCTAAAGGACTCACATTGACATTAAGTTGACCAATAGGGCAATGTAAAACCTAAAGTAGTGCTGTATTCCATATGTGTCTGTGCATGCCATTTTTATATTCATTTTATCTATGTACTTACATAACAGTGTATGTATATCCATATAAAACATAGATATATACCATAATAATATGAAGAATTTTTAATTAATGACAATAATATATAAAACTGTAAGGTATTATATAACATCTTTGATAACACTAATTGTAAAAGTAATTTCAAAAACAAAAACCAGGAATTACTATATTTTCACCAGAATTAGAAATGGATAAACTTACTGGCAAGATTTGTTTTTGCTATTAATTGTTTTAGTTTCTGATTGGATCATATTTTCTATTTTAATATGAGCCTTAGCTCGTATTACATAGTTTGTAAGGAGCTACATAGTGTGTGAGGGGATCACAAATATGCCTGGATTAGATTATGCTAATATCAGCCACCCATATTTAATGGACAGTCAACAAAAAATAATAATTAAATTTGTTTTTGTCCAAAGGATCCCTTGACCAAGTTAATATTAAAAATGACTTGAAAATGTTTGCATATTGTCTTATTATTTGATATAAACTTACAGAAGATAATTTTTCTTGCCTTGGTCTGAATTTTTTTGACCCTTTTGAGATTACTCATTAGATAGCATTTTATGTAGCTTTTATGTAGCCAAAATTTAGAGTCCCATCTTAGCATTTGGCTCGTCCCCTTATCTCACTGATAGGAGGTTTTTCTATAATGGAGTTGATAAAAGCAAAAGCAACTTTAAAAAACAGCTCTCACTTTTTAAAGACTAGATTCTAATGTCAACAGAAAGGACATAGGCATCAGCAAACAGGGTTCTATCTTGCAGTGGGCTTCATGGCTTACATCAGAATCTCAACAAAAGCCTTTGATTTTCTATGGCCTGATGTATGGCTCAGTTTGCTATTAAGGAGGAGAAATCAATCAGGCATGTTGGCTCATGCTTGTAGTCCTGGCTTTGAAAGCCTCAGTTGGGAGGATCATTTGAGGCTAGGAGTTCGAGGTTAGTCTGGGCAACATAGAAAAACCCTCATGTCAACAAAAAAAATTAAAAATTAATTGTGTGTGGTGGCATGCACCTATAGTCCCAGCCACTTGGGAGGCTGAGACAGGAGGATCACTTGAGTCCAGGAGGTCAAGGCTGCAGTGACAACGTGGGTACCAAAGAAGAAGAAGAAGAGGAAGCAAATGCTACCACTTTCTTTGATTAAGTTGTTCATAGTTTCTAGGGACATGTATAGTCATTACTGAATGCCCCTGGCTGTTGCTCAGTACAAACAGACTTACTTTCTCCACTGAACCTTTTCAGGCAAGGAGAGAATGAGGAAGTCAAGTCTTAACTGGATTACAGGCTATGGGAAACATCTTGTCACTGGTTATTAACTTTTTAGGTTTGATTACTTTCCCAGCAAACATAGCAGTTGAGATTAAATGTTGATCTAACAGTTGTCTCCTATCAGTGAATCTTGGGTTGTCAGGGATGATTCTTCTTCAGTTGTCTTTTTAGACCACTAACTGCCATCCTCTCCCCTACTCTGTACTCTAAGAAACTAGCTTCTGCAAATTCCTCACTTGGGTTTTCTTGCTCTCCAGACCCTCTGAGTTTGGCCAATGTAAAGCAGAAACAGGAAAGTAGAAGGTAGGACGAGAGAAAGTTCAGGGCATTGCTTCATTTTTCTCTCATTCTCTTGCTATTTCAGACAATGGCTACCTCCTGTGATAGACACAGTCCTGTGTGGAACCCCGATTTTATGGTTCTATTTTTATTTCAGTTCCATTGACATCATTCCCTCATCTACATTTTCAAACATGGTGTGGCAAATGGCTGCATGTTGTAGCTCTCTCTCTTAAGACAAACCTTTTGGAACCTTGAGACAGGCTACTCTCAAGTGTCCCATACCATGCTTGAGGGATCATATGATGAAACCACATAAAGATGGGAGGTGGCAGAGGAGCCCTAGCTATTTGTGTCTTCCCAGGCAGGTGCCAGATGTGTGAGTGAAGAAGCCTTTGAGAAGACCCCAACCACAGTCGTCATTAGACTACAACCTCCTGAGAGTCTCCAGCCAGTCACCCAGCTGAACCGCTCTTGAGTTCCTCACCCAAAGAAATCCAGGTAGGTATTAAATGGTTGTTTTTGTTTTAAGCTACATTGCTTTTGGATAATTTGTTACACAGCCATAGTAATTGGAATATGAACCAATTACTACAAGGGAAATGGAAGAATCATATGAGATTTCTCAGTTACACTACCACCCATATTAAAACCTCCTAAAATGCTTACTAAAACACATTTCTCGATTCCACCTCAGATGTAAGGAACAGCATTGTTTTGGCCTGAAGCTTCTGAAATAAATGCTCTCTCTTAGATAATTTTTATGCACTATGTTTGACAACTTTTGCTCCCAACTCTCTTAATTTCTTAAATTATATTTATTATTGTTTAAAAACAAATCCCCTGTTTTTAATTGGGGGAGATAAGGGAATTGATTGGAAAATACAACACAGTAAGAGAAAAACTACCAAAATATATAGAGAGTCAAAATATGGACATTACATCTAGTTTTTGTTTAGAACGTACATGAAAGATTTTGTCCACCAAATATTTCAGAATCAGAACTCACACTATCCTTTATATTCTTAGAATTTGTACAGATCTTAAAAGACTATTTACTTCCATATTCTTATAGATAAAGAAAAACAATTCTGAGAGGTTAAGCAACTCACTCAAGTTTATACAATGTTTTGCTCATATGAGTAAGTGATAAAAAGTTTAACTTAGTACTAAAAAAATACTCAATTCAGGCTGGGCCAGTGGCTCATGCCTATAATCCCAGCAGTTTGGGAGGCCGAGGCGGGTGGATCACCTGAGACCAGGAGTTTGAGACCTGCCTGGCCAACATGGTGAAACCCTGTCTCTACTAAAAATACAAAAAAGTATCTGGGCGTGTTGGCAGATGCCTGTAATCCAAGCTTGTTAGAAGGCTGAGAAGGGAGAATCGCTTGAACCCGGGAAGTGGAGGTTGCAGTGAGCTGAGATCACACCACCGCACTCCATTCTGGGCAACAAGAGCGAAACTCCACCTCAAAAAAACAAGCAAACAAACAAAAAACCAAAACCAAAAACAAACTCAATTCAAATATTACTTATTTCTCTAAGACAAAACAATGAATGATGTATCAATAACCTCTTATTCTTACCGTAGTGTAGTATGAGGGGAAAATTAGTGTGAGTATACATGAACATACATGTAGTAAAACACAGCTTGAAACTTTTATGAGCTCCCAAGAAAAGATATGTCTTTAATATGTATTTCCAGCTTTTTCTTTCAATTAGAAAGTTCATTCTTCTTCATTTTCCTCCCTCCCTCCCTTCTTTCTTTCCTCCCCTTCCTTCTTTCTTTTGGTATCTCTGTCCTGCCTCAAGAAGTTTACTTTCTTTTTAGAAAACAAATATAAATGGTTGAAATTGAATTTGATTAAACTTAAATTTTGCTATTTAAATGAAGGCATGTAAAAAACACAACAGGGAAAAGGAAAGAAAAACAAACAAACAAAAAAAAACAAAAAATGAAAATCTCCCAAAGAAGTTAGGGACACAGAAATTCACTGTTGAGCTAAGATTTGGGGATAAGTCATCCAATTGGATGTTTAGAAAAAAAGAGATCAAAACAGGCAATAGCATCAGCATGTGAAGGGGCACACCATATGGGGAATCACTGTTGGTTTACTAAAGCATAAGGAATCAAATTAATGTAGCAGAAATGTGAAATGATTAAAATAAAATATTACAAAATGAATATTTGCAATCAGGTATTTCATGATTTTATAATTTATGATAAATCAATGACCTTACCTAACTACTCAATTATTAGTTAAATTATGGTTGACAAAAAATGAGAATTATTCGAAGTGAGAAAATAGGAGAATGGCAACAGCTGATAGGGTATAAGTAGGGTAAACGTTAAAACATTTCTCAAAATATTTGGAGGATTAAATACAAAATAACACAAATAACTCTTTCTCAAATCTTTGTTGCAATGGGGTTGTTAAAGTAACTTTGAAATTTAGTCATTTTATGACTAACAGACTCAAAAATTAAACTTTATTGACATCGAATATAATTTTCTTCATTGATTTTTATAATACCTTCATAAACATAAAAAGTATAACTTACTTAATGTATGGATAAGTAGGAAAAATAAATAGCAAAAGCATATGAATGCAAAACTTAAAGTAACAGAAAAATAATTATTTAAACATGTAAAACATTAAATTCTAAAATCTATAAAATGTATCTATGTGAATAATTACAGAAATGTTAATTTTTTATCATTTTGCTTCCTAATGATCTACTTAATAGTGGGAAAAGTGTAAAACTTAGTTGCTTATAATGAAGCAAAGCCAATATAATTGGCAGAAAACAAATTGAAAGCATAAACTAAAGAACAAATAAAATACTAATATTAAAAATCAAAAAAAGCTTCTGAATTCACAAAATTATCAAAATACATGGACATTTTAAATGAACAAATATGCTTAAAGCTACATGAGAAAAGGGATTAAAACAATATGTGCCATACAAAATGTTACCAATATATAGAAACATCATGCTGGACATAATTATGCTCAGTAACTTTATTGTTTTAGTTAATATTCTTTCATTTCAACCGATATTGCTTGCACAATTTTAACAAGTTCAGATGGAAGACTGTGGGCTATGCGAATAGAGCCTGAAAAGCTAAGGGTTTATGATTTTTTCCCGTGGGCATGAGGATGTATTGAAGGTATTCGGATAAGAGGGTTCTATATTTAGATATATTTGGCAGAACACTTGAGTGGCAGGGTATAGACGAGACTAGAAACAGCAACTCTAGAAATAGGGAAAATGGTTGGAAAATTATTGCAATAATCCAGCAGGCAGATGTGGCCTCAGCAGAGGGCTCTGCCATGGCCTCTGTTGGCAGAGCAGAGCCAGTAGAGTTAGGGAAGAAGATACTGATAGAGAAATAGTAAAATGACAGAATTGTGTTGTACTAGGTTTGTGCTTAATAAATTCAAGTTAAATTGAATTGAGGATTTTTTAGATGGCTCTCTGTCTGTCTCTAGCTCTCTCTCTTCACACATACATATATACATACTCATATTATTACTTTGTTTTGGCCACAATCTGCTATGAAGTAGAATAATTAGTTTAGGAAAATGATTCAATTTAGTATATAATGCAGCCTGAAAAACTGAACTTGCAGCTGCGCAGAAAGATCATAGACTTGAAATTAGTCATATCTAAATTCCAACTTTGACTCTATCATGAGTAGATACTATGAGTTGATACTAAGAGTATGTAATGATGTAATTTAACTTTCTGGGTCTCAAGCTCCTTATATCAAGAGGACTATTGCTACCTACCTTGCCACAAGGTTGTGATTAAACCACAGGAATTAGCATGTTTAAAGAGCTTAACTCATTCCTCAGTTAATGCTAATTCTTTGCATTTCTTTCTAACTATGATGCTGTAAATAGTATATTACAAATGTTCAATCATACACAACTCATGAATTTAAGATAAAATCAATGTACTTATTTTAGTTGGATACATTAAAGACTTCAGGCCGAGGGTGGTGGCTCCTGCCTGTAATCCCAGCACTTTGGGAAGCCGAGGCAGGCAGATCACGAGGTGAGGAGATCAAGATCATACTGGCTAACATGGTGAAACCCTGTCTCTACTAAAAATACAAAAATTATCTGGGTGTGGTGGCACGTGCCTGTAATCCCCACTACTTGGGAGGTTGAGGCACGACAATTGCTTGAATCCAGGAGGCAGAGGTTGCAGTGAGCAGAGATTGTGCCATTGCACTCCAGCTTAGTGACAGTTAGTGACAGAGTGAGACTCTATCTCAAAAAAAAAAAAAAAAAAGGGAAAAGAAAAAGACTTCAGTCAGATTTTTTCTTTTTGTTTTAAAGGTTGTTTTTTACAAAGCTTTTACAAACCTCCATCCCTGCATTTTGCTGCCCTCATTTGTTTATTCCATATAGCTAATATCATTTGTGATATTTTTAAAAACTTCAGATATAGTTTTAAGACATACAGAGAGAAGAACAGGTACAATTTGATCCTCAGGAAAAAAAATTTACAAAATTAAAATGCAATCCTGCTCACACCTGTAATTCCAGCACTTTGGGAGGCTGAGGCATGAGGATCACTTGAGCCCAGGTGTCCACGGTTGCAGTGAGCTATAATTGTGCCACTGTATTCCAGCCTGGGTGAAAAAAATGAGTCCCTGTCTTAAAAATATATATATAATTAAATGACATCCTTGGTTTGAAAATAAGTAATTTTTGAGGGTTTTATTTATTTTTTAACTTATCTTAAAAAACATATAAATATTTCTTATTTAAAATTTTAAATGTGATTTTAAAAATACCATTTATAAAGATAAGTTGATCAAATCAAGATCACACAGCAATGTAAATTACTTGGTAATACTAACTTTCTTTGAAAATTTCTTAGAAATATCTCCTCAGCCAAAACATATTTGAATCTCTCTGATATTTGCCTTTGAAATAATATCATTAAAATATTTTGAGCAATGTATATTAGAATTAATGTTAGGCAAATATTCAGTCTCAGGGTATATATGTCTGAGACACTGTCATTTACCCTGCAGTCCTGTTGCAGAATTTTACTGTGTTACCATTTGCCCTCAGATTCTATCTAACAAAGTTTCCTGAAAGCATAAATGTTTTTTCCACAGAACTTAATGGCAACTGACATATCTTCAGATTGAGGGTGATATTAGTTGGACCATGACATCAAAAAATATAGGCCATCAGTCTGCAATCTGGAACACTTCTGGAAGAGTTTCCAGTAGCAGTCCTAACATGGGACAAAATGCATAGCCCTTTAGGCGTGTGTACTTTTACACAAGAACCACAGGCAACCCTTGAAAGACTCCATGGATGTTATTATGTAAGATCTAGACCTAAAAATATGGGCAAGAAGCCAGACATAGCTGTGCATGGAAAGCTACTAATATCCATACATATTTATTCTTATTTCCTCATAACCAGACATTTAAGTGAAAACTGTGTCTTGGATGTACTCTCATTCATCACATTAAAATTTCTTTAATGGCTTTAGGATACAACTTTTCCAGAAAGACTGTCTCTATAACGTTTGACCCTGTAAGTCTAGACTCCAGGGGTATAAAGCCCGGAGATGTACTTAAGCAGCACTTTGAGCCCAGAGAGACTTGGCATGTTAAACTAATAAAAGATGACTGTAAAACCATCTGTAAACATGAAGTGCCATATAAATGCTTATTAATAAGCATTTTTCTCCAATTTATATTTATTTTTATTCTAAGATGCTTCTTAAAAATACATTATGGTGTATTGTGTATAATGCCTTTCAAACAAATTGTATTCAAGACATTTTAGAGAGTTAAATACATGTCAGTGTGTGGCATAAATTATAGAAGGACACTTTGAATGGTAAAAGAATTAGTGCATTCAGTCATAAGGCCAGAGAAAAATGGGTTGTGTAAGCGTCTGGTTTGAAATATCTAGACTCCCTGGAACCAACACTTCAAATCCCAGCAGGGCAGCTCTGTCCTTCATCCTTCTGAGATAAGAGTCCATTCAGTTTACAGGCTGCTGGTTTTTTGAATGATCTCTTGGAAGAGTAGGCATGTCTGCTCTGTGTGAACATTTTACAGAGTCAAGACAAGGGAAAAAAAAAACATTCAAGAGAATTTAACCAGAACTAAGGAATTATTTTATATGGGCAATATTGTAATGGTAATGAAAGGCTGACTTAGAACACAGCAGGAGTGAAGGCTTGAGAAGTATATTCAAGGTTTGAAAAGACAAAAAAGAAATTTGTATCTGATTGGTTGCTACTGCTGACCCCAGAACTGTTTTTAAATATGGGGAAATGGAGTCCAATATAACTGTAGAGTTTATAGCAGCATAGAATTGACCTACGCTGCATAGTTGGTACTTTGGATTGCCCTATGATTTTTTGTTAAGCATTATTCTGAATCCATTATGAAAAGCATTTGAAATCTAGGCAAAACTTTCAGGATTTTAAGTGTGAGCAAGAAAAATAGGACCCTCTAATAGAATAAAAAGGACACGAGTCACATTAGAATGTGACTTTTCTAAACATTGGAGCATGGTGCTTTTATGGGGTAACTTTCAAGTTTCCCCAGCCTCCAAAAACCTTAGCAAGTGTCAAGCATGATTTACAAGTAAGTAGAATTCAAATAAGCTGATGCAGAGAAGTCTAATCTTTCCCAGGTAATGATTTTTGATGGATTTTTCCCAGATTCTTATTTGGGTTATGAGGATGCTTAGAGTATAAATCAAAACTCAGGATGGACGCAGTCCCAGGTTGCTCCTTTTCCCCTGGGAGGCACTCCCCAAGTCCTGACAATAAATAAAGAGCTGGGATAATCTAGATGTATCTTTAAATTTCACCAGTGGATTAGATCACTAACTGGTGATTGCAATAAACTATTTAAGAAATACTTTTTTTCCCCTTAAAACTAGCATTTGATATTTTACTTCTATAAGACACTGCCTTAAATCCACCTCTTAAAGTTTCTACTCTTTCTGAATCTTTGCCTTTTTCAAAGGGCCATATAAGCAATGCTTAGTATGATGAGGTATCACACAGACAATCTGGAAGGCCTGTCAGTCTTTCCTGGGAGGAGTAAATTCACAGAAATAAAAGAGAAGCATGAGACCAGCATCTGGTCTTTCATTAAATAATTCTTCACTATAATGCAGGTATATGTCTGGACAATCTTGAAGCAATGGAAGTATTTCTATTTATGTGAATAAAGAAGAATCAGATTATCAAGCCAATGAATACCCCTCTGCCCTTATTTCAAATTTCACCTACCCAATGCTTGTGTTTTTTTCAAAACTCAAGGTCCTCCTCTATCAAATGTTTACCTAATCCACCTGTCTGGTTTAGGGCTCTTTCTATGGCTCTAATAGCATTCATGTGTCCCTCTCATCATCCTTCTTATCTTACTTAGCAGTCATTATCAACCTCCCTGTCTATTTTTCTCCTCTATTTTGTACCCCTTTTGTGCTGTGCACTAAGGATAATATACAGAATATACAACAAAAATATAATATGCAGAATAGTTACTTATTTTAGGGTGTGATTTTCCTTCTGTCCTTTTGAAATTCAAATGCGTGTATAAAAATGGACACATTTTTAAAGAACTCTCAGTACAAAAAACAGTAACACACATTCAGATTACATTTTAAATAGAATAAACAGATCATGAATATTTATGTGGTTTAGAAAGGCTTGTATGACACAGTCTGTATTGTCGAACCAAATAATTATGCAAAGATAGTTTCACTTAAAATTACAAATGCCATATTTTAGTTTGTGTTCAACAGTTTTAATGCATATTGATAATGGAAGGAAATAGCTTCTATTTAAAAACAATACACTTAAGTTGGAAAAATGCCATAACAGCATATTTTAAAATGTTAAAATGGCTGGAATTCTGTTAGGGTAAGAGCTGACAAAGGTCCAAATGATGACTGATGTTTCAGAATAAAGCATAATTGCGTCTTTTGAAGAGACTATACCTCTAAGATTCAGTCCAATCATTCCTTATATTATGGTTTCTACATACCTTCTGTGTAGCTTATCCAGTTTGACCTGTACATACAACAAAAGTGTATCAGGGACTTTAAACAGAGGTTACTATGGGTTAGGAGCAGAGTAACATATCTCTAATAGGAAATCATATGAATGACAATTTATGTTGTTTATCTTTCTTCATGATAGATCATGTAATTAATCTTTTTTTAAAAGAGTGTATGTTCTTAATGTCTACATAATATGCATTTGGGCATGCAAAAAGTATGTTACTAGACACACAAAGAGGATAAGGAGGGTACCAGTGAGATAGATGATAATACAAAGCACATCTACATATTTTACTAAAATACAGGATGATAAGTAAGATATTAATGTCTTCACATTCTCTCAAGGAAAAAAAAATCATGAGCTTAGAAATCAGATAGATGTAGTTTCAAATTCAATTCTGTGTACTTCCATACATTTTTTAACATCTTTAGACCTCAGTTTCTATGTAGTATCATGGGATCCTTGGGGTGTTGCTCTGCCAGCCGGAAGCCTCTGTGGCTGGTGGTGCCTTTGCCCGAGTTTTTACCTGTGGCCACTGGACTCGTTCTGCCCACTTAGCCTGGCAGTCTGTGCTCAGCTCATGCTACTGGCCTGAATCTCACACCTGCCAAGGGTGAGCCTGACATGGAATGGCAAAGGGTGTGTGAGCGAGCAAGTGTGGGGTCTGGCCACTGCATTGAGCCAGGCATGCCGGCTGGGGTAGGGTGGGCAGCACCAGGCACCCAGCATTGGTGCTGGTTCCCTGTAAGGCTGTGGTTGCATCAGGCATACCACAAACAGCTTCCACAGCTGGCACCAGGGAAAATGGTGGCACCTGGAAGCTTGGAGATTCCAGAAATTACAGAGTCCCAGAGAAAGTGTCACAGCCTGGATTGGGGAGTCCTAGGTGTGGGCTCCCTGACAGCCCTTCTCTCCTGTTTTCTGCTCCCCTTGTCACCTGCAACATGGCAAGCAAGAGGTGTGTTTCAGCACTGTTTGTGTTACAGCTCTTTTAGCCCCACCATTCAGTGAGTCTTAAGTTCTCATCCTGCATCCAGGAAGAATGAGGTATGCAGACAATTGGAGGCTGGGCAAGGCAAAGAGGAGCTTTATTGAGTGACAGAACAGCTCAGAGAAGATTTGCAGTGGGTAGCTCTTCTTCATAGGCAGGGTATCTCAATGAGGGTTCAGCTTTCAGCAGAGGAAAGACCCTGGAGTGGGTAGCTCTTCTCTTCTCTACAGCTGGTAGTCCAGACATGTGCCCAGCTCTCAGCAGTGGGAAGACCCTGGAGTGGATAGCTCCTTTCTGCAGATAGTTGTCCAATTGTCTCCCCGAGTCTGGCTGAGTCTGGGGTTTTTATGGGCTTCAGATGGGAGGAAGTGCATGCTGATTTGTTCATGGATGGCCATAGGTGGCCAGGAAAAAGGCACCATAAGTTCTCACTCAGGTCTGCAGAACTGGCAGCCTAGCCCCCAGGCCTCAGGCCATCCCTGGCCTGAAGGTGGGGTTCTACTGGGGACCTGCCCCTTTCCACCCAGTAGCCTGTCTGCCTGCTGCCACCGTTAATCTGCTGGCCATGGTGCCCCAGTGCCCAGGCTCTTCGTGCCTAGAGTTGCCTGCAGGTCCATGCCAAGCCACCTTTCACCCTCTCTCAGCCTCCTTCCCATGCTTATTGGTACCCAAAGTCCAGAGGGGGCCAGGTGGCAGGGGCTGGTGTGTTAGTGCTGCCCCAATTGTGTGCACACCCAGCCATGTTCCAACAATGCCTGGGCTTGGCCTCAACCTTGCTCCAAAATTGGAGTGGGTGCTGGGAGCTGAGAGAGGCCAGGCAGTGGGAACAGGCACTTCCACGACTGCAGGAACAGGGCTGCTTCCCAGGCACCCGAGAGTGCAGAGTTGACTGGGTTGGCAGCCATGGCTGGGCAGCTGTGGCTGCACCTGGGAGGGCAGAGCTCCTGCCTGCTCCTGACCTCCAGGAGCACAGGGATGCCTGGGTCTGGACTTGTGGCTGGGCAGCTGCAGCTGTGCCTGGGGAGTGCAAGGTTCCTGCCCTATAAACTCAGAAAGGGGTGGGGTTTCTGTCTGTTCCTGGCTCAACCAGCTCCACGCAGCTCACGGACCAGGCCATGCCTCACTCACTGCAGCTGGCATCATGGCAGTGGCCACTCCAGGCGGGCCGCCACTGCCATCATATGTAAAGTGTTTGTTGTGTAGAATAACATCTATGCTTGCTAGTTTCCCTGAACCCTCCTCTTTCTCCTCCTCTTATATCAATGCCACCGTAGCCAGGGTCAATCTACCACTATACATTCAGCACCTGAAATCCATGTTCCCTTTTTTAGACTATTAAAACTGCAACCTGGCCACTGTATTGGCACATGCCTATAATCCCACCACTTCAGAAGGCTGAAAAGGGAAGATCTCTTGAGGCCAGGGGTTCGAGAGACCAGCCTGGCAACATGGCATGACCACCGTCTAAAAAAATTAAAAAAAAAAGACCAGGTATAGTGGTATGCACCTGTAGTTCTAGCTACTTGGGAGGTGGATCACTTGGCAGGTGGATCACTTGAGCCCAGGAGACTGAGGCTGTAGTGAACTATGATTGCACCACTGCACTCCAGCCTGTGTGTCAGAGTGAGATTCTATCTCTAAAAAACCACTCAGAAAACAGAAACATGAAACAAACAAACAAACAAAAACCTCCAGCAACCAACCCATTCAAATGCTCTGCTCTTGCTGAATGTTTTTCTCTCTTCACATAAGTCCAGAGGCAATGTTATTCAAACAGTATTTTTTCAATAAATACGTTATATATTTATGGAAATCTGATGATATTTGAAATATTTAAATTTCCTAGAAGGAAAAAACATCCTAAATAATTGATATTATGTCAGTGGAAAAAAAGAAGAACTTAAATAATTTTCTTTTAAGGATACTTCCCTGAAATATAAAGATAGTTTTTTTTTAAAATCTGAAATATTTCATCTTTATTCCAATTAAGGATAGGTTTTAACATTAGAAAGGCACACAGGCCAATTGGCATAGTCCTCTGCTTTCAAGCTGGTACTCTTTAATAAGACAATTCACAGCTGAGGCACCTGAGGTTAAACTGAAAAAGGAAAGAGGGAGGACCTTATAAAAGGACTTTAATACTATTTATCAAACTGTAATAAGAAGCTGCAATAGGATGTTTCACTTTGGTTTGCATTCTTTGTATTTCCAGCCTTCTCAACAAATTTCTGTAGGTTGGTGCAAAAGTAGTTGTGGTTTTTGCCATTACTTTTATGGCAAGAACTGCAATTACTTTTGCACCAAACCAGTACTACCCTGTTCAGAACTTCAGAGAATTTATGTTCTCTTATTCTGAAGATTTTTCTATCCAGCTGTGAATGAGTTATAGGTTCCATAGAGAGAATGCTAAGTCATTAGAGTTTCTATGGCAGAAACCGGCTGTTTCTTCTTTCCTCATCAGACAATTAAACTACATTTTTCAGCTTGTCTTCCATTAGTTGTCCATGTGACTGTGTTCTAACCAACAGACTGCAAACAGAGGGGCTAGGTCACACATGATACTTCAGACGAATTCCTTGTAGTGGATCTTCCAGACCCTTTTTCCATTCTAATAGCCTGAACTAGAGACCACTGATGGCCAGTGGCATTTTTTGGGAGGCAGAGGGGGATGAGGTCTCACTTTGATTTCCCAGGCTGCTCTCAAACTTCTGGCCTCAAGTAATCCTCCCACCCAGGCCTCTCAAAGTGCTGGTATTACGTGAGTCACCATGCCCAGCCTTCACTTATAGCTCTAGAAGCAACCTGGTATAGGTAAAAATACCAGATGAAAAAGGCTTTTTGGATGACAGCCATCCCACTGGTCAGCCCAGCATTGGACTTTTTCCTGTATTTGCAAGAACTATTTAACTATACAAGTGAGATATTGTGGTTTAACCAATACAGCTGTTAGATTGTTACAACCTATTCATGAAGTTTAACATGGCTAGAGTAGACCAGACTAAGATAAACCAACATTGCAGATGAGCATTAAGACAAATGTTATGGAGAGACACATATCCTATATTGTCATGTTTATTTAAAATACATTTGTTTTATATATGTGCATATGTATTATATAATACATATGAATACATGCATATATATACACATTATATATGTAGGTTATATATAAATATTATATATGTATACATATATAATGTCTATGTGATACATATTGTACTGACAGGAATCAAAGGGAAGAGGTCAAACTACCATACCATTGATAAGGTATGAAACTCCAAGACTTACATGTAGATCCAGAATAGAAAAGCATTCCACACACTAACTCTGACAATCAAGGAAGAGTGTAGATGTGAGTATGACATGGGAACAAAAGAAGTATTTGCAATATTGGAAAGAAGGACATCTCAAACACTCATCATGATGCCATAAGAAGCACTGTGGTGGGTGGAAAGTAACTAGTCATTGAATGGTCCTATCAAAGTTATTTGTTCAAATGAAAAAGGAGGGCATTTCAAACACAAAATGGGAAATGGGAAAAAGGGTAGGGGAGCATTGTCAAAATCACTACTCACTCCCCCTAGCAGAAGCATTGGAAATTTTTTCATGTGTATATGTTCTAGAATTAAGAATTTAGGAAACAAAGAGAATAAGAGAGGTCTTGAATTAAGGTTATGGATGTGGAAAAAATTAAAAAGAGAAAAAAGAGTTTTGAAATATGCTATTAAAAGCATCAGCCAAAGATCAAGATTTTATTAGAAATTTATCTGGTGTCGTATAAAAAGATTGATAAATATTTGTTTATAAGAAAGATAGTGACATTGAAAATATTATTTGTCCTTGTTAGTGCAGTAAAAACTATTCCAGTCACTGATGTATGTTGACCTTGGCTTGTATATATAAATAACAAACTCTTATCCTTGAGAAAGTATCTGGAAACTAAGATGCACAGTTATTTGCAAAATCATTATTACAGATGAATAATCCTGGAGTTTTGTAACTGTAAATTAGTGTAGCATTTTTGCACAATAGTAATCAATGTTTTTAATTCTGAGGAAAAAAGACAAGGTACCTATAAACCTATGAACAAGAAACAATGCAGTATAGTAGTTAAGAATATTTGCCTTGGAGCTAGTTATCCTTGAAATCAATTCAATGCCTGAATTAGTGGTCATGATTTCTTGAACAATTTGCATTATGTCTCAGAGCCTCAGTCTTCTTATCTGTAAAATGTGAATGAATATCTATTTCCTAATGTGGCTGTGGGAAAAAAATGAACTAATATTTGTAAAGCAGTGGTTTTATGTAGCCAGCTACAGATTAAGCTCAACAAAATCATTTAAAGCTGCATTAAGGATAAATCTCAGACAAATCTATGTGTCTTTACATAGATATATGTATATACACATGGGTATATATGTGTACCTGTTTATATGTTTTGTATAAGAGTATATGCATTTAAATGTAAATACATTCATATATACATATGAGTGTATGCATTTGGTGTCCATTTACATGCTTATGTAAAGACAGACCAAGAGAAATGTCGAGTCTATATTTATAGACATATGGTAAAAGAAAGCAAACAGATAACGGCATAAGGATGTATAAAGCTAGACAATGGAAGCGAACAATTGCTGCTAACAGTACTGTGGACATTTAAGCATATTAAATTTAACATTTGTAATCCAAAGAAGTAAATGTTTTCAGATCCTGAAAATTAAGGCCTTAGAGCTCATATAAACTTAAAATATTCAGGCAGTTAAATGGGTGATATTCTTAATTATATAGTCACATTAATATGCAGATATGCGATCGATTTTAACAAAGCCTTCTAACACGAAGTTCTGAAAACTAGAATTATAGTCAGACATGTATCATTAGCTTTGATATGGTTAAACTTTACTTAACTTTTTTTCTTCAGATGTAAAACAAATTGATATGTCTGCTCACTATCTCTTCTAAGGCTGCCATAATTTATGAAATGGAATGCTGTCTATGAAGAGAAATTGAAAATTTAAATGCTGTAAAATATTTGATACTATTATCATTATTGTGAAAGATATAATACCAAGGACACAGACTCCATAAACTTGTGTAATATTTTTGCCAAGTACCAATAGACGATCATAAACAGAGAGTAGTAGCCACAAAGGAAGAATGAGCAAGATGGTTAAATATTTCTATTTCAAAAGAATATTGGGAAAATTGGAAAGAGTTCCAAGTAGAGCCATAAAAATAATATTAAGAGATGGAAAACATGTCTCATGGAGACAGGAAAAGGAAATTGGGGTGATTTTGTCTATAAAATAGAAGAATAAAAATTAGTTTATCTTCAGGATATAAAAAGAGTCTATCAAAGGCATGCCATTATTCTACATGTCTTACTAAGAGATATTGACTTAAAATAAGAAAAGTTTTAAATGAATATAGGAAAGGTTATGCATAATGGGGTTAATATTGGAGAGTAACTACAGAAAGTTATTCAAACATTTTGTGTCTCTGTCTCTCTCTCTGTATCTGTAGGCTTTAGATGATCTGAAAATCAATCACTAGACCAATTTATCTCTGAAATCCTTTTCAGTTCTGTAACTTTCAGAAAAATATCTAATTTATCATGTTTCTTTTTACTAAATCAACAACATAAATGATAATTTATCATTACTACTGACTACCTACCAATATTATAAATACCATCTGATTTTCAGTGTGTCTGATAAAATATTTGATTTTACTAGTTTTTCTATCAGAGGTTTTCAAGTTATAAATTGAAATGAAGTTATGCAGTAAATGTCCTAAATATATAGGTCTTTATATTAGAATTATGTAAGATAAAATAAGAAGAGTAAAGATTTTCAGAAAATATAGTAATTATGATTCCAATCATTTTTCCAGCTTCTTTTTTGAAAGTGGTCAAGGAAATCAACAGAATCTGAAAAATAGGCTAAAATAGAATATACTATAGATTACTAAGATAAGTTATCTAGCTCTGAGATCATAATTTCTTTTTGGTCATATATAATAATATTTTCTATATTTGAAATTCAAAATTCTCTTGTTCTGTCTTGATTGACATATAAGAATCAACAGTCTATGGAAACAGACAATTCAGTTAAGGCAACTAATTGATTTGAGGAATTTTCATTTCAATAATGACCTTGAGCCTTTGCTGCCTGGAATGCCCTCAGATTATGTAGTGGGCTATAGTAAAGATCTATCGTCAAATCAATTACCAAAAGCATGGAACATCTGATCCTTCTCTTGAAATTAACTAGTGAAAGTAGGTCAGCACACCTTCAAATGACACAGTGAATTATTATGTTCTCAATGACCCAGGAAGGAAAGCACAAGTGATTGATGAGAGCTGATATTTAAATGAGAATTGAACCTTTCTGGGATTAAACATGTAGCAATAACCATGAAAACTACCAGAAATCTAAATCTCTTAAAATAATTTCTCTTTTTTTATAATAGCCAGGGAAGAGTTTCTTTTTGCTGCTCTCTACATTCACAGCTACAATTCTGGGAAGAGGTCTACATATTGAGCTCATTCTTAGCTATTTGAAAGTAAAACTATGACTATAGTAGATATTTTAGTTTTGTTTTCATTAATATGTAGAGCAAATAAAGAAAATATTCAATAATATGTTAACAAATATCATTTGTTTCCCACTATGACAATTCAACTAAATAGAGTTCAAAAGACATGGTCAAAGATGACTAATATGATGACAGTAATAAACTTTGCCAAATGAAAATTAATATAATTTGGGTACTGGTTTTATTCTATGTATAAAAAATAAAACAAACAAGCAAATAATAGATGCAAATGCCTTTCTCCAGAAAAAAATATCCAATATTTCTTATGTGATTGTTATTTTAGGTGGTTACTATGTTTTTACATGGGCTTGAGAGTTTTTTTAAATTTGATGGTCTAGTACCTAGACTCACCTGTAATTGTAAGTTTTAATTTAGAGTTGTATTTGTATATATCTTTTGTAAAAAATATATATTATAATATACTTTTTTATAAATAGCTAAAAAATATTAAAAGTTTGGCTCAAATATTAAATCAAGAAGTAGTTTTGTTGGATTCCATGTAAAATACAAATACAATACGGTTGTCTGTATAAAGATATAACCTTTCGACTGCAACATAGTGGTTTAGCACACGGGCTCAGGAGTTCAGACCTTGGTCCCCCTAATTTTAAATTGTGTTGGCCTTCGTTAAACTACTTATTTTATCCAAGCTTCAGTTTTCTATGTAAAATGGGGTTAATAATGGCCACTATTTCATAGATTTTTGTGAAGATGGCATTAGAAAATGTATACAAAGTGCTTAGCCAGAGTCTGCAATGTATTTAAAGAGCATTAGCTACGATGATGGTGAAAGCGTCAATTAATAAATATGTTAAAAATTATGTTAAATCCTTAAACATTACTATTCAATTAACTATGAAGACTTCAATGTGGTAATACAGTGTATTTTATTTATTAACAAATAAAGTTTAGCATTCTTTGCAAATTTTGGTAAAATCACTGAGAGGCCTATCAAAGTATTTAATTAATTTTTGTATAGCACTTAGTGTGTTATTATGACTTTGAATATATTATAGGGTGACAGTGAATCAATATAGCCGTTTGACTTGTGCTGATGGTACAAATTACATTACTATCTTTCTAAGGGAAAAACATGTGTCCAGAAAACACATTTCTAAAGTACTAAATTTCTCATTTGTATTCCCAATGTTATTAAAGGATTTTCAATCATATTAACACAGATTTCTGAATACAAACCACATAAGTTAGGCATAGAAAATAACATCTAAATGTGCTTATAAGTTCATCTCAATAACACATAAAACAGACACTTTTGTCATCTTTGCTTTCTGGGATGTTGGTTTTCTGAGCTTTAGCAGTAGCATTTAGCATTCTTGGAAAGGGAGCAGGGAATTTAGGGAGAATAGACCTTCTGTTGAGTATCTTTCCCTTCCTGCCTTATGTTAGACCCAGGATACTAAGGAACTCTCAACAGAGTTCCTGCCTATAAGATCTGTAAGATCCTAGAGGGTGTCATAAAGCACCCTGTGGAGTATTTTTCTCTCTAGATATCTTAAAGAAGAATGTAGCTCTTATCTTTATAGTCTTGCTCAGTCAGAGGTCAAAAATGGGGAACAAAGCTCTTCAAACTCTCAAGAAGAAACAAGGAGAAAGAAGAGTAAGTAGTGGAACAGGGCTTTTCACATAAACATGAATTCACCGTGAGTACTTGTGATTAGACATTAAACTTTAGATATCTGTCTGGAGTAGTAGTACTTTGAAATGTATAAATATGGAAGGAAGAAGAAAGAAATTGACTTATTTTTTTACCTTTCCCCCCAAAAAACTAATTTTTATTGACTGTCTTTTAAATATCTAGCAATCTGCTTGGGCAACAGACATAAACATATATAATCTAATAATATCAATTTAAATGATATTTGAAGACAATAGTACAAGAGCTATAACAGGCAATGCATAGCTAATTATTAGATGGATTTAAAGGTCACAGAGAAGCACAGGAAATTCACTTCTCTAGGTTAAGCCAGAAGGTTATAACGATTACATCAATGGTAAAGCCCTGATGACCGTAAGCAGAAATTATTAAACCTATGTCATATATGTGTTAAAATGTTTAAAACTGTTTCAGGGGATACTAAACAAAAATCCCTGCCCCAAATATTGTACAATTAAAGGGGAAACAAAGCAGAATCTGAAAAGCAGTGAGCCAAGTCAATACGTTCTGTGGTCAACACTACATTTCAAAGAGAACATAGCAAAGGAGAAAAAAGTTCTGTCCTCCAGTATTCCCTGGGTCTGAAGCCAGGAAAAATAGACATAGAACTAGGAAAATGTTGACAAGGACACACTCAGTATGAATTTTGTGCTATTGTAGACAGAAAGACTAAAAAATATGTAAATTGTACTTAGAGTTTAAAAACTCTGGTATCTCAGCAGTTATTGTGAAACGAGAACAATGTAGGGCACAGGCAAAGATTAATACAAATGGATAATAGATGGTGAAAAGGAACTGGAAATGATTCTAATGAGAGAAAATGCAGATTCATCCACCTCCCCATGAGGAGAGACTGTGTCTTGGAGATGCAGAGACATGCTGTGTATTATTTGTATTTATTATATTTGGAATTGGCTTAATTGATCTATAATCTCTTGTGGTTTTTTCCATTCCGTATGTTTAGATATTCTCAATTTGGCATGTGGTCCCCTTTATAAAGTGATAAGCTAAGAAACGCTGCTGGATTCGTTTAGTATCTATAGTGGTCTAAACAGTGAAACATAATGCATTTCAGATTAGTGTATTGGTGGAGCCAAGTCTGCCGTAGAGGTATTTAGGAAAGCCTACACTTCACTGACACAGGCAGAAATACAGGGTGGAAGGAACATGCTATATGCAAGTAAGGATTATAGTTAAGTTAATAACTTGGCAAATCCAAGACCTAGGTTAACTACGTCTATTAATTTTTCATTGCTACATAACAAATTAGTTGTTTAAAGCAACATTCTTTTATTTTCTCACAGTTTCCATGGGTCAAGTCTAGGGATGGTTTAGCTGGCTTCTACACTCTGGGTCTAAATAGGCTGAAATCCAGGTGCTAGCCAGGGCTGCAATTCTCATTTGAGGGTTGGAGTCTTTTTCCAAGTTTACTAGTTGTTGGTAGCCCTCAGTTCTTAGCAGCTCTAGGACAATGGTCCTTAGCCCCTACTGACCAAATGTAGTTCCCTGCCATGTGGTCCTCTCCAGTTTGCTTTTTCAAGGCAAACAGGTCATCATCTCTGTTGCTTGGTATCTTTCACTCAGTCAAGGCTTAGACTTCGTTTTAAAGGGCTGGTACGATTAGGTCAGGCACACCAAGATAATCTCTATTTTGTTGAATGTAAAGAAAACTGGATTAAGGACCTTAATGACATCTGTGAAACCCTTTCATCTTTGCCATTTGTATTAGTCTGTTCTCATGCTGCTAATAAAGACCTACCAGAGACTGGGTAATTTATAAAGGAAAGAGGTTTAATTGACTCACAGTTCCACATGGCTGGGGAGGCCTCACAATCATGGCAGAAGGCGAATGAGGAACAAAGTCACGTCTCTCATGGTGGGGGGCAAGGGAACATGAGCAGGGAAACTCCCCTTTTAAAACCATCAGATCTCATGAGACTTATTCACTATCATGAGACCATCATGGGAAAAATCTACCCCCATGATTCAATTACCTTCCACCGGGTACCTCCCATGACACATGGGGCTTAGGAGAGGTACAATTCAAGATGAGCTTTTGTTGGGGACACAGCCTGGGCATATCACCATTATAACATAACTTAATCATGGGAGGGAAATCCCGTCATATTCACAAATTCTTCCCATACTTAAGGACAAGAATCTTGGGGTCCATCTTAGAATTCTGCCTACCACATTATAATATTAAAGAATATTTATGTAGACTGTGATTACAGGCAGTTATGATAACTTCTCATACCTCTTTTCCCTCATTTTCATAGAGATGAAAATAATTTTGTTTCAGGTGATTGTAGAGATTAAACAATGTAACAATTGTAACGTATTTTCAATAGTGCTTGCACATGGTACATGCTACATAATTATTTGTTAAAAGAAAATAAAGTATTTTAGAATCATTTACTGGCACATACTAAGCATTCAAGAATGTTTGCTGATGTTATTTTTTAATTATTATTGTTTACTGAATGTAATGTTCGTCAGAAATAGTAAGTTTCTGCTTTAAGTCCTTTTTGTAATTATGGTATGATGTAAAATATATTATGCATTACTTTCATGATAATACTATAATTTATACAAATAAGATATGTGAAATTAGTACTCTCTATATATATTTTAAAAATTGTATACTATCTCAATAACCACACAGTAATTAGGAATGGTATGTTTGAAGAACTGATTAATTTTAGGTAATGATTTTCTAGTACTCAAGAGACATGGGCAGTTTTCAGTATAATTAGACTTTGAATGCCAAGGTCATGATCAATACAAGTTAAAAGACCATTTGCAAAAGCTTTATTTATGGAATTTATACAGACAATAAAATTTGTCTTTAAAAAAATTAAACCTCATTGTTAAAAATACATCTGATGGAATTATTTGCTAATATCTCCATTATTTTAGCTTCCATCAATATTTTTCAAGACAAGAGGACATATTTTTTGAGCAAAAGAAAAAAATTTTAGTTTAATTTGACAAATGTCAATCTAATTAATAATCAACAAAATATCATTTTAAATTTGCTTTAGATGGCAGTTTAATGACATCTATTGATTTTATATTATTGGATTGAATAGTGTCATCATTATTTCTGTGTGGCATACTTTAGGCAGAATTTGAATTATGCAGTATCACAAAAAGTTATTTTTCTTATCTTCGTGAAACATGCGTGCAAATGTCTCAAATGATATAAAATTTCATACTGCTATAGCAAAAATCTTTCTCTCGATACATATTATACGTAAATGTAAACAAAACGTTTCCCCAGTATAATCTATAACTATTAAGTTAATTCTTCTTCATTCATTCAGCCTGTACTGATCACCTTCTACTAAACACTCTGCAAAACATAATATGGCTGTTATATGTGATGAATAAGGTTAGAAGAGTCTAGCAGTTGTAACATTTAGCATTGTCTTAAATTGCTTTCTGAAGAATGAAGACACTGTCCTTTAGGGAATGAGATGTTTTGACATTTACACATGGCCATAAAATACTTTGAAATCAGTCTTTCTTTTCTCTTTTCTTTTCTTCTTTCTTCTTCTTTTTTCTTTCTTTCTTTCTTCTTTTCTTTCCTTTCTTTCTATCTCTCTCTCTCTCTCTCTCTCACACGCCACATGCCCTAGCAAATTGTGTTGACTTTACCTTGAAGATACACCCAGAAGCTGACTCCATTTTGACACTATCACTGTCAACCCCTGTGCAGATCACCATTACCTTCTACTTGGGTTGAATGGTGTCCCAACTGGTTTCCTATTTCTGCTTCTACTCACTTCCACAGAAACCAGAGGATCCAGAGAAAACATGTCACAATATTCCTTTCCTTAATGCTCTCCAGTGGCTTCCTATCTCACAACAAGAGTAAAAGATTAAGTCATAATTGTCCATAAGGCTCTATTGATCAGGCCACTCACTGCCCATCTGACCTCATCTCCAACCTGCATTTCCTGCCACTTTTCCTTCTTCAGCCTAAAAGGGACTCCTTGGGTCCTGAAAGTTGTGAAGTATGCTTTCTTTCATCTTAGGGCTATTTCATTTGCTCTTGTCCCTGCATGGTATACTTCTTGCTTCAGATCTATTAAATGTCACCTTATGAGAGAGAGCTTCCGCGAACACATTCTGTGAAATGGGACCTTTTGGGCCAGTCTTTTCCTTTCTTTCCTTTAGCACAAATTGGCATAAATTTGTTTATCTATTTATTGTTTGTTTCCCTCCCTGCCCCAAACTGTTACCCTTATGGAGTATGTTTGTGTCGTTCCTTGATATGCCTCCATACAGAAAATAGTGACTGGGTACTTAGAAGGTGACCAATTCTTATTTCATTTTATTAAAATTTAAAAAATTATGTGGCATATAAAATGAGAATCTGATTATAATCACATTTTTCTGTTCAACCAAATAGATTCCTTTGTCAAAGTTTTTTTTTTTTCTCAGATTCCAATAGCATTTTTGTTGTTTTTACACTTGTGTGTATGTGTGTCATGATTATTGTTACTGGAACTAAGAACATAAAGAAAACTTCTGGATTAAGGTCAATTTCAATCTAAATCAAAAGAGAAACTCAAAGCAGGTTGGATTATTTTGGTTTGTGCTTCCCATTTCTATATTATTTTCTCCTACCTCATTCCTCCTTTCTCTGGGTTGAGTTTTCTCTTTTCCATTCCCTATGTTGAAAGACTTACTGAAAATGCACACTGTTCCTCGTTAAAGTTTGAGAAATGGAGGCTTTTTCAATTTTTCTCACTACTCCTAAAAAGAGAAGGAAAAATAAGCGAGCAAATATTAGAAGAACAACAAAAAGACTTTATCACAATAAATAACGAAAGTGCCAGAACCAGAAACTGCAGATTAGGAAACAAATTGTGAAGTCTTATAATGGATGCAGTAGAAGGCTATAGCCTGAAGGTGTGCCTTCTTAGACCGCCTGCAGATTATGGATTTCTCTAAACTTGAAAGACTTTCTCAAGAATGACTTAACAGAAGATAGGGTCTAGAGGTCTGGGTATCTCAGAAGAAGCAGCAAATATTCCTGCAGAGAACTAGTTTAGCTCTGAAGAAAAAAAAAGGGAGGTGAAGACAATGGAGGAAATAAGTAAAGCTTACATTATTTCTATCTACAACCTACCTTCCGGCTAAAAGCAGTGAAATAGGATAGCAGTGATCTATGGCAAAATGGAGAGCCTTTGCCACCCTAAACCCTTGTGCGACAGTGGAGGGAAGATACGCTTGCCAGTGTAGAGGAAATTGCATGCATGATGAAAGTTCTAGAAATAAAAATATTGGTTAGAAGTTTCAAGTTGGTCCTCAGAAATTCTTCAAAAATTAACTATATGTAAGCATATTGGTTTCATATTGCTACCATAATAAATTACCACAAACTTAGCCCCCAAATATAACAAAAATTGATCTCACAGTTTCTGTGAGTCAGAAGTCTGAGTGAGCTTCTGTGTTCTGTTGGTTGAAATGAAAGTGTTGGACAGAGCTACATCCTTTAATGTACGTAACTGAAAGCACCGACTTTCAAATTCTTTTAGGTTGTTGCCTGAATTCAGTTCCTGACAGTTGTAGGATTGGGGTCTCTGTTTCCTTGCTGGCTTTCTTTTCTCTTAAAGGCTTCCTGCACTTCTTGTGCTTTTCATGTGCCTCCTTCCAGCAACAGCAGATGGAGTCCGTTTCACACTTCAAATCTCTCTGTCTTCTGCTGCCTCTCTGGTCCAGCTCTAGAAAGTTATCTGCCTGTAAGGAGTTACGGAATTAGATTAGGTCCACCTGAAAACTTTGAAATACTATCCTTATTTTAAGCTCATTAACTTTTCCTCTTTAAAGTTCTTTTTCTCATGTAATGTAACATATTCATAGGTTTTGGGGTTAGGGCATGACCATTTTGTCTACCACAATAAGAACGATTCACATAATAATGTACCTATAAATAGAATGTAAAATCAAAGAAAAAAAAAAGAAATGCAAACATAATACAGAGAAGATAAGTTGAACACAAGAAGAATCACACAAGGAAGTAGGCCAAGTGTTCTGAAAACAAAAGTTCTCCATCGTCTCAAAGAAGCTCTAGTCAATCATAAGCACTCTTTTAAAAAAAGGAAAATTACAAAAGGATAAATGGATTGAATGATGTCATAAGACAGTAAAGTTAACCTATAATCCCAGCACTTTGGTAGGCCAAGGCAGGAGGATTGCTTGAGCTCAGCAGTTTGAGATCAGCCTGGGAAATATAGTGAGAACCCATCTCTAAAAAAAAAAAAAAAATTAGTCGTGGCGGAACATGCTTGTAGTTCTAGCTACTCAGGAGGCTGAGGTGAGGAGGTCAAGGCTTCAGTGAGCTATGATCACACTACTGCACTCCAGCATGAGGAACAGAGTGAGACCCTGTCTGAAAAAAAAAAAAAAAAGACACTAAAGTAAGATGAAAAGAGATTTAAGAGATTTGACAGAGCTTGACAAAGGAACATTTAAAGAAAATTAAAATGTTAAAAGATGAAAGTTACATGTAAAGCAAAAATAAAAAAGCACAGCTATAGATGAAACCATAACAAGCATCAGGAAGAGGCTTAAGAAAACTTTTCAAAAATAATAATAATAAAATAGAAAACTTTACATAATTTTAGAAAATATAATGCATATAAATCATATGAAAAAGTTAAATATAGATAAATATAATTAGATGTATAGGATATGAGAAAAAAATCTAAAATGTTCCAAAATACAATAGAAGAAAAATTTCTCAAAAGGATCAGAAGGTAGACCAGGAAAAACTAATTTTAGAAGACTGCAAATGTTCTAAACTTTGACAGGGTAAGTATAACTTAAAGTAAAAACATATAATTTTAAATATAATGACCTTAAACTTAGTATTTTTCATAACCATCTTTATCTTGAACTTCAAGGAATAAGAGATGTTTTAAAGTAACCTCTGTAGGGATTAGCAATAATAACATACGTTATTTGAATTTTAACAAGTACTTTAGTGCCAGTTTAGTTTATTGTTCTTAAGTTAAATTCAGGTAAAATGTAATTTTAAAATTTTATTTGTATAAATTGCATCTACTACAGACACACCTTGGAGATACTGTAGGTTCTGTTCTATACCACCTCAATAAAGCAAATAGCCAAATAAAGGATATCACACCAAATTTTTGGTTTTCCAGTGCATATAAAAGTTAGGTTTGCAGCATATAATAGCATTATGTCTAAAAAAGCAATGTATATACCTTATTTTTAAAATACTTTATAGCTCAAAATTGCTAAAGATCATCTGAGCCTTCAGCAAGTTGTAATCTCTTTACTGGTGGAAGATCTTTCCTCCATGTTGATGGCTGCTGACTAATCAGAGTAGTGGGTGCTGAAGATTGGGGTGTGGCAATTTCTTCAAATAAAACAACAATAAAATTTGCCACATCAATTGACTCTTCCTTTCACAAGTGATTTCTCTGTAACATGTGTTGCTGTATGATAGCATTTTACTCACAGTAGAACTTCTTTCAAAATTGGGGTCAATCCTCTCAAATACTGCCATAGCCTTTATCAACTAAGTTTATGGAATATTCTAAATCCTTTGTTGTCATTTCAATAATATTTATAGTCTCTGCACCAGGAGTAGATTCCATCTCAAGCAACCAATTTCTTTGCCCATCCGTAAGAAGCAACTTCTTGTCAGTTAAAATTTGATCATGGGATTGCAGCAATTCCATCAAATTTTCAGGCTCTACTTCTAACTCTAGGTCTCGTGCTGTTTCCGTCACATCTGCAGTTATTTTCTCCACTTGAGTCTTAAACCCTCAAAGTCATTCATGAGAGTTGAAATCAACTTCTTCCACACTCATATTAATGTTGATATTTTGAACTTCTCTCATGAATCATAAATGTTCTTAAGGGTGTCTATAATGGTCAGGTTTTTTCCAGAAGGCTTTCTATTTGCCTTGCCCAGATACATCAGAGAAATAACTATCCATATTAGTCTGTTTTCACAATGCTAATAAAGACATACCCAAGACTGGGTGATTTACAAAGGGAAGAGATTTAAGGGACGGCACAGTTCTACATGGCTGGGGAGGCCTCACAATCATGTTGGAAGGCAAAGAAGAAGCAATGGCACATCTTACATGGTGGCAGGCAAGAGAGCTGGTGCAGGAGAACTTCCATTTATAAAACCATCAGATTTCATGAGACTTATACACTACCATGAGAACAATATGAGAACAGTATCGGGGAAACCAACCCATGATTCAGTTATCTCTGTCTGACCCCACCCTTGACATATGGGGATTATTACAATTCAAGGTGAGAATTGGGTGGGGACACAGTCAAACCATGTCACTATCTATGGAAGCTATAGCCTTACAAAACGTATTTCTTAAATAATAAGATTGGAAGTCAAAATTACTCTTTAGTCCATGAGCTGCACAATGAATGCTGTGTTAGCAGGCAAGAAAACAACATTAATTTCCTTGTAGATGTCCATCAGAGCTCTTTGGTGACCAAATGCATTGTCAATGAGCAATAATATTTTGAAAGAATTTGTTTTTTTCTGAGCAATAGTTCTCAAGAGTGGGCTTAAAATTCAGTAAACCATGCTGTAACCAGATGTGCTTTCATTCAGGCTTTGTTGTTCCATTTATGGAGCACAGGAAAAGTAGATTTAGCATAATTTTTAAGACCCTAGAATTTTCAAAATGGTAAATGTACATTGGCTTCAACTTAAGCCAAAACTGGATTTGCCCCTAACAAGACAGTTAGCCTGTTCTTTGAAACACTGAAGCCAGGCATTGACTTCTCTAGCTATAAAAGTCCTAGGTGCCATCTTTTTCCAATGGAAGGATATTTGCTCTTCGTTGAAATCCTGTTGTTTAGTGTAACCACCTTCATCAATGATCTTAGCTGGATCTTCTGGCTAACTTGGTGAATCTTCTTTGTCAGCATTTGCTACTTCATCTTGCACTTCTAAGTTATAGAAATGGCATCTTTTCTTAAATCTCATGAAACAACATCTGCTAGCTTCTATCTTTTCTTTTGCTAGCTTCCAAACTTTCTCACCTCTCTTAGCCTTCACAGAATTGAATAGATTTAGGGACCTGCTCTGGATTAGGCTGTGGCTTAAGGGAATATTGTAGCTGTTTTGATCTTCTATCTAGACCACTAAAACTTTCTTCATTTAACAATAAAGGCTGTTTCACTTTCTTCTGATTCCCATTCACTGGAGTAGCACTTTTAGTTTTTTTCACAATTTTTTTCTTTGCTTTTACAAGTTGGCAAACTGGCATAAAAGGCCTAGTTTTTTTTAGCCTAACTCTGTTTTTGGCATGCCTTTCTCACTAAGCTTAAAGTTAAGCTCAAACTGAGAGATGTGCAACTCTTCCTCATTAAATGGCCTAATTTTATTATGTCTCACAGAATAGAATGGCCTGAGGACAGGCAGAGACACAGGGAATAGTCAGTTAGTGGAACCATCAGAAATGCACATTTATTGACTAAGTTTGCCATCTTACGTGCGCATTGCTTCATGGTGCTTCCAAAACAATTACAATAGTGGCATAAAAGATCACTGATCACAGATCACCATAGAAGATATAATAAAATAAAAAAGTTTAAAATATTGAGATAATTTTCAAAATGTGACACAGTGACCCAAAGTGAGCATACATTGTTGGAAAAAATGGTGCTGATGGACTGGCTTGGCAAAGGGTTTCCAAAAACCTTCAATTTGTGAAAAACTCAATATCTACAAAGTACAATAAAGCAAAGCACAATAAAAAGGTATGGCTTTATTTATCTAACTATTTAGTTATCTTTAATCTATCTACCCAGCCATCCTTTTTATATAAACATGTGTATTGAAAGTCATTCATGCACATATTTATCTTAAGTTGAGTATGGTCAATCCTAGTTGATGGGATTTGGGGTGCATGTGTAATTTTCTCCTTGTATTCGATTGCATTTGTTTGAATTAAACTGTGAGCATACACACATTTCTTTAACAAATAAAATATAATTGACATTTTATTCTTCAAGTTTCATTGAGCTTCCTACTTCATGTCTTCCCCTTTGCAAGGCAAACTGTGTAATCCCTTCAGGGTCCAACAACCCTCCTAAGTGTCTTCCAGGATTTATACCTGGAGGTCTCTTAGGGCTACATTAGCACATATCTGAGACTGTGTGTCCCAATTATGCTTCTGGACTGGACTAGTTCCAGTAATGGAAACTTTCTTCGAAGTAGAATGACTCACCGCCTGGCTCTAAGAGAGTTACATACAATCTGGATATTAGGAAGAGCAGACAGCTTATCCAGGCTTTCTTATACTTATTTTGTCCATATTGCATCAGTTATAGAATATATTGATTGAGATTCCTAATAGTCCCTTGATGTCTGTGCTTAGTGAGACTAGGAGTTTGACTTACTGTGGTACCTTCTTACCATACCATGTCTCTTGAGCCTTCTCTATATTCATGTGCTATCACTCTAATATGATCTGTACCACTTACCAAGTTACTTTGGGCTTGTGATACCACCCAAAATAAATGCACATTGCTTTGGGGCTTGTAATACCACCAAATAAATAAACATTGTACTTTGGGCTTGTAATACCACCCAAAATAAATACTCATTGCTTTTATGTAATAAAATTTTAGATCACTGTATTTTGGACATGTCGGAGTAAAATACCCAATCATTAAATTGACCTTCTATCTATGTAATGATCCAGTGGGCATTACCTACAGGAACTGATTTGTAAAGGATAACAACTGTAGGCGACAGTGAGATTCTGACTCATCTTTATCATGTGGAAAAATGAGTGTTGTAATGCTCATCATTATTCATATTATATAAGCACTACAATTTAGCTGTGCAAACAGCTTTTCTTGAGAGGCTGAAAATAAAATTGTAGAGATATAGCAGGTCACAATATCAGTGCAATTACAATACTAATTTAATCAGTACCTACTAATCAGTTTTAAACAATATTTTATTTCTTCATGTTTCCAATTACCAGATCCCTTCCTTTGTCAAATCCAGATATATTATTAAATAATTTTGTTCCTAAGATGTCATTAACTTAGAATTTTTTATCATATGTATTTCTCAAAGTGGCATTTTATAGTATTTCAACATTTTATTTTATAATAAACTCTAATTTAGTTGGTTATATATTTTAAAGCATATGGTAAAAAGACCTCTCAAATACATTTTCTGCAAAAGTTTACATCTGAGTGCCTGTTACCATTTTTTTTCCTTTCTCATTCACAGTGACATACAACAAAGAAACTGTTCTAAGTGAACAGAATGATACAAAGTGAATCTATAATATAAGTTGTCAAAATAAAACATAGGTCAGAGACCTGAATTATTGCCAGACCTCTGCCACTTTCAAGTCACTTCACTTCTTAAGACTTACCTTCTCTACCCATAAAATGGAATGGCTGAATCACCTTAGATGAAGTCCAACATTTTTTCCAGTCCTACATTTCCATGATTTTTTATTTGATTCGTATTGTCAACAAAGTTAGATTCAATTTATTTTACAGTAGAGCTTCCATATTTGTTAGGCAATGACCATGGAAAAGGATATATAAGGGAACACAGAGTGAAAAATCTAATTTTTTGTTTCTCATAAAAATGTGAGTCTTTGGATAATTCCTTTAACCATTTTAGTTCCCAATTTCCCTATTTGTAAAATGAAACATTTATGCAGGTGATATCTAATGGTATCTCCTTGGCTTTATTTATCATTATTTATCACTGTAGACACACAGCTATCCTAAAGGGGTCACATAAACTTTCCTTTTCCCTCTCCTCCTCAATATCCCAGTTCCCTGCTCTTCACATTATGGTTATCACCGTCCTGACAATGTTCTAAGAACTGAAAACCAGTGAGTATTTTGCATGTTCTTGATTGTCAATTTTATTTCAAGCATTTTGGGAGAAGGAGAAAGCATTGTTTATAATTATTAGGGGAAAACATGGTATTCTGAAATACATATCAAAGAACATTAATAATTAAGGTAAAAAGATGTCAAATAATTTAGTTATTGTTTTCTACAATTATGGTTTATTAGTTTAAATAAGTCCTCTTGGGTATTGTTCCAAATAAACTAAGAATTTTCAATTTGTAAACTTCGAATATGCCTAACTATATCTTTGCCACTTTCTACATAGGGCACATTGTTAATATATTTATATACCCATATATTTCTGAAATACGGTATTTTTATTTTTCAAAGAGCATTGTTTAAACTGTTTTCTGGTCTCCATTTAATCACACTAGTTTTTTTAGTTTCATTTTTAATTTATTTTATATACATTTTTGGTCAATGTCTTAAAATAAAGGAATTAAAATATATTTTGCAAATATTTTGTTCAAGGATTGAGATGAGAAAGATGGCTTATTTTCTAAGATTTTCATTTTTAATTAACTCCTGATACAGTTAGGTTTTATTCCATATATCTTTAATTACATTACTATGTAGTCTATTCAATCCAAATTGAAATCACTTATTAAAACAATTGAAATTATACATAGATTTTTTAAAAGAAAATATTGGATCTCTTCAAATGTTATTAGCTGATAAATTTTGAGGTGATCAGTGTTTGAGCATTTGGCATAGAAGATAATTTAAAATTATTGAAACACTTCACATATTTTTAAAACCACTTCAGTGGGGGAAATGATGATATTCTGAAAATGCCTGTAAGGGTGTAAAATTATCAGAGAGCTTAAGTGCTTCAGTGTGAAAGTGATCGAGGTTCTTTGCTTGTACATCACAAAGCAATTGAAAATTACTGAAGTGGTTCAAGTGGTTCATGTTTCCAGAAGAGTTTTTAGTCTTTCCTCCTCAGAGTGCTTTAAATTTTTGAATGTCGGAATAATTCCACAAGGTTACATATATACCTCTTGTCCTGATTATCAGTTTAGGAGTCAAGGCTAATATTGAACTTCTGAGCTGATTCTAGGTAAATATAAAGTGATTGGAAATTGCTGATTTCAAGCAGCCCCCGCGCCCCCCCCAAAAAATTCCATAAAGCCAGATCTACATTTGAAAAGCATAGTACAGAATTTAGCTCATTATTCAGAAAAATGAGGTTGGAGTGATTTTTGAGGGGTACAGGGACCACAAAGGGAGGTAATACAATTTTTGTTTTCTTTAGTCTCTGGTTAATATGAATATCAATTTCAATTGAAAAATGTTAGTCAAGGCTGACTGCTGTGGTTCACACCCATAATTCCAGCACTTTGGGAGGCTAAAGCAAGAGGATAAGTGAGGCCAGGAGTTCCAGATCAGCCTGGGCAACATAGCAAGACTCTGCCTCTACCAAAAATTAAAGAAATAAAATTAACCAGTCATGGTGGCACACTTCTGTAGTCCCAACTACTCAGGAGGCTGAGGCAGGAGGATGACTTGAACCAGGAGTTCCAGGCTGCACTGAGCTATGATTGCACCACTGCACTCTAGCCTGGGTGACAGAGAGAGATCCTATCTCAAACAAACAAACAAAAAAATTAGAATTCAATTTTTTTATAGATACAGAAACTATCAAAATTCAGACAAATGGTGACAAATTTGTGATACTAGAGCCATAAGAATCCACATCAGATCTTTAGACTTACCATTGATAAACACTATGATTTTAGAATTGTTTATGTAGAATCTTAAAACGTTCCATCAACTTATTTTAGTTTTGTCTTCTTCTGGATTGAGTATCTTTAATACCCAAACCACCTAATTTTAAGGCCATCTGTTTCATGCTTTAAACATATATGGTCTGATAGGTAGCCATTTAACACATATTTATTGAGTGCCTACTGTGTGCCAGACAATGTGCTGAGCACTAGAGGTATCATAAAATACAGATAGAGCATTTGTCCTCATAAGCCTTAGAGTTAGAAAAAACTTTAGGAGGCTCAAAACCCAACTTTATTTTACAAATAGAAAAGCTGAAACCCAGAGAAATAATGCGACTTGCTCATCATCCCAATTTTAGTGTGAGAGGCAGATCAAAAACTGTCTTTCAGCAAACCATCTCTCCACTAAATAATCTCACTTCCTTCCCTTGATTTCATTTTAATTTCACTTTCCTGGTATTAGTAGTTTTTTTGAAGTTTGTGAGAAGATAAGGTCAATGGGCTAGAGATTGGCAGAAATACAATACTGATAATTACCAGTAATAATTTGGCTTCAGTTCCAGCTGAAAACATTATCAATAAATAATATAAACAAGTACATTATGTCATTCTGAGGAATTGCTAATATCTGAAAATCAGCTTCAGATAATTGAGATTGAAAACCTGATATACTGACATTCTAAATGTCAGAAGTATGAATGCATTATTGAATAAATATTATTACAAGATCAAAATTTCAAAATATAATGAGCATAAAATTTATGTATAAAAATATTGAGAAAATTAAATCAAATATGCAGGAAATCAATTCATAATATACTTCTTAATAAATTTAGTTAGAATATTATACATTTTAAGCCAAAAGATGTTTATTAGAATGGAAATCATAATGTAAGGAAATATATTGGAGATTTGATTGTATAGTCATTCTAATCTTTATAGTGTTGTTTTTTGTGTGTTTGCATTCAAAATTACACAAAGTAACTTTAGAAAGTCTTTAATTTTTAATAAGATAATTTCATTTAGAACATGATATTGTCATGTAAAATTTCTACATTTGGTAAATTCTTCACATCTTGTGAGAATGAACAAAAAGCCAAGCGTACGAACTTCATGAGCAGGAAAATCTTTAAAATAAATTAAGCATATCTGATCTATGCATGATAAAAAATACAAAGAGAAAAAAATAAAAGAAGGACATTGCAGAGAGAATTGAGTTTTTCCTGCTATCAAGTCAAGCATTTCTGATCCTGAGGCAAGGATCCAAAAAGAGAGCCAAGAATCATATGTCTAAATATTTAAAAGTTATAGTTCAAGTTATCAAACTATCTTGATCTTATAGCTTCATAAAAACATAATTGAAAAGTAAAGGTAAGCTCATAGTTTCTAATAATTCAAAGCCATAAAATATTAAACGTAATTGAACTTACAGACATAGTCAGGTAATTATTGCCTAATAAATGATTTTCACCAGAAAGTCTCTTGAAATGTTTTAATCCATTTAGGAAGACTATTTTTTCAGTATAATGACTTTTCAGTCTCAGTCTCACTAAATAAATAGGCTTTAAGTGACAATTCAAAATTATCGAAATTAATATAACAAATTGATTCATATGAAAAAAAGGAATCTGTTATTATTTGGGGTAGCTAATATGATGTAAGTGAATATCTAAGCAAGGTGAGATAAGCAACAAGCCCAGTAAAACACCTTTACTGTAAAATAAAGTCTAAATACCAAAATCTTTTAAAATGTGGGAGTAGTGCCTGCCCACAACAGACCAACTCAGAGAAGATGCTACCCCTTTATCATTATTGCTTAATACATGTATGAAAAGCAAAGGATTTTGGATTTTTTGAAACATGCCATGCAATTCAGATTTGTTTTTTATGATTTGCTGACTTAGTTGTGTCAAATAAGTGCAATGAGTGTGACTTTCCTAAAACTCTGGGTCATAATACTATGACATGCTGAAGGCAACATAGACAGTATTAAGTCAAAATATACAAATATTTCCAACAAGTGCACCCAAACTGCAAACTCAGGATAGAAAAAAAGTATGAACAATTTTACCTTAGTTATTTAAAACATACTGATAGAGAAGGGCTAAAAGATATGTTACTTTTGTCGTTAATGGAATTTGTGGGTGTTTCTGAGTTTTTAAAAATAATTTTCTATAATTAAATAGTACAAATAAATACTATCTTTAAAACGTGCTGAACATGAAATAGCCCATAGCAAGCTACAGAAATATTGATTTATGTTGGCACAGAATCATTAATTAAAGTTCTCATTTTGTACGGATGATCAACTAGCTTCAATTCTACCTAATAGTATTAAGACCTAGCTCACTACTTAATCCCAAATAAATTCTCAAGGGAAGATTTGTCAACAGCTTTGCAATAATCAAGATATTCTATGCCTACTCCATGACACATGTGGACCAATGTGAATTATACTAAAAAATTTACTAAGTGGTACGTTGAAAAACAATTTTATTGATTTATTGAAAAATATGGAGAATGGTTCATGCCCTTGGCTCATTTCACGTACTTAATTCAACCAATATTTTTGAGAACAGTTCATGGCCAGATGTGTTCCAGAGATGGGAAGGATGAAATGTAGTTCCTATCAGAAGAGGGCGTGTGTCACATCAACTACCTAAAGAGGGTAACACTGTCCCCTCTTTCCAAGGCCATAAGTTCCTGATATGAACTAGATTATTATACATATATATATATATATACACACACACACACACACACACACATATATTATCGGTGTTTGCATGCAGTATATATTTATAGGTAGTTGATATATATAGTATATATATAATGTACATATACATATACACACAGACAAATGCAGACACACTACACATATGTGTGTATGTATATGTGCATATATATCTGTGCATATTTATTCGTTAGACAAATAATAAGTTCAAGGAAAAATATACTTGTATTTGCTAGGACTTATCAAATGATACAATATTCAGTATACTTATAACAAGGTGCCTGAATTTTTTGAGATAAAGTTGAAATTCAAATTCTCTCTGTGTTTGTGAAATATCTGCCTGTGCTCTCCTGGTTAGATCTGAGGCGGGAGAGGAGAACTTTCTGACGGTTGCTCCCAGATTGTCAACAGGGAAAGGGTGATTGTATTTGAACCTCAGTGCTGACACTTCTCATGAAGTAAACACTTCATTTCACTTGGCTGAGGCTTACTTTCCTCATCCGTACACTAAAAATTTATTTCAAGGAACAAATCAGATAATTAAATGAGATTACATAAATTAATTGGTTAGCACAGTGTCCGACACATTAATATAGTAAATGTTCAATGATAAACATGTGTGCATGTGTATGTATACATATATCTGAAAAAAATTAAAGTGCAGAAAGGTAAGTAAAATGGCTCTTGATCACACAGATTAAAAATAATAGTGACCTTGGGAATCCAAAGCTTATGTCATTTCCACAGTCACTTGAAACTCCTAAACTTTCAAAACCAGGGTCATCACTAATCTTCCTTGATTCCAACGAATATAAATGGTACTGTTCACCTATTGTGTGTCAGGCTGTGTTCTAGACATTTTGTATAGAATTTGTTAATTATTTGTAATATTTTATCTTGAATTTGAATTGTATGTATATATTTTATCTATTATTTCTTACATGATTAAAATTTTTAAAGAATTTTTGGCGTAAAAATTAGAGTAAAAAAATCTCGTCTTCTATACAGACTCTAAAATGAAATGTGTAGGCACTTTTTTATACTCATTCAAATGAAAACATGTTATTCCCTAGAAACAAAATAGTAACTTATCAAATATCTGAAATTTATTTTGTACTTTATGCTGCCCATGGCTAAATCCCAGTCATCCCATCTTGCTAAATGAAAAGAAGTATTATTATTTTAGTTTACAGTAGCATGCCTCTCAGAAATGCCTGCAAGACAATCAATAACATTAATTGAACAATCACTTTGTACAAAATACTCTACATTACTAGATAGCCTTGATTTCACCAATGGAGCCAAATAACCAGGCTGTCACAAATGTGTTGTTTGATATTGTTTTGGCATTTTAGTTAGTATTCTATTATTTTAAGTCTGATATTTTTAAACGTATTATATAGCTACAAAATAATCTGCATATGAAATCATGTAGAATAGTGTCAATAAGCTATCTACACAAAATGAAAAAGCCAATAGTCATAGCTTTCACTTTCAATCTACCATCTGTAGCTGGAATGAACTTCCTCAAACACAGATGCAAACAGATTATTCACCTGCTTCAAAGCTTTCAAGAATTCTCCATCATCTAAATCACTCTTCCTAAAAATTTGGTTCAATAAACATCTGCAACAGAATCCCCAGCAATGTATTTTTTAATGTGATTCAAAGATGATGCTTTGAATCTATTTTTTCAATAAACACTCGAGACAATTGTTTTGCACAGTAAAATTCCTCCCTCCCTTCCTTCTTTCCTTCCTTCTTTCCTTCCTTCCTTCCTTCCTTCCTTCCTTCCTTCCTTCCTTCCTTCCTTCCTCCCCTCCTCCCTCCCTCCCTTCCTTCCCTCCTTCCCTCTCTCCTTTCCTTCCTTCCCTCTCTCCTTCCCTTCCTTCCCTCTCTCCTTCCCCCTCTCCTTCCCTCTCTCCTTCCCTTCCTTCCTTCCCTCCCTTCGCTCCTTCCCTTCCTTCCCTCCTTCCCTTCTTTCCTTTCCTTCCCTTCCTTTCCTTCATTCCCTTCCTTTCTTCCCTTCCTTCCCTCCCTTCCCTTCCTTCCTTCCTTCCTTCCTTCCTTCCTTCCTTCCTTCCTTCCTTCCTTCCTTCCTTCCTTCCTTCCTTCCCTTCCTTCCTTCCTTCTTCTTCCTCTTCATATTTTAATGGTGAAGTTTTTATGCTTATATAATATGGGGGAAGCATTTTTTATTTTCCTTCTGAATATAGCTCTTTAGGGCTGAATGAGCCTTTTGTTTTGTCTAAATGTATCGAGCAACACACTTTGCAGATAAGAAAGCTAACACACTATGGTGATTTCTGTAACACTGAACACTGCTATTAGGAATTGGACCAATGCCAGGAGCCATTTCTCATTGACAATTAAACACCCATCAACTGGTAATGATGACTCCTCGTAACTTGTGACACAGACCAGACAGAAGGGCTATGATCTGTATGGAAAAGGTATTTTATCTCATTACTCATCCGTGGAGCCATTCACTGCCTCAGAATGTTGAATGACTGGAGCCCTCCCTGAAGAGAAAGCTACAAATTATAGGGGGGTTTATGAGAAATATAGATATTCTATTGTAAATAATATACATATGTTTTTATTTGATTTGTGTATGTATGTTTTTGGTGAATATTAAACTTTTCCTTGGTTATTAAACTGTAGTTTTCAAAAGTTGGAAAACTGTTGCATGATATACACACAGAAAGTTAGCTTCAAAAGGGACAATTTTTTACACAGTATTTGCTTCTCAAAAGTTGATTTTAAAATGTTAATATTACATGTTAAAGAATTTAACTTTTATTCCACTCACAAAATAAGTATTATACTTATTTTGTTTAGAATACTTATTTTGCAAAGAATGGTTTTCAGAACATAAATCTTTGGAAATCTGTACTGCATGCAAAAGAAGTTTGTTTCCTTCTTTTTGCTTTGTTTTTGAGGCAGTGTCTCTTACTCTTGTCTCCCAGCCTATAGTGTAGTGGCATGATCATGGCTCACTGCAGCCTCAACCTCTCTTGTTTGGCTAATTTTTTTTTTTTTTTGTATTTTTTTGTAGAGAGTGGGTTTTGCCACTTTGCCCATGCTGGTCTTGAACTCCTGAGCTCAAGCGATTTGCCCTTCTCTGCTGCCGAAAGTGCTGGGATTACAGGTGTGAGCCCCAAGTTTGATTTCCCACACAAGTTAAATGCAATTGATTGTAATACATTTTTAACACTCCTTTAGCACTAATAATATGTAGCTACCCTATTATTTTGTAAATAGAATTTATGCTTTACTGAAAGATTTCTAACTCTTCATGTTTTCACTCTTTTGCAAGGAAATCAGCCAAGTTCTCAATTACAAAGGACAATTTGACAATCAGTGAAATTGAATTTGTTCCCAATCGTCATAGATCATTGGCAAGCATATGGTTTCAGGGTATGGGGCTGTACTCTTGATAGGCTACCTTATTTAGTCTGTTTGTAAATTATGAGAATTTAATATTGTAAAACAAAAAGAAGTAACCAAAGAATATGCATTTCTGAAAATATCCTCTTTGCATAATTTTCATCTTTAACTTCTTTAGCTACGTACTTCCTTAAAATACCATTATCCTACTGTACCCAATATAGTTGTTGTGTGTATTGGAAAGTTTATAATTATAAAAATAAGAACTATTTGGCTTCTTTATATAGGTCATTAAATCCTGGGAATTAAATTTTACCTTTAATGCCAAAATAATAACTGTCGATTTGTATTTATTTTATTTGAATTAAGGTATAAGTGTTTTTTTTCCTACACATTACAACTAAATTATCTAATTGGCAGATAAAGAAAAAATAATTATATATGATCCATATTTAACTAGTACAAGGAATAGAGAAATATGAACAGACATTCAATGTTATAATAAATTTTGATGATATATTAGGCTTTTGGGGAAAATGCTCAATATTTCTCCAAATTCAAAAACTCTGAAATGCATGTAATTCGACAAATACTTATTAGGTACTTATCACCATAATTACATACTTATATATTTTTTATATCATTTAGTTTGAAAACTGAGTCTAATAACATAATTTATTTTATGTGTAAGAAAATAAGTTTCAGAGAAGCAAGGAACCATCAATTCAAACTAGTAAGATTCTGGAATAACTTTTGGAGAGGCTGAAAAAAGTATATGAGATAATTTTTTTTTAAGATGGAATTTTGCTCTTGCTGCCCATGCTGGGGTGCAGTGGCACGATCTCAGCTCATTGCAACCTCCACCTCCCAGGTTCAAGCAGTTCTCCTGCCTCAGCCTCCCAAGTAGCTGGGGTTACAGGTGTGCACCACCACTCCCGGCTAATTTTTTTTTTTTTTTTTTTTTGTATTTTTAGTAGAGATGGAGTTTCACCATGTTGGTCAGGCTGGTCTCGAACTCCTGACCTCAAGAGATCCACCTGCCTTGGCCTCCCAAAATGCTGGGATTACAGGCGTGAGCCACTGTGCCTAGCTGAGATAAGAAATTTTAAACAGTAGTTCCTATAGAGGAAACTCTCTTTTGCATGGAAAAATGTGGCCTAAAATCTCTGGTTAAGGATAATTTTTAATAATATAACACTAATATTTACTTGTATGAAAATCGTAAATATACCATTAAAATGGTGCCTGATTTGGTATCTGGTAAAAGTTTACCTCTTTCTCTTAGTTCTTGGAGCACCATGGATGGAGCTGAATTACTGTAATAAGATTTGTATTCTGTACTGAAGCATAGTGGTTAAAAGTTTGGGGTCATACTGCCTGAGTCAGAATATTTACCCTGGCACTTACCGGCTGAGCCTACGTTGGCATACTATTTACACTTTCTGCCTCTCAGCTTTACTATTTGTTAATAAAAATGTAAATATCACCCATTTTGTTGTGTGGATTAGATGATGCATTGCCATTTATTGGTAGCTCTTAATCTTTGTTTTTTAAAAATTATTGAAATATGATTAATAGTTTAGTCTTTACCAGATAGCTGAATTATGAATATATATGCATTTAATTGTCACAAATTCCCTTTACATAATTTTTGCTAGGTTCTATGTTTTCAAAAGAGATTTTTTTATATATATAATATATATGTATAATTTGCTTTGCTTAGGACTATAAAGGTACTTTGTCTACCTATCAATAATGCATTAAATAGATTTAATTGATTAACAAATGAATGGATGCTAATGGTTTAGATTGTCTGCCAGCGTTGCCTAATGCCAAGAAACAAATCAATGAATGGTGCAAAATGCAAATTTGATTGAAAAAAGTGTTCTACTTAGGTATTTACAGGCATGACTCTAAGAATAGTCATTCCAGAAACAGTTTGTAAAGTGCATAGTGATTTGTGTTATGATCTGCTTATGATAATTTGTAAAGCACTTCAATTGCTACAACATTGAAATTGATTTTTTGGGGGGAGCATTTTGAAGAGTGTTAAAGGGCAAGAGTTGTAAATATACACAAATCAGAATCATATTCTTATTTGACACATTTGGCTGACATGCCTCCATATACCATAACTTACCTTTCAAAATGTAGAAGAACTAGATTGTGAAAGACTGTGAGAGATGTCAAACTACAGTGCCTAACAGCTCTTATCTTTGGACAAGTCATAGTCAATGATCATTAAAGTTCCCTGATCTTGCCCGCAACAGTGTGAAAATGCAAACATGGAGGTCGCACTGCCAATCATTACTTAAGGTTATTGTTGCCTTTTGGAGCAGTCACCATAGCAATGGAAGTGAATTCATTAAAAGTCTATGGCTCCCTAACACTCTTGAAAAAAATATGGCCTCTAGAAGGGAGGGAACCTTAAGCTCTCCAGTTAATTCCCTCTGACTAATGATTTAATTGATTAACAAATGAATGAATGCTAATGGTTTAGATTGTCTGCCAGCATTGCTTAATGCCAAGAAAAAAATCAACTAATGGTGCAAAATGCAAATTTTATTGAAAAAAATGTATTCTATTTAGGTATTACAAGCATGACTTTATAAACTTTTTATACCTTCCACATTATGGAAGGATATAAGATGCAGCCTTTTTCCTCTGAAAATATATCTTTTAAAAAATGTTTCCAAAGAAAAGTCTGAGTATGTATTTACATTGATGAAGAAAGGATAAGATTGAATTTCAGGAATGAACATAAACATATTCTTTATATAAGGATTTTGTACATCAAAAAACAAAAACAACTGTGGAATTGTTTACTTACTATAATGCCTGGCCCCTACCTCCCCAAAATATTAGTATAGAAGTTGTATTATACATTTGCTTTACATTGATTAATATATTTATATAGTTTTTTCCTCCACTAGTTTCTTACTTGTTTATCTTTCTTTTCTCCCTTTACTTTGTCTGTAAATGGATATCACATATCTGAAATATAAACTATGTATAGTTTTATTGAATATACTTTCTCCCTTATTATTAGCAACCATGAGTAGGAATTATTTCTTCCTGAAAATACCAACTAAAGTTTACAACATATAGTTAATATAGTTAATATTTTCATTGATGATGATGATATTTTAAAAGTTTGTCTGTAACTTAGACAAACAATTGACTTAGAACACTTAACTTTTATTTTTCTTTCTATTGGTTGGTGACCCCGGATAGATCAATATAAGTTTTCTTACACATGGTCTGTCCCGTTTCCAATTTAGCATCTTCTAGTCTACCTAACCTCTAACCAAGTATATTAACTATTTATTGTGAGTATCTGCATGCTGGATACTTTACTTATAGCATCTGAATCTTTACAACATCTTGTAAAGTAGGCATTTATTATCCAACATTGATGAAAACAGTAGAGACTGGAACAGGATGTGTGACCTGCCTATAGTTGCCCAATTAGGATGTGGCAGATCCACAATTGACTCGTTTCCAGGTTAAAAAAAGAAAAAAAAAAAGTGAATGCAGCCCCCTTACTAAATGTAAACTTGAACTAGTTGCTTTACCTCTTTGATCCAAATTTCTTCTCTGTATTAAGTGTAACATCAATCCTGGCCTAATTCCCAGAGGTCGTATGTGGTGATGAACATAGCTGCTGTCCAGCAATGGACACTGAAAGGTGTACCTTTCTTTGTTGTTATTTTTTCTCCCTCTCTCTCTCTTTTGTTTTTACTATTTTCCTGCTTATCTGCCTCTCTAGTATGGAAGGGTAAAACGTATGTCCAAGTTTAATTTCTGGTTCAATTTTGCTACAACCTACATGATACTGGGGACATTACCTTCTGAACCAGTTTTCTTATTTCATAAGCAAGAGATACAAAGACAGACTATGTATGCCGTTTGGTAAAAATCGGGGATTCAATAAGTGTTGGTTCTTTCTTATCCTCTTTGCTTTGTGAAACATGAAGCTCTATGTAAATATTAGGTACTAGTATTATTATCAGGAACTAAAAAATAATGCCACCAAAATTATATTTAATTTGATACCCAGATAGACTCAAAAGAAATCAATTAACTTCTAACTTTTCAGGTGCTATTTGCCCATAGGATGCCATGATTACCTTCTGATTATTTAGGAATCAGCACTTATCTGTTCTCTAGATGGGGGAAAGAAAAAAAAAAACTCTTTCTCTTTATAATCTACCCTTTCAGCTGTTTGTTATACACTAATTTCTCATAAATTATTTGGACATTGGTTCTTTCCAAATACTCTTCCAATGCTGAGATTTTATTATTCTAGACTTAAATCTTGATTCTTTATATACAAATTATTTTCACCTTACCTGTGAAATCTAAAGATCCATTTCTCCTGTTAAATTAGCTAGTTTAGCATTCTCTTAGCTGCTTTACCTGACCTCTGCTCCAGTCCCCTCTGATGACTCTACGCTGTCCTAAAAAATCACTTTACTTATTGTTTTTTCCCATGTCAACTCTCCTTCAGCCCCACCATACTTCTCAATATTTTCCTTCTTTCCTGGGCCTATTTTTCTCACTCTTTAATTTCTCCACACTTTGTCTCTCTTATTTTCTATCTCCTGAGTCTCCTCCCTTTAGTTCCTCTAATATTCATTGTGATCTTTTGCCACTTCTTCCTGGCTATGATCCAATCTCCTCTCTTTCAAATCACAAAGAACTATTTTTTTTTACATGATACAAAGAAGATAAAGGAGGTACTTAGTATATTTGTAAAGAGCATAAATATTTATATAATGTAAAACATATGGCAAAAGAAAGACTAGAGGCTTGAAAGTGGTTCGTGTGGATAGTTAGAATTTTCTATGGTGAGTATATCTGAAATATTCAATTTCCATTGCTAAGGATTAGAGGTTTGATGTGTGTCCAGTAAACAAAAACATGGCTGAGGAGACCTTGGAGAAATAGGTAGTGCAAAATTAATTCTGCATTTTTAGTGCTTTCAATGTTTCACATGTGATTCTATTGTTATGTTTCTCTTGTCATTTGACAACCATGCAAGGTGGCTTGCTGATGTTATCTTTCTGTGTTTTATTGTTAGTTGCATAGAATGTATTTAGCTATTCATGATGCTGTCTGTTTTCTGGTGTTCCTCTTGCCTTTTAAGTCTTTGTTTTTCCTGTTCCCTGTTCACGATGAATTTGCAGTATTTTTCCCAGTATTTGTGAGGTTGAAACATATGATGTTGACACCTCTTTTTGTCAAATGTCAAATTTTTGAGGATTTTTTCTTAGATATCTTTGAAGTAAAATTTATATTTGAATGTGCAAATCGGTAACAAATTAAGATAGTCCTTAGTAAATTCCCTACTAAATTCTCATGAAATACTTATTGGATTTCTCAATAAATGTAAATACATGCCTCTGTGAAGTAATTCCAATGCCTCACATTTATACAGAATCATAATAAAGTTTCACACATATCATCTTTTTTTTGCAATTTACATCAAAATTGTGCTAGGTAAAGCAGATATTCTTCCTCCCATTTACAGATAAGGACTTCCAGAAGTTTCATATTCTCAAGGTTATATGGCTAGAAAGAAATTGAGACTGAAATATTCAGGTTCACTAAGTTTATTCATAATTCATTGCTTTTCCACTCTTGTCTAAGTTCAGGCTGCCACAACAAGAAATCATAAACTGGGTGGCTTATAAACAGAAATTTATTTTTCACAGTTCTGGAGGCTGAGAAGTCCAAGATCAAGGTGGATTTTGTGTCTAGTGAAGGCCTGTCTTCTCTCTGAAACCCCACTTGGTGGAAGGGCTAGGTAGCTGTCTCTGATTTCTTTTATGAGGGCACTCATTCTAATCATGAATGCTCCACATTCTAATCATGAATGCTCCACATTCAAGGTATAATCTCCTCCCAAAGGCCTCCCCTTCTAACATCATCACCTTGAGGGTTCGGATTCAGGAATTTGTGTAGGGGTGAGGAGGACAACACAAAGATTTAGACCATAGACCTTCTTATATATAAATACTTGTAGAATGTGAAACTGCTTCAATGCCTTTAATTTAAAAGTCATTTATATTTTCTATCTTCATTATCATAATATCTATCAAGTGCCAGCCACTCTACTTATATTATTTATTGTCTTTACTGCAGATCTATAAGCCAAGTCTAATTAGATGAAGATGGCATCAGAGTATTTTAATAAGACGTCCAAAGTCAAAAACTTGAAAGTACATAGTCTTGCATTTAACTTATTCTACATATGCCTCTGTGTGTATTATGTCTACTATCATATACTATATAATTTTTAAAAGAGTTTTAAACAAACTCTTTAATACCACTTTGTTCTGCAGTTAGAAAACATAGTTCATGACTATTATCTAGTTAAAAGAAAAAGAATGAAAAGAAGAAAAGTGAGTTGTAATATAGCATCAATAGAACTTCTAGCTTAGGTCCTCTCTAAACTCATTTGTCTAATATTTATTTTTGCATCAGGGAATTTGTAATCATATCAGTGACTTGGATATACATGCAATGGCATGCATACAAGCCACCAATGAGGCCAACTGCACATTGAGAAAGATACATGTTGCCATGAGATAGCTCAGCAATGTTTCACATAAACACATGCAGGTGCACATACATAAACACATTGCTCATCATCTAACCAGTCACATTTCAATTATATCACTGTATTTGTTTTCCATTGCTGTGCAATAAAGTATCACAAACTAAGAAATGTAAAGCAACATGAATTTCTTTTCTCACAGTTTCCATGGATCAGGTGTTTGAATACAACAAATCTGGGTCCTCTGCTCAGGATCTCCATATCTGCAACTGATGTGTCAAGTCCATTGTGCTTCTTTCTGAAGCCTAAGGTTGTCTTTCAAGCTCATGTGGTTGTTGATAAAAATTGGTTTCTTTCAGTTGTAAGACTGAAATCCCTTTTTCCTTGCTGGCTGTCAGCAGATGGTCTCAATGACTAGAGGCCACCCACAATTTTTTGCCAGGTGGTCTTCTCACAAGTCCTCTCACGGCATGGCAGCTCACTCAAAGTCTAAAAGAATGGCCCCTTGAGTCTGCTAAGAAAAAGCCTTATAACACAATCATGGTAATGAATATCCCATCACGTTTGCCATATTCTATTGGCTAGAAGCAAGTCACAAAATTCTACCCACACTTAAGGGGAAGAGACTGAAAAGGCCATATCTCATTGGGTGTCATCTTAGAATTTTGTCTGACATAATAACGTATAAGATGGAATTTTTTTTTTTTTTTTTTTTTTTTTTTTTTTGAGAAGGAGTCTTGCCCTGTCACCCAGGCTGGAGTACAGTGGCGCGATCTCAGCTTACTGCAAGTTCTGCCTCCTGGGTTCAAGCGATTGTCCTGCCTCAGCCTCCCAAGTAGCTGGGATTACAGGCATGCGCCACCATGCCCAGCTAATTTTTTGTATCTTTAGTAGAGACAGGGTGTCACCATGTTGGCCAGGCAGGTCTCAAATTCCTGACCTCGTGATCCGCCTGCCTTGGCCTCCCAAAGTGCTGGGATTACAGGCACGAGCCACTGCGCCCGGCCACAAGACAGAATTTTCTAAGAAGAGCAAAAAAGTGCCAAATTCTCTTTCCACTAAGGCTGATAGGAAAATGACTTAATAATAGAGAACCTGACACCAGGTATCGGTTCATAGAAAGAGAATCAAGTTTTCCCTTGTCCACCTATGGTAAATTGCTGATGTGCTTTCACTCACTACTTTCTGTTGAAAATTTTATCTTGCCATTATCTTTTGTTGTTTTTCTTCTACCTGCAACCTAATGTAATTCTAGTAATGTGAGTAGACTGAAAAAAGTAATTATTAGTGCCAATTAAGTTGAATACATTTTTTAATATGAGAATAAAATTTCATCAACTATAATGAATTTAAAATCATATCTATCCATATTTTGTTTCCATTTGATTGCATAAGATTACAAGTACGTTTCAACATATTCTTAAGCATTTCCTTATGTATTTCTTTTTCTGTAAATTGTTTTTGGCTTTAGCCAAGACTATAATAAGATGACTTCTCACAATAATAGCATTTCTGAGAAAACAGTTTCCTAACAGGTAGTTATATTCAATTGCAAGAGTTTCCACTCCCTGAGAATTCAAGAGTCACAGTCTAAGATTTACTAACAGTGGGCCAGTATATTATGAGGGAAGTCTTATTTGTAGCTCAGTATCCTCTATTAGCTGAGGGTATGAGTGACTATAATACTGATGATAATTTATTGCATAACAAAAGATTTTACTATTGTAGCATTTAAATTAATCATGTAACGGGGAGGGTCTTTTCTGTTTCTATTCATTCAAAGGCATTTCTTCATGTTGTATCTCTACTTTCTCATGTCATAGAAAACATTAGACATGATTAACTGCAGGTATCTGTGCCTCATGATATCCAAGCAAAGTCCTTTTTATATTTCATCTTATAATTGTATTTGCAACTTAATGTTTGAAGTGTCAGTCTTTGTAAAATTAGCTCATCTTGTTATGATTTAGAGCTTTGATGTAAGTGAAAGGCTTCGATTGCAATGCAGAGTCACATCTGAGAGTAAACTGCATAGACAAAGAGACTTACAAGACTAGTAAATCAAATACTCTGAGCTGTCTATGTGGATTATGAGATAGTATTTGCATAACTTTGAAGTATTTATACTGATGAAATTACAATAATTAAAATCATTGCTGTGTCAATTGCTAGATGCCACAAGGCACAGCAATTACTAGCATGCAAATCAGACTTTGTGTAAGCATTTTAAGGAATAATTACCTTATTTGATTCAGATGTGCCTGAAAGGCATTAAGAATCATTTGAGCTATTTTTCCTTCAATAATTTTAAGGCTCGTAGATAATGTTGTTGTTATTATCAATTATTTACTTTTGTGTATTACTTTTCCTTATTTTGGTTGAAAGTAAATGCCATAGATAAAATAAAAACATACAACTTTGCTGTAACTAAAAACAATTTACAGTATCTGTTAAACCTGCATCTCAGTTCAGCAACCACTTTTCTTTCTAATGGGCTTTACTTGCTATGTCATCAGTTTCATGCTAAATAGCTAATGTGTACCCAATGTCTATATTCCCACAACTTAAGATCAGGGCTGTGAACTGCAAGAAAATGCTAGAGTAAAAAATCAAGACATAAGAAGTTACAGAATATCCACACAAATATATTTGCCACAGAATATGTATAGGTGGTCATTTAGCCAGTTCAAAAGTTTAGTTTTCAAATTGCAAATGTTTTACCTTCTAAAATTGACACCAAACTTTATACAATACATGAAGTCAGATCTGATATCATATCAGATAAGTGAATGATATGATTGAATTGAATTGAATGATAATTTAGAAATCATTAAATACTTTTTTGAAGACTTTGGGTAAAGTGATGGTTAATGGAGGCTTACTTACATATCATTGTTTCCTTAACAAAATATCAAGTCCTGATCTGTTTTTTTCTATTGTGTAAGTAATAAAAATAAAAAGTTTTTTTAATGTATCATGTATAATAATTGATTTATGTGTCACTGAATCAAAGCAGAGATTTTTATGAGAACTGTTGCCTAACCTGCTTTCTTTCTTGGGCCTTGCTCTATTCCCTCATGACTCTTAATAAATAGTGTCTACAAATGGCTACAATTTTATTTTAGTCCCTTGAAAATTCAGGCTGTTTTCATGAGCAAAGTTTTTCTATTTTAACATGTGTTACTTTGCTTGTCGTCTGAAAGATCCTGAAAATATACCAGATTTTGTATTTCAGTTAGTTGAAAAGTTAACCTGAAATTAAAGTTTTCTTGATTATCTATACAAATTATCTTTCCATTTTGGATAGATATGGGAATAATTTCTGTTTTTTATTTTACAAAAGGCATACATATCTAAAAACTATAACATTCATTTACAATATATTTTAAAAATTAATTTTAGATTATTTAAGTTAACATAACAACTTGCTCTGGAAAGTATGTTCTGTGAAAATAACGTATGTACAGGAGAGAAACTAATAATGAACATGTGAGTTTTGTGTTTCTCTTTTTTCTAGATCTATTGCTAGTTGTACAACTGATACACAGTCTCTAGTGAGATACAAATTAATAGACAAATAAGTGTTACTCCTCATGAAAAGCTTCTGGAAGAAAGTTTCTAAAATTATGTGAGGAATATTTTTAAGTATATTGTAGAGCACTCATTAAATATTTGTTCCTTGAGTGAGTAAAGACATATAAGAAAAATTCACATTTACTAGAATACATTTTTTGGAAAAATTCAGAAAAGTAAGTTTCTCTTTTTTTTTTAGCAACAAAATGTTCCATTGCCATATGTCACAAACAAAAAAGAAAGTTTGAATTTTATCATGACAATTCTATATGATATTAATAGTGGGATACCGAATTTGGATACTATAATAATCTTTTGCAACAAAAAGTGTTGAAATATAGAAAAGGACTATGAGGCATAGAGGTTCTTATAAAAATAAAGCTTGTGAAAAATTCTAGTTTCTGCAACCAGTGGAAATTAAAAAGGTTTATTGATTTTCCATTTCAATATATTTTTAAATCTAGTCTTCTTTGTTCTGGTCTCGCTTTCCTGTTGAGTGACTGTGGGTAACCTATTTGACTCTTGCAATGTACTTTAAGCCTCATTTTTATTATTTTAAATGAAGCTTTCATAGATACATTTCTTCCCATTCTTTTCTATCTTACAAATATCATAGAAAATAAAGTTCCTTTGATGACTCTTAATTAGGTTGACTTGCAACAACACTTTTGTGACTTAGTTACAAGGCCTCTTATAGCCCATCCTAAAGTAAAAAAAATATTTATTTGTTCCCTGTGGCAAAATAAATTGATCATTAATATGTACACACTGGTTAGAAAGTTACGCAACATGAATACTTTTATCATCACAATGCATTTGAATAATAGTGTCATTACTGTCAGTTCTCTCTTTAATAACAGATAGATGTGCTTAACCACAATGAATCATTGCGCTCTAGAACACATTGAGTCAAGATTTTAAAAACAACTTAATTTCTTTTAATTTCCTAACATTTTCTGTAGAGATCTTGGTTTTAAAATTAGTACTGACCAAATTATACATCACTTTTTGTCTTGATATGCTAAAAAAAGAAATGGCATAGTAGACCACCTGAATGTAGATGATTTTATTTCATATTTATATTTATTTAGCATTCAAAACATACGCTTACAGCATATGCTTTAGGATGATGTGCTTATATTTATGTTCATATTCTCAATGATTGCAGGATAGCACTATGCTACAGACCTGAGCATACAATAAAGAATGAACCTTACATGATTCAGAGCAATAATTCAAAACAATCCGAATTCCAGTATTCCTTAGAGAACATTTTAAAAATGGAATCCCATTCTCTTTCCCAGAGTTGCAGAATCAGTAGCTCAGGGAAGTCAACCCTGGGACTCTGCATTACAAAGAAATTTTCTAGAGATGCTTATCCACAGCCCGGTTTGGTAATCACTGTCAAGTTTCAGTGTGCATGGAGGAGCCCCAGACAGTACATATGTGTCCCTGAGACCACAAAGTAGGGGAGAGATGGGAACCTAAAACTTGGTTAACCATGTCTTTTTTCTTTTTCCTCCCTAAGGCCAATAAACTTTTACCTATTTTATATCCAGCTTCAGTGAAAAATTTCACTATGCAAAAATAGTTGTAGTCAAAAATAATTTATTGAACCGGTGCTTTTTAAAGTTGACTTTTTGGCTTTTAACAACTAGTTTCATCTTGAGTGCAGGTCTTTTCCCCTACATATATAGAAATAAATGGGTATTTTCTTAACATGAAAATGAACAAATATATATCAGAAAACAAAATTTAGCAGCATGCTTGATGAAATGGCAGAATTTCTAAGAAAATCAGAAACCAGACAAACTTGCATATTATTTATGGCACATTATAATATCGTTTTGGAGGGCTACTTGAAGCAGTGAACCTGAGAATTAAATCTAAGTTTTATATGCTAGAAAGAGAACTTAAAAAAAGGATAATTTATAAGTCCAAGAAAATAAAGTAAGGAAAATTAGATAATAGCGTTGTATGGCCAGTTAAAATTTAGTAGGGTCACTAAAGTGTCAAATGCAAAACCTTTACCTATGTAAATTCTAAAAATAAAGGTGAATCATTGGGGAAAACAGACAACTGAAAACAACAATAAACACTGTATAATATTTAAAACCTCACAATAAATATTCAGAATCTATATGAAGAAAAGCATGTAATGCTATGTAAGGGACAGTATAGGATGATAGAGAATAATACAGATATGTCTTACTTTTGAAGGAATACAATGTTATAACAGTGAAGAAAAATACTATAGAGATATCAAGTATCTCAAAGTCAATCTATATATTCAATGCAACTTCAATTAAAAAGCACACAGTGTTGCCTGAAGGTATTTAACAAAAATTGTAAAGTTCATAAGAATAAAAATAGAATCAGAAAATTATGAAAATGAAAGAAATGATTACATGATACAAGTGATAGAAGGTAAAACCCAACACATAGATATATGAAATTCTAGTCACAAAAATTAATATAATACTGGCACTGCAATGAATAGACAAAGGAGTCAAGAAATTAAGCAATATATGTATAAGAATATACGAAAACACTTCAAATCGATAGGGAAAATACAGCATTAAAATATATTAGAAGAATTCTGTTTCTGGGCAACAAACAACAATAAGGACTAGAAACACTTTCCTTCCTGAAACCATTAAAAACCAAACAATATCCATAAAACAACGGTTTCAGACATTGAACATTGAACAATATAAGACAATTTTCACTGAGATCAATTGAAGCAAGTCCTAAAATTGCCCCAGCTTAGTGCCTAGAAAAGGATTCAAGGACACAGTGCAGCAAGGGACAACCAAGATGGAGTTCAGATTATCTCCTGAGTTGAGAAGCTAGAGCTGGGAATTTAGGCGGTCACAGAAGCTAGAATTCACAGGACAAATTAGGAAAGAAGTGAGAGATCCCCAGAGAATTCCAGAGTTCTGCAAGGCAATTACCCTTAAGTCTTCATCTGAGTATTGATCAGTGCATGCAGGTGAGAAAACTACCTAAGGCTGAGGTGGAAGAAAAAGAACAAACAATCCCAAATAACTCATAAAAGGCAGCAAATTTGCATTGCCATCAGCCAGAGTGGAAAACCTTATAATTCACTGGACATTGGGCAAAGTACTCACAGGGATATTGTATCAGGATTCAGACAAAATTAGTTTTAGACTAAAGACTGATTTGATCTTGCACATAAAAGTTTAAAAGCAAAACTCAAGTGGCTCATGTTGTTTCTAACTAATTTAACTGCATTTCAGTACAAAACTCAAGAATATTTCTAGAAATGCAAAAATATCCAGCACTTAGAAAGGCAATATTAAAAATGGTTAGTATTCAATAAAAATTATTAAGGATACCAAGAAATAGGAAAGTACAACCCACAATAAAGAGAAAATTCAACCAATAATGATGTAGTGAAAATGGAAATGTTATAGAATTCATAGAAACAGACATAAATCTCTTATAACTATAGTTCACAAATACAAGGACATAGGGAAGAAACTGAGTATGTATGTCATCATGTAGATGCCATAAAAAGAGACACTATGAATATAAAGAAAGAATAAAGAGCAGTGTAATGGTAAATATGAGGGTAAATATAAAATATATTTTTCTTCTTTTTAAATGTCTCTTAAGATAATTGACCATCGATATGATTTGGATCTGTGTTCCCACCAAATCTTCTGTTGAATTGTGATCTCCAGTGTTGGAGGTGGGATCTGGTGGGAGGTGATTGGATCTTGGGGGTGGATTTCTCATGAATGGTTGGCACCATCCCCTTTGTGCTGTTCTTGTGACTAGTGAATGAATTCTTATGGAACTTGTTTGTTTAAAAGTGTGTGGCACCTCCCCCTACTCTCTGTTTCTCCTGCTTTGGCCATGAGACGTGTCTGCTTTCCCTTTATCTTCTGCCAAAATAGTAAGCTTCCTGAGGCCTCTCCAGAAACCAAGCAGATGCCAGCATCATGCTTCCTGTACAATCTGCAGAGCCATAATCCAATTAAACCTCTTTTCTTTATAAATTACACATTCTCAGGTATTTCTTTGTAGCAACATGATAATGGATTAATACAGAAAATTGGTACTGAGGAGGGTGGCATTGCTATAAAAATACTTGAAATGTGGAAGCGGCTTTGGAACTTGGCAACAGCGGAGGTTGGAAGAGTTTATAGGGCTCAGAAGAAGACAGAAAGATGAGGGAACTTTTGGAATGCTTAGAGACTTAAATTGTTGTAACCAAAATGTAGATAGTGATATGGACAGTGAAGGCCAGGTTGAGGAGGTCTTAGATGGAAATGAGAAACTCCTTGGGAACTGGAACAAAGGTCACTTTTCTCATGCCTTAGCAAAGAATTTGGCTGCATTGTGCCCCTGCCCTAGGGATCTGTGAAATTCTGAAATTTTTAAGCAACAAAACATTCAAGAAATGGCCTGGCTGCTTCTAACAGCCTGTGCTCATATGTCTGAGCAAAGAAGTGATCTAAAGCTGGAACTTACATTTAGAGAAGCAGCAGAGAAAAAAAAGCTGGGAAAGTTTCCAGCCTGACTATGTGGTAGAAAAAAAAAAAAAAAGCCCATTTTTAGTTGGGGGAAATCCCCTGCAGAAATTTGCATAACTAAGAAGAAGGTAAGTGCTAATAGCAAAGACAATGGAGAAAAAGCCTTGAAGACATTTCAGAGGCCTTCATGGCAGCCCCTCCCATCACAGTTCCAGAGTTGTAGGAAGACTGAGTGGTTTCTTTGTGGGCCAGGTCCAGGGCCCTGCTGCCTTGCTCAACCTCAGGACGCTGCTCTTTGCATTTCAGCCACTCCAGCTCCAGCCATGTCTCAGAGGGGCTCAGGTACAGCTCAGGCTGCTCTTCTGGAGGGCAAAAGCTGTAAACCTTGGTGGCTTCCAGGTGGTGTTAAGCCTGCAGTTTCAAAGAATGCAAGAGCTGAGGCTTAGAAGCCTGTGCCTAGATTTCAGAGGATGTATGGAAAGCCTGGGTGGCCAAGCAGAAGCCTACTGCAGAGGCAGAGCCCTCATGGAGATCTCTACTTGAGCAGCTTGGAAGGAAAATGTGAGTTTGGAGCCCCCACACAGAGTCCCCCCTGGGGCACTGCCTAGTTGAGCTGTGAAGAAGGGGGCCACCATCCTACAGATCCCAGAATGTTAGATCCACTGACAGCTTGCATTGTGTGTCTGGAAAAAAACACAGATACTCAATGCCAGCTCATGAGAGCCACCCTGGAGGCTGAACCCTGCAAAGCCATAGGAGTGGAGCTACCCAAGGCTTTGGGACTCCACTTCTCACACTAGTGTGTCCTGGATGTTGGACATGGACATGAAGTCAAGGAAGATTATTCTGGAACCTTAAGATTTAATGATTTTTCTGTTTGGTTTTGTACTTGCATGGGGCCTGTAGCTCCTCTCTTTTGGCCAATTTCTGCCTTTTGGAATGGGAGTATTTACCCAATGCTTATAACCCTCTTGTATCCTGGGTGTAACTAGCTTGTTTTTTATTTACAGGCTCATAGGTGACAATGACTTGCCTTATCTCAGATGAGAATTTGGACTTTGGACTTTGGACTTTTGAGTTAATATTGGAGTGAGTTAAGACTTTAAGGGACTATTGGTAAGGCACAATTGTATTTTGCAATGTGAGAATGACATGAGATTAGGGAGCCAGAGCAGAATGATATGGTTTGGATCTGTGTCCCCACCAAATCTTCTGTTGAATCGTAATTCCCAGTGTTGGAGGTGGGACCTGGTGGGAGGTGATTGGATCTTGGGGGTGGATTTCTCATGAATGGTTTAGCACCATTCCCTTGGTGCTGTTCTCATGATTGCGAGTGAATTCTTGTGAGAGCTGATTGTTTAAAAGTGTGTAGCACCTCCCCCTTCACTCTCTAGCTCCTGCCCTGTAATACATGCTGGCTCCCCCTTTGTCTTCCACTGTGATTGTAAACTTCCTGAAGCCTGCCCAGAAGCTGAGCAGATGAAAGCATCATGCTTCCTGTATAGCCTGTGAAACTGTGAGCCAATGAAACCTCTTTTCTTTATAAATTACTGAGTCTCAGGTATTTCTTTATAGCAATGCAAGAATTCACTAATACAACCATTCAGGTTTGGGATTTTCAGCATATATTGAGAAGTAAAATGTATGGTAACAATAGCACAGAAACCAAAAAGGGGACAATGGAAGATTACTTTTATATGACTCATCTAATATACTTCCCATGGAAGTCAAGAGACTGCTCTTCCTACTCTGAACTACACTTGTCACCTAAGCTTGAAAGCATGACTGCTTGTTTTCACCGATTTCCTAAAATCCCTCCTAAATTGTACATGAAGTGTCTTTTGATAACATTTAGACATTAGTTCCCCAGCACAGACCAGAAGAACCTACATCATATAGTTGGTTGATCTCACAAGTTGCATTTTCTCTCTCAGGTTGTCCATACTAACTGCTCCCTTTTTCTTCACACCAACCCTGTCATGTAAATCAACCCTGAAAAATTAATCTGATCACCACTTCACCGAATATATTATGATTATAAATGAATTCCAGGTAAGATGGAGATGGGTCTTCTATTACAAAAAAAAAAAAAAAAATACTAATGAAGTCACTGAATCAACAGGGAAGTGATTTTTAGGTATAAAATAGAAAGTTCTTAACCCAGGTACCAAATTATCAGGTCATTAGTTGTACTTTCCTTTATACTGAAATTTCAAGTAACTTACCAATATTGAAAATGCATTTGTGTTAACTCTCCCTTTGTCTTCTTGGTATGTTTGCCAAGACCTAAGACAAAGAATTTTTTTTTTCAATTGAAATTAAATGTACCTCTTTTAAATGCCTGGAAGATTGAAATGGAATTACATACCATGAAGGATTTTGAAATGGCTGACATAACTTGTAAATTTGATAAGCATTGTGCAGAATAGCGTTTCCTCTATAAACTTCTTCATTTGTCTTCTGGTTTCACATTTCACAGAGACTATTGATTCCTTCTGAGCAAAGTATAATGGACCTGTGAACAATCTGAGATCACTCCGTAGTTTCTTTTGGTATTACAACACTAAATCTGAAGAGCTTGTCTTCCATGCATGAATAAATGAAAAGAAAGAATATCATCAGGACTCAATGGAGAGTTTCCTTAATGCCAATTTATTCATGATATATAATACTTTAAAAATAATATCTGCTTTGATTTTTAAAATAAATAAGACAGTAAAATGGCTATATTAAGCAAGAGAGGACTACTTAAAATAACAAAATAGCATGGAAAAAAAGTACAATTAAATAAAATAAGTAATAAAAGCAATATAGAGTAGACTTTAAGAATGCAACCCATGAATAATTTGTGGAAAAGACAACTAACAGGTATTCACATAATACAGAAAATCATGAAGAAGAGAACTAATTGAAAAGGATTATATAAATGAGGATAACCATAGAAATCTAACCTACAAATAATAAGTCTTCTCAAAGAAGGAAACAGAACTAATATAATAAATGAAATAATAGAAAATGTATTAAAGTTTTTCAAGTACTAAGACTACTCAAAGGCTTATTATGATCTGGAAAAAAGTTCTGAAAGAAAATCCATACTTAGATATTACTTGAAAAAAATTGCTTGGATCACAAAAATAAAGAAAAAATAATTTATAAATATTTAGAAAGAAACATATAAAGGAAACATATTAGAAACATTAAGAAGTTAAAAATGTAAAACCTAAGAAAAATTTTATGAGTCAAACTTTCCTCAGCAGAGCACAAATAACAACAATTGCCTCAAATGCTTTTTGTGGCAAGATGGGTGGGTGAAAGCAAATAGATTATTAGAAAATATAGAAACAATAGAGAATGTAAAATATAAAGCATTAAGCAGAATAGAGGATCTTTTATTTTACTAAAATATTCCATCATAGTAAGAAAAGAGGTGTCCTGCATTATTCATAAGTCACCTGCCATAACAAACCATTTCAGTGGTTTAACACAATAAACCTCCTTAATGTTGCACATCAATGCCAGGATACACTCCAAGGTACTAGGTGTTCTTTATTCTGGGAAGGCTTTTTCTACCATTTAGTTGCTCTGTTATCTTCTAGAGTCTTGCCATCCTCTACTGAATTTTCAAGATACAGACAATGCACAGTGAAGAGAAACTGTGAAAAATTATGAGAGAAATTTCAGAGATACATCCTAAGCTGGCATACATCAATTCCTTCTGCATTTCATTGGCCAGAGTCTGGTCATCTGGCCTCACCAAAAGCAAGAACAGACGGGGAATATAGTTCATCATTGGCTTAGGAAGAAAAGGAGAAAACTGACACTAGTGAGCACAGCCTTCTTTGTTACAATTGCTAAATATTTATATGTCAAAAATCACTATAAAAACTAAATATTAAATTTGAGGAAAAATTGTCAGAGGGCTGAAAGAATTATAATATTTAATGTATGGTTATGTTAGAAAAGGAGTTAATTTTGACAAGTTATAATCAATTAAAATTCCAGAGATAGTAGATGTAGACTGTACTGTCTTCTGAAGTATGTATGGAATGTTTACAAAAATAATCACATATTTTGCAGTGAAGAAAACTTCAATGGAAGAGAGTAGATGGGTTATAAGTCGACTTCATAAATTAATTCATTGATTTTATGTAAATTGTTTACTTTGTGACAGTGATTCTTACAACTATGTATGAGTATAACCACATAGATAGGCACTTGAAGAAAACCTTGGAATATTAGAAAAGGCTTTCTATAAAATGTGACATCTGGAATTGATTAAGAACTCATAGGAATTTAATAATTCATATAATTAAGTTTATATCAGAAGTCAGTGAAAAATGAAGTGTTATTAAACAAACACATTGGTGTAGTATATTAGTAATTTGAGAAAAACATATATGTTTAAACAATTCTATTTAAAATAAGATCAATTTGATTAATATAAAACATCAAATTTCTGACTAACAATAGAGTTTTCTAAATCAAGATGAAGAGAAATATACTGCAAGTTGGAAATGGAAGAAAAAATATCTAAATGAACATGTAATATACATATTATTATTATTTTGAGTGAAAAAAGTAATTTTATTACAATGCAACCTAGAAAATATGTGTGCAGAAAATAATACTAAAATTATATAAAGAGTTAAGACAAATAAATATATCAGTATTAAAGAACAGAGGTGGAGAAATCACAAATATAAAGAAATATTTTAAAACTGAAAATGCTTACTTGCATCAATACTTAAAGATATCACAGGCAAGTTTTTTTGAGTATTAAATTAAACCCCTGAAGTAATACATTGTGAATAAGATAAAATTAGAATTCCAACCCTGTATAAGAGTTTCTATAAATTGGTCCATATGTCTTCAAACTTACCAAAATATTCATATGTTTTCACATTTTTATTCTCCTTCTGATGTATTTTTGTATAAACCTAAAATACTAGAAAAATAATTTCTGTAAAGAGTTGTTCATTAAAACATCACACACACACACACAAGTATATATGTGAAAAATGTAAGTTTTCTAATTGCTTTATATAGTAACATTTAACCTATTTTACATATACATTTCATACTTTTATGATACTAGTGAAACATTTTTAGGATGTAATAATTTAGAAATTGGCCATGACATTTTAACATTCAAAGAATAAACATAATTAAAAATCATATGCATGTTGTAACTACAATTGCATTTAAAATGCAGATATGAAGGGTTTCTAAATAAAGGCAAAAAAGATTCAATCTTATAGAAAAATAAATTAGAGAAATAGACAATTCATAGGTAAAGAAATATGAATAGATTTAAACATGAAAATTGCTAAACCCCACTCATAAAATAGAAAAACAAATTAAATTGGCACTGAAAATCCATTTGTTATTTATCAAATTGAAAAAAGGGGTCTAGAACTATAATGTGTTGGTGAGGCTTTGAGAAAATGTGTAATATATTTTTATTTATAATATATATATAGAAAATTAGCTATATTTACAACTACATATATATTTACTCTTTGATCTAGCAGTTATACTTTAGGAATATATTTCAAACAAAATTGTGATAAAAATATAAAAGATATATGCATAACCTTACTTATTGCAACATTCCTTTAAGAAGAAAAGAAGGCAAGTGAAATATCCACTAAGTAAGAAACAGGTTGAATAAGAAAGTGGTTTAAAAACTACTATATACACAAAATGGAGTAGTGTGGATCTATCAGAAGCAACAAGGAATATTAGTACATACTAGTTTGTGGATTGAATGCCAAGATATATTTTTAAGTAAAAGAATAAAGGTTGAGTAAAGTGTATATAGTCAAGCGTGTACACCCTTTCTTTTTTGATTACTACCATATGACTGCATACACTTTACTCAACCTTGATTGTTTTACTTAAACTAAAAAGCTTCTGTACAACAAAACAAATAATCACAAGAGTTAACAGACAACCCACAGAGTGGGAGAAAATTTTCACAATCTATACATCTGACAAAGGACTAATATCCAGAATCTTCAAAGAATTCAAACAAATGAGCAAGAAAAAAAAAAAAAAAGAAAACAAACAATCCCAACAAAAAGTGGGCTATGGACATGAACAGACAATTTCCAAAAGAAGATATACAAATGGCCAACAAGCATATGGAAAAATGCTCAACATCACTAATTATCAGGGAAATGCAAATCAAAACCACTATGTGATACCATCTTACTCCTGTAAGAATGGTTATAATAAAAAAATAGATGTTGGGATGGATGTGCTGAAAAGGGATCACTTTTACACTGTTGGTGGGATATAAACTAGTATAACCACGATAGAAAATATTGTGGAGATTCTTTAAAGAACTAAAAGTAGATCTACCATTTGATCCAGCAATTCCACTACTAGGTATCTACCCAGAGGAAAGGAAGTCATTATACGAAAAAGATACTTGCACACACATGTTTATAGCAGCACAATTTGCAATTGCAGAAATATGCAACCAGCCCAAATGCCCAAATCAATGAGTGGATAAAGAAAATGTGGTATATATATATACCATGGAATACTACTCAGCCATAAAACAGAACAAAAGTATTAGCAGCAACCTGGCTGGAATTGGAGACTATTATTCTAAGTGAAGTAACTCAGGAATGGAAAAGCAAACATTGTATGTTCTCACTCATAAGTGGGAGCTAAGCTATGAGGATACAAAGGCATAAGAATAATACAATGGACTTTAGGGACTTGGAGAAAAGTGTGGGAGGGGGATGAGAGATAAAAGACTACACATTGGGTACAGTGTATACCCCTTGGGTGACAGGTGCATGAAAACTCAGAAATCACCACTAAAGAACTTATTCATGCAAGCAAACACCACCTGTTCCCCAAAAACCTATTGAAATAAAAAATAATTTTTTAAAAAAAGAGGAACCAACCCTGCCAACACCTTAATTTTGGGCTGCTAGCATCCAAAACTCTGAGACAATAAATTTCTATTGTTTAAGCCAAAAAAAGATATATAAATATGCACTTGCTTAATCAAACATGAATTGATTTTGGAAGATTATATAACATAAACAAATAAATAAAATTTTACCTAAGAGTATAGGGAGAAAACAGAGTGGAGGAGACAGATGTGAAAGATAAACTTCTTCGCATCTACAATTTTAATAAAGTTGATGTTGGACTCCTGTAAATATTTTACATTGCTGTGTAAAAATTTAAAAATGTGTACAAAGCAAAACCAAAATTAAACAAGTGAATCTCACTGTGTATTTAATCTGTAGAAATAAACGCACAGGGAAAATTCATTTTGAGTGACTTGAAGACATGGTTACTTGAATGTATAATCCAAGTGATAGAATTTACCCTAAAACAAAAAGAAATGCTACATGAATTAATGAATACATAACTCTTTAGTTTTAATAATTATAGTATAAATTATAACATTAATATTGCTATTCTGAGTCTATAGCTTGTATATCTTTGCAAAGGAGCAATGATGTTTATATTAATGAGATTCTACATTTTTGACATGGAAGAAAAAAGACATCTAAGATTGATGTGGTTAAGTAAAACCTTGTAGTCTTTAATTTTAGTTAGTAGTAACACTATGAATTTATGACATGGTACTCTAAAAAAATACTTATTGCCTAGCTCTATTCTTCGAAAAATCCTAGAGAACATAATTATCTCTAAGCACCATTTGTGCCAAAATTGTGGTTTCTAATTACTATTTTCTAGTAAAAGAAAGTAGAACTCCGGAGAAATGGCTGGTTTCAGGTATGAAACGGGAGTTGTACAGCATGTTATAGCAGAGAGCAAGGACTTTATCAAAGACTGAGCCATTTCAAAAGGACTAAGGACTAAGGAGCTGGCTGGGATAGACTCCTATCTGTCAAAGATGATTTTAACATCAATAAAAATTATAAAAGTAAATGAAAGAAAACATTATAATAAGAGTACATATATGAGTTCATAATAATACTAACATAAAATTTAACAGAACACAATCAGTGACCAGCATTGTTAGAGAACCAACTTCTTATTTCAAAAACTGGCAAAGAGAGGAAACAGACAAGCATTTCTCCCATTCCTAAAAGAACTGTACCCAGAATATCCATATAGATAAAATAGAAAAGTTTTCCTTTTACATATTTTTCAGATAATAAATTAAAAAGAATAGAGATCGGGCATGGTGGCTTACGCCTGTAATTCCAGCACTTTGGGAGGCCGAGGCAGGTGGATCACCTGAGGTCAGGGGTTCTAGACCAGCCTGACCAATATGGTGAAACTCCATCTCTACTAAAAATTACAAAAATTAGCTGGGCATAGTGGCGTGCACCTGTAGTCCCAGCTTCTTGGGAGGCTGAGACAGGAGAATTGCTTGAACCCAGGAGGCGGAGGTTGCAGTGAGCCGAGATTGCGCCACTGCACTCCAGCTTGGGTGACAGAGCGAGACTCCAACTCAAAAAAAAAAAAAAAGAATAATTAGAATATCACCATTTTGTGACCCCAATTAGTTAATAAATCTAGGCAATGATTGTCACTGAGAAGGAACAGTCAGAAAAAAAAGTGCTGAGTGATTACATCTGTAGGTTTGTATTGCCTGACTGTCTCTCTTTTGTTGCTCTTAACAACCACTGATGACTATTGCTTTCTATTCTTTTTGCTTGCTCCTCCCATTCTCTATATTTTATAATGTATTATTTCAAGACTCTGTATTTCAATATTCCCTACATAGATTTATTCCAGGTCATGGCTTTAGATGTCATTTATACAATGATGATTTCCAAATTGATATCTTCATACCAGGTATCTTCTAGCCACTATATCTGTTTATTCAACATCCGTATTTAAATGTTTATTTTCAAAATTAAAATACAATTGTTAAGGGTTGAATTATGTCCCCCCTAAAAAGATATGCTCATGTCCTAATGCCTCGAAAGTTTACTTTATTTAGAAATATGGTTTTTGCTGCTGTAATTAGTTGAGATAAGCTCAGAATAGAGTTGGGTTCACCACTAAAATAATATGATGGGTTTCCTTATAAAGATGTTCATGTGAAAACATAGACAGGGAGAATGCCATGTGGTGATGGAAGCAGAGATCAGGGTTATGCTGCCACAGACCAAGGAATGGATGGGGCTACCAGCAGCTGGAAGAGGCAAGGAGGATCCCACAGAGGGTAAAGAGAGAGCATGGTCCAGCGACACCTTCATGTCAGCCTTTTAGCCTCTAGAGCTGTAAGACAATAAATTTCTGTCATTTTAAGCCACTCAATGTGTGCAACTTTGGCTAGCAGCCCTAGGAAACTAACACAATAATCTATCTCCTGATTTTTCCACCTTGACCAAATCTGCTCCTCCCTCAGTCTTCTTCTACTAAGTAAATGGCTCCATTCATTCAGGTGTTTAGAACTAAAACCTAGAACTCATCTTTGATTCTTCTGTCTCACACTCTCTATATTTAAACCATCATCAAATCCTGTTGGTTCTACCTTTAAAATACATCCAGAATCTGACTACTTTATAGCAACTTTATTTCCACCACTCAGTTCCAAGTCACTGCCATTGCTCATCTCTATTACTGAGATAATTTGCTAATTGGTCTACCTCCTTCATCTTTCAACCTCTGCTGTGGATTCTAAATGTACCACTCTGAATAATTGCTTTAGAAAACAGTCTGATCATGTTTCTTATTCTCAATATCTCTCAGTATCCTCCAGTGGCTTCCCATATTAGACAAAATTAAAACCAAAGTCTTTAACTTGGTCTAGAAGAATCTCTATGATCTAGGTTTCTATTATTTCCCATCTTCAATCACTTTCCGTAATATTTGACTTCATCTTATACCAACAACTTTATTCCCACTCCAACTATATATGTCACAAAGCCTATTTGCTTGCTGTTGTCTATGCCTAGAATGTTTTTCCTACAGACAGCACATGATTCTCTTCATCTCCATCTCTTTAAATATGCTTTTATCAGTATAGCCATCCTTGATCTTCCTATTTAATATTTCAACAACCTCAATTTGTATCCTTCTCTCATACTTAAATTTTCTTCAATGTATTTATCACCAACTGGCATACTATAAAATTTACTTATTTATGTATTGCCCATTGTCTCTCACTAAAATGTATACCCTATTAAAACAAATTTTAATTCTTTATTCACTGCTATATCTTAGATCCTAAAAAGAGGTCTAGATCATAATAGGTACTTTATACATACTTATATAAACTAAAGATTACAGGGGTTAATGTTAATCACCCTGAGAAAACAAGCTATTTTTAAAAGCCTTATTATGTTTATTGCAAGCATGTGAAATAAAGATTCCATCTATAGATGACATATTTCTTCATTATAATATATCCATCAAAACCAGTTTTGGGAATTAAACAGTTTGATTTATGATCTAATTTAAACTGATAAAACCACATTTTTAAAGTAATATAAGATTCAATTATTTCACTAAAGTATATCCTTCGTTTACATTGTGCTGATTAGTACTGATGCCAGAGTGCTTGTCAAAATGTGACTTATAATTAAATTTCCTTTTGCCTAAAATAATCATTAGAAATATGTAATATATGACATCAATGATAAACTTCACTTTTTTATGCCTTTTCTTTATATAAGTTGCATTGCAACATGGAAACATAAGCGACTATGAGGCATCAACTTGCAAATAATCTATTCCAGAATTTTAAATTTGATATTTCTATTCAGTGAGCTTAATACTTCTGGTCATGTATGTGTATTAAATAATAATATCTGATTACTAGCAACTTCACATTCTTATAAAATGTCTTTGAAATGTCGAGTTTTCATGCAGAGTAGTTGTCTATTGTATTTTACTGCCAAAATAACATGTTTCAAATAGTAAAACGGCAGGGGAATACTGACTGAGCTATTAATAAAACACACCAGCTTTTAGCTGGCAAAGCAGCCTTCTTTCCATCAAACATGTCTCAGCCTTTAATAAAGAAACTCAAGTGGTGTAGGTGAAAAATTACTTTTCTCACCCGGTCATCTGTCTGTCATGTATTATTCAGGTCACCAATGTTTGTCCTGAACTGTATCATTCTGTAGTTGTGTCAGGTATGAGATATGTTCAGTGTAATTCCATCAGACTTTGTGAAGTTGATTAGAACAGATCACCTTTCGGCATGGGCACAACTTATCTCAGCAGATTGAGTGAAAAAGACTTATTTATCTTTGCCTTATAATAAAGAAAGAGATGAGCAAATTTATCCATTAACTTGAAAAGAGTCACATATTTGGTGTGAAAACAAACTACAGTCAGTAATTCTATTGAAAATGCTATAGTACATGAATGTTTCTTCAGGAGAAAAATAATTGAGTCTACATTTAATAGTATGAAATATTTAAGCAAAGCACACACATTTTATTACAGTCCTTAAAATGGTAAATGTATTTCCTGAAATAAAATGATAAAATATAAGAAAAAAATGCCATATCTTTGATGGTTTCCATTGGCTTTTTTGCAGCATTCCTTTTGCAAAGTAATTTGTACTTTGATTTCTTTTTGCAGAAAATAATCTTCAACATGTAGGCAATCATTATACTATTATATCTTAACTAAAACATAGACTGTTTTACTGTAAGCATTCCAAACACTTAGCAACTCAAAATAGTCATGATGAGACTTGGACTCATAAAAAGATATGTGAGTTTGTGTAAAGAAACTTAAGATCTTGTCTGATATTACCTGGGGTCCTTAAGTTCCTCAACTGTCAAATTAACAACTGAAACTAATGGAGAGGAAGCAAGGTGGTATACACCAATCATACAGTTGTGGTCTGTGGTCAAATTTGGATTCAGGCTGGGCGCGGTGGCTCACGCCTGTAATCCCAGCACTTTGGGAGGCCTAGACGGGTGGATCACGAGGTCAGGAGATCAAGACCATCCTGGCTAACGCGGTGAAACCCCATCTCTACAAAAAAATACAAAAAATTAGCTGGGCGTGGTGGCGGGTGCCTGTAGTCCCAGCTACTCGGGAGGCTGAGGCAGGAGAATGGCGTGAATCCCAGAGGCTAGAGCTTTCAGTGAGCCGAGATAGCGCCACTACACTCCAGCCTGGGCAACAGAGGGAGACTCCGTCTCAAAAAAAAAAAAAAAAAAAAAAAAATTGGATTCAGCTACTTATTAAATTCATGATTTTTGATATGTTTTTAAAAATGAGAATGAAGTCAAAGGATCATATAGTAGCATATCTAGCACATAGTAATGTTTAAGCATTACATCTATTGTTCAAGTATTGACACATCCTCAGATGATTTAGCATAGAACAAAGTAGAAATCAGTGTATGTTATTTAATCTCGTCTCCAATTGTGGATTCTATGAATTCCTGAAATTATTTTTGAAAAAATATAGAAAATTAGCACTAAAGATAGACTAACATGTTTAGTAGTTTTGCAGGAACAAAATTTGTATTACTGTATAAACAGCAAAAACGCATATTGTGAAATCTACTGAGGAATTACTTTATTATTCTTTTTGTACATATATTTTTTCTAGAGTAGCCAAAAGACTGCGAAAAGCAAAGTTGGGTTTTTTTCTAAGCTGTTTTTCACCCCCTGCTGTCTGGAATGTGTTTTGAAATAGAAAGCTTTAGAAACTGCCTTAACTCTTTCTCTACATCACCATTGTACATTTTGCTGTAACTTGTTTTGTGTAGAAACAAAAACAGTATCTTCCTATCTTTCTCCTGTTTTGTAAACCTATAAGTTTCCTTTTGCTGGGTGCCATAGCTCAAAGCAACAAGTATTTATTAAACTTCAGAGATGTGGCCAATATTGTGCTGGGCTGTGGAGAATACTTGACAGGTATAGCCTTTGTTCTCACAGAGCCAAATAAGTTTTTGAGCAGGTGAACAGAAAGGCTTACATGTGTAAAGCAAGACGAAAACAACACAGGGCAATTCTAAATTAAGTGTATCTCAAAGAGCAAATTAAAGCTCCTAGAAAAGTTTTGAGAAGGGGAAATATCTGAATAGAAATATCAAATTTTAAATTCTGGAAGAGATTATTTGCAAGTTGATGCCTCATTGTGGCTTATGTTTCCATGTTGCAATATTTAATAGGAGAAGATTAACTTTGTGTAAAATATTTACATTGAAATACAGTAATGTAAATAGTATTTACCATTTCCATGTGCTAGATATGCTACTGTATGATACTTTTACTTTATTCTTATTTTTAAAAAGATGTCCAAAATCATATATTTAACATGTAGCTGAGTCCGGATTTGACCAGAGACCACAACTGTATGATTAGTGTATACCACTTTGCTCCTTCTCCATTAGTTTCAGTTGTTAATTTGACAGATAAGGAACTTAAGGACCCAAAGTCATGTCAGACAAAGAAGCAAACTAAATTCATGCTCATCTTACTTTACATTCTAAGATCTTGTATTTTTTAGCAAAATTTTTTGTTTGGGATTTTAAGTTCTCCATGTGAATTATTCTTTGGGATCATTTTTTTTTTTTTTTTGATGGTTTCAAACCTATTGGGATTTAAACAGACATCCAAAGCATACCTCTTTTATTATATAGGTCTGAGATTACCTTTAACCCTGGCTGCAGAGCTGGGCTCTGATTGGTCTGCCCAAATGCAATCAGGGCAATGTAATTGAAGAGCAGACACATGAGCTAAATTTGTCCAATTGCAGTGAAACTCAGAACCTTTGTGCCACGTTGAAGAGAAAACATATCAACTGTCACATCATAGACCTAACCAGTGAAGTAGAAGCATTTAGCCTTGTGGCTTATAGCAGTCATCTTTTGGCCAAGACAGATATCAGCTTGAGGATGCAGAAGACATGGGGAAGAAGGAGAAAGAGAATTTTGAAGAAATTATTTAAAACCTTGCATTACTTCTGGACTTCTCAGAAGAATCAACCTATTTCTCTTATTTTTCAATCCAGTTTAGATTAGATGTGCTGTCACATGTTGCCTTAAGTGCTCTTTGAAAATAGATAAGCATACACATTTTTAAAAAATAAAAAAAATAGAAGTAATATAAATTGTGTTTTTTAGACAACTAATTATAGAAGTTAAAGTTATTTTAAATAGCAAATTTTTTTACTAAAAGGATTTGATATAAAATACATACATTAAAAATATTAAAACATCCCAAAATGTTGAGATTAAACTTGAATACTATCTGAAAGTAATCACACGTAGGAAAATCTATATCACCATCAATAATAAAACAAAGCTAATTAAAATATATCAGAGAAGTACAAGTAGTTTGTGTTGGTGGTGAAGAACATGGGTTTGGGAGTCACATAGAAGTGGGTTTAAATGTCAGTTGAGTAACTCACTTGCTGTGTGACTTTGGTCAGGTCATTTAACATATCTAACCCTCAGCTTCCTCATCTGTAAAATGTAAAACAGAAAAGGCCACAGTTACTAGAAAAAGATATTTAGTATCCATTCTCCTGTTCTAAGAAACATAAGCAATGACTTACCCATTACCAATGAAAGCTTTAGCCTTACTTTTGTCTCCCTCTGTTCTAGATAAAAATTGAGATAAGTAATCAAAGATCAGTGTGGTGGCTTGTGCTTGTAATCCTAGCACTTTGGGAGGTCAAGTGGAAGTATCGCTTGGGTCCAGGAGTTTGGGACTAGCCTGGGCAACATATCAAGACCCCATCTCTAGAAAAAATTTAAAAGCTAGTTGGGTGTGATGGCACAAGCCTATAGTCCTAGCTACTTAGGAGGCTGAGGCAGGAGGGTCTCTTGAGCTCAGGAGATTGAGTTTTCAGTGAGTCATGATCATGTCACTACTCCAGCCTGGACAACACAGCAAAACCCTGTCTAAAAAAAAAAAAAAAAAAAAAAAAAAAGACAAGTAATAATTTCATTGGCCTTGCTTTTTGGCAACATTTAATTCAGAATTGGCTCAGCTTCCTTAACTTTGCCCTAGAATCCACCAGCATTATCCCAAATCCTATAAGCCTCATCCAGATCCCTTTACTGAGATATCTCACCATTTCTTCAGAGTATTTTTTCTTTTGCTAAATAAATTGCCTTTTAGACTACATGTGTTCCTGGTGGTCTTTGGTTAGTGAGCTTTAATAAGTCATAGGATTGATTCATTCAATTAATCATTCAACTGTATTTTACAAATATTTAAATCTTAATTTGAGCTTAACTTTGTTAATTTTTCCAAGAGACTTTATTTTGAAAAAAATCAAACCTACATAAAACTTGAAAGAGTAACTCAATGAACACCTATATACTCTTTACCTGAATTCAATTCTAAATATTGCACTAAATTTACAATATTAACTAAGCACCTACTAAATCCTAATTTAGGCCGGATGGGGTGGCTCACACCTGTAATCCCAGCACTTTGGGATGCCAAGGTGGGTTGATCACTGGAGGTCAGGAGTTCGAGACCAGCCTGGCAGACATGCTGAAATCCCTTCTCTACTAAAAATACAAAAATTAGCCAGGTGTGGTGCACACCTGTAGTCCCAGCTACTCAGGAGGATGAAACATGAGACTCCCTGGAACCCAGGAAGCTGAGGTTGCAGTGAGCCGAGATCACGTTGCTGCAATCCAGGCTGGGCAAAAGAGCAAGACTCCTTCTCAAAAAATAAAAAATAAAATCCTAATTCAACTAATTATATTTGATAAGTTAAGCAATCCTTCAATCTTTAAAATCTTCTCTTACCTTGGCCTCTTTTTCACAGAATTTATATGGGTATTCTTTCATATCTCCTTCCACACTTTGTTGTTGTCTTTTCAAGACACAACTTTCTCTACTCATCTGTTCCATGGAAGAGTTTATTAAGAATTCATCTTAACCTGTCATTTTCTGTCTCCGTAATCCTTCTCTATAATCTTATTCTTACTTGTAGTTCCAATTAGCAAATATAATTAGAAAAATCCCAAATTTTTATCTCCTATTTTCTGACCTCTAGAGCTGTATACATAACTTCTTGCCTTACCTTATCTTCTTTTGTTTGTTTGTTTGTTTTGAGCCAGGATCTCACTCTGTCACCCAGGCCGGAGTGAAGTGGTGTAATAATTGCTCACTGCAACCTAAACCTCCAGGGCTCAAGTGATCCTCCTGCCTCAGCCTCCTGAGTAGCTGGGACTACAGGTTCATGCCACCACAGCCGGATAATTTTTTTTTTTTTTTTTTTAGTAAAAAGGAGGTCTTGCTGTGTTGGTCAGGCTGACTTCCCTTATCTTTTAGAACTACAAATGACATGTCCAACTCAATAAGTATAAAACTAAACCCTTTATCTTCACCCATCCAATCCTGGTTCTTTGTTCTTGTTGTCTGTCACAGGGACTGGCATGATCATGTTTTGCTCATAAAAGCATGACATCTACAAATCACTGTGACACCTTTTGTAATGGTATTTCCATATATAAGACTGGTAGATTCTCCTCAATCCCCAAATACCGCTTTACTTGTTGTCTATCAACATGCCCCTTGTCTTAGCTGCCATCATCTCTCATGTGGAATGACTGCAATAGGCTGCTCATTGGTCTACGTGTGTTTTCTCTTCACCTCTCCAATCCACTCTCTAAAATGAAAAAGGAATAAACTTAAAGACTAAAAAAAAAGAAAGAAAGAAAGAAAGCCTGATCATTTCACAACGCTTTGCTTGGTCAAAATTCTTCAGTGTCTTCTGATACTTGGCATAATAAAGATGATACTCCTTAACAGGGTATATAAAGTTCTAATCCTCAGACTGAACTATTCCCTTCTATCCTATTCTGGGCACCCTCACCTCATTAAATCTCTTTACGTCCCATGTTTCTACCTATTTCTTTGCATACTTCACCACCTTCAAAAGGCAAAATGGGTTGCCTTTTGCTCATTTTTTATATTTCATGTCAACTGTCACTTCCAGACTCCCCATGTCTGTAAAAAAATCACCCCATTTTATTCTTTTGAGATACTTTGTATTTCAGCTCTATGTCACTTATGACAATTGAACTTTATATCAGTAAGCAATGCATTCACCTGCAGATACAAACCAAATAAAGCAACAAAGGGAACGAGTGTGTTTGTCTCCTATCATAAGTCTGGAGCAGGGCCTTGCTGACCTCTCACTCTACCAGCTAGAGGCTGTAGGCCTTTATTCTCTCACTGTCACTGCTAAGCCTCATGGTCCTTGCTCTTCTCCCAAGTTTCACATTTACATTCCAGACAGAGGAAGTGGAAGTAGGAAGCTTCATACCAGCAGCGTTTTTTTCTTTATATCAGAAAAGCAAAGGCTTTCCTAGAAATCCCTAGCAGACTCCCTCTTCGATTTAATTGGTCATAACTCTGTTACAATTCTACCACTTACTGCCATGAACACTGAAATCCACCAAAGCCAGAAGGCAGTTAGAACTGACTGAAAAGAGCTGACTGACAGTGCTGTCTCACAGGTTTATATTATTTACGGGGTTATTTAATTTATATTTGCCTAGCCCAGTAACTTAGATTTTAAGATCCTTTAGGTCAGGAACCACATTTGTTTTGCTAATAGAAGGCCATCCATAAATACAAGTAGAATAAATAAATAAATAAATAAATAAATAAATAAATAAATAAATACATTGCTTTTTCTAAATACCTTTAGTAAAAAATGCTGGCTGGGTGCAATGGCTCACACCTGTGATCCCAGCACTTTGGGAGGCCGAGGCAGGTGGATTGCCTGAGGTCAAAAGTTCAAGACCAGCCTGACCAACATGGCGAAACACCATCTCTACTAAAAATACAAAAAATTAGCTGGGTGTGATGGCAGGCGCCTGTAATCCCAGCTACTCAGGCAGCTGGGGCAGGAGAATAGCTTGAACCTGGGAGGCAGAAGTTGCAGTGAGGTGAGATCACACCATTGCACTCCAGCCTGGGCGACAAGAGCGAGACTCCATCTCAAAAAAATAAAAATAAAAAATAAATGCCTTATGCTCATTAGAATAGGAATGCCTAAGTAGTTTCTAGTATTTCTTCTAAAGTCCCATACTTTCAAACCTTTTTTCAAAACATATAAGGGGTAAATAAAACTAGAGATCTTTCAGCCCAAATTCTCAGTTGCATGTGTCTCTTGTGTATGTGAGTGCAGCATAGTAACATTTTAGTTACAACTTCACAGAAAAAAAGGACTTTTATAGCAGAAGAAGCTTTACATTTTGGTACTGGACCAATGTAAGCAAGTACTGCATTGTCAGGAAGTACATGTTTACATAAGTTCCTAAAAAGGCAAAGTTAATTTTATTTAGTGGTATGTACATAAGAAAAAAAGAAATGAGTCATAAACCATTCTTTGGTTTAAATATTTTCTGGTAGTGACTCCAAGGGACATAATGTGGGAAATCATAATTGCTCTTTATCACACATAGCTACATTTCATAAGGACTTTCCTGAATTAAAAGAACCTCAATTTATAAATCTAACATGAAATTAAAATATATGAATATAATGGAATGTAATGCAGCAATTAAAAATAAACACACATGCACTAATATAAAATTATGCTTGATATGAAATGATATAAAATTTTAAAAAGAAATTGGATAATAGTGGGTGAAAGATTATTGGCTATAATATATTTAACTAAAATATAATAAAAAATACTATGTTTTTTGTCAAAAGTGACAATTTACCAATGTGATGACATCTAAATGAGGAACTCAGGAATGGCAGATTTTAAAGCATTTTTGTCAGTCTTCTATGTATATTATCATGTTGCTTCTATGTGGCTGTACCTGGATGACAGCTATTTTCATTATTCATTTTAATATTTTGGTCCCATTTACATGCATAATTTCAAACAAAATATACTTTTACGATTTATTTAATTGCTATGCTCTAAACTCATTTCACACGTTCACAGTAAGGACATGTTTGTCCATCTTTATATGTAATGCAAAGGCTTTTAAAGATGTTTTTACATTGGGTAAAAAAAGATAAAAATATCTGCATAATGTCTTTTTCATAAAATATGAACATTTTAAAGGAAATTTTGAAATTATATAGCAAGCAATAAATTAAATATTAAGAAAAGAAACATTGCCAGGTGTGATGGCTCGTGCCTGTAATCCCAGCACTTTGGGTAGCCCAGGTGCGTGGATCACTTGAGGTCAGGAATTCGAGACCAGCCTGGCCAACACGGTAAAACCCCCTACCAAAAATACAAAAATTAGCCAGGTGTGGTGGTGCATGCTTGTAATCCCAGCTACTCAGGAGGCTGAGGCAGGAGAATCACTTGAACCTGGGAGGCGGAGCTTGCAGTGAGCCGAGATTGCACCACTGCACTCCAGCCTGAGGGACAGAGTAAGACTCCATCTCAAAATAAAAAAAGAAAAGAAACGAAAATCAATTAAATAAGAGAGTTAAGATGATTTTGCATCAAATATAAAAATTTTTTAAAAATTGAACAGGAAAAGTTATCCTAACACAATACACACGACTGTTATTTTTATAACAGTTTCATTAATATATAATTATACTATAAAATTCACCCTTTTAAAGTGTACAATAAGGTGGCTTTAATATATTCACAGAATTGTGCAACTGTCACCACTTTCAAACTTTAGAACATATTCATCCTTCCAAAAACGAATTCCATAACCTCTAGCAGTCACTCCCATCCACTCCATTCCCCTGACTCTGGCAAACCCTAATCTCTTTTCTGTCTCTATGAATTTGCCAATTCTGAATGTTTTATATAAATTATATCATATAATATATGGCCTTTTCTAGCTTATTTCACTTAGCATAATGCTTTCAGTTTATTCATATTATAGCATGTTATCAGAACTATATGCCCTTCATATGGCTCAATAATTTATTTTATAAATGTACCATATTTTATATATTGATTATTTCATGGACATTTGGGCTGGATAATCCCAGCTGACCTATATGAAACTTTGCTAAGTTTTTCTTTTGCCAGCTTGAATCTATTATTGGGCTCCTCTACTCAATTTTTGCATTTCATTTTTTTTACTTTAAAACTCCAGAATTTCTGTTTGATTCTTTACAATTTCTATCTCTCTTAACAGTCTCATTTGATAAGACATCATTATCATATTTTCCTTTAATTCATTAGACATAGTTTCTTATAGTCCTTTTGAACATATTTTTAATAGCTAATTTAAAGTCTTTGTCTAGTAAGTCTAATGTTTGGGCTTTCTCAGGAATGGCTTATATTGCCAGCTTTTTTCCTCCTATGTATGGGCCTTGCTTCCCAGTTTCTTTCAAGCCTTTACTGAGGTGCTCTGTGGGTTTCTGCGTTGGGGCTTGCCTTGAACATTGCACAAAGCAGTTTACAACTCTGCTTGCACAGAGCCTTGAGCCAAGCCATATGTGAGAGATCATGTAATTCTCAGGTCTTTCCTGGACAAGTACATAGCCCTGTGCATGCATGTGACCATCTAGATTCCCAGCAATATTTCAGAGCTATGCTAACTAAAGAATCTTAAATTGTATAAAAAGAGCAAAAGTCATATAATATATAATACACAAAGACATGAATCCTAAACCAAAATGATATGCAAAAGAGAGACAGAGAGAGATTTCAAGAAAAAAAGCCTAAGAAACGTCAAGCAACTAAAAGAAAATTTAGATTGACAATAAAAAAGTGAGAGAGAATGGAATTCAAGTGGAAAGGGTATTAACAGAATAAGACTATAGTGTATGATAAAAAATATAATTTATTATTGACATCTAATATACATGAATCAAGTACCAGAGAATTAAAATGTATAAAAAATTAGAATTCAAAAAGACATTGGTAAAAATTCTCTATTCTATTGGCAGTCTTTTTAAAATGTATTTTTCTCATTTTTTGCCAAAATAGATACAAAAATATAAACATATGGGAAAATGGTGTTAATTTGCATTTTATAAGTAAATATCAAGACCAAAACAAACACAAATACAAATGTTATATTTTCTAGAAATGAGTCCTCAAAGCTTAATATCATTGTATTTTGTAGTATTTGCTCTACTAATAAAGAATAAAAAATGCTGATAGAAATTATAACTAGTGTGGGGTTTTGGCTTGATTTAATAAACTTATTTTTAGCCATGTGTCATGTAAAGGAAGAATTAATAATATTTCCTGAGACTCTAGACCAATTTATATTATAGATCACAAAGAGGAACTCTATGTTTCCAGCTCAAAAATGCCCAATTTTTTAAATCAAATTTCTGATTTTTACAAAAGAACTAATAACAAATACTAATAATAACAAATACTTATTTTAGCCCAGATGTTTTAAAACACTGTTAAATAGATGTTTGGATCAAAGAGAAGTTGAGATTTGCATTTATAAAATATGTAGGTGAAAAAATGTAGTATGTTAAAGAGTATGAAAATTTTTCTTTTTTGAGTGGTTGGGAAAGTCATAGTTTAAAATATTCTTAGCATTAGGAGAGAAATACAAAAATTAACTTAACTTTGAAGTAATTCAGGAAAAAGAACAAAGAGAAAAATTTGGCCACGAGAAAAATAATAATTATAAAATTATTTCAAGAATTTAATGGATTAATTAATTTGTAGTAAAATGGCTAAACAAATTTAAACATTGTTTAAAATGTCAACAAATTGAACAAGATCCTAGAGAATGAATGAAAAAAAATAAGATATGTTTAGGTACAAAAATATTAGTTAAAATGTTACAGGATCTTTGGGGTGACACTTTTCTGACTGGAAACCTGTGGCCAATTTTGCCTTTGCTGGAGTTCTGCTCAGGCTCATTGGGCTCATTCCACTCACTTGGCCTGGCAGGCTGTGCTCAGCTCACACTACCAGCCTGGATCCCATGTCTCCCAGGGAGACTAGAGTCAGGGGTGAAGTGGCAAGGGTTGTGTGTGAGTGTGGAGTCCGGCCACTGTGAAGTCAGACACGTCAACTGCTGCCACAGGGCAGGCAACTCCAGGTGGTGATGTGGGTGCCACTTCTCTGTGAGCCTGCAGCTGGCCCAGGCACACCACAAGCAGCTTCCATGGCTGGCACTGGGGAACACAGTGGTGCTTGGAAGCTTGGAGACCTCAGGAATCTCAGGGCCCCAGTGAGGTAGTCACAGCCCTGGCTTGGAGAGCTCCCAGATCAGGGCTCTCTGAAGGGCTGTAGCTCTTCTCTCCTTCTCTTTGCCCACAGTGTGGTGAGCAAGGGGAATGTTTCAGCCCTGTTTGTGTTACAGCAGCTCTTTTAGCCTTGCCATTCAGCAGATCCCAAGTTCTTGTCCTGCAACCAGGAAGAATGAGGTGCACAGACAAGGGGGTGGTGAGCAAGACTAAGAGGAACTTTACTGAGCAACAGAACAGCTCAGAGAAGATTTGCAGTGGGCAGCTCCTCTCTATGGCCAGGGTGTCCCAATGAGTGTTTAGTTCCTAGAAGAGAAAATAGCTCCTCTCTGCAGGCAGGTTATCCCAACAAGTATTTAGTTCTCAGTAGAGAGGGTAGTTCCTCTTTGCAGCTGGTTGTCTCCTCATCTGCAGCTCTTGGTGGAGAGGAGGCCCTAGAGTTGGTAGCTCCTCTCTGTACCTGGTCATCCTGTCCTCTTTCTGTCCTCTGCTCTGCTCTAGCTGAGCCCTGGGCTTTTATGGGCCTCAGAGGGAAGGAAGCCCAATTGGTCCATTGGTGGCTATGGGCTGGCCCAGAAAAGGCACCAAAAGTCCCCACTCTGGTCAGTGGGACTGGCAGCCCAGCCCCCTGCCTTCAGGTCCTCACGGGGGACTCAATCGCTTCCATTCAGGAGCCTATCTGTCTCCCACTGACATTCATGGCACCCAGGCTGTTTGTGCCAAGGGGCGCCTGAAGGCCAGCACCAAGCTGCCCTCAGCACCCTTTTGGCTTCCCTCCCATGCTCATCAGAGCTCAAAGTCCAGAGTGTGCCAAGGCAGCACGGGGCTGGCGTGCCAGCCTTCCCCGAGTGTGTGCACACCCGCGTAGGCCTTGACAGCCCCTGGGCTTGGCCTGACTTTGCTCTGAGATCAGAGCAGGCACCAACAGCAGGGAGAAATCAGGTAGTAGGAGCAGGCGTTTCTGAGCCTGTGAGGCTAGCGGGGGGCTTTCCCAGGCCCCCAAGAGTGCAGAGATGTCTGGGTCCCCAGCCACAGCTGCAGAGATGACGGATGACAGGCATCCTGCTACATGGAGCCAGATGCCCAGGTCTACAGCCACAACATGGGTGGCTGCAGCTGCACCCAGGGAGTTCCTACCTCACTATCTCAGAAGAGATGGGGCTCCCATTTGTCCCTGTGCCACAGAGTGTGCAGCCCTGGCCACACCTCCCTGCTGGAGCCAGAGTGATGGCAGTGGCTGTTCCAGACACACAGTTGCTGCCGTCAATAACAGAGTATGTGTAGTCAGAAGCAGAAAAATTATTTTAAAATTAAAGTATGCCAGCCAGGGGCAGTGGCTCATGCCTGTAATCCCCGCACTTTGGAAGGCCAAGGCAGGTGGATCACCTGAGCTCAGGAGTTCAAGACCAGCCTGGCCAACATGGTGAAACCCCGTCTCTACTAAAAATACAAAAATTAACTGGGCATGGCAGCACAAGCCTGTAGTCCCAGCTACTCAGGAGACTGAGGCAGGAGAATTGCTAGAACCTGGGAGGTGGAGGTTGCAGTGAGCTGAGATTGTGCCACTGCACTCCAGTCTGAGTGACAGAGCGAGACCCCATCTCAAAAAAAAAATAAAAATAAAGTATACTACTTATAACACTTTATAATGTTAAACGTAGCATTGGATTTGAGCTTCACAACAACTCACATGGTAACTATTAACTTTCCCTGTTTTCCTATTTTGAAAACAACTGAGGATTAAAGAAGTTTAGTTCCTTGCCCAAGGTAGACACTCAATCTGAGTGCTACGTTCTCAACTGTTAATAAGTCGTTAATAATACCTAATAGTTATTGAGAACTTACTATGTATCAGGGACTGTGACAGATGCATTGACTACATTGCCTGGTACAATCCTCACAAACACTTCAAAAATTTCCTAAAATTAATCTCTGCAATTAATGCATTACAAAAGAAAAAAATTAAAAATTCTTGCATTTAACAAACTTGGACAAATATATAAAATCTTTATTTAAAATGACAAACAAATGAGAAACCAAAACAACTTATTTTAAAAGTATAGATATTAAAGTATATATTAGTTACTATATTAAAATGAAAACATTTTAAGTATATGGAGTCAAATTAATGGTGTCCAGGGAAAATAAATCTAGAAATTCCTATGAAAAATTTAACAAATTACTAAAACAATGACAGCATGAGTGTATAATTTTTAAAAGTCTCAGGTATGACATAATCAGCATAAATAATTTAAAAGGCAAATAAATGCTTTAATATACAGTTTTTATAAATGAGCAAAGAAATGAAAATAGATGAAATCATTCTACTTTCAAAAAAAACCAAACATCCACTTATATCAAGGGTTAGCATTTTTTGTTTTTTTGTAAAAGTCTTTATGGTAAATACATTAGGCTTTGCATACCATACCAGCTCTGCTCCAGCTACTTAACTGTGCCATTGTAAAGCTGCCACAGACAATATGCTAGTGGATGGGTGTGTCCTTATTGCAATAAAACTTTATTCACAAAAACAGTCACAGTCACAGGCAAGATTCGACTCACAGTTGGAGAGCCTCTGATTTATGCCAATGAGAAACCACTGTTCAATTAGTAAACTAGTAAAAATAAGCAAACTAAAAGTGAAAAGTCTTATTTGCTGTAAAGAATTTTATTTTTGCTTCTGTCTTATATTTTATTTATTTATTTTATTCTCTCAAAGTTTTTATATATATAAAAGTTTTTATATATACTCTCAGAGGTTTTATTTATTTACTTATTTTTTATAAACACATTTTTGTTTATTTTTTCTGTAAAAATAAACTGGTGCTGATGGGGAGTGCATTCATTATAAAAGATAGTAAAATTTTCAAACTTGTATAATCTTTTGACTGATTCTAATTTTAATTCTGAGATTTTATCCTAAGAAAATAACATCATTCTGTATCTAAATCTTATTTTATTGTTTGTTTATTATTTATTTTTGGATTCTGCATTTGGAAAAATTCAAGAGAGAAAAGAATGAAAGTGAAACATGATTTTTTAAAAATATTTTCAAAAATGCTTGTGTATACCTGACAATCCTCAATCCTATTATACTCATAGGAAAAAAAGTGCTGAACATTTATCTCTTTAGCTTAGAACTGTCTAGTAGAAATCAATACAAATAACTCTGTTTTTGTTTTTTTGTTGTTGTTGTTCGTTGTTTCAATTAAGCAAATTCATCTTCTCTGTGATTTATTCCTTTTAACTTCTTGACCTTATTGCATTGTAAAATGGTTGGCCAGTTTTTTTCTTGCTTTGTTTATATACAGAAAAGGCCATGAACAATAAAAACAAAAAATTAGGTAAAACATATGTATTTTGTAATTCATAAGACACAATTTTTTGATGTTTTGCTTTGTTAGTAATAATTCTACAAAATGCACTAATTTTTTGTCATTCTAAATAGTATTCTGATGACCTGTATGTGTTAACAGTTGATACAAAATCCACATGAAAAACAAATAGAACACTAGGTGAATCAGTTTCACATGTTTGGATTTCATCTGCTGCTTCCTAATGGGCAAGGTTGTTCAAGCACAAAAAAGCCCGTTTCTTACTTCTTCACAGGAAAATGAGAAGGACTGATCCTCTTTAGAATTCTTCTGAATTCAGAATCATGTTGGGTTAACAGGGTTACTATTTCCAAGCCAACTGTCAGTCTCAGACATCTGAAACTTCAGGCACCTAGGGTCAATGGTAGCTTGTTAAACCATTCTTACAGTCTATGAGGATAGTTGCTTTAGTTAGAGATCCTTCAAATCTTTCTGGTATTCTACTTTCATTTTTTTTCTTCATGTTTCCCTACATTCCCTCTTGATACCACTGTGTTATAACAGCATGAATTGCTATAACTATGATTAGATATTGCTTTGTCTTTCCTGATGCCAATCAATTGACTTCCAAATAGCAAAGGGAGATCTAGAAAGTAACCCCTTTCACAGTCTCATCACTCCCAATGTTGCTCTAAGTTCCATCTTAAGCCAAAAGTCACAATAATAGGTCCAAATTAGGTATCAAGCATATTAATGAAATATAGCTCATGTTCAACCAAAACTATACTACTAGAGGTAAAACAAAAAAAGTCATATAATGTTTTTCTTTTTCTTTATTCTTTTTTTTTTTTTTTTTAAGATGGAGTCTCGCTCTGTCGCCCAGGCTGGAGTGCAGTGGCATGATCTCCGCTTACTGCAAGCTCCAGCCTCCCGAGTTCACGCCATTCTCCTGCCTCAGCCTCCCGAGTAGCTGGGACTACAGGTGCCCACCTCCACACCCGGCTAATTTTTTGTATTTTTTAGTAGAAACGGGGTTTCACCGTGTTAGCCAGGATGGTCTTGATCTCCCGACCTCATGATCCGCCCGTCTCGGCCTCCCAAAGTGCTGGGATTACAGACGTGAGCCACCGCGCCCGGCCTGTTTTTCTTTTTAAGTAGGGGATAAAGGAGGAGGTTGGAAAAGAAACAAGGATTTGAGGTATTTTGCAGACTTATCATGAGCATGGTTAAACATCAAGTAATATGTCCTAAAATGCATAGCTTAACAAATATTTATCTCTAAATGACTAAGATAATTATACTGTAAATGTCAAGTTTAGCATTCCTAGAAGCTGGCATACAGTAGGTTTAGAATTGCATTTATTTAAATTTTGGCATGGGAGTATTTTTTTAAATATATAATGTCTGTAGTTACAGGTATGTAGCCAGAAACATCTTTATTTTTTTTTTTTTCTGATAAAAACTTGTTTCTTTATACTGGCTTTCTGGGTCTAATATGGACACCTAGAAGACTTATTCCTTCTACTCCATGAACACTTGAGTAGACTGAAGAATGACACTTTAGAGCTTTGACAACCCTCTCAAGCAGCCCCAGCTGACATGAATTATGAGGGCCATTATGTGAGAGCTCTGAGGTGACAGTAAGAAACCTTAAGTGCTTGATATGTGAAATATTTAGAAGTTTGGATGCCAGTCCTTTCTTATTGAAGTTTTTTAATTTTTTAAAGATTATATTTAGGATTAAAATTTTTAATAAAAATGATCTACTTTACATTATCTCCACTTTTGTATTTGCCCTTTTAAAGTGAATCTAGAAATAAGGACATGTTTTATGAAAAAAGAATTTTCAAGTAAAATTTAGTACTCATAGACTAGGTAAACTAAAATTCAAAGATAGCCTTGTTTTGATAGTTCTTTATCTCATCAGTAATTTTAAAAGGTTTAAGTTGATTTAATCAACAGCTTATTTACATATATATCAAATTAATAACATAAGCAAAAATTAACACATATACAAACCCATTGACTATAGAAGTGATGTTGATAATCAAAATAGAATCTTGTAAATATTTGACTAATGGAAAACACTAGCCAGAGCAGACCAGAACTATGCAATTTTAGTTTATCAACATTACTTCCATAGTAATGTTGAAAACTGGATTCTAGTATTGTCAAAATTAAACGTCTTGAATTACTTAAATATGCATCAGAGATTGGTCTACATATTTCGAATTATTATTTCCTCCATTTCTATAATGTAGAAACCACCTCCACTGCATGTATTGTTTCTGAGAGTGATATTTTCCCCAAGAATTTTATATTAAAGGTCATTTTAAAATATATTGTTATCCTTTAAAAAGTTAAGAGTAGCTAACTAAAGCCTCAAATGTTAGAAGTAGCTCTTTATTTAGTGTTAAGATAGGATAAGAGCCTTGACTAAAAAACTGGGGGAGTGGATTCCTGAGATATGTCCACTGGTAGACCTAAAGGACCAATTGAATGTAAGGACCTAACAAAGTGGGTATAGTAAAGAACATCTGAATTATCTGATTTAGGCAACCAATGAAGGATAAAGCAATTTAGTGTGGAAAGAAATTCAGGAGGATGAACAAGCCTTAGAAGAAAGATGACAAGTTTTGTTTTGGATATGGATTTGAAAGTCTGAAAAATCCTCAAAGAAGACAGGTCCGGAGTATAAATGGACATTTGAAAGGAAAGATAAGATGAAGGTAAAGATTGAAGCCATCCAGATTTAGGATTCTAAAATCAGCAAACAATAATAGAGTGCCTAGACTGTGCCAGTTCCTGAAATAATCAACACAGGTCTTTGCTGAAACCACAGAAATGTAAAAACTCCCAAGCAAGATCATAAAGAGGGAAGAGAATTATTCTGAGGACAGAACCCTAATGGTGATGGAAGATGTAGATGAAGGAGTGAGAGAAGAGACCTGAGTTGTGAAAACACTGTAGGTAGAAACAGTCTAGACATAGGTTCCACCAACGATATCCTGCCTGAGGATGGGAGCAAGACATACCATATTGTACTCTGGGAATCAGGCACTTTTAAGGCATTTCAAAACATAAAGGGAGGGGTGAATTTGTGAAGCAAAAAAAAAAAAAAAAATTAAGAATCTTGCTATTTAAAAGTGTCTAATACTATTCAAAAGCTGAATATCTTTATGCCATATAAGAGGGTATTGGAAAAGAGAATAGGCAAGAGTTGCACTTCGCTGATGGAAAAAGAAGACAGGTTGCAAAATTCTCTATACTATTTGTGAATTGAAAAAAATAAAATGAAATCTGAGCTGCTTTTATCTACTACTAATCAACCAAGATACACACAATATTATAGATCTTTAGTGCACACAATCTACTGCTACTACTTAATTAAAATAGTGATTCTGATTTCAGGTTTAAGAGAATATTTTATGGGTAGAAATAAGAAAGACCCTATGAGTTTCTAGGCTTTTTCTCCCTAACTTTTTCCCATGGCAGGCTTCTAGAGCTGATGCAGGGCTGCTACCTGAACCCCTCTTCAAACCAAGCATTTCATGGAGGCAAAGCTAAATCCACTTCACCTGAATGCAATTATCTGTATTGTCTGTGTATATCAGACTGAGTGAGATATTGAGGCATGGGAGGAAGACGAATGAATATGGAGACAAAGAACTTACATCCTAGTACTAGGGCCTTTGGACAGGAAAATTCATTTTATTTTCAATTTTCTTGTTTACATAAAGAGAGGATGGACTAGACTACTCTAAATTGTCTATAAACTTCTACATTCTGGGATTCTGTAGGGGAAAAGCAAATCACTTCTTACTGCTAATGGCTTGATCTTCCTTAATCCATGGCTATGTTCATAGTACCCAGGTCTTAGAAATAAAAATGTGTGGGAACCATAATTTGCATAGAGAATATTGACATATTTATTTACATATTTATTTGAATGCTTATTTGTCTAACTGTATAAAAAGTTTAGTAACAATGTTTAGGATTTTTTGAGAAGTCAAAGCCATTCTAAGGATTCAATACATTTTCTTGATATTTTGCAAGGATTTGTACTCACTTGTCTTAAAATGGATGAATCATCAACCATATTGACACTTCTCTATTTCATCATCTGTCTGATTATGGAGTGGGGAGAGGGAAAATGTGAAGAAACACCGAGGGAGATAGTTAACTTCAATGGTCTTCTTTCAGTTTAATGACTTTTGCTCCTATTGTATCCACCGTTTTCTCTCTACATTTTTTGTTAAGTTTTCCTTACAACTTTTATCCCTTTTGACCTTTGAGATCATGGGGTCGCAATTACCCAAACAGTGCCTTGATAACCTTAAAGCATAATGCCACCTCACTGAATATCTCACTGGAAATAATGTATGTTAGTATAGGAAGAATAAAAAGTTCCTTAAATGGGATACATTGCCTTTGTGCCAACTGTCTTGGTCTTTTAAAGATTAACATTAAGGGTGAGGAAATGTTTAAAGTGAGAACACCGAACAGGTTTCATTGTAATTAGTTTCTATATTCAGATTAATTCATGGGTCCATTGTTAACTACTGAAATGCCCAGACTAGATAAGGTAATCCATCCCTTAGGGAAAAGAATTAATTCAAAGTGTCATGGATATGAACACAGAAAGCACATGGAAGAAAATATTCAGTGTGATGGGGGAAGGGTAGGAGGGAGGAGAGGATTTATCTTTGTACTATTTTATTTTAATCTTGAAATATCTTTACATTTCTTTATATACTTAAGAGATTATTGTTTCTGTTGTTTCTTATTTTTAAATGATCTGTTCTTTAGTGATTTTAATCAAATGTAAATCACATGGGAGAACCTTGAAATATCTTTATATTTCTGTCTATATATTTGGGAGGTCTTTTTATTCATCTGCTCTTTATCCATTTTGATCAAATGCAAAACACATGGGAGGAAAACATCTGTGTGATAGGAGGGTTGAGAGAGAATAAGTGTTTTAATCTTTAAATAGTCTTACATTTTTACACACATGTTTGGGAGGTCATTATTTTTAATCACCTTTTTTTAGCCATCTGATGAAATATAAAACAATATTTTTATGATTTGTATTTTTATTGAGCCAGAATTAATTAAAAAGCAATTTCATTCCTTGGAGATATAGAATGTATTTTTATAGCACATCCCTGGGGCAAAATAACGTGCTACTACCAGAGACAATTTGAGAGATGCTTAGAAAGATGTTCATCCTCACAATCTATTATTTCTTTTCAAATGACTATCTTTTCACCACACATATCCTGACAGCCTAATGAGTATGAAATTTTCCCCACTTTATTTTTTCTGTGTAATATAAAGAACCAATGACTTCTTTGCCAAGACTGATATCTGATTGAGAAGTCACTGCCCACGCTCTTATTTGGATGAGGGTTTGAAAAAATTGAACTTGTTTGTTTTACCGCTTCTGCATCTTCCACTCGTGTTGACTTTGAGATTTGCGGCATTTGTTCTCAGCATGGTTTCAGAATCTTTCACAGAGCCGTTCAGAGTTGTCTAGTACCATAAAGAAATCACTAGCTCTTTTGAACAAAGTATTTGAGTCTCTAAGGGTAAAAATTGAGCTCACATTTCTTGACGATAACCTTTAACTCTCTTCAGTACTGGTAGGAGCAGTTAAAATACTACTTAGAACAGAACAAAGTAACTGGAAATATTAGAAAAAACATATTTTTTTCTCCTAGTTGATAATATATTTTAAAATTTTTATTCCTAGTGTGTATTTATAACCAACATATACTACCTTTGGAGATTCATGTGTACCTGTATTTGAAAGGACTAAAATATGCTCTTCTGAACCTTCCTTTCAGTCAAGGTTGCATATTTGGAATTTAATCATATTGTTTCCTTCTAAGCTTACAAATTGAGATTGACTTCATTGGGAATATTCCATGCATGATGGTCTTTAGGTTGAAGCTTTTTCTCCAAACTAAATGAAAACATGGCTTTTGTGTTTGCAGCTCACTTAAGGTGATTTTTATAGTTAGTGTGTCTGCATCCATCTTCAGCCCCTTTTCATCATTCTATTTGTTTTTTTTTTTTGAATAAACTTAACAGAATGTGCTAATTTGGATGAAATTATAGATGTTGAATCATGATATGAAAGTATTTAAAACACATGCTACAATTCTTTTTGTTCATATTAGACTCACCATAAACAAAATTTATTTACATTATGCAAATACTGTGCTCTAAAATATCTTCCCACCAAAATAGCCAAATGGCTTTTAAAATTTGCTCTTTTAAAGTTCAGATAAATTATGTGGCTTATATATACACCACATGTGTATATATACACATATATATGTGTATATATACACATATATATGTGTGTGTATATATATATATATAGTACCTTGTTCATCCTTTCAATACATTGATGCTATTAAACAATAGTCTTTTGTCAAAATTTGATTGATGATTCTATAAAGAGATTATGCCTCCTATCTTCTAACTAAATAACATCCATGGGGCTCTGAATAAAACATGAAACCACAATTAAAGTTTAAAATTGGGTATCAAAAATTCTTAATTCTAGTCTTGCCATACTTATTGTTGACTTTCCCCTGCAACCTTATTTCATTTAATTTACTTAGAATGTACTTAATTACTTGGGTTTGCCTGTAGAAATAAAAGCATTTGCATACTTCATGGGGGTGCTGTGTAATTAATGTACTGAAATTGTGGGTTAAATAATTGTGGAATGCTTTGAGTAACAAGTGTTAATGGTTACTTTGACCTATATGTATGTAAAACACAATCCCAGGGGATGCATCAGTACTCATTAGTGGCTGTTTAAAAGCTGTCTTTTGGTATCCAAAGAGAACCTATGTGAGGAACTAAGTATACTGGGTTGACGTCCATAGCAGAGGTGCACTGATGATGTATCAGTGGACTCTTAGCAGCTGTTCACATTCTAAGAAGTGTCTCAACAGTATCTTGTCCATGAGTTTAGTGGATTATAACTAAAAAACACAGTGCTGAGTGGATGTTTTGCCACATATAAAATGCATACCATATGAAAAAAATGGGTTATTTTGCAATGTATTTATAATTAGATAAGTCTTAATACTATGACAGCAGTCCAAAGATAATAACTTAATCCTTTACCAGACTCACAATCTTAACATGCCTACAATAGAAGCATTGAGAAATCAAGATCATATCAGTTGTGGAAAACAAAAGAGGTCTCTACTTTGAGAAAAAAAACCTCAGGAATGCTTTTAAGGTACACAGTTTGCTCTTTGGAAAAGAGAGAGAGAGAGACAGAGAGATTAACACATTTCCTGATAAACACAGCTGCTTTCATTTGAAAATAATTAGGAAGCATAGTAAGAAACAATTATCACAGTATAATTTGACACAACTGAATAATTGCATGCACAAAAATAAATACTCTTTGGCATTGGGGAAGAAACATTGGTTTGGGAATAAAACACTTAAATTTGAACTTCAGCTCAGGGTTATCTCTCTCTGTGACCAATATACAAGAAATTTACCTTATCTATATTTCCTTGCCATGAAATGAGGATAATATAATCTTAAACACAGGGCTATTGTGACAGTTGAAGTAATGTTTGAAAAATTTTTGCATAAGCTGTAAAACACTTTTAACACATGCTAATTTTTGTTATTATTATAAATTCAAGACACATTTGAATCTTTCACTTTGACAATTTACATTCATTTTGTGGAAGTTCCAATTATTTATTGGAAATATCCCTCCAAATATTATTTTCTTGAGTTGGGAATTATGAGATGCTACAGATAAATGCAACAACTCAAGTCATTCAGCAACTATCTTCATTTTACAAATGGGGATATTAAGAAGAGAAAAGGCTAACTGATTTTCATTGGGTCGTTTTGCTATTTAGTGGCAAAGCAAGACTGGAATCCACATCTCTTAACTTCCAGGCCAAAGATTTTTTTTTGAATACTGCCATTCAAGTCAGGATTATTGTTATTTCTCTGAAAGACTTAGTCATTAGAGCTTGATAAAGCTGGGCTATTTGAAAAAATAATGACAAAATAAAATATATAAAATATGATTTTAAAAAATAAGTGGAAAGCTAATATTAGTTTTAAAAGATCAGGTAAATTAATGAAAACAAACATTCATGAAACTGATACTTAAGTCTAACTCTTATATGTTTGTGATTTATTTTTATATATTTTTTTTTATTTGGGGAGAAGCTTTATTTTTTTCTAAATCCACACTTGGAAAGCTCTGGCACTGGTAGTCAAGTTACATTTCATAGTCTTCAAAGATTTCAAACTCGAAAACTTTTCTACTTTGAATTGAACCTCTTTTTCATGTTTCAAAGCTGACCTACAGTGAATACATTTTTCTATTAAGGAGTGTGTGTTCAAGTCCTGGGGCAGGCTAAGAAACTTGCAGTGGTGCAATAACCAGTGACGTAAAGTATCAGAGATGTGCCAAGTTCAGAGTAAAATCAGCATAAAGTTTTGAGTCTGGCGTTTGGCAGAGCCATTTCAACAGTGCACAGTTGGGTAGATGAGTTGGAGTGAGAAATATTCCAATCTTATAAAAATTTGGGAATTCCTTAACTAAACAAAGAAAAATAGATTTCTTGACTTCACAACTTCTCAGGCTCTTTATAATATAGGTATACTTTATAAATCTGTACAAAAAGGATATTATTTAATAATTTTCTTATTTGACCATCAAATACAGCTTGTAAGCATAATTCTATTTTCAATATGTGGACTCCAAAAAATATTTTGAAGAAGAAAGTTTCAATGATGTAAAGGAAGACACTTTTGCATTTTTATTAACTTATCTTTCATTATTTATCATTTTTGTTTCCATTCCCATTTTGCCTTGCCCATTCTGAAAGTGCCATTCTTCTTAAAAATTCTTAGTACTCCTCATAAGAACAGTAAAGACGGTACTTTTTTGATAGACTGGCTACTGTGCTTCACTTTCACTTTTATGCTGGCAATGTCAATTGAATAGATAATTTTTACATGTATTTGAGGTATTAAGGCAAGAGGCTTTGTTAAAATAGAATGAGACACGAGTGTTAGTGAAAGGAGTTTTTGAAGAGTAGCACACGTTTGCTAAGCTTCTAGAACTCAAAACAGAGATGTAAGCAAAATAATTGACAGTAATTTCAACTTTCCAAAGAGTTCAGTGTGAGATTCAAATAACTGTGGGTGTGTAGTATTTTCTTTATATTTTGCATGGACTGTTTATTGTTTTTCCATTGGTAGGCAGAAATAATTTACCATTATCATATTGCATTTAAATGAATATTAGGTATTGGGAGTAGGTTGTAAAGCAAAAAGGAGTTGAGATAAGATGAAAGAATAAAGTCTAAATAATATACTAATGAGTTTTGTTGCAGCATGGATTAACTATACATTTGTATTAAAAAGGTGGTATGCTTTTTAAAGAACTTGATTGATTGGCTTCTTTTAATGAATACATAATTATTTTCTTTATTCTCTTCACCTAGTATTAAATATGTAATTTGATAAATATCAGTAAGACAAAGGCCTATGCACAGGTTATTCACAATAAACTAGAACCATAATTTAGGACAAACGTGATATGGTTTGGCTGTCTCCTCACCCAAATCTCAACCTTGTAATTGTAATAATCCCCGTATGTCAAGGGCGGAGCCAGATGGAGATAATTGAATCATAGAGTTGGTTCCCCCATACTGTTCTCATGGTGGTGAATAAGTCTCACGAGATCTGATGGTTTTATAAATGGGAGTTCCCCTCACAAGCTCTCTTGACTGCCATCATGTAATATGTGACTTTGCACCTCATTCGCCTTCCGCCATGATTATGAGGCCTCCCCAGCCACGTGGAACTGTGAGTCAGTTAAACCTCTTTCCTTTTTCAATTACTCAGTCTTTATTAGCAGCAGTATGTCTTTATTAGCAGCATGAGAGCAGACTAACACATAATGCCAATAAAATTACTAAATCTTTAAGAACTAGAGTATATGCATTTAAATTCTTCTTGTATTCTCTTAAATGATTGCTTATTCCCAGGATGGAACATATTTTTCAAAAGTTAGGGAAATTTTCAGTGCCTTTATGGTAAAAATCTCAACTTTTTTGTATACTCAGTAGAATTAACATAGACTTTTTTGTGATGTTTATTAAATTCAATGAGTCAGATTTTAATACTTTCAGTGAAAAGTAATGAGAATATCCACAAACTGTTTGTATGACCTCTTATTTCTTATCACTACAAACTTGGGTAAAACTTCATTTCATATGTAACTGTAATTAAAGTAGTTCCATTCCCCATCACTTGCTAATTTTATTATTTCCCAATATTTTCTTCATGGCAATTAATTAGCATTATATTATTTATGTTTATTAACATTTAATTTCTGTCTACTCATTCTAAGTGTGTGATATAGGCGAGCAGAAATTTTGACTAAATTACTTACTATGTATGTAGTAGATGCTTAATAAATGTTTAAAAATCAAGTTCATGCTCTGTCTTGGCTCATAAAGAAAGTGTATCTGTAAAGTAATGTGACAGAATTTATCCTTGAGTATTATACTGATGAAAGGTAATTAAAACCAAGGCTTAAAAAAATCTTAATTTGTAATAAGATTGCTAGACTCAGATTCTAGAATGTTTATTAAAATATTTGTCTTGTTATTTGGTATGTCTGACTTAAGCAGGTTTGAAAATAATGATTAAATAAAGTCATCAAAATGACTTTCTTAGATCATGACAAATGTTTCTACAGGTTAAATCTTCCTATAAGGTAGTTGGCATCATCCTGTCAACACGCTGCCTTCACAGGAATATTTTATACCACTACAAGATACTAGAGAAAGTATGTAGATATATCAGTTCAAATATATAACTCTCATGGGAAAAATTCTAAAATTAATTTTACATTAATATTCATTTATTCAAGTTCAGCAAAGATGAATTAAGGGTGTACTATATCCAGGCTTTGTATTTCTCACTTCGAATGTTACAGTGGCTAGTGCAGTCTACTTTCAAGGGACGCAGAGTAGTGAAAAATGTAGATGAATGAAATAGTCTGTTAATGCCTCTGAGTATATTGAATGCAACTGACTGAATCATGGGGATAAACAGGTAAGTCAGCAATTCTAGCTGAAGAGTTTAACACATCCCTTTCAGAAATTGACAGATCAAGGCCACAAATTCCCAAATAAGAAACAGAAGATCTGAATAACATGATTAGAAACTCTACACTCAGCCTACAAAGACCATACGCTCTTTTTAAGTATTCACAAAATTTTATCATATACTAGGACAAAAATGATCCTTAATATATTTCAGAAAATCAACACAATATAACATTCTTCTCAATAAAATTTGGTAATACTGGAAACTAATAACTAAAGAAGAACTATACAAATCTTATGATTGGAAACTAGATAACATGCTATTAAGTAGCCACATGTTACAGAAACAATCTTAAGGAAAGATATAAAATACTTACAATAGAATGATATTTAAAAGAGTGTATGTCAAAAATTGTGACACACAACCACAGCAGTATTTAAAGGGAAACTTATTTAAATATATTTGTGAAGAAATGAGAAGGATTAACGCTGATGAACTAAGTGTTCAAGAATTTAAAAATCAGCAAAACAAAACCAAGGAAATAGATAAAAAATAAATTATAAAGCTAAGAGTATATGTCTAAACTACATACCTCTGAAATGCAGAAAAACAGCACATTGAGTGGAGAAACAGTAGGTGTTTTACTTTAAGATTGGAACCAAACAAGAAAGTACATTGCATCTGACGGGATAAGCTACACCAAGGTGTAATAATAAACACCGGATATCAGAAGTTTAAAAACAATGAAGATTATTTCTTACCTTTACTACATACCCATCACTAGGGGTTCTCCTGCACATAATTCTTGCTCAATGAACCAGGCTAATGAAGTGTCCATAATCTCAAGCTGATGTGGCAGAAAAAAGAAAAAAAAAAGTGTGTGGTAAATTACACACTGGCTTTTTAAGATTTACTTCTAGAAGTCACAAAGGTTATTTCTGCTTATATTTCATTGGTCAAAGCAAGTCACATGCTTATTTCTTTCTTCAAGGGAAAAGGCAAACACAATTCTTAATTTTACCATATTCCTTGAGAGAGGAAAATGGGATGGTCATGGGGTGTGGTGGGGTAGAGGGGGAATAAGGAGGCTTACTGAATACCACTTTAGTATCTTCTTTACTATTTACATATCACTAGAGATCATGAGAACATGGCAAAAAAAAGAAAATGGTGAAGATTTTTGTAGGTATGTAAGGTAAAAATTGCATTCAGCAGCTTGTAACAGAAATGCAATTACAACTCAAACACACAAATATTTAATCTTTCATATATTCTGAAGAGTAAATAGATGTAGGCTGGTATGGTGTGTCCACACAAACATCATTTACGCAGTTTCTTCCTACTTTGTGTTCTGCCATACTCTACAGAAAAATATATTCATCTTTTTATTCTCTATTATGAGAGTTTATAAAATGAGGGTGTTACATGCAAACCTGGAATCAGGCTGACAAAATAGCAAGTTAAAAAGTAGAAATAATTAAAAATCCGTTAAATGTTTTAATATTATGTATAAAAAGAAAGTTGTCATGGAACCCAACTTTTACAGAGATTTCAGATCAAGTTTTAGAAAGGTAAGGTCCATTTTGAGTTCATAAGGCCACCTCGCTGCATTCTACCACTAACAAGAGCCTAGAAAGACTCAGAATGACATAACACCACTGCTCACCTCCTGCCTCCGTCTGCAAAACACAGATCTTCTTCAGCAGGAATCGATCAAAAGTTCAGAAACGTGTGCTTCTGGTAAGAGCCTCCATCCCTCCTGACCCTCATCACTCATAGTCTTGATACAGCCATCTCTAACCATCACCAGAGCAGACTTCAGCATCCCCTTTATTCATGTTGGTCACCAGAAGCAGCCTATAAATCCTAGGTCACCAAGATCACCAAAGAAATCTCTACATTATGTTTTCTGTTTCAATCTGCCCTTCCTCTCCATTTCCTGAAACCTTTGCTCTATGCCGTCTGAAACTTAAGGTAACGGTTAGCTAAATCACCTATATCCTCAACTCATTCTCTGATTGATTGATCTTTTAAATTTAAATTGCTCTCATTGGCCATTGGCTGTCCCTTACTTCTTTGGAATTTCTCTTTCCAGTGATAGACACTTCTTCTTTCACATCCATGTGAGAATGAAGAAACAATAAGCATCTTGCTAACCCTCCAAAATGTCTTTCCCCTACTCTCTGACTACCACCTCTTCTCTTTTCTTTCTATGTTACTTACTCTAGGGCCCTAGCTCCAACCATCCTTTGATTATACGGAGACCCGCCACTTCATCACTGTTTTTCACTCCATTTGTTCCCACATTTATCTTCATATCCAGCTTAAATTCCACATCAGTCATTATAGTTACTCTTTAAATCACCCTAAACTCCTTTGATCTTTTCTAGCATCACCTTCCTCCCTTGACTAAACCACAATCCATCTTCCTGCTTGCCTAATATCTGTACCAGCACAAATAAACACAGGGAGAAGGAAGAAGCACACAACCATGCTGACTGTTTCATTTTAAAATCTATGACCACTGACTTCAAGAAGACCATTCATGTTGCTTGGGAATCATATTATTTTTCCTTCATCCGTTCACTGTCCCTCTCTCCTAGTGGACTATTCTATACATTCTCCTTTTTCTTCAGGTCTTTGATACTACTCCCTAACCCTTAAACTTACAAAAGGAATTTGAGATAATGAAAGCAACAAGAAAATAATTTTCATAAGCACCTACCACCACCAAATGTACACACCAGTTTGCATTTTTGCTCACATACTCTCCGTTCTTCTCTAATGAGATGGAAGGACTCACAACACATTTGTGTCCACTTGTGGTCTACATACTGTTTCCTCTCTCTCTCCACTCAACAACAATGCTTCAGCCATTTTTCTCTCTCCTATGTCATCATTTTTCTTCTCTTTAATAAATCATTTCTATCAGCATAAAAAATGCTGATATTTCTTCCATGATAAAGAGTCTCTGCTAGGCGTGATGGCTCATGCCTATAATCGCAGCACTTTGGGAGGCCAAGCCGGGTGGACCACTTGACGTCAGGAGTTCAAGACCAGCCTAGCTAACACTGTGAAACCCCATCTTTACTAAAAATACAAAATATTAGCCAAATGTGGTGGGAGCTACCTGTAATCCCAGCTATTCGGGAGGCTGAGGCTGGAGAATCACTTAGACCCAGAAGGCGGAGGTTGCAGTGAGCTGAGATTGAGCCTTTGTACTCCAGCCTGGGCAACAAGAGTGAAACTCCATCTCAAAATAAATAAATAAATAATAAAAAACTCTAGATTTTAATTTACTCTAGGTATTTTCCTATTTCTCTCTTAAAAAAATAATAGCAGAAGTCCTTGAAAGAGTTGTCTTTACTCAATGACAGTAAATTCTTCCTTTCTTTTTTCTGTTGAACTGACTATAATCAGATTTTTGCTCCCCCATGCAACAAATTGGCTATTGTCAAGTCAATAACCTTCCTTGGGCTAAATCCAATGGTCAATTTTTTAATCTTTCCTTATTTAACCTATGAAAGAATGTAAAATGTCATAATTATATTAGCAATTACATTTGACATTTGACACATTGGAACATTTTTTCCCCACTTGGCTTGGAACATTTTTTCCCCACTTGGCTTCTAAACTATTATCAGTGCCTTCCTCTTTAGCAGCTTCTTTCAGTTTTTCTCCACTGTTTCTGCCTCCCTTCTTGGCCAGTCAACGTTAGCTGTTTCTCAGACCTTTTTTTCTTTTAAACAATGTTATTAAGATATAATTCACATACCATACAATTCACCCATTAAATTTTATAATTTAATTGTTTTTATTATATTCACACATAGATGCAACCATCACTAGTCAATTTTAGAAACATTTAGAACACTTAAAAAATAAGAACATCATCACTTCAAAATAAACCACGTCCTCTTTAGCTAACTCTCTGCTACTCTCTCCTCCAGCCCCCAGAGCTAAGCAACTTTTTGTAGGTAAACATTGCCCTGTTTTGGGCATTTCATATAGACAGACTCATACAATATGTGATTTTTGTAACTACCTTATTTCACTTAGCCTAATGTTTTCAAGGTTCATCTATGTGGTATTATGTATCAGTAATTCATTTCTTTTTATCACTGAATAATATTCCATTGCATGGATATACCACATTTTGTTCATTCATTCACCTGTTGATGGACATCTGGGTTCCTATCTTTTGGCTATTATGAATGGTATGTTTTCATTTACCTTGAATTTATGTCTAGAATATCATTAACTGATTTTTGACAAGAGTGTCAAGACCATCTAATTGGGAAACAATTGTTATATCAACTAGGAATGTTGGAACAAATGGATAGCCAAATGCAAAAGAATAAAATCAGTCTCTTACCTCTTACCAGTCATAAAAATTAACTCAAAGTTAATCAAAAGTCTAAATGTAAGAGCTAAAATTATAAAAGTTTTGAAATAAAACATCGAGAAAATCTTCATGACCTTGGATTTGGCAAAGGATTCTTAGAATACCCAAAGTATAAGCAACAAAAGAGAAACACCAGAAAAATTTAATTTTTATCAAATTAAGACTTTCATGTTTCAAAGGACACCATCAATAAAGTGAAAAAAAGAATTACAGAATGGAACAAAATATTTGCAAATTATATCTGATAAAAAATTGTATTGAGAATATATGAGAAACTCTTACAATTCATCAATGAAAAACAAACAACCCAATTACAAATGGATGAAGTATTTGAATTGATATTTCTGCAAAGAAGATATACAAATGGCCAGTCAGCACATGACATAATTTTCAACTTCACTAATTATCAGGCAAATGCATATCAAAATAACAATGAAATACCACTTCACACACCACTATGATCAAAAAGACAGATAATAATAAGTATTGGGGAGGACAGTAATAAGTATTGCAGATGACGTGGAGATTCAGAATCCTCACATTGCTAATATGTGAGGATTAATGTATTATGTAATACATTACCTCCCTATCTAGAGCTGCTTTGGCAAAGAGTCTAGTAATTCCTCAAATGATTAAATCTGTTACTATATGACCCAGAAATTCCACTCTTTTCTTGTTTGTTTTTATCTGCTAGAACCTTCAGATGAAAGAATTCCACCTTTATATATACATTTCTTTATTAAAATATCTACATTCATTTCCTTTGTGCTCTAATTACTTATCATTTTAAACACTTTCTATATGCTGATGAATCCCAGATTTATGTCTTCAACCCAGACTTCTCACATGAAATTTGGGCCCACATATTAATTGCCAAGTAAACACATCTTGAATATCTAATGAGACTTCTTAAACTGATTTCCTAATATATCCTCATCCTCACTCAAACCTATTTCACCTACATTCTTTCTCATCTGATGAATGACATTTCCATGTTTCCATTTGCTTAACCTATTTGCATTTTCACTCTACCATTTGATGTCTCCCATGACACTTCTCTTTGTCTCATTCAATCATTCCTCAAGTCCTTTTAGCTTTGCTTCCACCCTGGTCTGGGTCACTATCCTCTCTCCCATGCACTATTTCAGTAGCCACTTACCTGGCATCCCTTCTTCTACTCTTGCTTTCTTTCATTCTATTTGCCCCATATCATGAAAAGAATCTTGTTTAAATCCAAGCCAGATCATGTCAGTCATACTCAAAACTTTCAAGTGGTTTCTGCTGTTCTCAGAATACAATAAAAATTCTAAACAATAACCCTAAGCATCTGCATAATTCTTCAGCACGTCCTTCCTTTTCCAACTCTCCACTCCTACTACTCTCCTCTCATTCATGCTACATCAGTCACATTAGCTTCCTTGCTTTTTCTCCAGCTTGTTGGACATACATGTGCTTCAGGACCTTTGCCCCTGTTCTTTTCTTCTTTTGATATTTTCTTCCTTTAGATATTCAAATGGTTTTCTCCTTCACTTACTTCAAGCCTTCACCTTAATGTTAAATTTTCAGTGAGACTTCCTCTAACCAACTCTGAAGTTTCACAAATGTATCTGACGCTACCTATCTATCCCCTCTTTTCTGCTGCATTAGTTTGTTTTCACGCTACTGATAAAGACATACCTGAGACTGGGCAATTCACAAAAGAAAGAGGTTTAATTGGACTTACAGTTCCACGTGACTGGGGAAGCCTCACAATCATGGTGTAAGGCAAAGAGGAGCAAGTCCCGTCTTACAGGGATGACAGCAGACAAAGAGAGAATGAGGAAGACGCAAAAGCAGAAACCCCTGATGAAACCATCAGATCTCGTGAGACTTATTCACTACCATGAGAACAGTATGAGGGAAACAGCCCCCATGATTCATTTATCTCTCACCTGGTCCCTCCCACAACACATGGGAATTATGGACAATTCAAGATGAAATTTGGGCGGAGACACAGAGCCAAACCATATCACCTGCTTTATTTGTCCTTTTCAGCATTTATTATGATCTAACATAAAATACCTTTTACTTACTTATTTGTTTACTGTCTGTCTCCCCCATTAAAATACAATCCTTATGATGGCAGAGGTTTTCCTTTTTTTGTTGACTGCTGGCTTCCAGTGCTTAGAACAGTGCCTAGAACCTGACAGTAGTCACACAACAATATTCGGTCAAGGAAAGATGAGTAAATTTTTCAAAGACAGAGGATACTATTCAGAAAGGACCTTAATTTGCTCTGGAGGGAAATGTTTTCACTGGATAATTTATTTGGCTAGAATCCTTGCAATTGCACCACATGAGGAGTATTTGCCAAGGCTCGGTCAGAAATTGGTATACATCAAAACACAGAAGATTCAGTTGAATTTGACTTATGAAGCCAGACAATTCAGTTGAATTTGACATGTGAGCCTCCAAATTGTCAAGCTAAATCTAAGCCTCCATTATGTCGTTCAAAAAATTCATAACATACATAAGATAACCCACAAATCTTCCATCTCTATATATAATGAAATGGCCTCAATTCACAGGGTCATACGTTACTTGATTTTTTTACATTATGAAAGCTTTATATGAAAAGGACTTTGTTTAATAAGACCTTGGATAGCCTGTTTGAATTTTCATCCCAATTACTTTACTAACCAAGCCAAATTTTTATTATTATCTTTGTTATTTTCTTGTTTGTATATAGAAAACTTCAATATTGTATGTTCTTCAATCTGGCACTAAAAGGGAAAGACATATTTGCTAGAATGCAAAGAGGATAAAGGTTGCTTTGATTTGTCATAGATGATCATAAGAAAAGATTAACTTTCCCTTAATGTACCAGAAAGTTTAAAGACATCTTTATATAAGGAAAGATTCCTATGGGAATTAGCATTTCGTACCTTATTGCAACCCTCGCTTTTACTGCGAGTGGACATTACACACAAAAACAAAACAGTTTGTTACTTACATTTGCTAACTATAACTCAGGTGATGAGACTTATTAGGCACTCAATAAATATTCGATACTTTTGACATTTTTAAAACCTAAATTTGTGTTGGTAAATGTTGAGGGCCTCCTCAGACTTTTGACAGTAAAAAGTTAATAGTACTAAATATTGGGAATTTTTAGTGATATTAAACTTATGACTATCCCTAAGAATATTCATGTACATACGTGGCAAAGGGAGGACAGATAAAGACAAAAACATCTAGGATTTCTATTCAGGCTTATGTTTGAACATCGTATTTTATTATTTTATGGAAATTGGGTAACTTAGGATATGAGTGCAATTGATTTTTTCAAAGTCAAATGAAGAATCATGGTAGAAAATTTTAGGTAACCCCTATCCTAATAAAGAGTGAATATTACATAGAGTCATAAAAATAGGCAAATTAAAACATAGATTATTAATTCTTCATGTAGTAGACAACTTGTGATGATACATTTCAATATATAGGATAAAACTTGAAACATTTTGATAAACTAAAACTTTTACATTTCTTCTCTTTCACTTTATTTTATTTTAAGTTCCATGGTATATGTGCAGGATGTGCAGGTTTTGTTATATAGGTAAACATAGTGGTTTTCTGTACCTATCAATCCATCATCTAGGTATTAAGCCCAGCATGCATTAGCTATTTTTCCTAATGTTCTCCCTCTCCTCCCCCAACAGTCCACAGCATGCACTGTTCCCCTCCCTGTGTCTATGTGTTCTCATTGTTCAGCTCCCACTTATAAGTGAGAACATATGGTGTTTAGTTTTCTATTCCTGCGTTAGTCTCCTGAGGATAATGGTGTCCAGTTTTATACATGTCCCTCCAAAGGACATGATCTCATTCCTTTTTATGGCTGCATAGTATCCCGTGGTGTATATGAACCATATTTTCTTAATCCAGTCTATCATTGATGGACATTTCGGTTGATTCCATGTCTTTGTTGTTGTGAATAGCGCTGCAATGAACATACACATGCATGTATCTTTATAATAAAATGACATATTCCTTTAGGTATATACTCAATAATGAGATTGCTGGCTCAAATGGTATTTCTGGTTCTAAATCTTTGAGGAATCGCCATACTGTCTCCCACAATGGTTGAACTAATTTACATTTCTACCAAGAGTGTAAAAGTGTTCCTATTTCTCCACAACCTTGCCAGTATCTGTTGTTTCTTGACATTTTAATAATCACCATTCTGACTGGCATGAGATGGTATCTCATTGTCGTTTTGATTAGCATTTCTCTAATCATCAGTGATGTTGAGCTTTTTTTTTTTTTTTCCAATGAGACATTTGCCTTTATTCCTGAAGATTTTTGGGGACAAAAAAATTTTACCCATAAAAACTCAGAATTTCTCCAGAAAAAGCCTCATCAACCATCTCTTCTCCCAGGAACCTCCTCTCAGCCTCTAGTCATCAGATATCTCTTCTTTTCCATCCTACCTCTTATGATTTTTGCACATTGATTTTTATCCTGAGACTTTGCTGAAGTTGTTTATCAGCTTAAGGAGATTTGGGGCTGAGATGATGGGGTTTTCTAAATATACAATCATGTCATCTGCAAACAGGGACAATTTGACTTCCTCTTTTCCTAATTGAATACCCTTTATTTTTTTCTCTAGCCTGATTGCCCTGGCCAGAACTTCCAACACTATGTTGAATAGGAGTGGTGAGATGGGGCATCCCTGTCTTGTGCCAGTTTTCAAAGGGAATGCTTCCAGTTTTTGCCCATTCAGTATGATACTGGCTGTGGGTTTGTCATAAATAGCTCTTATTATTTTCAGATACGTTCCATCAATACCTAGTTAATTGAGAGTTTTTAGCAAGAAGGGCTGTTGAATTTTGTCGAAGGCCCTTTCTGCATCTATTGAGATAATCATGTGGTTTTTGTCTTTGGTTCTGTTTATGTGATGGATTATATTTATTGATTTGCATATGTTGAACCAGCCTTGCATCCCAGGGATGAAGCCAACTTGATTATGGTGGATAAGCTTTTTGATGTGCTGCTGGATTTGATTTGCCAGTATTTATTGAGGATTTTCCCATTGATGTCCATCAGGGATATTGGTCTAAAATTCTCTTTTTTTGTTGTATCTCTGCCAGGCTTTGGTATCAGAATGATGTTGGCCTCATAAAATGAGTTAGGGAAGATTCCCTCTTTTTCTATTGATTGAAATAGTTTCAGAAGGAATGGTACCAGCTCCTCTTTGTACCTCTGGTAGAATTCAGCTGTGAATCCATCTGGTCCTGGACATTTTTTGGTTGGTAGGCTATTGATTATTGACTCAATTTCAGAGTCTGTTATTGGTCTATTCAGCAATTCAACTTTTTCCTGGTTTAGTCTTGGGAGGGTATAAGTGTCCAGGAATTTATCCATTTCTTCTAGATTTTCTAGTTTATTTGCATAGATGTGTTTATAGTATTCTCTGATGGTAGTTTGTATTTCTGTGGGATCGGTAATGATATCCCCTTTATCATTTTTTATTGTGTCTATTTGATTCTTCTCTCTTTTCTTCTTTATTAGTCTTGCTAGTGGTCTATCAGTTTTGTTAATCTTTTCAAAAAACCACCTCCTGGATTCATTGATTTTTTGAAGGGTTTTTTTGTGTCTCTATCTCCTTCAGCTGTGTTCTGATCTTACTTATTTCTTCCCTTCTTCTAGCTTTTGAATGTGTTTGCTCTTGCTTCTCTAGTTCTTTAATTGTGATGTTAGGGTGTCGATTTTAGATCTTTCCTGCTTTCTCTTGTGGGCATTTAGTGCTATACATTTCCCTCTACACACTGCTTTGAATGTGTCCCAGAGATTCTGGTATGTTGTGTCTTTGTTCTCATTGGTTTTAAAGAACATCTTTATTTCTGCCTTCATTTTGTTGTTTACCCAGTAGTTATTCAGGAGCAGATTGTTCAGTTTCCATGTAGTTGTGCAGTTTTGAGTGAGTTTCTTAATCCTGAATTCTAATTTGATTGCACTGTGGTCTGAGAGACAGTTTGTTGTGATTTCTGTTCTTTTACATTTCCTGAGGTGTGCTTTACTTCCAACTATGTGGTCAATTTTGGAATAAGTGTGATGTGGTGCTGAGAAGAATGTATATTCTGTTGATTTGGGGTGGAGAGTTCTGTAGATGTCTATTAGGTCGGCTAGGTGCAGAGCTGAGTTCAAGTCCTGGATATCCTTGTTAACCTTCTGTCTCTTTGATCTGTCTAATATTGAAAGTGGGGTGTTAAAGTCTCCATTATTATTGTGTGGGAGTCTAAGTCTCTTTTCAGGTCTCTAAGGACTTGCTTTATGAATCTGGGTGCTCCTGTATTGGGTGCATATATATTTAGGATAGTTAGCTGTTCTTGTTGAATTGATACCTTTACCATTATGTAATGGCCTTCTTTGCCTCTTTTGATCTTTGTTGGTTTAAAGTCTGTTTTATCAGAGACTAGGATTGCAACCCCTGCTTGTTTTTTGCTTTCCATTTGTTTGGTAGATCTTCCTCCATCCCTTTATTTTGAGCCTATGTGTGTCTCTGCACGTGAGATGGGTCTCCTGAATACAGCATACTGATGGGTCTTGATTCTTTATCCAATTTGCCAGTCTGTGTCTTTTAATTGGGGTATTTAGCCCATTTACATTTAAGGTTAATATTGTTATGTGTGAATTTGATCCTGTCATTATGACATTAGCTGGTTATTTTGCTCATTAGTTGATGCAGTTTCTTCTTAGAATTGATGGTCTTTACAATTTGGCATGTTTTTGCAGTGGCTGGTACTGGTTGTTCCTTTCCATATTTAGTGCTTCCTTCAGGAGGTCTTGTAAGGCAGGCCTGGTGGTGACAAAATCTCTCAGCATTTGCCTGCCTGTAAAGGATTTTATTTCTCCTTCACTTATGAAGCTTAGTTTGGCTGGATATGAAATTCTCGGTGGAAAATTCTTTTCTTTAAGAATGTTGAATATTGGCCCCCACTCTCTTCTAGCTTGTAGGTTTTCTGCTGAGAGATCTGCTGTTAGTCTGATGGGCTTCCCTTTGTGGGTAACTCGAGCTTTCTTTCTGGCTGCCCTTAGCATTTTTTCCTTCATTTCAACCTTGGCGAATCTGACAATTATGTGTCTTGGGGTTGCTCTTCTCGAGGAGTATCTTTGTGGTGTTCTCTGTATTTCCTGAATTTGAATGTTGGCCTTCCTTGCTATGTTGGGGAAGTTCTCCTGGATAATACCCTGAAGAGTGTTTTCTAGCTTGGTTCCATTCTCCCCGTCACTTTCAGGTACACCAATCAGACGTAGATTTGGTCTTTTCACATAGTCCCATATTTCTTGGAGGTTTTGTTTGTTTCTTTTTACTCTTTTTTTCTCTAAACTTCTCTTCTGACTTCATTTCATTAATTTGATCTTCAATCACTAATACCCTTTCTTCCACTTGATTGAATCGGCTATTGAAGCTTGTGCATGCATCTTGTAGTTCTCGTGCCATGGTTTTCAGCTCCAACAGGTCATTTGAGGTCTTCTCTACACTGTTTATTCTAGTTAGCCATTCGTCTAATCTTTTTTCAAAATTTTTAGCTTCCTTGCGATGGGTTCGAACATCCTCTTTTAGCTAGGAGAAATTTGTTATTACTGACTTTCTGAAGCCTACTTCTGTCAACTTGTCAAAGTCATTCTCTGTCCTGCTTTGTTCTGTTGCTGGCGACAAGCTGCAATCCTTTGGAGGAGAAGGGGTGCTCTGGTTTTTAGAATTTTCAGCTTTTCTGCTCTGGTTTCTCCCCATCTTTGTGGTTTTTTCTACCTTTGGTGTTTGATGATGGTGACCTACAGATGGGGTTTTGGTGTGGATGTCCTTTTTGTTGATGTTGGTGCTATTCCTTTCTGTTTGTTAGTTTTCCTTCTAACAGTCAGATCCCTTAGCTGCAGGTCTCTAGGAGATTGCTGGAGGTCCACTCCAGACCCCGTTTGCCTGGGTTTCACCAGTGGAGGTGGCAGAACAGCAAATAATGCAGAACAGCAAATATTGCTGCCTGATCCTTCCTCTGGAAGCTTCATCTCAGAGGGGCACCTGTCTGTATGAGGTGTCAGTTGGCCTATACTGGGAGGTGTCTCCCAGTTAGGCTACATGGGGATCAGGGACCCATTTGAGGAGGCATTCTGTCCATTCTCAGAGCTCAAACACCATGCTGGGAGAACCACTGCTCTCCTCAGCGCTGTCAGACAGGGACGTTTAAGTCTGCAGAAGTTTCTGCTGCCTTTTGTTCAGCTATGCCCTGTCCCCAGAGATGGAGTCTACAGAGGCAGATGGGCCTCCAGACACCCTTTCCCCAGCCAGGCTTGCTGCCTCGCAGTTCAATCTTGGACTAGGAGTGAGCAAGGCTCCTTGGGCATAGGGACCCACTGAGCCAGGTGGGATATAATCTCCTGGTGTGCTGTTTGCTAAGACCATTGGAAAAGTGCAGTGTTTAGGTGGCAGTGTCCCGATTTTCCTGGTATCTTCTGTCATGGCTTCCCTTGGCTAGGAAAAGGAAATCCCCTGACCCCTTGCACTTCTCAGGTGAAGTGATGCCCTGCCCTGCTTCGGCTCATCCTCTGTGGGCTGCACCCACTTTCCGACCAGTCCCAATGAGATGAATCAGGTACCTCAGTTGGAAATGCAGAAATGACCCGTCTTCTGCGTCAATCACACTGGGAGCTGCATACCAGAGATGTTCCTATTCAGCCATCTTGGAACTCTCCAATGTTGAACTTTTTTTCATGTTTTTTGGCCACATTTATGTCTTCTTTTGAGAAGTGTCTGTTAATGTACTTTGCTCACTTTTTAATGAGGTTGTTTTTTTCCTTCAAATTTGCTTAAGTTCTTTGTAGGTTCTGGATGTTAGACCTTTGTCAGACGGAGAGATTGTAAAAGTTTTCTCACATTCTGTAGGTTGTCTGTTCACTCTGATGATAATTGTTTCTGCTGTGCAGAAGCTCTTTAGTTTAATAATATCTCATTTGTCAATGTTTGCTTTTTTTGCAATTGCTTTTGGTGATTTCATCATAAAATCATTGCCCAGACCTATGTCCTGAATGGTACTGCCTAGAGTTTTTCCAGGGTTTTTATATTTTTGTGTTTTACATTTAAGTCTTTAGGCCATCTTGAGTTAATTTTTGTATAAAGTATAAGGAAGGGGCCCAGTTTCAATTTTCTGCATATGGCTAGCCAGTTCTCCCAGCATCATTTATTAAACAGAAAATCCTTTCCCCATTGCTTGTTTTTGTCAGGATTCTTTTTAAGATCAGATGGTTGTAGGTGTGTGGTTTTATTTCTGAGTTCTCTATTCTGTTCCATTGGCCTATATGACTGTTTTTGTAACAGTACTATGCTGTTTTGGTTACTGCAGCCTTTTAGTATAGTTTGAAGTCAGGTAGCTTGATGCCTCCAGCTTTGTTCTTTTTGCTTAGGGTTGTTCTGGCTATATGACCTCTCTTTTGGTTTCATATAATTTTTTTTTTCTTTTGAGACTAGTCTAACTCTGTCTCCCAAGCTGGAGTTGGAGTGCAGTGACACAATCTCAGCTCACTGCATCCTCCACCTCCCGTGTTCAAGCGATTCTTTTGCCTCAGCCTCTTAAGTAGGTGAGACTACAGGCACGCCACCATGCCCAGCTAATTTGTGTATTTTTAGTAGAGACAGGGTTTCACCATATTGGCAAGACTGGTCTCAAACTCCTGACCTTTTGATCTGCCCACCTCGGCCTCCCAAAGTGCTGGGATTACAGGCCTGAGCCATTGCTCCCAGTCTCATATGAATTTTAAAATAGTTTTTTTTCCTAATTCTGTGAAGAATGTTAATGGTAATTTAATGGGAATAGCATTGAGTCAACAAATTGCTTTGGGCAGTATGGCCATTTTCATGATACTGACTTCCTATCCATCAGCATGGAATTTTTTCCCGTTTGTTTGTTTCCTGTCTGATTTCCTTGAGCGGTGGTTTGTAGTTCTCCTTGAAGAGGTCCTTCACTTCCCCTTGTTGCCTGTATTCCCATGTATTTTATTCTCTTTGTGGCAATTGTGAATAGGAGTTCATTCATGATTTGGCTGTCTGCTTGTCTTGCTGGTGTATGGAAATGCTTGTGATTGCTGCACATTGATTTTGTATCCCAAGACTTTGCTGAAGTTGCTTATCAGCTTAAGAAGCTTTTGGGCTGAGTCAATGGGGTTTTCTACATATAGGATCATGTTGTCTGCAAACAAAATTTGATTTCCTTTCTTCTTCCTTCTTCCCATTTGGACTGCATTTCTTTTAGTTATTGAGACTTCTATTAACATAACTCAAACAGTTAACTAAAAATTACACTAAAAATGTTTTGAGGTTTACATCTGCTACTCTGGCTAAGAAATGAAAGTTCTTTTGAACAAAAATGTTAATTACCTTTTGAATTATTAAGACATCAGGATGCAAAACTGTAATTTGAGTAGCTGAAATTCAGTAAAACCAATAGTATTATGGAAAAAAGGGAAGGAAAGGAAATTCAAATATTCTACTATATAATTGAGATATGTAATAGATAAAGAGCATTTGTTTCATTTTGTTTTTCTTTTTATGTAAGGCAATTAAAAAACACAAATGTTTTATATTTTAAGATTATATTAATATTTATGTAATGGTTTAATGATTCACAATTTACTAGGCATTTTTATAAACATTTCTCCCTGGTAATCTTCACATCACCTTGCTATAAAAATCAAATCCCTTCCAGAACATGGAACACAGCTGTGAAGGTTAAACAATAGATGCTGAATCACACATCAAGTGATGGGTGGACCACTAACTCCACCTATATTTCCCCCTTTTTCTCAACTGGCTAAGAAAAACACTGTTAACATCCATTATGAGCCAAATTCTGTGCCAAAGTGTATAGATACAGGGTAAAGAGACAGCCATGGTTTACATTATATTAAATTTACAGGAAAGCAGTTGCCAGATTCCCTATTTTTTCTCTCCACTACTCTTTCCTATACTGATTACTCATTTCCTATACTGATTACACTGAATCTCTGATGTTAGAAAACCGCTTCAGGGGAAAAACAGAAAGTGATATTCTTTAATAGGCAATAGATATTAAATTTTCACATAAAGGAATATACTTTATTTCAAAAATCCCATTCATCAAATTATCTAAGCTGGGCATTCAACAGGGTGCTGCAGAGAAAGAAATGAATAAAACAAGAGTCTTTCATTAGAAACTAATGGGAGTCACAGACAGAATAATTTGAGTGCTGAAAGAAAATACAAGTAATTTCTTATGGGAGAGTGGAGGACAAGGAGTTTCTCATGTTTATATCCTTAGTGAAGTACCACATAGTAATATTTTAAAGAGGATTTGTGGGATTTAATAAAGCAGCAATAACTTGTGTATAAGGGGAGCCAGGGAAAATCTTAAGGAAAATGTGGCATCTAAATAGTCATCAAAAAGATACAACATTAAAATTCCATCTCATTTACAGTTAGTACTAGTAGAATAAAAGTCAGCTAACTGGGGATAATTGTTTTGTTTAACTTTCCAAGTAATATGTCTCAAATTTCTAAATTGCCTGAAATCTAATAAACAACACATGACATTGGTGTTATCTCCTGAAAGCAATAAGGAAATGAGCCTAAATCTCAGAAAGTTAATTGACTTATACAGTCTGTGCCCATTATCCAGCAGATATGAAATTTTATATTTTTTCAACTTCATCAAGTCTCCTGGTTTAAGTCAATGACCACAGATACTTTTAAAAATATTTTCTAATTTTTACGTTATCTCAGGTGACTGTCTCATAAATAGAAATGACTTTAAAATTTCTACTTTAAAACTTATTTTTAAATATAAAAACCCTGCTTAAATAGATATATTTTATTTTGCTTGTGAGATCAAAGACTCTACGCATTTTTAATCTCTTATATTCTCAGAATTTTTTATAGCAAACATTTTTGTACTGGTTCCCAAACAGAGGATATTTAGGAAATTTCAGCATAATAGAAAGTTGATCAGAAGTAGGCCACATACAATCCTTCAGAAGAATTTCAGAAGATGAAAAAGTCAGTTAGATTGTTTGTTGGGTTCTGACAGAACTTAACATTGAATATCATCAGCCTGAAAGTGGTTTGTAGCAAAAGGTTAGTTATTTTCCCCAAATTGTTTTTTCCATTTGTTGCTCAAAACTATTAAATGGAATGGGGTGACAAAACTATTCAATTTCAACAAAGATAATCCAGAGCAGTTTTAGATGAAGAAGATAAGAAATAACTTGGGCAGAAATATCTATATACTTGTCATAAAATTGTGAGCATTCAGGATTTGACATTCCAAGGAGGACTTGGTATACATGAAATAAAGAAGTTATCCAAGCGCAAGCTCACTTGTCTTCAGATCAAGGTGTTAGTAGCAGGTTGACTGCCATGAGTAGTTTTCAAAATCTTTATCAATAATCTTGATCAGTGACCTGAAAAATTCATTAAAAAGATGCATGCTCTCACTCATCTTTATTTTTCCCAACCATATTGTTGTTTATATTTTACTACCTCCACCACCAACCTATATAGTAAAGTATTTAAAATGAGAGAATTCTACAGATCGTGTAGAAGATATGTATTTTTTTCCAGTATTTGGTTTTGTGATTTTTAAGTTATATGATTTATCTTTTAGCTATATACTCATGGATCATCAAGAGAAAAGATAGCCATAACCATACAAATACAAATTTATAAAGACAGTTAGTATACTTTGTAGCATATTACCTCTTAAAATTCCTCCCAATACTATATTATCTATATTTCTACTACAATAATTTTGCCCACATACTCACATTCTTAGCTCCAGTCAACTTCCTATAGGCATGACAAACAGAAAAGACAGCATTTATGACTTCCATTGTAGGATAAAATAAGGTGCATTTTTCTATTTTCATAAAACTTGGATGGAAAGTAAAAGAAAATATATTCATATCCATGCTTAAACTATCACGTAAGCATGCAATGGGCTTTTCTCCCAAATTGAGCCATTCTTCTATGACATAGACTAGGACCTAACAATTTCTCTGTTTCTAGTTTCTAGGGCACTTGCTAAAATGTGCTTAATTGATGTTGGATGAAATAATATCCACGTTTCCTATAATTAAATTCTAATGCTCATATGTATACTCATAATGTCATCTCCAAGAATAAGGAAGGAATATACGGGAAACTGCTTAATCATCTCACCAGGAATTTCATCCAATACAAATTGGAACTACCAGGGCATGAGAAATTGGTTGCTGTGTCCAAAGTAAGAATTGTAGTCTTTTCCTAATATATGTGCCTGTTTATTGGGTTTCCAGATAACATCTCTAAAAGAAAATTCCTCCTGAGGTTTGTAAAGAGTGTTTGACATATTCATGAATTATTTATTAAAAAAAGTCCTCCTAGTCTGAAACCCTATCTAACAGTATCAAGTTAGAAAGCTGCAGCATTGAAGATAGTTATCAATAAATCAGCTGATAATGTGAGATTTAATTTTAATGCACAAGAAGAGAAGTTGACTTTAAATCCCTTTACCCCATAGCTAATTCCTTAGGCTATATAATCTGGTTATGGTAGGAAGTTTTTCTACAGTAGAAAATCTTGAACAAAATCTACCAGTTGCTCCTCAGAAGATCATCAGCTAGCCTATTGACTCCCTCTTCTGCATAATTAAAATATTTTCTCAGATAACTCAGATTTAACTTCCTGGCAATAAAATCATTTTTCTACCAACTGCCTCTGTCTAATGTTGGTTTTAGCCTGTGGTATAATATTAATAGACTAGAAGAGATGTAAAATATATAAATATATAAATTTTTTAGACAGTGTCTTGACTTGTCACCTAGACTGGAGTGAGTAGCATGATCATAGCTGTCTGTAGCCTAGACCTCAAGGGCTCAAACCATCCTCCTGCCTCAGCCTCTGGAGTAGCTGGGACTACAGGTGTGCACCACCATGACCAGCCATTAAAAATAATGGCAAAAACTGCAGTTACTTTTGCACCAACTTAATAATGTTTTACTGCTTTTTGTAGAGATGGAGTCTCACTATGTACCCAGTCTGGTCTCAAACTCCTGGGCTCAAGCGATTTGCCCACCATGGCCTCCCACAGTGCTGGGATGACAGGTATGAGTCACCGTGCCTGGCCCTCTTATTTTCATTTACATACTTAGTATATAGTTTGAGAGCTATTCTCAAAAAGATTCAGTGCTGAATTTTATTTATTAAGTTAAAAAATAGCCATTGATTTCATGACAATGAAACACTAATGGAAAGACTTCAACACATTCACATTCAGGCTTAACTCTGTGTTCACATTCTTTTCTTTCCGAATGTATCTGCATGGTTCTCTTAAGCTATCTTAAGGCTGGGATGAGTGTGAGGAAACCTGCGTAAACAGACATTAAGGACACATACCCAACTTTAATCAGAGTTATTGTGCTTTTATAATGATTTTGATTTTGAAGTAAAATTTTCTGTGAAGAAAGTATTTGGTAGCTTAAAACACAATGATGATATAATGGATGTTTTGGTTGATGCTAGGTATGAGTTATCTAAAGCCACTACATTAATCTTTTCCAAAAATATTGAATCTTGCAGTGTTGTCAATTCTTAAGGAAAAAGAAATTGGAGAATTAGGGGCAGTAGGGGCTTTGAATTGGATAGGCCCTATATTCCTGATACCATCATTTATCATGTTGTCATGTTCTCTGTTACTGTTGGTATAAGTTAACTCCAATCTCTTGCAGGATCTGAAAATTATTCTGTGGTATTGATCAGTTTATCTTATTAATAGAGACATAAAGGTCTTATTTACGCCTCTCTGGTACATCATTAGTGAGACCAATCTTCAAGGCAGCCTCGTCTAATAGAAATATAATATGAGACACATATGTCATATTAAATTATTTAATAACTGTATTAAAATAAAAATGTGTAATTAATTTTCATAATCTATTTTATTTAACTCAATATAACCAAAATATTATCTCTCCAACATTTAATCATTGACTAGGATAAGTGCTCAAACTGTTCCCAATATCTGATCTCACTCTGTATTTCAATAAAACTTTATTAATGGGCTCTGAAATTTGATTGTCATCTAATTTTTATGTGTCACAAAATATGATTCTTCTTTTGATTTTCTTCAACCATTTAAAAATGTCAAAAGCCATCCTTAGATCATGATCCATAGAAAAGTTATGTTGGTCTCTGAGCTAACACGTTAGTGGGTACATAATTCATAGTATTTTAAAAAAATTATCTTGACTTAATTTAATACCAACTAGTGAAAACTGGGTTAGAATTAAAATTCAAGCTGCAGCCAAACTGAAGAATTTCATGAATTATCTTTTGATTTTTATTATAATGAATAAATGAATAAATTCCATAAAAACTTTGTTTATTCTGGAAAGTCATGTTGTCCTATTTTGTAATTTTCCTACTGCTCCATTTCTGTTGTGGAATAAACTAACTGATCCTGACATTCTACATCTTTTTGCACGGTGGATTTGTAGTTTATGTTTATATTCTCTTGGGAGAATATACTATATTTAGGTGTATTCATTATAGTCATTCTTTTTGGAAAGTTGCAATTCTACACTTTGTCTTTAAATATACTCATATGTTGCATTAGATGAACTGATGAATTAGATGAACTTAGAACCTGTGTTTATATTGTTTATTTTGGGTAGCTCAGTTTTGCCAACATTTATTAGGTATAGAAAATATGCAAAGATATTTCTAGGTAGAGATGTCAATGTTCTATGATCCAGAAAAATTAAAATCTCACCTTTTTGTGAATTCTAAATTGAAGAAAATTGTCAATATAAAAACTGTGATGCTTTATAAATAAGTCTCCTTGCACCCACTTATTTAGATGTCTCTATTAATTGTCAGTCCAAACAAATGCAAGAAGTTAAACATTAAATCAGGCTTTAATTTTAATTTTGAACTTTTAGAGTCAGATTTCTTTTTAAAGACTAAACTGCTTTAAAATAGTCATTAAAACATCATTTTTCTTTTTACCAACTATTTCTAGGGTTTATCAGAGTCTAATAAAACCCCATAGATTAATTAGTCATGACCTGAAGTCATAATTTAAAATATTAGAATATTATGCTAATGTATTATTACATCAAAACACATTTAACTGAAGCCCAAATGAAATGGATTTTTCTCTATTATTAGAACTTTGGAATAATATCTTCAAAGTCAATGTACAATGTGCCATTTTAAAATACCTCAAATACCACTTTATCTTTCTCTTGGGAAATTGGACATATAATTTATTTCTGCCTACATTATGCTATGCAGCAATTCACCTTTGTTTCATATTTGTATTGGGAAGAAATGTTAAATCATTTTTTCTTTGATTATTCTTATTATGCTCCAAGTTTATGTTGGTCTTAGAGTTAATTTTGAATCTTCCAGCTGTACAGGTTGTTGTCATAAAACACACTTTTTAGTAACGTTTCGTTTTTTCAAAACCCATTCCACACACTGCTTTACTTCTCTATGATCTTTTAGGTACACAATGATGAAAAGACCTCATGCCTTGTATTCTCTTGTTTTGCCTTAACTAAAAGGTAAAAGAAGATAAATAGATCCCAACATTTGATTGTCAAATGGACTGCTCTCTGTGTAAAAAGGATTTAGATTAGGAGACAAATTATACAGATTTGAGTCTTGGAAACTCTACAGCTACAAATGTATGCTTAATATTGACGCATAGTGGTTCAGAAATTTTATAGTAAATATATTTTGTACGCTAAATGGAAGTGTTATTAGTTCTGTTGAATACAAGATTCTCCAAAGAAGACAATTAGCCTTAAGTCATTGGGCAGAAATGGTATTAACATCTATGCTAGACTCAGATAATGACAGAAATAGGGCTGCCTGAAATGGATTATTTTGCCGAAACCAGTTGACATAAGAACTTTATAATTGAAGGAGACAGGAAAATTGTATGTGTTGTAAAATTGAGTTAAAAACACTTTGAGATTTGAGTGTTCTTTCTTCTTTGCTTTCTCACTATTATTGAGTTATTCTAAGGTCAACATGAAGCTATAGTGGAACCAAATATTGGCTTATTTCACAAGAAAGAGCTTTAATTTTTCTTGTAAGTAGGATGAAGTAGTCTATGGAAGGCAAATCCTCTCACTAATAAAAATGAGAAAAAAATGGTGTATTACAGCCATATTATAGTAAAGCTATCAGAGAGCCATGGAAGCAAGAAGGACCAAAAGAGCACTCTTCCTAAGAGCAGAGAACAGAGAAGTTCTCAAAGTGCACTAAGGGTGTGAAAATGTTCCTGGGAGCATTAGCCAATTCTAGATGCAGGCTAGACAAAGACAAAGCTTCTGTGTTAGGCCTAGAAAGGGCCGCTATTGAGAAATCAATAGATGTTTTAATGATTATATAGGGCTGGAGTAACAAAATTGAAGACTCAAGGATCCTCACACACACCAATGTTTTTGAGAATTGTAAATTCTGAAGATTTGAGGGTTAGGAAATTAAATGACTAAGCCAAACATTTCTAAAAGCAAAGTGTACTTCCCTCTGTCTCTTTAGCCTGAGGAGGTAAGATCACTCTAGATGTTCATTGAAAGACATGGAGGCCATGTCCTAGGAACTTAGCAAACCAGGAGTAGTCTGAGTTGTGTCAAAACTGGAGCCCAGATTTGAGCCAGTTCACTGCATGTTTTAATTAAAGGGTTCAGCCCATACTTTTTCTGCCTAGCAGAGGAAAGGACAAATTCTGTCTGGTAAGAGCTAAATGGCCTTCAGCCCCTAAAAATTTTAATATAAATATTCATCATTAAATGTAATATTTAGAGACATTTAAAACGAACAGGATTGGAATGATAATCAAGGGCATAAAACAGATGCTAAAAGGATACCATTAGATGATCCGGATGTTGAAGTTAACACCAAATGACTTTAAGTTATAATAACAATATTTAAAAAGCTAGAGGAAGATTAAAGAATAAATAAAAATATAGATTTAAAAAGGCTAATTACAACAGAGAAAGATAATATATAAAAATAATCAATTGGATATTCTTGAATTAAAAGGTAAATATCTGAAATTAAGACTGGTGGTTGCATTTACCAGCAGATTAAACAGAAGAGAATGCAGGATTAGTCAACTGGAAGTAATATTAACAAAAAATATGTATGTTGAAGCATAAAGAAAAAATAATAATGATCAGATAAGAAACCTGTGGAATATAATTTAAGCATCCAAAATACTATTTGGAATAAGAGAGAATGATTAAGAAACAGATAAATAGCCAAAGATTTTTAAAATTACTGAAATGCTTTAACACATTGTTTACAAACCTCAGCAAAACCTAAGCAAGATAAACATGAAGAAAATACGATTGAGGAACAGCATAATCAATCTTTTAAAAACTAAAAATAAAGAGAAAATATTAAAGCTGCTAGAAAAAAAATCTTCTTCATCTTATCTGATTCCTCACAGAAATTATGGAAGACAGAAGAAAGTGAAATGTTATCTTTGGAAACTTTAGTCTTCATTCTAAAATATTTGTTATGGAACAATTAGAAATTTGAGATAAATTTTACAAGAAAAAAGTAAGCAGTTCATCAAAATAGGACAGAAAAATAGTAAACAAATGCTTTTACATTGCCAAGTCTGACATGTACAATTTCAGTAAGGTAGGTAAAATTGAAGAAGTCATTGTGAGTTTCCTGAATAAAGTGATTATCAATGTCCTTACAAGATAAAGTGGGAGATTTACACTTTTCATTACCAAATACTTTTTTCATAAACTCTGAAAAATGAATTTATAGATGTACATGATAATTGCATACTTTACACAATTTTTAAAGGACTCTTGTGACTAATTCAAGCAAAATTTTACATAGATTTAAGTCACTATCAAATTAGCATGAGTTTGTTCCATAAGAATCTCCCTTTTAGTATATGTAAAAGTTAATCATTTTTATCTTTCAAAGTTTACTGGCTTCTAACTCATCCCATTTCTCTCATCAGCCTTTTTTAGTGTTCTTCATAGGTGAAATTTTCTTTGCATACCTTGCAATGGTGGCGTCCCCTAAAGTTCTGTCCTGGGTATATTCCACAATCATTTTCATTACCTTGTAGTGTTTTTCTCACACAATTTTAAGAATCATCAAAATTCTAAATAGCCAAATAAAAACATTTCTGATTCAATTTATTCTCTTATTATTTAGACTTGGATATTTAACTACCTCATTTCTCCTTTCTGTTGTCCCACAGACACTGTAAATGTGTTCAAACTGAATTCAGATTTTTATTGCTCCTCCCTTCTTGATTCCATGGCTCTGCTGATCTTGGTTCTCTTAAATTTTTTGTCTTGATTACTGGCTCCACCATCACTGGTGTCTAATTTCTATTGATCCTTTCTTTTTTATGTCTTTTCTCATTCTTCATTATATTGCTACTGCCTTCTTTTAACATTTCTCTGCTAGAATAAATGCATGATCTCTGACCTTCCCTATGAATCCCCCCACCATAGTCCTTACCAATGCAGGATAAACACATGTATCTAATTATGGCCCTCTACTGATTAACATTACTTAATGACTCCTCATTACATATAGGGAATAGGTCAAAATCCATAATAATGCAGGCAAAGTCCTGCATTATCTATTTTTTGACTGCCTTTATTATTATACTTTCTGCTATTGCCCATGACATCCTACCATCCATGCTCTAGGGTTTCTGAATATCTTGCTGATCCCCAAAGCAGCCATGCTATTAAATATATTACTTATTAATGTTGCCCTTTCTGCTCAACTGCAAAGTCAATTCAACAATTAAATTTCCATGAAGATTTTCTGTACCACTATTGCCAAAACTAGCCTCAGACATTGTGCCTGTGTATGAGTTGCTATCACAAACCAAAAAGCTTTCTGTCACTGACAAATCTGTTTCTCTGTATTAAAATGATCTAAAGTTTATAGACGGTTTCTGACTCATAGTTTTTCCATCTTCAATACAATGTATAGCAGCTAGTAAATGTTTGCTGAATGTCTGAATGAATACCAAGTTTTTTTTAGGTTTTATTGATGTGATTTATTCTAAAACATATCCAAATCCTTAATATTATAATACAGTAAATACACAATTTCATCTCTGGAAAAAGAACAAAAAGAATGAAACCAACATAATTTGAACACACTTGACCTCAACTGTGGTTGATTAGTATTTTGCTGCACTTTGTATTTTTTAATTGAACAATGTTCATCTTATAGGAGCTCAAAATTTAGATATTTTTATCATTTTTTGTATTGTGTACAGTTCCTTGGAAATAGAATAAAATAAAAAGTAGAATGAGTTAAAGTACAGATTTAAGTACTTTTAGACAATAAGATTGCCATAAAAATCTATAGATTTTTGTAGTGTTTACTTTTACAACCAAAATAATTTAAACTTTTCTTTCATTTCTCACAATGATAGTAGTTGTTAAAAATGGAAGCGTTTATGACCTACAAGTCACTCTTTTTTATTGGGTTGATGTTATCTAAACTTGATATGTTCATAGATTTCTATAGCATGAAATGTAAAGCAATAGTGTTCCTCACATATCATTGCATTAAAGTGGACATTTTCTAAAAAGAAATACAGTGTCTGGTATAAGGCTAACATATTATTAATACCTGTCAAATTTCTTCAGTTCTCAAATTAAAACGTGGACATTTAAAAGTGTACATTTAAAAGCTGTACGTGCATATGAAATGAGGCATTTCTTTTGGAAGATGATACAATCCTCGCAATATAGTTAAATAATAGAATTTAATATTAACATTTTATTTAAAAAGAAACTACTAAACTATAAAACTATTTGGTTTATTATAAAATTAGAAATTAAAAGAAGTATAGAGAAGAAATTCCAACATACCTATGAGATGATTAGTACTGATCTTGAGTAAACTTCCTTCAGTCTTTCATATTTTTTTGCAAAATAAAATATATATTGATGTGTGTTCTACTCTTTAAAAATTAATATCAAAACAGGCATTTCATTTTATTAAAATACTATTTATCAATATATTTTTAAATATTTTGGCATTTTGTCTTTAGGATTTTTACATTATATCATATTCTTAAAATGTGTTGTCAATTTTCTTGTAAAAATGTTGGTATCTTGTCAAAATTCTGGACTTATAAAATGACTTTAGAAGCTTTCTAGAGATTTATTTTTTAAAATTATCTATAAATCATTGAAATTAGATTTATAATTTGAAAAGGTCTCAAGCAGAATCCTGCCATTTTTAAGATAATACATTATTTACCTACTCAGTTTTCTTCACATTACTGAGCTAAAAAATTTTATACTTCTATTGTGAAATCTCATAAATTACACTTTTTCAGAAATGTACTCTAGTTGATATTTTGAACGATGTTAATATATATTATTCTCCCATAATTAAAGACAATATGCCTTTCCATTATCATATCAACTTTCCAGTTTATCACTTTTGAGAATGAGGAAATATACCATTTTCTATTTTTCTCTCATTTTCAGAACAACTTGGCAGCATTTGTAGTATTGAACTTTCTAAAATCAGGTTTACAAATTATTTATAAATTATATGTTTGCTTTTTTGTACATATATTTACTTCAATATTTATTTTTAATTTTTCCCTTTTCTATTACTTTCTCTATTTAATTTTTTACTTTCAAACCACTTAAACTGTTAGTTTATTTTCATATATCATTATTCTTTAATTAATTCAAAATGAAATAAAAACGGAAAATACATTTTTAAAATAAATAACACTACTTTAATTTTTATCTAAAAACTTTAATGCTTTATTATTGAAGTAAGCTATTTAGCCTATTTATTTATGAGCAAAACTGTGCCTTTTGTCTCAAAGTTTTCACATACATTTTTTCTTATCACTGTAATTTTACTTTCCTTTTTTGCATCAATAAATATTCAGATGTGAAAGAGTATTTTAGAGGGTGTCTATACTATGTGTTAGGTAGCGTTGGCAAAAGGGGGTTATTTCCAAGTGTTCTGTAAGCATTGTTTAAACTTTGACATATATTTTTAATAACATGTTTAAACAATTAAGTTTTAAGTTTCCCTGTCTTATACTTAGCAATGTTTTATTTTTAGCCTCGTGAAATACCAATGTTTTTTAAAAAAAAAATTAACGAACACTTGGAAAGAAGAAGGTATCATATCATATTTGGGAAGCTCAAAAGCAAATGTGACTTCACTCAACTTTAATTTATTGTTCAAATTTTCTATATTCTTTGTAATTTGATGTAACACAAGTATATGAGATATACAGTGTTTCTCATGTTTCTGTGTTTTTCTTCTCTTCTTCTATATTTAAAGGGATGGGCTGCCCTTCTTTTTAAACAGATTTATGACCTTTAAACTGAAAAATATTCTAAAGAAATAAAATTTATGGCCATATCATGTAGAAACAAGAGCAACGTATATTTTCTCTTTCTCAAGTTTCTACTTTTAGGTCAAGTTTTCTATATCTTTACCTCAAAGCTATAATTTCCTCATAATTTTTATCACTTTCTTAAAACATTTCTTTCAGGGAGTTTATTGAGTTTGTCTTTTATATGTTACTTTATTTTCTGCACTGTGTGTTCTGCTTATACTATATGTTCTGCTTATGTATCAAATAACCACAAAACTGAATGGATTAAAATATCAACTAGCATCACATTTGTTCATGAATCTGCAGTTTGGACAGGTCCAGGTGGGGGTAGCTTGTCTGTTTAATCATGGCTGTCTATGGGGTGCTTCAGTGGCCTGGGATAGCTGAAGGGCTAAGAAATGTTTTCTTTTTGTGAAGTCTCTGGGCTGCTCCAAGTGATTTTTCTACATGGTCCATTCAAAATGGCAGTGTCAGGGCAGTAGAATTTACATGGCAAGTGTTGTAGGAGTCAGGAAATGGAGGGTGCCAATCTCTCAGGATCTGGACTCAGAGACAGACACAGCATCATTTCCACCATATTGAGTTGGTCAGGCTATCACGTAGCCTGTCTAGATTCAAGAGAAGAGAAAATAAATTCCACTTATGGATAGAGGGAGTAAAAAGGCATCTATTTTAGATGCATCATCACTATTAATATTTAGAAAGCCAATTTTTCATGTCTAAATAGTTCTTCCCTAGCTTGGATTATTCCCTTGCTTGATGGCTTCTCTAAGAATTTTTGTCAAATTGTTGCTTCCATCACTGTTGGCTGGAGAACGCTTTCACAGCATTGTAGTATCTTTGAATTACAAAAGCCTCCATGTCTAAGAACATGTTGAATGTGAGATTCTTGTTGCGACAGAAGTGGGAATTAGAGGCTGAAGCCAAGGAAAAAAGTCCACATATATTATATAAGTGGTAAAAAGACATTTGGAGCTAACCTCCTTTCTCAGGACTTAAGAATTGGTTGAACAAGCTATGCTATCCCCAACTGTAATCCAACACAACACAGATTTTTGTCTATAAACATAAAGGCCCAGGGAAGAAAATAAAAGGTTAAAATTAGGAGTTCTTGGTAGGAGGAAAATAGGAGAGGAAGGGGACTTCCTACCATTACAGGCCAAGCAAAATGGGGTCCCATGTGAATAAATCATGGAAAACAGGATGCCCCAAAGAAAGGCTGTCATATTTTCAACAACTGGATGTTTGGTGATTGTTTAATCTCTGCATTTACTCTAGGAATAACTTTTGAATAGTGTATTAGTCCATCCTTGCACTGCTATAAAGAAATACCTGAGACCGGGTAATTATAGAGAAAAGAGTTTCAACTGGCCCACAGTTCTGCAGGCTGTATAGGAAGCATAGTGGCTTCTCTTTCTGGGAAGGCCTCAGAGAACTTAACAATCATGGCAGAAGGCGAAGGAGAAGCAAGCACGTTTTACATGGCCAGAGCAAGGAGCAAGAAAGAGAGGTGGGAGGTGCACACTAAACACTTTTTAACAACCAGATCTCACAATAACTCACTAACTCACTATCATGAGAACAGCACTGAGGGGATGGTGCTAAGCCATTCATGAACACCACCCTCATGATACAATCACCTCCTACCAGGCTCCACCACCAACACTGGGGATTACAATTCAACATGAGATTTGGTAGGGACACAGAACCAAACCATATCAAATAGAGAAGAGTGCTGTAAGGAGAAAAAAAAACTGTTTTATGTTGGTGCATCATCAAATTCATACAGTTTAATTAACTGCATATATTTGCCAATATTGATTTGAAATTTATAAAATACTTGAGTTGGCTTTTGTTGATAATAAGTATGGATCTCCATTCAAAATTTTCACAAAGAAATGTTTATGATTAGGTGTCCTCAGATGAAAGAGAGACTCCTAGCCGGGTACCATTTGATGATTCAGCCACCCAGGAATATTGTGGGAGGGAATTAATTTTGGTAATGACTGTTTTTATAATTTTCTTGTTTCTTGATGGTGATAGAGATCCAAATAATGTTTAATGAGTGCTATGCAGGTAAAGCCTTTCTGACTTAATGGGTATCATTTGAAGGAGCCTACTTAGGGTTTTACTCTTAATACTGACTAAAAATACTATGTACTTGAAAGAAAGTGGAGGAAGTGGGATTGTGTAAAATGTTGCTAATGAGTGTTGTAGTGATTTATCTTTTTTATTTGATTTGATTCAAAATGGTGTCTTTGACATTGAATCTAGCAGAAATTCCACCAGTTTTCTGGTATATGGGTGATACTTTTCTTTAGCTATCTTTTCTGGCATGAACATTTTCCTCTCACATTTTCATAGTTTGTAGACAATTTTAATGGGAATTTTGGAAGCAGGATTAAGGACCTTATTGTAAGCCCATGAATCTAATCTTATGCTTTTGATTTATATTTGAGCCATATCCATTTATATTTTGGGAACAATAAATGAAAAATGAAAAATACTTGAAATCATAGTGTTTTGTTAGCCAGAAAGACACATTATGTCTTAGCTGAACCTGAGAAAAATATCTTTCTAAGCTACTTATTCTTTATGGTATAAGTTGCTTCGGTATACATTTTTTTTTCATGTTCGGTAATGTGCTGATGTTATAAAAAGGTTTGAGGAAGGTACATTTCACACAGGAGTGTGAAAACCCAATCATCATGCTTATGAACTGCAAGAGGATTCCTTATACATTTTCAACTAAATATAGATGATTGATAGATGGATAGATAGATAGATAGATAGATAGAGACAAAATTGCAGTTATTTTATTTATATGGCATAGGATTTAAGATAAAATGGAAAACACCATATGAACAAAAGGAAGAAATTATCTGAAATTATAACTAACGGAAAAATGAAACAAAGATTTTTGAGAACATGGGATAAATTTTCTGGGGTATAGCTAAGTTCACATACTTTACAATATAGAGGGCACCCCTATAGTAACTTCTTTTTAACTATAGAAGATTTTAGAATCCTATTAACCATTTCTTTCAGCCATCTTCCATTCCTTATCATCCCCCTGACTCTCTCCTCAATAGCTTTAAGAGAGAAAGATAGTGGTAAAGGATGAGATATAGTATTGGGGAAGATTGAAACTCAAAGCTCTGTTCAGACAGAATAGAAACCAGAGAAAAATGATGTTATCTTCTGAGTCCTGGTTTTGGTTGCCTCCAATCGTTTTTCCTTTGTCTAATATGTCTCACTTTTGTACTTAAAAAAAGAACTATTAATCGAATCACATTACACCTCAACATTATTTTGTCCCTTTTGGCCATCTTTAAATAATTATACAAATTGTATGTGATATTTACCCAGTCAAGAAATCTCACAGAGGTTCTCAAACATTTGTCTAATTTTTTCTCATTGAAATGTATTACATTCTAACTTGGAAAATGATTATTCAAGTGATACTTTTTAAAAACAGGATTATTTCAAAATATAATATTTACTTAGGGTCTACTTTTATGGTGATTCTATTTCCTTGTTATTTAATGAATTGGTTAAAATACTTCAGGAATTATCTTTTCGTATGATACCACTGTTTTAAATTTCATCTTCTGGAGATGAAATATTTAAAAGTTTAACATTACCAAAGTAAACTAATCTTTGCAATGACTTTTTTCGTGACATTTAACAAAGTGTAGACTACAAGCCACAATGTATCTGATTTGTAAGTGGCCATGACAATAGTGGTTACTTACTTCCTTCAGGCACTATTTCTGTTTTTGCTTGCTCCAAAAGGAGGTATTTTCTTTGGCTCTTCTCTGTACAATGCCACAGATCTATTGGCTAAGGAGAACCATGTGTTAAGTATTTTTGAATTTTACAAATGAGTTTTTGTCATTGACTATGGGGAAAAACAACTACTTCTTTCTCTTCTTGCCGTCTTCTCTTCCTGCTCCTCCTCCTTTCTCCTCTTTCCTCCTCCTCTTCCCCTTCCTTCTTCTTTTGTTTGTGTTGTTATTAGTTTGTTTCTTACTGTGGGGATCAATGAACTCTGGGGATCAGCTTACTGAATTGAATAGCTCTACTGCAGCATTTAGAGCAAGCTGTGGCGGGGCCTGTAAGAACAGCCAATTACTGATTTGGTACCCAGTTAAAGAATACATTTCCTAGCATCCTATTTGAATAGATGCGGGCATATGACTAGATTTTTGTCCAATAGAAAATAAGCAGTATTTAGGTGAACAAATTTCACAGTCTTGCCCTGAACTAGATGTGTGCCTCCCTGCCTATCATCCTCTTTCCTGTTGATAGGAATGTGGATAGAATAGTGGGAAATGGAATATTTTTTTTCTAGGAAATAGTTCAGGAGAGCAGAGAAACAAACCAAAATAATTCTGGTTTTAAAAACCAGAATACTCAAATGTTGGCTTTTATCATCTCAAGCAGTATAATATTGGAAAAGTCTCTGAAGTTCTCTGAACTTCAGTTTTCTTATTTTAAAAACATGGATAATATTATTGTGAGAATCAAATGAGGTTGTTTTTGTTATAAGAATTATTATATTGTAAGAATAAAATGAGATAATGTGTGCAAGGTACCTAGGACAGTATACAACTACAAAAAATGTTATTTCTCTTCCCTATTCTTTTCTATTTAACTCTAAGTTTATATTCTATATAGCTATTTTTTAATTATTTTTCAGTAGATGTGTGAAGCATATTAATTAATTACAAAAGTGTAATCTCTTCTATCTAATCTACTGTTGATTCTGTCCAGTGCATTTTTTTAATCATCTCCCCCATCTTAGTTTTCATGAAGAAGACTGATTGATATATATCATATATCTCTACTTAATATTTTGAACATGTGTAATTCAACTATAATAACTTCATTAATATCTTCTGATAATTCTAACATCTATATTAGTTTAACTTAACTGTATATTTTTCTCTTCATTATAGGACATATATTCTTGCTTCTTGAAAACTTAATAATTTTTATTAAATGCCAAACATGGTAAATTTTACCTATGTGAGTTCTGGACATTTTTGTGAATCTATAAATATTCTTGAGTTGTGTTCATTGGATGTGGATAGGTAACTTAGAAATGATTTAATTCTCTCACATCTTGTTTTCAAGATGTGTTAGGTGGGACTGGAGCGGTGCCCATTCCAGGGATAATTATTCTCCACTACTAGGCAAGACTCTTCTACGTATTCTACTCAGTGCTCCTTAAGTCATAAAGTTTTCCAGTCTGGTTGATGCAAACAGGACTATTTCTGGGCCTAGGTGAGTTCTATGTCCTGTTCACTTGCAATCCTTTGAACTCTTTTTTCCCTGGGCATGAGGTAGCCCCTTCACATGCTTGTGTTGAGCAGTACTCCATTGAATACTAGAAAGGGGCCCCCTGAGATATCCAAAATTCTCTCTGTGTGAGGTGCTCTCATCTCCAGTACTTTCTCCTATGAACACTCAACTCCTTGATCTGTCTCAGCTCCAGCTCCTCAATTCATGGGCCATCAGACTCCACCTGTGTTCCCCTTCTTTCTGTCACAGCAAGGAAACCCTCAGGGTAAGGTAGAGCACTCCTAGCATCACTTGACTTCTCTCCTGTCTTTTGAAGATTACTGTTCTTTGTTGTTTGATGTTCAGCGTCCTGAAAACTGTTGCTTCATATATATTATCTCTTTTTTTATTATTTTAGGTGGGAGGGGAAATGAGTTAACTGTTACTTTATCTTGACAAGAAATAAAATTTAGGAGCAGGAAATTTGGTAAGCTAAAATATTTTAAGAACTTTCTATACTTAATCCTGATTAATCTTTAAAAGTTTCTTGATTAAATATTATTCATTCCTCCATGTTACACATCAAGAGGCTGAGAATTTTTTTGAGGTTAAGTTACACAGACCAGGAGCCCAGACTGTCTGAGCAAAAGTGTATTTGCTTAACCTCATGTTATTTTACTAAAGAAATACACATGATCTTAGACCCACATGTAGTCTAAAGAAAGAAGCAAGACACATAAAGTAACAGTTAAAATGTATTCCAAAAAAAAAAAAGAACTATGATGGAAGACTGTAAAAAAAACTTAAGAGAACACAGAAAAAGAAGCTAACAACTTATAATTTGTTATTGAATAAATAATGAACTATTTAAAGAATAAGTTATTTGTAAATGCATGGAAACTGTATTTTGTATAATAAATGTTTTCATACAGTCTGAAAGGTAGTTTCCCAGTTACCTGTTGCTGCATAAGAAACTAACACAAAATTTATTGGCTTAAAAAAAATCAGTCATCTTATTATGCTCACAGTCTGGGCATTAGAGATTTAGATAGGATTGGACTGGGAGAGTATTCTATTTCATGAGGCATCAACATGGATCAATCAGTGGTATTCAGTTCTTAACTAAGACTAGCCTGAGGGTCAAAAAGGGCTGCCCTCATATACTTTGTGTTTTGGCAAAGACTATGGGAAGGCTGAGCTCATCTGGGTTTTTTTCTTCTCCATGTGGTGTCAGGGTCTCTCCACATGGCCATTTACAAGCAGGAATGCATGGGTGTTTCAAGTATGAGCATTTAAAGTAGCAAAGCAGATATTCCTAAGAAAAGACACTTCACATTTAATTCCTTAGCCAAACAATGGTAGGAAAAAAATGTCGGTGATCTCTTTTATGTACATTGGTGTCCCAGGAATAAATAAAGGTGGCAAAAGCTAAATTCTCAGAATCATCTATGGTTGCAAATATAGATCCCCGAAATAATAGGATCCCCTTATAAATACATAAGACTACACTTTTCTAACTAAAAAAAAAAAATGCTTTCTATTAACTATTCTAACTATGTGCTAAGGAAAGCACTAACAATTCATATTTCTGATGCATAATCCAACCATGAAAATATAACAAATTAGAAATTATTAGTTTTACAGTACAGTGTCTTTTAAGGATAAATGTGATAAACTCTCCAGTCCTTAAATCTTTTAAGATGTTACAAAGCATAACACCATCACTTTATGTAAATAATACATATAATTAAAAATAGTCCTTATCAATAATAAAATCTTAGTTCAAAACTTTTAAAATCATATGCAAATGAAGCCTTCAAAGTGGAGGGCTAAATTCTATGAAAAAGAAACACAAAAAGAGGATGCTAAATTTTGGATCATTGTTTACAACTAGAAACAGTATGTAAAGATGTTAATATAATCACAGTTTTACTACCTATTTTGATCTTTATCCCTTTCAATATGTTTCTTTCTTTACTTGAATTTTAACATGTGTAATTGTAGAGGCATTTATAGATTTGTTCCCGTTGGAATAAATATGAAACTCTCTTTTCTATAATAGTTCTTTGCTCATGTCCATAAAGTGTTGTATTAATAGATTAGTAAATTGTATCTGAGAATGAAATTAAAAAGGAAGAGTAAAATGCACACACATGCACACACACACACACAAACATACACAGCCCTTCCCCACAATTGTGAGTAGAAGATTGTAGAAAAAAAGAAGTAACAAATATAGTTCTCCTGAGATCTATACTAGGGCCAATCTCATTTAGCTTCTGTATAAATGGCCTTGAAATAAGAGTAAACTCTCAACCATACTTTGGTTTGAAAACAGTAGACAGACCGAAGTATGGGATAAAGCTACAGGGAAATCTTAATAGAATATAGCCGTGACCGGGAATGTTACAAATGAAATTTAATGTAGTACAGTCTTATTTTCACATTACATGGGAAAATGCCAGAATCATGGTAGAGGGAAAGCAGAATAGCTTATATAATTTAAAGCTGGAAATAAAGGTACTTTTAAAGTATTTACAATTTTTAATTTATAAAGGTATTTTTAAAAGGTATTTATAATTTTCCAAAATGCTGCAACTCCTGTGAATGTGTGTATTTTGAAAGTTTGCATACAGATTCTAAGAAAATGAAGTAAACATATAGGTGCTAACTACTAAAATTTATAACCCTGTACATGAATTAAAAACTTGGAGTCATGATAATCATTTATGAATACTTCTCAGTATAGGGAGTTTGTTTCTGTTTCTCTCATTTTTATCTATACAGTAAAACTCATAGTACAGAGTGACAATAAAAAGTGGGAATGTGTATGAGATGTTAAAATCTTACTTATAAGTGAAATAAGATGTTGAACTACATGATCTAAAGAACAGTGAATGAGCAATTATTTTTCTCCTTTCAGCCAGTACCTTTTAAAATTCTGCTGCCTTTGTTCCTTTAATAGTTGTGATAGCTCACTTTTCATACTGAAGAAAACACTCTTTCTTGTAGACCAATCCTTGGTAGAGAACTGTTCAATTGGTGGATGACATTAAATTTCTTGCTCTTAAATTTTTATTGCTATTGTTAAGTTTTGTAAGCTTATATAATAATAACTCACATTCATTCTACCTTCCAAATTTGAACTCATTAGTCAATAAATACCTCCTGTCTTCATGTATATTTAAAATATTTTTTGTTAATATGTGAGAAAGTAACCATATTAACAAATCAGCCTTTATTCATTTAAGGATAAAATCAGAGAAGAGGTAGAAGTAGGGTGAGAAGAGGTCAGAATACCTAGGATTATTTTCTTTACCTCAGGCTCCAAATCAGCCTAAGAAATTAAATGGATGAGAGATAGATACCATCATAGGGATGCTGGAAAAGTCTAGATATAATTGTCTTTCCTTTTGAAAATACACACAGATACAATTTCCCCTAAGGAACTTAGTCTTAGAACTTCAGAACAAGGTCAAGTCCCTAAGCTTTGAGAAGGACTTCTTGTACCAATACATGAAGAGCTTGGGTGACTAATTCATGCTGCAACTGCACAGCTTTACAAGTATGTGTATGAAAGTTGAGTAAACACAGTAACCTTAGTTCTTTTCATGACTGTCTTTAGCTTATGAGCTTGGGCTCTGGAGTCAAAAGCCTTGAGAGTCGAGGTTTGACTCTGGTCCTGATGTATGACCTTGAGGAAATTATTTAACATCACTCTTCTCTGGTTTCCTTATCTTTGCCGCTAGCTCATAGAGTTGTTGTGATGGTTACCAAGCATAATTCATGTAAGAAAGATAGCACAGTGGCTGGAATATAGTAAGTATTCATTAAATATTAGATATTGAGAATGTCTTGTTGATATGATAATTATGCCTTTCCATCCTTTATATGTTTATAAAACATCAGAAATGGCAGGACCTACTAAAGATGATAAAGATGATGATGATGATGATGATGATGATGATGATGATGATGGAGATGAAAAGGAGTAATTTCTCACAAGTGATTTTTCTCTAAAGATATGGCTAATTATTACAACTTTTGTATGAACTTTGTATTGTGACATTTATAGGGAAACTTAGGTGATGATAATGATGATGATTATAATGATAATGATGATATTAATGTAATGGCTTCCCTCAAATACAGCATGTCTTCTTTTAATCTAAGTATGCTTATGTTTTAGAATCATTAACAGCTTTTTCAAATATAAAAATCAGGGAATCAACAACTACTCAACAAATGTTTAATATTTGCTAAACACAGTGGAAGACCAACAGGATCTTGCAATATTTTGAAGAAAATAAGCTCCTTGTGCCTAAGAAATTTATCAAACTCACCATTCACTCAGTTCAGGGCCTGTGCTTAGCAAAGCAGTACTTGTGTGTTTCAGATTAAATTGATAGTATATAAAAATAATAATTACAAACAGTACAGATGGAGAATTAGCTGTACCATAAATTATCTGTTAAATTACTATAATCCATCCAGAAAAGATGAGGATTTTAAAAGGTACCCAGATATTTAAAACATAATCTCTTAGATGGTTCACAGTCCTGTAATTGCCTAACATAGACACCTATTCCTAATGTATTTTAACTTTATGCGTGCCGTGGATCCTTCCCCTGGGAAAACTACTAAACTGAAAATTCCATATTGTGAAGCAAAACAGCAGAGAAAAATAATTTTTATGGGAGAAAGAAGTGTTGTGATTAAATAAATTTGAGGAACACTAGGATAAACAAAATTATATGCATTTCACTTCTGCAAGACTTTTCAGGGTATCAAATATAATAATGAGAATTGTCAGCTTTTAAAAATGTATTCTAATGTGCTATCCTTAACCTGAAGTAGCTCAGTAGACAGACGTCCTAAGAACCTCAGTTCTATGTAGGAAACACTTAACTATGCAAAGTATGTGTGTACCACAAATTCAAATATACCAGAATAGTTCTCAGTTCATATGGTTCTGCCTTGCAGGGGCATTTTAGAAATTTTAGAGGGTATTTTTACCTTTTACAGTAGTCAATGTTTAACATATTTCAGTGTATACTATTTTATTTTATATCACGAATTGTTTTCTTTGTTTTTTTTCTTTATGCTTGAATTAAGGCATTACATTGCTTATTTTTAAATGTTATTTTTAAAATATGTTATATTATCTATGAATTTTATTTCATTACACATGTCAAAAAATATTTATTATAGCAAAGGGACATTGAATCTTAAAGTTTTAACCACTACTCTGAAATTACTATCTCAACTTAAAAAGGTAACATTTATTTTAGATTATTACTACTAACAATAGTTTTCTCCTGTGTCATTAAAAGCTCCGTGTACTAGAAGAAGGAAGAGATAAAGTGAAGACAGATAATGTGCTGTGGCTTTCTGGAATACCATCAAGGTACTTTTTTTTTCCTTGTTTGATTGAAGTACATTACATTTACCTAAATCATCCAGGGGCAACTCCTCCTGAGCAAATGACCACCATTGGGCAGGAGAATTCCAAGGTATACCTTTATTTAAGCCTAGATTCTAACTGGAAGCTCAGAACCTATCGTTTAGAAAGCGTTGGTCTCCTAGCAAACAATCTACCTATTTACTTAGCAATTTTGAGCTGTGAGTGTTTCAATTACTTCCCTGGCCATTGTTTTTAAATTAGAGAATTGTCAGCCTAAGCAAGGAAAAGTACACTTTTACTTAATTGATAAAAAGGTTAGTTTAATCCTTACTCTGAACTGGAACTTTATGGACTTTATGCCAATGACAGAATACTCACAGCAGCCATTAAAATATGTTGTTTTTCAGAATTTTTATTTTACTTCATGATGTCACCCCTCTTTATGTGCATTTCTAATTCAGGCTAGGGCATCTGGATCTCACTATGACCTGAAAGATGTTTTTGATAATTTTGAATTGGTTATCAAAATTTAAATATCTAAAGATTTCCTATTAATATATGATTATATAACTTCTCTTGAAAAGTCAGGCTATCTGACCTCAGTGGTTATACATTTTCATATGGGAATAATCAGTTGGAACTAAAGAGTAGCTAGCCCTTTCAAGAAGATATATTTTATCCATTCACTATAGTCACTGCTATTCCCTCATGTCTGCTTTACTTACTGTCTGCGTTAGACAATTTTTCTCTTGCTACTGAACAGAAAAATAAAGAGATTGCATGTTTCATGAAATATTACCCTATCTATTTACTATTCAAGGAGTATCTCTGCCTAAAGAAAACTATCGAAATCCTGTATTAGAGCAAAACTTGTTTATATCACCTGCCTGACTCGAAAGTTATTTGAGTTACAACAGTTGACCTAGGTGACTAGATTCAGCAATCAAGATGCAATGAATCCTCCTCCTTCTTCTGCCACCTTCATAAAATTCTATCGGTCCTTTGTATTTGTATCTTTGACTAAGCACTAATTTAAGGTTTGCTTAAGGTTGACTGCCTACCTACTACCTAATAATTTAAGGTTTGCTTTTGCCAAGAAAAAAAGTTGAATTTGAAGTATGGTAATAAGGGAAGTGTAAAATTGAAGCTATTCTTCAGTAAGATTGTTTTTGTAAACAGAATATCAGCTTGAAACAGATTGCCTTCAAGGATTTGCACAAATGCAGATGAAGGCAATTGTAAAAATAATTTTAATAATTCAACAATAATTACAGTGCCATTTAATGCAAAGGATGTTATACTAAGTGACAAAATTATCTCCTTAATCAAACTCTAGAAAGACTTCTCTAAGTCCTTTCTCAGTTTGGGCCCATCAGTGGGCATGTCCTCAAGAACCCAGTTTTAGCAACAATTAAATCAAGTCAGTTTAATCATCATTTCCCACCGAATATCCAATCACTGTCAATATCTTGTCAAATTCCTATCTCCAACCACCCCCCCAAGTGATATCTTGAAGGCATTTAAAACAATACTTTAGATAACACACAAATGATAAAAAATCAAAATGGCCTTATTACTGATATGGAGAAACTTTTAGTGGTCTGGATAGAAGATCATAACAGCCACAGTATGCTCCTAAGCCAAAGTCTTATCTAGAGCAAGGCCCTAGCTCTCTTCAATTCTGTGAAGGCTGAGGAAGGTGAGGAAGCTGCAGAAGAAAAGTTTGAAGCTTGCAGAGGCTAGTTTATTAGGTTTATGGAAAGAAGCCATCTTCATAACATAAAAGTGCTAGGCAAGGCAGCAAGTGCTCATGTAGAAGCTGTAGTAAGTTATCCAGAAGATTTAGCTAAGATTATCGATGATGATGGCCATACTATAAAATAGATTTTCACTGTAGATAAACACCTCTCTATTGGAAGAAGACTTTCCTATCTAGAGAGAAGTCAATGCCAGGCTTCAAAATTTAAAAAACAGGCTTACTCTCTTGTTAGGGGTTCATGCGCTAGTAGCTTTAAGTTGAAGCCAGTGCTCACTTGCCATTCCAAAAATCATAAGGCCTTTAAGAATTATGCTAAATCTACTCAACCTGTCCTCTAGAAATGGAACAAAAAAGCCTGGATGACAGCATGTCTATTTACAGCATGGTTTACTGAATATTTTAAATCCACTGTTGAAACCTACTACCCCTCCTAAAAAAAAGATTCCTTTGAAAATATTAATGCTCATTGACAATGCACCAGGTCACCCAAGAGCTGTGATGAAAATGAACAAGGAAATTAATGTTGTTTTCGTGCCTGCTAACACAATCTCCATTTTACAGCCCATGAATTGAGGAGTAATTTTGACTTTCAAGTCTTATTATTTAAGAAATACATTTTGTAAGACTATAGCTGACATAGAGAGTGATTCTTATGATGGATCTGGGCAAAGTAAATTGAAAACCTCTGGAATGATTTACCATTTTAGATGCCATTTAAATACATTTGTGATTCATGGGAAGAGGTCAAAATATCAACATTAACAGGAGTTTGGAAGAAATTGATTCCAAGCTTCATGTATGACTTTGAGGGATTCAAGACTTCAGTGGAGGTAGTAACTTCAGATGTGGTAAAAATAGCAAGAGAACTAGAACTAGAAGTGAAGCCTGAGAATATGACTGGATTGCTGCAATCTCAATCAAACTTGAATGGATGAGGAGTTGCTTCTTATCAATGAACAAGAAAAGTGATTTCTTTGAGATGGAATCTATTGCTGGTGAGGATGTTGTGAATATTGTTGAAATGACAACAAAGTCATTTGGAATATGGACTATTCCATAAACTCAGTTGATAAAGTAGTGTTAGCATTTGAAAGAATTGGCTTTAATATTGAAAGAAGTTCTACTGTGGATAAAATGCTTTCAAGCAGTAGTGCACAACTTATTTTAAGAAATTGCCACAGTCACCCCAGCCTTTGGCAATGACCACCCTGATCAGTTAGCAGACATCAACATCAAGGTAGGAATATCCAGCAGCAAAAAAATTACAACTCGCTGAAGGCTTGGATGATCATTAGCATTTTTCTGGCAAGCAGTATTTTTTAAATTAAATTATTTACATTGTTTTTTTAGACATACTGCTATTGCACACTTAATAGACTACAGAATAGTGTAAATAACTTTCCAAATTTTTTGGAAAACCACAAAATTCATATGACTTGTTTTATTACATTTGCTTTATTGTGGTGATTTGGATCTAAATCTGCACTATCTTTAAGATATGCCTGTGTATGATATTTTCTACCTCCCGATGGTATTACCAAATTACTTTGTAGAATATCATAAAGGGTTCTAGTCTTATTGGCTTGGAGATAAATAAATGCTAATATAATTCAACATTTCCCGAAATACAGAAACTAGCCCAAGTGCTTTTCAAGTACACATGACTTGGGTAAATCTTGGTAAATAAGATTAGTTTAATATTATTGGTTTAATATAAGCAGCTATATCTTCTTAGTTATCAGCATTAAGTATAATATGAGCATATGTTTTTATTCCACTTGGATTGTCTAGTGCAATAAGGTAATATTATTTCTACTTTAAGACTATAAAAATTATAAATTCAACCTAAGAACAAATATAGAAGTAAAGAGGCAATAAAAATGAATGACTTGATATCTATTACTTTGTGTGTTTCAAGCACAACAGTAAACTTTTATAAGATGCATATTTAACTTTTTTTAGGTTTTTGATTTGTAGTGAAGTCTAATATTCATGTGTTGAAACATAGGGAATTGCGATGACGGCTAGCTTTGTTCAATGTTGTACTATGTCTGTCCATAAACAATTTCAATATTGTTTTAGTATCTTGAAATTGTTGAGTTATGCTAAGCTAAATTAAGTAATAGACATTTATTAAATATCTAGATTATTTCTAACAAACACCAACTACTTAAACATTAATAGCTAAGCATAAGTTTAAGTTGAAGTGCTTGTGATCTGATGCTGAATACTGATATGCAACAGACAATCCACAATGGTTTACCTCCTAGTTTTCTGTGTAAAAATTTTACCAAGCATTAAAAAATTATAATTGACATTTGTAAGTGAAACTACCTAAAATAGTAAAGAAAGTTCTATGAAAACTATACAAGGAAAGTAAGATGTGTCATTGATAAGAAAAGGTAACGAATATGAAGGATATGGTTTCGTAAGGGAAAATGAGAGCAGTTTTGTCCTAAAGTAAGATACTGGTTATTCCAGAAGGAGAAAGAGGAAAATACAGCACAAATACAAAATGGATATAGAAAATTATAGAAGATTTGTGGAAAATAAACTTCATGGTGATCAAGGATGGTAAAAACGAATGGATTTACTTACAGGAATTAAAAAAAAATAAGCCTAATAGAGTACTATTATAAAAATTGAATTTAGTTTTCTGTTAAAAGGACATTTTCTTGTATTATATTAGTCTCTTCTTAATGAGAGATTGTGAAGGATTTTTGTTTACATTTTTAGTAATCTGCCTAGGAAACTAAAATTTTGTGTTCTGTGAGAATAATTTTCCTTGCTTTATATTAACTTTTGTTATGTTCTTAACTATTTAAGAGAATCAAGACTTCTGAGTTTTAAAAGAGCAAAGGTTTTTTTTTTCGCTTTTTTATAGTTTTTATAATTTTGCCTTCCCAAAATAAAATCCTAAATTAAAGCTTTTTTTTTTTTAGACAGCGTCTCACTCTGTCACCCAGGCTGGAGTGCAATGGTACGATCTTGGCTCACTGCAACATTTACCTCTTGGGTTCAAGCAATTTTCCTGCCTCAGCCTCCTGAGTAGCTGGGATTACAGGTGCCCACCACCATACCCAGCTAATTTTTGTATTTTTAGTAGAGACGGGGTTTCACCATGTTGGGCAGGCTGGTCTCAAACTTCGGACATCATGATACCCCCACCTCACCCTCCCAAAGTGCTGAGATTACAGGTCTGAGCAACTGTGCCCAGCAAATTAAATCTTCTTGTTCTTGAACTGACCTTAAGATTTTGCAAAAGGCCCCTGGAAAATCTTAAAGCATTTATTCTTTTACCTTCTAAAGAGAAATGTTAAAAATAATTTGGTTTATTTGATACTTGAGTGACACGGGAAACATTGCCAAATAAGAAAACATGCTTAACCCCTCCTAGGTTACTATATGTATTGATAAAATGCAGTTATTTCAGAAATTGTATGAAATTCCTAGGAATTTGTTCCTAGTATCTTGTTTTATTCTAAAATTATTCTCTGAAAGTATTTGCTATCAGCTACTGAACAGAATGCTTCATGATGGCATTACGTAAATAATTTTGAGACTGTACTGTTACAGTAGGTATCTAGCCAGACATGAGCGGGACAGGAGAGGGCTCCCCCCCATACCCACTAGGAATGTCAGGCAACCATCAGGTGATGGTTCAGCAGTTATCACAATGTCTCTCTAAAAATGAAAATTGGCAGCAAGTTCCAGGGAGAGGCAATTTCCTGATGGTTCACAGCTATCACACTAAAGTGATAATTGATCACAGGCGCCAGGGAGAGGCAATTTCCCAAGCAGATAAAAACACTTGAAATTGGTAATCAACTTCCAATAAAATCTCAGGAATTGTGCAAGTGAGCTCAAGCATGTGCATTAAGAGACAAAATGGTGGCGTATGACCTTTTGGGGCCATTCCACTAGAAAAGGGATGAAAGCCTCAGGCGGGCATTTGTACAACTTCCTAAACACACTGCATGTGCTCTCCTCCTAAGCACAAGGAGGGCACCATGCATGCAGGCAGCCCATCCTAAGGGAGCAATCATGGGAAAAGGGACTCAAGACCCCAGAATTATGCCAGCATATAAATCCCCAAGTCAAAACGTCAAACGCCACACTTGTCCTTCAATTAGCCTGCTTTGGTCTCTTCCAAGTGTACTTTCCTTTCTTTCCTGATCTAAAGCTTTTTAATAAACTTCCACCCCTGTTCTGAAACTTGCCTTGTCTCTTTTTCTGCCTCATACCCCTCAGTTAAATTCTTTCTTCTGAGGAGACAAGAATTGAGGTTGCTGCAAACCCTCCAGTAATTCAGTAATTAGAATATTTATTGCACCCCAAACAATGCTACTGGATTGAGTAAGAGTTTCCAGAACTCAAGGGTAGAAGCTGATAGCTTCATTAAACATCTAATCTAAAATTAAGCAGAATAAGAATTAATTACATGAGATTCAGTGGACTGACTGGTAAAGGATGATTACAGATTTTCTTTAGAATTTTGCTGGATGTTTTATGTTCTATTTTTCAGATATAAGAACTCCCTTTCCCCTTTCTTTTAAGTTATCTATACTTGTGGCAATTTAGTAGATTATACTTTTGTTAACAGAAATAAAATACTTATATTTGTCCCCTGCCCTGATACCTCCAGAATTTAGAAACTATTATTGATTATTCTTATTTTCATGGCAACATAATTATTTGCTTAAGTTAAATAAGAATCTTTTTTCTTTACAACAGAACACAATTGCAAACATTGGTTACATTACCAAGGCTTTGACTGGAATGTCATATTTGAGCATGATGCATAGAATTATATATGAGCAGACGGTTTTAAGGAACCAAAGTTGACTTTATGGAGCCAATGCTTGCAAAGCTGTGTTGGAAAAACTGACCTATCACCTGACTTACAGCGTTTCCAGGCTTATAGGCGAGTAAGGAATGTCACTTCCTGGCAAGCTCAATGTGATACTGTGCAATATATTAACTCCTAAAATCCTTGGAATCTCCAAAGTGCTGTCTTTTTTGTATGCTAAGTGATGACATAGCTTCAGGGTGGGGCTAGACAATAGAAAGACAAAGGCGTGATTAGCTGATTGAGACACTCAGCCCCACCCCTCAACCTTCAGGGAGGGAAGAGGGGCTAGAGCCAGGTTGATCACCAGTGGCCAATGATTTAATCAGTCACGCTTTCATAATGAAGCTTTCATAAACACCCAAAAACATAGGGTTCAGAGAGCTTCCAAATAGCTGAACACATAGAGATTCCTGGAGAATGGTACACCCAGGGAGGGCATGGAAGCTCCACATCCTTTCCCACACCTCACCCTATGCATCTCTTTAATTGTATCTTTTGTAATATCCTTTATCATAAACCAGTAAATGTGTTTCCCTGAGTTCTCTGAGCCACTCCAGCAAATTAATTGAACCCAAAGTGGGGGTTATGGGAACCCCAACTTAAAGCTGATTGGTCAGAAGTTCCAGAGGCCAAAACTTGTGACTGGTGTCTGAGGGGAGAGCAGTTTGGGGACTGAGCTCCCAATATGTGGGATCTGACACTATCTCTAGGTAGATAGTGTTGGAATTGGATTGGAGGACACCCAGTTGGTATCTGCTGCAGAATTGATTGCTCATTTGGTCATGGTGTTCTTGGTCACAGAAGTCTTCTGTGTTGATGATTGCTGTGGTGTGAGAGCAGAAGAAAAGTGGTTTGGGATTTTCTTAAGACCCATGAAACAGGATATTATGAGAACCTCAAGAAGAGAGAAATTCCCCCAGATCTATAGATCCTTGTAGGATTTTCCAGAGAAACAGAAACAATAGTGTGTATATATACATACGTATATATGTAATGGAAATTGCCTCACATGATTACGGAGGCTGAGAAGCCCCATCATCTGCTGTCTGCAAGCAGAAGATCCAGGAAAGCTACTGATGTAATTCAATTTGAGTCAGCCTGCCTGAAAGTCAAGGGGTGATATAAATCCTAGTCTGAGTCTGAATGCCCAAAAGTCAGGAGCTAACACACTTGTGAGTGTTTGAACAAGCTACTTAATCTCTGTGGACATTAGTTTAGTCATATATAAAATGAATATTGTAAGATTTTCTCTACAAGAGTGGTGAGGGTAAAATTGGAATCTATTTAAAATTAGTTAAGAAGACTTTACGTAAGTTATATTGTTTAATTATACATTTTTGTTTAGAGCAATGCTGGTTCTTTAATGTTTTATTTTCCAAATATATTCTATAGAAAAAGATGCTATATAAGTTTTAAATTTATAAGTAAAAGGAAAATGAGAAATAAAATTGCCAAAAATATTTCAGATCTAGAGAGCACCATGTTCTTCTCATAACAATCTTTATCTTTGGCTAGATGGTTGCTATCCTATACATAAAGGTTGGTCAGAATGCATCTGAAAACTAAGGCCAAAGACTCAATAATAGGAAGACAGATTATAATGAAGCCTATTGAAATGTATGAAAAATGGAATGAAAGAACAAGGTTAATTGTGAACACTAGAGGTAAGAATTGAAATCACTGGGAAAAAGTTTAAAGCAACATGTAAATCATATTGTTGGTTGCGATAGATTATTTTTCAGATCATAACACTCTTATACTAGAGTATGGGAGTAATAGGTCACTCAAATTGGGCCCATTTTATCTTTCATCCCTGACCACAGTGGTTATTCTAGAAGTAAGCAAGTAACAAAGGCTGGATAAGAAGTTCCTTTTCTGAAGTTTTTCATACTGGGGTGCTTGGGGAAGGTGATTTCTAAATGTATTTTAGTCCTCTTTGGTCATAGAGCCTATAGGATCTGAAGTTCTAAACTGCTGTCAGCCATTCATTTGCCGCTTTCCTATTCTACTTAGATTAGAATAGAGAGTATAAACTGATACTCAGAAAGGAGTGGATGTGAGAACTAGACAGAGCCAAGAAGCATTCAATTCCTTTAGTGTTAGCACCCTTACAGCCAATTCTACCATTTTTTCCTGCGATTTGTTTCTCTGATCCAATCAATGTCCCATTTCTATTGAAGATAATGTGAGTAGTTTGCATATGTATTGGTTACCAAGAAACTCTGAAAATTATCATGAAAGATAATGTCGAGACGTTTTTAGAGAATAATAAAATCATATTTTAAAATCTCAAAAAGAGGAAGGCGCTTAGAAATGAAAATTTGAGGGTTAGCTTAGAGAAGGTTCTTCTTTATTTATTACTATGTCAGAGCAAAGACAGGTTTTAGTGTTACTGTATGTAGAAAACTGAAGAAAATAAGCAAAGACAGTTGTGCATTCTGGTTGTTGCCAACAGGAGAAAATTTACTCTGCAGAAATAACATTTTTTTTTTTTATTTCAAGAATTTAGAAATTTAAACTGCATAAAATTTAATACTTAACACAAAACGCCGGCTACCACCATGATTTTAAAAGAAAAAAAAAACCCTTAAGTTATGCACATACTTAAGATTGAAAAATGTCTTCTGAGTACATACAATGGATATTTTTTCATGCTTATCATAATTCTATTCCCACTCATTTGAATGCAATTTACCATCATCATAACATTCCAAGGGGGAGCCTATAGAGATTGTGTTGTAATGTCAAATTGCTATATGAAAACAATTTTGATAAGCCCATGGACACCATATTATAATGACAAATTATAATGACAAAATGGTTTCATGTTTCCATGGAGACTAAATTACAATGTCAAATTGATGGCCAAATGAGGTCAATACAAATCTACACAGACCAGATTGTGATGTTAAAACAATGCAAAGCAATATCACCACCAGTCTGGGGAGGCTATGCTATGATGTCAAGATGATGGGAAAGTAATATCTAGGATGATGTCAAAACAGTCACAGAAAAGATGTCAGTGGAAATATTGGCAGCATCCTTCATGATGACAGTACAAGAGATCACTATTATGAATGCAGATTTCACCAATGGTAAGATAAAGCTAGTAAACCTAAGAAAATGGAAGTTTAAACATTTAAGTATTCTAATTCTAAATATTATTTCATTTTAAGTTCTTAGTAGATAAGTTCTTAGTCACAGAAGTTAGGGTGAAAAAAACTAAGCCATGTTACTCAGTGGTGGAAGTTATTTATTGAAGAATCTGTGTAGATGTAAATTACTTTCCTCATTTGCAATAGAACTGTGAAAGGACCCACAGGGAGACAGTCTGATTAATTCAGTACTCCCTAGAATGCTTCACAGGCAGACTTTTCTGTTGAAATGTCTTTGGGGCACGCTCTCCCCACTCCTTGGGTTGGTCGTCACACCTTTTAATTCTTTTTTCATAAAGATGTTAAAATATTTACAGTTACATTTTTGTATTTTATAAATTATAAACCAAGTAGTTTAACACTTCCTTAAACCTGCCTTTGTCAAGAATAGTATGAGGTGCAATCTTACGTTCACCAATACAGATTATTCCCATTTGTTCTTAAATAATAAATTATATTGATGCAATTTATCCTGAATAAGTGTGATAAATATTTTAACCTAATGCTAATTCCAATCAGTTGAGACGTTACATGCAAATGAAATAGAATACATTTATTATGGTTTCTCAACCCAAATCATTTTTTTTCTGCTCTTGATAATTCTGCCTTCTGGAAGAAACAAAAGAAACAACATGCTACTGAGTCATAAAAACATTTTGGTTACTTAAAAATAATCCTTTCATCAAATGAGGAAAAGAGAATTTTACTTTGGTAACCTCTTTTAGTTTATGTTATTTGTCCAAGCATGAGCCATTTCAAGTTTGTGGATTTAGACTCTCAGTTCTTTAGGTTTTAGCTTCTCTTTCTTTTATTTTGTTTTCTGTTCCTTTTTAAGGAAAATGTGGTGTTGACTGAAGAATGACGAGCTTCATAAATTTGGAAAGGAGACCTTTACTTCTCATAAAGTGTTGCAGCCTTCGGGGTGGACATTCTGACAGGCTGGGAAGTGTAGCTTCCGGTCAGAAGCCAGAAACAGGCACTTAGAAGGTGAAAAGAATAAGGGATATGTGTGCTAAAGTGGGTGGCCAGATGTACATACTCAATTAGGTATAGGAGGAGTCGTGAATATTTTGAAAGGAGAAATGTGTGCATGCAAATTGAGCTTTATGTCTCTCCATGGCATCCATGTTAAAAAAAATGTCACTGTTAGCATGATCCAAGGCTACACAGAGAAGAGTTTTCATGTCCTCTGTGCACCCTTCATAGACTGAGCAGACCACTCTGTGATCAGTGTTCTTTTATCAAGAAGGAATGCTGGTTGGTTGTTTTGTTAAAAATGCAGAAGGGCAAGCAGTGTCAGAGTTGGTTGATATTAAGTGTGAAGTGAGTCTTTCCAAAGGATTTGTTTCTGTTTAAACCTTAGGAAAGAAAGCCTAATGGTGATTAGTGAGGGAGGGATTGAAGTTGTATCCAACCTCCCATCCTATCATGGCCAGGAATTCAGTCTTCAAGGTTTTTTTTTAGGGTGTCCTTGGCCAAGAGAGGGTCCGTTTAGTCAGTTCGGGGACTTAGGATTTCATGTTTATTTCTCTGTGAATAAAATATTATAAGGGGAACAGGCACGGTGGCTCAAACCTGTAATCCCAGTACTTTGGGAGACTGAGTCTGGCTTGAGCTCTGAGATTGCTTGAGCTCAGGAGACCAGCCTGGGAAACATAGTGAGATCTCATCTCTACTAAAAATTTTTTTTAAAAAAAGAAAGTTATTCAGGGTTGGTGGCACATGCCTGTAGTCCTAGCTACTCAGGAGGCTGAGGAAAGAGGGTTGCTTGAGCCTAGGAGATCAAGGCTGAAGTGAGCTATGATCATGCCACTGCATTCCAGCCCAGGCAACAGAATGAAACCCTGTCTCCAAAAAAAAGAGAAAAGAAAAAAGATAGAAAAAAAGAAAAGAAAATATATAAGGAAAGAGTTCCTTGAGAATCCTTGTTCAAATACCTAATGTGGTTTAAGACCCACTCAAGGTGGAACACGCAGAACTTACTTCAAGAAATAGCACATAATTTTCATTCTTGAGGATATGCAGAGTCAAGGACAAAATATGCCTACATTAGTATATTTATCCAACTGAAGCCAGTTCAAATTAAACACATAAAGAGGAAACTTAAGAAGAAAGAGGAAGGGTCTGGGCATGGTGATTCACACCTGTAATCCCAGCATTTTGGGAGGGTGAAGTGGGCAGATCGCTGGAGCTCAGGAGTTCCAGAACAGCCTGGGCAACATGGCAAAACCCCAATCTCTACAAAACATACAAAAAGTTAACCCAGTGTGGTGGTACATGCCCATGGTCCCAGCTACACAGAAGGCTTAGGTGGCAGTATTGCTTGAGCCTAGGAGGTTGAGGCTGCAGTGAGCCATGTTCATGCCACTGCACTTCAGCCTGGGTAACAGAATGAGAAGCTGTCTCAAAAAAAAAAAAAAAAAAAAAAGAAAGAAAGAAAAAAGAAGGCAAGAGAAACAGACGAGGAGAAGGAGAAGGAAAGAAAGAAACCAGTGGCCTTCCTGATACAGAGTCTACAGACCTTCGGTGGAATCCCAGCTCTGCAATTGGGTAAAGTTGCACAAGTCCTTTACCTCCCTGAATCTCAGTGTTTCTCAATATGAGACAAAGCATTTCCTTCTAAAAATAGCATATTTTACATAGAAGTGTTGAGAGAGAAGAATACATATTGATGGCCAAGCTCAAATCCTTGCAGATACATAATTTAGGCTACAAATGCTGATAAGAAAACTTTTGCAAAGGATACCCTGGATCAGTATGTCTCAGCTAGACAGGAGCTCATAAATGACTCTGCTGTCTTTCTGTCTCTCTAGATTGAAAAAAAAATTCTGTTCAGCAGGTAACTTAAAAGAGCTACATGCAAGGATAACATGCCACTCTCCTTTTACTGAAAGCTGTAGGGGAGAATCTATTTGTCTCTTATAGCTCTTATTGGCTGTTGGCAATCCTTGACTCTATCAGCATCCCTTCTATCGGCCTCCATGGTCCCATCCCCTCTTCCTCTTCTGTCTGTGTTCTTCTCTTCTGTCTCTTATGAGGACACTTTCCACTGGATTTAGTGATCACCCAGATGATCCAAGATAATCTCTACAGCTCAAGACCCCTAACTTAATTACATTTGCAAAATAATTCTTTTTCCAAATATGGTATCATTCACCAGTTCTGGGGATCATGATATAGGCATATCTTTGTGGGGGAGGAGGACCATTAAATGCACTTCTAATGCTCAATATAGTTAAGGCTTCCAGGCTCCCTTCAACTTTCAATCATATCTCTCAGCTTTCTTAGAAGTATCTGACAAGTATTCATATATTAGCCCACGATGTCTTATCATTTTCCTGATCTTGGTCTCTTCTGGCCACATTTAGTGAGGTCTTGTGCCAATATCTCTGATGTCTATGAAACCTTCTGAGGTAACTTCATCAAAGAGGATTCTATAGATCTATGCTGGCCCTTCCAAGGGCGTCATTTCATGAAACACTATCAGCTTTAGCTTGTTTTTGTTTTGTTTTGTTTTGTTTTGTTTTGAGACAGTGTTTCGCTCTGTTGCCGTCACCGAGGCTGGAGTTCAGTGGTGCCCTCTTGGCTCACTGCAACCTCTGCCTCCCAAGTTCAAGTGATTCCCCTAACTCAGCCTCCTGAGTAGCTGGAATTACATGCGAGAGCCACCGCACCTGGCCCAGCTTTAGTTTTTGATATTGCTGCCCTTTCAAGTACTTCAACTGCCTTGGCCATCACTGCATCTACCAGATGCTGCCTCGAGGCTCTGCCAACGTTCATTCACTGCTAGAAGACTTTGAAGTTTTAGAGGAGCAAGGCTTCATTTTGTGTAGCCCTCTATGCATTTGTGCCACACTTTAACAATGGTCAATTCGTGGTAATATTGTTTCAAACCATTTCATCATTCCACCAATAGATTAGTTGAAGTAAAATCACTGATATTATAGAAATGTTATCCATAATGTATCACTTCTCTTAATTTGAACATCTTTCAATAATGTTTTTATATCAAATATTCAGTCCATATTCAAATATTCCTCATTTCCTTTTAATTATTTTTAGGTGGTTTATTGAATCAGAATCCAAATAAATTCTACCCATTGCAACTAGTCAATAATCTCTTAAATATCTTTTAGTTTATTCTCTCTCCTTCTCTGTCTCTCTTTATCCCTCCCTTCCCACCCCTTAGTTTTTGGCAACAACACATCGCACTTCCCAGGTGGAATGTCCAGCAGCCTTAAATGATTAATCAGTCAGTAGGTCAGTGGGTTCAGTTGCTGGCCTAATCTATCTACTATAAAGCCCTTCTTTAGCTTTTTACGTAATGGTTTTAGCATCTCTTGACAGTCATGACCCAGATTCAATATTTTATTAGGGGTAACAAATTGATGATATTCTAATTCCATCACTTGGTCTTTATTAGCTGAAATATTCCTAAGACAGAAATTTCCTCTCATCAACTATTTGGTTACCCAAAGGTATTAGTCATACATATGAGTATGGAGATGTAGGATGCCTACAAGATTCTGTCCCCTCACCACATTTCAGAATAGCTGTTTCCTTAAGAACACCCCAAACATAAAACAAAGTGTACTTGTGTTTTTAATAACATTGTGAACTTATAGATTAAAATGTTTTGATATATTTCAATCTATCTTAGCTACTATGTACTCTAATATCCTGAAAAACATACCATAACAGTGTATAAAGATATTCCTCATTCTTTTTTAAGCCTGCATAGCACTCTTTTCCATTGGAGATATACCATAGTTTATTTATACAACCTTCTACTGATGGACCTTTGAGTTATTTCCAGTCTTTAGCTAATATAGATTTAATAAATGCACTAATACTTTTTCTAGCCTTTTAAAAAATTGATACATAATATTTGGATATACTTATGGGGTACTTGTGATATTTTCTTACATATACAGAATGTATAATGATTAAGTCAGGGTTTTTAGGGTATCCATCACCTTGAGTAATTATCTTTTCTATGTGTTGGGCACATTTCAAGTCTTCTTTTTTAGATATTTTGAAATACATAATACATATTGTTAACTATAGTCACCCTTCTCTGCTGTCAAATATAACTTATTCCTTCCATCTAACTGTATGTTCGTACCTATCAACCAACCCCTTTTCACCACCACCTCCACTCACATATCCTTGCCACCCTCTGGTATCTTTCATTAGACTCTACCTGCATGAGATCAAATTTTTAAGCTCTCACATAAAAGGCAGAACATGCTGCATCTGTCTTTCTGTGCCTAGCTTATTTCACTTAACATAATAACCTCCAATTCCACCCATGTTGCTGCAGATGACATTATTTCATTCTTTTTATGGCAGAATAGTATTCTGTTGTGTGTGTGTGTGTGTGTGTGTGTGTGTGTGTGTGTGTGTGTATATATATATATAATTTTCTTTATCCATTTGTCCACTGATGGACACTTAGGTTGATTCCATAATTTTGCCATTGTGAATAGTGCTGCAATAAACATGGTAGTGCAGGTGTCCCTTTGACATACTGATTTTCTTTTCTTTGGATAAATACTCAGTAGTAGGATCGTTGGATTGTATGGTAGTTCTAGTTTTAGTTAACAGCTGATTTTCCATACTGTTTTCCATAGTGGTTGTACTAATTGACATCCCCACTAATAGTGTATAAGAGTTCCTTTTGCTCTGTATCTTCATCAATGTGTTTTTTTTGTTGTTGTTGTTGTTTTGTTTTGTTTTTGTTTTGTCTTTTAAATAGTAGCTGTTCTAACTAGGGTAAGATGATATCTCATTATGAGTGTAATTTGCATTTCTCTGATAATTAGTGATGTTGAACATATTTTTCATATCATATACGTGTTGATGATTTATATGTTTTCTTTTGAGGAATGTCTATTCATGTCGTTTGCCCACTTTTTAATGGAATTATCATTTGTTTGTTTTTGCTGTTGAATTGTTTGTGTTTCTAATATTCTGAATATTAGTCCCTTTTTAGAAGAATAGTTGGCAAATATTTTCTTCCATTCAACTGGTTGTTCCTCCACTCATTTAATTATTTCCTTTGCCATGTAGAAGCTTTTTAGTTTAATATAGTCTTATTTGCCTACCTTTGTTTTTGTTGCCTGTGCTTTTGCAGTCTTAGCCATAAAATCCTTGTCTAGACCAATGTCCTAAATTCATGTATGAATAGTATTTATGTGTTTTCTTCTAGTAGTTTTATAGTTTCAGGCTTTATACTTAAGCTTTAAATTCTTCTTGAGTTGATTTTTGTATATGGTGAGAGATAGGGGTCTAGTCTCATTCTGCTGGACATGGATATCCAATTTTCCCAGCAGCATTTATTAAAGAGTGTCCTTTCCCCAGTGTTTTTTCTTGGCACCTTTGTAAAAAATTAGCTGGCTATAAATACATGGATTTATTTCTTGGTTCTCTATTTCTGTTCTAATGATCTATGTGTCTGTTTTTATAACAATACCATGCTGTTTTGATTACTACAGCCTTGTAATATATTTTGAAGTTAGGTAGTGTGATGTCTGCAGGTTTATTTATTTTGCTCCTGATTGCTTTGGCTATTTGGGCTCTTTTGGTTCTATATAAATTTTAAGATTGTTTTTTCTAAGTGTGTAAAAAATGAATTGGTATGTTTATAGGAATTGCATTGAATCCATAGATTGCTCTAGGTAGTATGGTCATTTCTATAATATTAATTCTTCTGATCCATGAACATGGGATGTCTTTTCATTTGTTTGTGTCCTCTTCAGTTTCTTTCATCAGTGTTTTGTAGTTTCCCTCATAGGTATCTTTTACCTTCTTGTTTAAATTTAATCCTACATATTTTTCTTCTTGTAGTTACTGTAAATGGATTGCTTTCTTGATTTCTTTTTGGCTACTTCATTATTAGTGTATAGAAATGCTATTAATTTTTGTATGTTGATGTTAGATTCTGCAACTTTACTGAATTTATTTATCAAATATGAGTTTATTGGTGGAATCTTTATGTAATTACAAATATAAAATCATGTCCTCTGCAAAAAGAGATAATTTTACTCTAATTTTTTCTGATTTAGATGCTGATATAGATTTAATATTTGTCCCTGCCCAAATCGCATGCTAAATTGTAATCTCCGATGCTGGATATGGGGCCTGGGGGGAGGTGTTTGGGTCATGGGGGCAGATTCCTCATGGTTTGGTGCTCTCTCCACAATAGTGAATAAGTCCTCATGAGATCTGATTATTTAAAAGTGTGTGTCACTTCCCTTTGCCTCTCTCTCTCTCTCTCTTGCTTTTGCCGTGTGATATGCCTGCTTCCGCTTTACCTTTTGTCATGATTGTAAGCTTCTCAAGGCCTCCTTAGAAGCTGAGCAGATGCTATTACCATGCTTCCTGCAAAGTTGGCAGAACCATCAGCCAATTAAACCCATTTTGTTTAAATAAATTACCCAGTTTCATGTGTTTTGTTATAGCAATGTAAGAAAAGTCTAATATAGACGCCTTTTATTTCTTTCTCTTGCCTGATAACTCTGGCTAGGACTTCCAGTACTATGTTGAATAGGAGTGGTGAAAGTGGGTATCCTTGTGTTGTCCCAGTTCATAGAGGAAAGGCTTTCAGCATTCAGTAGGATGTTAACTGTTGGTTTGTCATATACAACCTTTATTAAATTGAAGTATGCTCCTTCTATTCCTAATTTGTTGAGCGTTTTTATCCTGAAGAAATGCTGAATTTTATCAATGCTTTATCTTCATCTATTGAGATGATCATGTTGTTTTTGTCCTTTATACTGTTGATGTGAGGTATTGCATTTATTGATTTGCATATGTTGAACCAGCTTGCATCCCTGAGAAAAATCCCACTTGGCCATAATGCATTATTATTATTTTTTGATATGTTGTTAGGTTTGGTTTGATAGTATTTTATTGAGGATTTTTTGCATCTATGTTCATCAGGGATATTGGCCTGTAGTTTTTGGCATTTTTTGTTTGTTTATTATTATTTAGTTATCTTTTCTTGTTATTTCTTTGTTTGGTTTTAGTAACTCATTCTACAAAGCCAGCTCTGTAGAATGAGTTACAGAGAATTCTCTCATCTTTAATTTTTTGTAATAGTTTGAAGATAATTGGTGTTAGTTCTTCTTTGTAAGTTTGATATAATTTGCATAATTCTTCAGTAAGCCCATTCAGTCCTGGATTTTCTTTGTTAGGAGACTATTACTGATTCTATCTCATGACTTGCTATTACTCTGTTCAGGTCCTCTATTTCTTACTGATTCAATTTTGTCAGGGTGTGTGTGCTCAGGAATTTTTCTCTTTTCTGTAGGTTTTCTATCACTAATACATTTTAAAAACTAAATTATTTACTTCCTTAGGATAATTTATCTTCCAAGCAGACATTTGATTCTTCATTTGAATATATATTTTTATGTAACCTGGCTCTTCTATTACAATTACAGTGTATTTTAAAATTTCCAATTATATAATACTTAAAAAATATAATTATAGGACATAGAATTTTCTAAAGAAAAAGCTATGCCTAAGACCCACTGAAGCTTATCGCAAAGTTGATTCATTTGACAACAAAGTATTTTGGATGAATGAAGTACTGAGGAATTCAACTGGAAATAAATCAGCTCCCCTTAATATACGGTTTTAAAATAATTTATATCTTTGTGGAAATCAGCATGGGAAAAAGTTGTTTGATAAGTTAGTTGTAGTCAAAAAAATATATAATTTTAATGGTAGAATGTCATTACTCCATATTTTTGCATTTTGCAAAACTATATTTTATTTACCATTGAAATCAGGAACATATATTTTGAAATTAGATTAAAGCCAAAATCATGGTTAGCTGTTCATTCTTATGATATTGTGGCTACTTGAATGTTAAGGGAACAATTTCAAATTATAAATTTCATTTTAATATAAATTTTACATCCTAGCTTCTTCATGATATTCTTAGTGTTGAACAGAATTACTATTTTTTTTTCTTTTAATAATGACCTACTTGTGATATATTTTGAGTTTTGGCTAATTCCTTTTCCTAAATTTACTTCTCTTAAACATAAAACTAAATTGCTCTTCTTATGAAATCCTGATTCACAAATATCCTATAAAAACTTAATAATTTTAGGAGGCTTCTTTCATAGAGCATACTAAGAAGACTAATATACAAATGAAAATACAAGAGAAACATTACTCATGAAAAAAATCTATGTTCATTGAATTTTAAATTTTTTTTTCAGATTTTTCTTTTTCTTTTTTTTTTTTTGGTCATAAGTGACAAAAACCAAATGTAATTTGCCTAAGGGGGAAAGAAAAATGGAATGAATGAAAGGAATGAATTAATCTGTAACAGAATGATTGAAGAGTAGACCTAGCTTCAGGACTGGATTAAACAATTTAGGACTGGGTTTTCCTCCTGTCTGTTGGGTCTGCTTCCTCTGTATTAACTCCATCCTCACAAAACCTCATTCACTAGTGGCCTCAGAAGGGCTGCTAGCAACTCTTAGGGCTGTATCAGAGAGCAAGAGATTTTGTTCAGAATATATCCTGAGATTAATTGTATTGAAATTTACTATAAACCGATTGCTATGGTCAGGGGAATTGAGTGTTATGATTTTCTGTGGCCTGAAAAGCTCATAGACAAATTGTGGGAATCAAGGAGCAATGTGGTTCCTAGAAAAAAATTCCACCTTTTGCTTGAAAAAGGGTGGATGGATAGAAAAAAAATTCAATGCATGTCACAAGAGGTTCTAATAATTGCCAGTGCATTTTTAGACATTTTCCTAATAATTCAAACATATATGTTAAAAACAAATTTTTCTAAGCTTACATATTCATTGTTTAGAAGATTTTGTTAGCCTTTGGAATCTATACAAGATACAGCATTTTGTCTATTGATTTATTTATGAGATGAATAGGAATGAAAAAAAGAGAAATTTAAACATTGCTTTATTGCTTTGCGAGCATCTACTTTCTTTACTTTCTTCTTGCCTTCCCTCCCCATTTTTCCCCTCATCTTCCTTCGCCTTTCCCATATGCCTTTCTTATTCTCTTATTTTCTTTTCATTTCTTACTCCTCTTTTCCTCCTCTTTTTCCCCTCTTCTTTCATTACTTCTTTTCTTGTGTTTCATTACTTCTTTTCTTGTCTTTCATTTTCTCCTTACTCATTTCTCTTCCTCCATTTTTGCCCTTTTCTTGGTTATGTCTTTTTCTCATTCTTCAATCTGCTTCAAGCCTTTCAGTCTGCATCAAGGAAATCTCTTTCTCATCTTTCTAAACAAGATAGTATAGCCAGCAAGGCTTAAATACGATTGTAATGAATTAATTTATTTTTGTGTAAAGCAAATTGTTGATGGACAGAAGAGACTCCCCATGTGTTCTGAGTCCAATTCTATTAAGGTTCTTATACACCAATAACCCCTGTTACCCCTTTGCCTTCCAGGATTTTTCAACACCTTTCCTTCTCTGGAATACAATAAAAATTTAACTTACCAAGAGCATTAACTAAATCCAGTTGATCATTTTAGTTTTAGCTTAATATTACTTTGGGCACATTACAGTGCCTAATTACCCCCCCACCTTGAAACACATTGTCTTAATTGTCAGGATAGCATCCTTCATTCTAATGTACATAAATGTCTACATTATGTAAAACCATATAACAATAACTGTCAGTAATATTCAATTGAAATTGAAATGTTTATATGTGTTGCCAGTTTTCTTTTTGTGCTTAGAGTTTTTCTCCATTTCCTTAAGGGAAAACTATGCTATAAGTGTTTGTGTCTTTGTAAATAAGCATGTAATAGATTGATTAATTTCCTTCCACAATCAGAATTTTTTAGATTATTAATTAGTACATGAGTAAAATATATGTAAGAAAAAACTGAAACTTACAATATATGGGTTTCTCTATAGCATCAACAAAATATTGCATTTTGCATCAATTATTTGAACTGTAATGAAATGAGATTCAAAATTTGATAACTATTTCACTAATTTGCACTTCAGTCACACTGACTGAGCATTTACTTTGTGATTCTTAAGTCAGATACTAAAATTAAAACTCTCTGTCTTGAGTTATTGCTTCATCTGATGAATGGGCTGGTATAGCCTTAAAGCAATCTCCTGGTGGTGGGCGAAGGGGGGGGAGTTCCACAGGTGCCTGTATTATTTCAAGATTTAGTTTCTAGTGCTTTAAAAAAATTAGATACACTAGCAGTGTGAGGTGGTGCCTAGTGCTTAAGTGAAAGCAAAAAAAAAAATTAAATTGTGTACTTGGTCACAATAATGTTATACTATGGAAGGAAGTGCCTGAAATTTGGTGGCCAAATAGCCATCTCTGGCACATAAAATATTCTCTCTGCAGACTGGCATGGAATATGACATCTTGTGGGAGCATGTGTAAGACCATTTTAGTTACTTGGCTTAACTGGAAAAGATGTTTTAATTTGTTTTCCAGATGAAGGACAGAATGTTGAGTCATAAAGCAAAACAACAAACAAACTATCACCACCACACCAATAAAACAGGATATTGAAAGAAAACAGGAGATAAGGAAGACCATATTTTGATTTTTGGTTTATAATAACACTGTGGGTCAAAACCAGAATAGAAGTTAAATTTACCATCTGAATTCTGAAAAGAAATATATTTGGCAGTGATTTTAAGACACTTAAATTTAACTATATAATATTTTTTAAAGGTGAAATGTACTTACTACAAAACAGATACATCATAAATGTATTGATTGATTTTAAGTAAATTTGTACAGTTACACAACATCCACACAATCTCTGTTTAGAACATTTCTATCACTACAAAAAGGGCCAAACCTCACTTGCACCTTCGGCTACCATTAATCTGCTTTCTGTATCTATAGTTTTACTTCTAAGAATTCCATAAAAATCAAATTTAAAAATATATAATGATTTGTGTCTTGCTTCTTTCCCTATGTATTATGTTTTTGAAGTACATCTATATTGCTGCAGATATCAATAGTACTTTTCTTTATATTGTTGAATGTTACTCAGTTTATTAGGTATAATACACTTTATTTCTCTATTCATCAGTTAATGGACATTTGTTGTTTCATGTTTTTGGCTATTATGAAACATACACATTCACATACAAGTCATTTTTGGACTTATGTTTTATTTTTGGGGGGTGTAGACACATAAAAATAGAATTGCTGGATCATACAGTAAATATATGTTTAAAATTTTAAGAAACTATTTTCCAAAATGGCAATTTTATTTTACACTCTTACCATGAATATATGAGAGTTCCATTTCACACATCCTTGGCAAAACTTGGTAATTTTCAATATCTATGATTGAAGCTATTCTAGTGAGTCTGTAGTGATATTTTACTGTGGTTTCAATTTGAATTTCTCTAATGAATAATTACATTGAACACATTTTCATATGCTTATTAACAATGTATATATCTTCACTGGTGCAATATCTATTTATTTTCTGTTAGTTTGTTAATGTTACAAGATTCCTTTCTATCTTCAGGATAGAACTTTTCTCAGACATACATTTTGCCAGTATGTTACTCCAGTCTGTAACCTATTTTTTTCATTTTTTTCAATGGTGACTACTTATTAGCAAAAGTTTATAAGTGTTTCTGAAGGCCAATATATCAATATTTTCTCTCTGAGGATTGTACTTGTAGTATAATATCTATGAAATCTTTGCCTAACCTAAAGTCACAAAAAAATTCTCATGTTTTCTTTTAGAACTTTTATTTATCCCTTATATTTAGGACAATAATACATTGATAAAATTATAAAGCTTTGTAAGATTCTAAGCAATTCTTTAAAGGAGAGAAATATATTTAATCATAGGAAAAGTCATTTTTATAAAGCTATGGTTTCCTAATTTATCTATAGATTAAGTCTAATTCTAGGAACTTGACAAACTAATGCTCAAATTTGTATAAAAGAACAAAAGTCTAAAAAATACTTTGAAAGAAGTAGAGGAAGGGAGCAGCCAAGATGGCTGAATAGAAAGAGCTCTGCTCTGAGACTCCTACAGAGAAGGACAAAAACTGCAAGTGATTCTGCATTTTTGGGAGTCATTGGGAGGTGCACAGGGCAAAGGGAACTGCCTTGCCCAGCCAAGGGAGGTGGTAAAGGATTGTGCCTACCCTCCCTGAAAACCATGCTTTTCCCATGGATCCTTGCAACCTGTGGATCAGGAGGTCCCCTCCTGAGTCCACACCACCAGAGCCTTGGGTCCCAAGCACAAAGCTATGGAGAATTATGGTGACGGCTAGGGTGAGCAGCCACTAGAGTAGGCACTGAGAAACAGGAGCATTTGCATATTCCAATTCTGGAAACTCCCATGAGGCAGGAGATCCTTCTACTCCCATGCGGAGGGGGCTAGAGCCAGGGAGCCAAGTGGCCTCATTCCCACAGAAACTCACAAGCTAAAACCCAGTGGCTTAGAATCCCAGCTGGCCAGCGCAGCAGGCTAGAGAATGCCTAAGAAGACCAAGTTCCCGGGGGGAGGGGCAGCCACCATCATTGCGGCTCCGGTTGGCCAGTTTTGCCCTGCCGTCAGTGCCAGTGAGATGGGGCAGTCTGGACCAAGAGCAGTTCCCCACAGCACAGCACAGTGGCTGGATCACTTCGTGACCAGACTGCATATTTAAGCAGGACACCGATATACTCCTCCACACCAGGTGGGACCTCCGTGTGGGAATTTCAGCATCCCCAACCAGGGGTTTATGGACAGAACTCTGATAGCCCTGAGAAGAGTCCCTAGGGGGAGGGGCAGCTGTGGTATTGTGGATCAACAATCTTTTCTGCCTACTGGCTCTGGAGAATCACGGCAGCCCAGACTAAGGGGATTCCCCCCAGCGTAGCACACTCACCTTACCATGGGGCAGCCAGACTGCTTTTTTAAGCGGGTCCCTGATCTTGCTCCTCCTGAGTGTGATCTTACACAAGACCTCCCGACAGAAGTCTCCAGACACTTCATATAAGAGTGTTTTGGCCACCATCAGGTTGGTGCCCCTCTGAGACAGAGCTTCTAGAGGAAGAAGCAGGCTGCCATCTTTGCTGGTCTGCAGCCTCCACTGGTGATACTTCCAGGGGTGAGAGGAACCCAGGCAAATAGGGTCTGGAGTAGATCCCGAGCAAACCACAGCAGCCCTACAGAAGAGGGGCCTGACAGCGAAAAGAAAGACAAACAGACGGCAACAACAAAAACAACATCAATGAAAAAGACTCCAGAAAAACCCCAACCAAAGGTCTGCAGCATCAAAAATCAAAAGTAGATAAACCCATGAAGATGAGAAAGAATCAATGCAAAAATGCTGCAAACTTAAAAAGCCAGAGTGTCTCTTCTCCTCCAAATGATTGCAACATATCTTCAGCAAGGGCACAGAACTGGGCTGAGGCTGAGATGCATGAATTGACAGAATTGGCCTTCAGAAGATGGGTAACAACGAACTTCACTGAGCTAAAGGGTTATGTTCTAACTCACTGCAAAGAAGCTGAGAACCATGATAAAACATTACAGGAGCTGTTACCAGAATAACTAGTTTAGAGAGGAACATGAATGACCTGATGGGGCTGAAAAACACAACACAAGAACTTAATAATGCAAACACAAATATTGATAGCCAAATAGACCAAGCAGAAAAAAGTATATCAGAGCTTAAAGATTATCTTGCTGAAGTAAGTTAAGCAGTCAAGATAAGAGAAAAAAAGAATGAAAAGGAACCAACAAAGCCTGTGAGAATTATGGGATTATGTTAAAAGACTGACCTATGACTGATAGGTGTACCTGAAAGAGTTGGGGAAGATGGAACCACATTGGAAAGCACACTTAGGATATCACCCAGGAGAACTTCCCCAACCTGGCAAGACAGGCCAACATTCAAATTCAGGAAATCCAGAGAATCCCAGGAAAATACTCCAAGAGAAGATCAACCACAAGACACATAATCATCAGATTGTCCAAGGTTGAAATAAAGGAAAATGTGTTTAGGGCAGCCAGAGAGAAAGGCCAGGTCACCTATCATGGGAAGCCCATCAGACTAATAGCAGACTTCTCATCAGAAACCCTACAAGCCAGAAGATATTGAGGACCAATATACAACATTCTTAAAGAAAAGAATTTCGAACCTAGAATTTTACATCTGGTCAAACTAAGCTTCATAAGTGAAGGAAAAATAAAATCTTTTTCAGACAAGCAAATGCTGAGGGCCACCAGGCCTGCCTTGCAAGAGCTCCTGAAGGAAGCACTAAATATGGAAAGAAAAATCATTACCAGCCACTACAAAAACACACTGAAGTACACAGACCAGTGATACTATAAAGGAAATACATAAGCAAGTGTGAAAAATAACAGGCTAGCATCATGATGTCAGGATCCAATTCACACATAACAATATTAACCATAAATGTAAATAGGCTAAATGCCCCAATTAAAAGACACGGAGTGGCAAGCTAGATAAAGAATCAAAATCCATCAGTGTGCTGTATTCAAGAGACCCATCTCACATGAAAAGATACAAACAGACTCAAAATAAAAGGATGGAGGGAAATTTACCAAGCAAATGGAAAACAGAGAAAAGCAGAGGTTGCAATCCTAGTTTCTTACAAAACAGAGTTAAAACCAATAAAGATCAAAAAAGACAAAGAAGGGCATTACAAAATCATAAAGGGTTCAATTCAACAAGAAGAGCTAACTGTCCTAAATATGTATGTACCCAATACAGGAGCAACGAAATTCATATAACAAGTTCTTAGAGACCTACAAAGAGACTTAGACTCCAACACAATAATTAATAGTTGGAGACTTTAACACCCTACTCTCAAAATTAGGCAGATCATTGAAACAGAAAATTAACAAAGATATTCAGGACTTGAACTCAGCTCTGGATCAAGTGGACCTGATAGATATATCAAAGCAACAGAATATACGTTCTTCTTGGTGGCACATGGCACTTACTCTAAAATTGATTATGTAATTGGAAGTAAATCACTCCTCAGCAAATGCAAAAGAATGGAAATCATAACAAACAGTCTTTTAGACCGTAGTTCAATCAAATTAGAACTCAAGATTAAGAAACTCACTCAAAACCACACAACTATATGGAAATTGAACAACAGGCTCCTGATTGACTCCTGGGTAAATAATGAAATGAAGGCAGAAATCAAGAAGTTTTTTGAAACCAATGAGAAGATAGAGACAATGTACCAGAATCTCTGGGATGCAGCAAAAGCAGTGTTAGGAGGAAAATATATAGCACTAAATGCTCATATTAAAAAGCTAGAAAGGTCTCAAATCAATACCCTAGCATCACAACTAAAAGAACTAAAGAACCAAGAGCAAACAAACCCCAAAGTTAGCAGAAGACAAGAAATAACCAAGATCAGAGTGGAACTGAAGGAGATAGAGACATGAAAAATCCTTCAAAAAAATCAATGAATCCAGGAGGTGGGTTTTGGAAGAAAAATTAACAAAATAGGTAAATTGCTAGCTAGACTGATAAAGAAAAGAGAAAAATCAGATAGACAAAATAAAAAATGATAAAGGGGATATCACTACTGACCCCACAGAAATACAACCAACCATCAGACAATACTATAAATAGCTCTATGCAAATAAACTAGAAAATCTG